>NC_000010.11:25635000-26260000 GCF_000001405.40 Homo sapiens
ACTTTCTTTATATTATGGAGCCAACATGAGATCCAATGGACTAATGAAGATAAGGAGTGTAGCACATGACTCACCCTCAAGAAACTTCAGCTCCCTTCTTCCACTGGACACTGCCATGCTGATTTCAAATCCCACCTTATTCACCTGCTGCAAGAACAAAAGAAGAAACAATGTTCACACCTGATGTATATCAAATATTGTTGAAGTAGAAATGCAAGCCAAGTTGAAGTCATGAACAGTTAAAAGAAATGAATCTCATTTATCTGGAGTTTATTTGCCTATTACAAGCTTCACTTTGTGCAGGTCAGTACCTGGACTTGCCCAAAGGGCCTTTCACTGTTTATTCCAGAAACAAACAAACAAACAAAAACCAAAGAGAGGCAAAGAAAAAGTAAAAGTTACTGGGATGATTTGAAGTCACCGAGAGAGTGGTGACAGGTAAAATTAAACTTGAAAGTTGTTAAGAATGTTGTCCAGAGGGGTCATGCTGTTGAAAATAATAAGTGGGTCATAATTAAATGCTTATTCTGTGATTTCTTGGTATATTTCATTTCTCTCCTTTGCTTTCAACCCCCACTCTTAGTTTCTGGTCACTGCAGGAATTAACCTGTATATGAAAGACAGTTTGGAAAAAAAAATGCAACTTTCTCACATCTGAACTAGCAGTTTGACATTTTATATGAATGCCAGCCAAATCATAAATCGAAAAGGAGAGAATTCTAGATCATCCATATTATCAAGAAGTCACAGGGGTTGCTGATAGGGAGGTTGGAGGGAGGAGTTTGGCCTTAGGATCCAGATAGGACAAATATAATGCTATAGGGGATCACGCTTTAAGCAAACTTGATACATGAAAGTCTAGATTTCCTTTACATAATTCAGGTATTATTCACTTTGCAGAAGAATTTAGGCAGTGATTCTTGAAAATGGGCCATTCTCCTAATGCATGTTTTTAAAAATATATATTCTTGAAAAATGTGATTAATAACGTGATTCTCTAAGCTCAGAAATAAAGCTGCATACCTACAATCATCTGATAGTCAATAAAATCATCAAAAGCAAGCAATGTGGAAAAGACTCTCCGTTCAATTAATGGGATAACTGGCTAACCATATACAGAAACTTAAAACAGGACCCCTTCCCTCATACCATATACAAAAATCAACTCAAGATGGATTAAAGACTTAAATGTAGGCCGGGCATGGTGGCTCAAGCCTGTGATCCCAGCACTTTGGGAGGCTGAGGTGGGAAGATCACAAGGTCAGGAGATCCAGACCATCCTGGCTAACATGGTGAAACCCCGTCTCTACTAGAAATACAAAAAATTAGCCAGGCGTGGTGGCGGGCACCCACAGTCCCAGCTACTCGGGAGGCTAAGGCAGGAGAATGGCATGAACCCGGGAGGCAGAGCTTGCAGTAAGCCGAGATCGCGCCACTGCACTCCAGCCTGGGCAACAGAGCAAGACTCCGTCTCAAAAAAAAAAAAAGACTTAAATGTAAAACCCCAAAACTATAGAAGCATATCTGTTGCATAAACAGTTTGCACTTATTCCTCCCTGGAGAGACCCTTATTTGAATTGTTTATTCCTAACACCCATGGTTTTTATATATTTTCTATTACCTTGATCCTGTTCTATGTTGTCTTCATGTGAAACTCGTGAAAGCTAAGTATAAAACTAAATTTTGTTATATGGCTCTAAAGATGCCCAGCACCTGAAATCCAATGATCTTTAATAAATCAATCCAAGCAAATACTCAAAGGAGCAAGGGAAATGTTCAGACCAAAGGTTTTTGGCCAGATTCTGGCCATGGCTTTGAAACAGCTCTTAACCAGATTCAATGGCTAGTTGATAATGAGATGCTTGTTTTGGCTTTATAGCTTGTCGTCTAAGGTTTATTATGCTATGGATTCTCACTCGTTTGAAAAGAACAGGTGGGACTCAACTCAGTTCTAATGGTGACTCCTAAAGCAAACCTCTCCTACAGCTAAGGTCTGTTCCTAGGGAAGTAGCAGTGCTGCCTGTTAGGCAGGGAAGAGATTCAAGGGAAGGTCTTAAAATCTAGGGCTCTATGCCAGGCATGGTGGGTATGCCTGTAATCCCTACACTTTGGGAGGCTGTGGTACACTCCAGTCTGGGTAACAGAAGACCTGTCAAAAAAAAAAAAAAAAAAAAAAAAAAAAAAAAAAAAAAAAAAAAAAAAAGCAGGGGTGCTCTGGAAACGACAAACCTAAGAAAAAATGGTATCTCCACCTCTTACTGATTGGATGCATTTGAGCATATTGCTCGATCTCTGAGTTTCACTTGGCTCACAGTAAGCCTTCAATAAATGCTGATAACAATGGTAATTACCATTCTGTAATCTCACACACATGTTCTAAGCGTCTTTTAGCTGCACAGCCTCTATGCACCAAAGCAGCAACAGGATGCTTCCAAGAACCATTTCAATTGCATCCCTTCAAACAGGAGTGATGAGTCAACAGGTACTTTATACTTCTGCAGTTCATACAGCTTTGTAGACAGATCATCTTATTTGTACTTTTTGAACTTGACTCATCACTCTTCCTGGACACGCAGGGGTGAGGGATAGAGATGGGGAAGGTAGATGCTGCTACCAAGATGATGGTCTTTCACGTAGCTATGAAACCTGCTTAAACCAATTCAGGGGGAATTTTAAGGCATAGCGTTAATTCTTTATCAATGCCAAGGAGCAAAGTCCAAAGACAAATTAAGACAAGGTCCAAACAGAATAGTTGAAGCCGGCCTGGACCAAAGGGCAAGGATGATCTACTCATGAAGCAGCAGCTACAAAAGCTGGGGTCCTGCCATAAAACAGACACCACACAAGTAATTTTTACTGGGACAATTTAACATCAAAGTTATTAACTACTAATGAAGGATTACCTTCTAAGAGAGGTAAAGATAACTCTTAATATACAGAAATAGGCCGGGCACTGTGGCTCACTCCTCTAATCCCAGCACTTCGGGAGGCCGAGGTGGGTGGATCATCTGAGGTCAGGGGTTCAAGACCAGCCTGGCCAACATGGTGAAACCCCATCTCTACTAAAAAATACAAACATTAGCTGGGCATGGTAGTGCATGCCTTCAGCTACTTAGGAGGCTGAAGCAGGAGAATCGTTTGAACTGGGGAGGTGGAGGTTGCAGTAAGCTGAGATCACACTACTGCACTCCAGCCTTAGCTATAGAGTGAATGAGACTCCATCTAAAAACAAAAAAATGAAAAACAAAAACAGAAATAGCATCTCTAGAGTACAACCACTCCACGAAGGGGCTGAAAGAGTGCTCGAGGAAGGAACAAACTTGGAAAAAGCTCCACTCCATGGCTGAGACTTACTTTGTTGGAGACAACGGATCGATGGCCCACTGGATGGAGAAGTTTGCTGAGATGCCACAGGCCAGGACGGGCTGGCAGGAAACTGCCCATGGTGGGTGCTATTGGGGCTTACCACCTTGGGTTGCAGTATCCCTAGCCCCACTGGCAGGAAAGCTGCCCGCTTTGTTCCCTAAATAGGGACTTGTATGAATGGCCCCACGAAGGTTCAGCTGTCTCTTACTTCTAATCAGTGAAATTCCTAAACAAGGAAGCCACCTGCTGGCAGCCATGGCTATGCCGAAAGAGCAAGAAAAATAAGGTACCAGAAAGGGAAAAACAAGCCCTGTCCTCTTTTAATATCTCTCCCACTCTCTCACCTCTATCAAGGACCAGTTGCACTGGCCGAGGAGACATATTCCAGGGTCCATCTCCAGTAGCACAAAGTAGGACAAAGAAGAGTGGATTTGGAGATGAGGCACTGATAACTGGCATAGATTCAAAGTAGGTAAAATGAAGGTGCAGGTTTGGAGAAATGGCCGGCGTCCACCAAGACGATTTTCAACGTCATGCTCAGAACCTCCGACAAGGGAATATTAGGACTAACCAGTGGCATATTATGGGCATAATGGCTCTCACAATTAATCTGCTTCTGTGAACAAAACTGCAGGTTCTGTATGCTCCCCCTATCCAGCCTATTTCTTTCTTTCTTTCTTTCTTTCTTTTTTTTTTTTTTTTTTTTTTTGAGACGGAGTCTCGTTCTTTCGCCCAGGCTGGAGTGCTCGATCTCGGCTCACTGCAAGCTCCGCCTCCCGGGTTCACGCCATTCTCCTGCCTCAGCCTCCCGAGTAGCTGGGACTACAGGCACCCAACACCATGCCCAGTTAATTTGTGTATTTTTAGTAGAGAAAGGGTTTCACCATATTGGTCAGGCTGGTCTCCAACTCCTAAACTCAAGTGATCCACCCGCTTCAGCCTCCCAAAGTGTTGGGATTACAAGCGTGAGCCACCACACCTGGCCCCAGTTCTTAAAAGAAGTGTAATAACCTGGGTTCCTATTTGGCTCAGCAGGTCCGTCTAAGACCTAATGAGATGTCTGCAGCATGCTCTGTTACAGCTCTGTGCCTATTACTAGAAACTTCCCAGAGCGGAAGTTGGAACTGAACAAAGGGAGACTTAAAGTAAGCATTGGCCACAGGAGCATATAAACCCAATTTGAATATTTTAAAATTTAATTAACCATGATTATGGATTGCATGACTGAATTCACCAACTGATTCAGTCAAAATAAACTAGTTGCTATTGCAATTTTACTTCCTAATGATTGTAATGAATTAGTTGAGAGACGCTGGGAAATATTTTCCAGTATAATATTTAAGAATTTTATCAACCAGGGTCTCAAAGGACTTAATTTAGGTATAATAACTTTTTTCTCTTTCTGCTGCTGAAATGTGGTGAATCTATGTGTGACTAATTGAAGTTGCACACAGTGATCTATCCACATGACCAGAAGAGGGCTCTGAAGTAGGCTAAGTGCTAGAGGTGTCTCATTTAATTCCAGGAAAGGGGCTATCCTTCCTCTCTATCCTGAAAGCTTATTTTCCTGAACTAAACTAGTGAATCTACTATGGACCCAGCTCTGTGCACAGTGAGGAGAAAGGTTTTTGTTTTTTGTTTTTTGTTTTTTCTTCTTTTTTTGAGACGGAGTCTCACTCTATCGCCAGTCTAGAGTGCAGTGGCACGATCCCAGCTCACTACAACTTCCGCCTCCCGGGTTCAAGTTGTTCTCCTGCCTCAGGCACCCGAGTAGCTTGGACTGCAGGCTCCCACCACCACACCCAGCTAATTTTCGTATTTTTAGTAGAGACAGGGTTTCACCATGTTGGCCAGGATAGTCTCGATCTCTTGACCTCGTGATCCACCCGCCTCAGCCTCCCAAAGTGCTGGGATTATAGGTGCGAGTCACCGCAGCCAGCAGAGAAAGGTTTTTATAAAATAAATAGACATTCTGGCCTGGACATATGATTATGAGAACACTACAAAGAGCTAAGGAAGGGGCCTCAATTATGTGGCACAAACATTAGCTACAAGAGATACTCAGAGACAGGGACCATCCGTGGGTCTATGTGCACTTGAACACCTGGGCAGGGCTCATGGAGAAGGTAGCACTGACTTTGCCTAATATTTTGTGGGGTTTGTCTGTGTTTGTGTTAAGGGGAATGGTGCATTGTGTACTTGTGGCAGGCCAGGTCTCACTAACCCAGGCCTCCATAACAGCTGTTTCAGCACTGACTGAGTGGTTAAGTTAAATATTAAAAGCAGATAGAGCCAGTGCCCTTATACAAAAGCTAGAATGTAATAAAAACCCACCAAGAGTTTTGCCTAGGCCATTCCAGGGCCTTGAAGTATGAAATGATAATAAGGGAATTCTTAACAGGAATCGTTTAGAATTAAACAAGTTTTATTGGGGGTCTAAAGAAACTCCTCAGACCGCCACAAACAAGTTTATTGGGGGTCTGAAGGAACTCCCCAGACCTCCGTGATTTAGCAGGAGACAAGATAAGGGTAATCACCCCAGCACCTGGACCCATTTAGATTAAGTAAATGTACTGAGGCTCCAGAGGAAGGTCTTCAGAACTCGGATATTAGTTATAGATTAGAAGAAGTTAATCACTTATGTCTTTAGATGAATGCAAACTTACACATAGACATATAGCTTAGAAGGTATATAAGCTCTGGAAAACTTCGTAATTTTGAGTTGGTCTGGTGACATTTTCCGGGCCTTCTCCTTGTACACAGGTATGGAAATAAACTCCCTTCTTTCCCAGATCATCTGCATCTTGTTATTGGGCCATGAGAATAAGCAGCCCCACCCTCAATTTGGTCCAGGAACATACTGGCAGTGGAAAGACATGAAGTATAATATAAATCCTGGATAATATAAATCCTGGATTCCAGTTCTAGCTCATCTACTCCATAGTCGTGAGACTTTAAGCAAAGCACTCACTAAACCCCAACTGGGTTATTCCTGAAGTGAGAATGGTAACGGATGGTTATCGTCCACATAAAATGAGACTATGTAAAGCATAAAGTTCCATCAGCCTTTATTATTACTAAGAAGGTAGACTTAACAAGACTATGTCATTAGACAGAGGATCTCTTTTCCTGGCCAAACCTGATTATGGTCACCTTGAAACGAATTGGACTCAAATGAATTTGAAAGGCAAACTGCCTTCAGCTGCATAATTCCCCCAGCACAAAGGCAACAGCAAATGAAACAACATAAACAACATTCCAGGTTCATACCTTATATGTGTTTGTTCTTTATTTTAAACTACAGAACATGGTGATTCTTTTAAAGCTACAAGCAATCATGCCAAGTGTCCAGGTTTATTCGGCATGACAGCTGAGAGTCCAGGATGAATTGAAGGCTCTATTTTTAGATTTCAGTCAAAGGATAAAAATCAGACCTTCCTGTGGGAATCATCTATTCTGAGTCATGCAACACCATCAGGCCAGAATAAAATAGCTCCACAACCCAAAGCATTCATCACCTGTGAAATAAGAAACAGAGTAATTTGCAAGATTCCTCTTTCTGCAACCTTGGAGCTTTGGTGGCATTCTGTGAGATGAGCATAGTGCCCTTCCTCAGTGCAAATGGGCCAACCAGCAGACTTAGCTGTTAAAGAGGCAGGAGCCTTTACAAATTCGGCATGAATCAGAAATAAAAGGTTATTTAGTTCAGGTGCAGTGGCTCATGCCTATAATCCCAGGACTGTGGGAGGCTGAGTCTTGAGGATCATTTGAGGCTGGGAATTAGAGACCAGCCTGGACAACATAGTGAGACCTCATCTCTATAAAAAAAAATAAAGAAAAAATATAAGAAGATAATTTAAATTTAAGTCAAGAAGGAAAGTAACTGGCCGTTCTAAATATTATTCAATAAATTGTTTGACTGATAATGGCTAACCTTTCTGCCCAACTTAGACTGATAAGTCTATGTTTCTATGCTCAAGAATCAAACACACAACACTTGGTTATTCTAAGAATGTATAGAATGTGATCACAGAAACAATATCCAATATAGCTAGGTCATTAGAGACTCAGATTCAGAAATTTAGGTATCATCTGATTTAAACTCCTTCATTTTTAAAGTGAAGTGAAGTAACTGACACCCATGGAATTTAAACAACCTGCTCCAGAGTTAATTAACAAATTAGTGGCAGAGCAGGATCTAGAAGACACAGAGCAGAAACATTCAAAGACTATAAATGGTTAAGGTCCTGATTTTCTAATCACAGGAAATAGTAGACTCCAAAAACTACAGACGAATGAAATGAAGGAATCGTAGATTCACATCTGGAAGGAGTAATGAAGATCATCTATTCTGACCCACTCATTTTTGAGGTGAAACAGGATGAGCTCGACTAAGGTGTTTGCCTAGCAGCTGGTTAATGACAGAGCACAGCTAGAACCTGGGTCTCCTGGACTTTGCCTGGGGATCTTTTCACTTCACTAGCGTTGAGATTCTTCTCAGGCAAAATTCTAGAATAGATTATTAAACAGATGGCTTGGGAGCATTTAAAAAGAAAGCAATCATTAGCAGCCAGCATGGGTTCAGTTAGAACAAGTAAGTCATGCCAGACTAATCTCATTTCCTTTTTGATGCAGTTACAAACAAATGTACACATCATTATAGTATGCTAAAATGAGGGATAGTCCAACAGAATTGAGGTGAGCTATATTTAAGCAGCTTAAAGTCATCGCCAATCTTTCCTGGTCCATATTTTTCTTCTCTTTGTTTCCCTGGCCTGTGTTCTTTTCAGAACTCTACAATCCTCTACTTCCCTACCTAGGTCTGGGGCCATCCAGTGAGCATCCACATTCCTTCTTTTATAACCTGTGTACATCTGGGATCCTTTAGGTTTTTCCAAACTGAAGATATAGAATTTACGTAATTGTAGAATTTGTTTTGATTGTGAATACTAGATTTTGAGAAGACACATAGACATAGTATCCTTAGTGGGAAGACAATGAGAGTTTTAGATTCACCTGGTGATTTTTCTAGTGCTATTGGAGAGGTACTGTGCATCCACAAATACCAAGATTCCAAGGGAAAAAGGAAGATACCATTATCAGGTGGTGTGTGCAGAGATGAACAGCTCTCAATTGGCAATAAAATCAAATTATCAGGTTCTTCCACTGGTTATCATGGTATGTATTATCATGGAAGTGAGAGGTGGATGAGCTTTAAGGAGATTTTGAAAATTATGCAATGGGAGAAGGAGTTTTAATGTATTAATATATAAATCTTTCTCAAATCTTTACCTGGAGTTGAGCTTACTTAATAACGTTGCCTATTATCAGGATGCCAGAGGGCAACATGAGGTTACCAAAGCTTCTTAGACCAAGGAATGTTCATGGAATACACAGCATGTCTTGACCTCTGTAAGACATTGCGAAAGGCTTCCATGGTCTCCTCAATGAGCACTGTGGCCAGATTTTTAGGATATAGCATGTCTTGATTAATGGCTCTAGAGTTCTCTAGAAGTTGACCACAGTGCACTGTTCTTGGCTTTTTAGTGTTCAACTGATGACCTAAATGAAAACATATGCTATTCCCTGATCAAACTAACACCCCCAAATTTAGGCTTGACTTAAATTTGTAACAGTTAATGCTCTGCAAAGATGGTGCAGTCCCAGGAGAGAGTCAGTTCCCATTGCTGGACATCTTAAAAGAGAGGCTGAATGAGGCGCCTGGTGGAGACACAGCCAAGGAGACTTAATGTATCTATGAGATTATGGGGCAAAACAATCTTTTAATTTTTTTTCTATTGTGTGATTCAATTATTCTAAAATCTAAGACCATGAAAATCTGAAATGCAAATGCATATCACTTATTAATGGTTAAGAAAAGTAATGTTTGTTTGTTTATTATCCTTCCTTGGTTTTGCCTGTCCAAGGTGACACATGCCATATGTGTTCAATATGCTCAAAACCTGGATGAATAACTCAGAGGAGACAAGCTGACATTGGGGGCGAGCCTCTAGGTTAAAAAGGTGAGAATGAGTCACAAATAGATGCCAAAATTGTATTTGCATGACAATGCTTAGATGAAGAAAATAGTCCAGAGGAAAAATGACCTGTTTATTCTGATAGTTTAGAGAAAATATGACTTAGAAGGGCAGAAACTGGGCCTAAAATATACTTCCATTTCATTTTAAAGAACTCATAATGAGATGTTTTCTGGTATTTTTTTAAATGGAAATCTCCATGTCCTTTCAGACAAATAGAGAGCAAGGAGAGCTGTCTCTCTACACTTTAAAAAGGGACTCACGTGCACATGTTTCTGTGGAAGCTGGTAAGCACACATCTGTGTGGGTTCTCAGATGGTCAAAATCCTTCCTGCCAGAATCAGTCTCAACCACTCAGAAATTATTTAACATCTGCAATACTCTCCCCATTTTCCCTGCAAAATAATGCAAGCAAACAAACATAAAAGACATTGTCCCTATAATTTATCATCTCCCTAGTTCATGACAGAAGAAATGCACCTAAATCACAGGTTGGCATACATCATGGCAGGCGTCATGGATGAGGAGTTGGAAGAACTAGGTTCTGTCCAGGCTCCATGCTTTCATAGTTGTACATCCTTATCTGAGTCCCACATTCTTCATGAAGTCCCATTTGTAGAGGAAGGATTCTTGAAGGCTGAGATACTTGAGCTAAAGCCTGAAGGATGAGAAGGATTTAGCTATACAAAGAGGTTTTCAGGCAGACACATCAGCAGGTGCAAGGATCCTCAAGGAAGACAGTTTTGGGTTACACTCAAGGAACTTAGAAAAGGCCGATGTGGCCATGGGTGAGACAAAGAGAAGGATGGGCTGGGTAAGTCAGAAGGAGCCAGATCAGGCAGAGCCTTCGTGCCACAGTAAGGAGGTTGGATTTTTCCCAAGCCATTTAGAAAGCAACAAAGGATTTAAGCAAGCAGAAATATGTCATGAGATATAATTTTTAAAGCTTTCTCAAGCTGTTATATGGAGAAGAGGTTGTCATAGCATCAGGCAGTATAATAAGTAGGACAACCAGTTCAGTGGCAATTGAAGCTGTACAAGCAAGAATAAAGATTTCGGCTAGAAGGTTAGAAGGGAGAAGATGAAGACTGAGGTACATAGAGGTGGAGCTGAGAAGACTTGCAGCTAATGGCTGAGATGTTATTGTATGGATAATCCAAGGAAATATAAATGGGTTTGAGAAACTCAGAAAATATATACAAATGTGAGGCATTGCTATTAATATAGCAAAATGTGTGGTTCAGGATATAAAAGGCTACTCTTTGTAGATACATGTGCTAAACTTACTCCTGAACATAAGGTAGGAAGCGTCACATATATACATTTACCTACCAGGCAACTGAGGGGCTCTGATGGGTCCTGTCTGAGGGCAAGCAAGGAAATCATCAGCAATACTGACTACTCCAATTACTTCTCACTGTAGTTCGTCCACCATGGCCAGGCTAGAGTTTCTCCTTTTGAGACAGAGCTGTCCTTGTATTCCTGGGCAGCATCTTGAACTCACTAGTGCCATGCTGATTCCATGATTAGTTGCCAGGAAAAGCATTCCCATCCCCTACCCAGTAGGCTACCTAGGACATTCTTTTTGTTTTTTTGTTTTTTGAGATAAGAACTTGCTCTGTCACCGAGGCTGGATAGCTCACTGCAGCCTTGAAGTCCTTGGCTCAAGTGATCCTCCCACCTCAGTCTCCTGAATAGTTGGGACTACAGGTGTGCACCACCACACATGGTTAATTTTGTTTTTATTTTTAGAGGTGAGGTCTTGCTATGTTGCCCGGGCTGGTCTCAAACTCCTGGACTCCAGTGATCCTCCCACCCTCGCCTCTCAAAGTGCTGGGATTACAAGCATGAGCCACCACACCCGGCCTACTTAAAGATATTTCTGACAGCCTTCCCACTTTTACAGGGCATTGAGACTTGCAAAAGATGCATCCATAAAGCCAAAATAGCCGTGCAGTTTTGGAAGCCCCAAATCAAACCATTTATGTGACATTATACAGAAAAAATTAAATGGTTCATTATCTGAATTTTTTTTATCTTTCAGCTGTAAGGATGGGTCTTATTTAGACACAGCCAAAATTACTGCTCTATAAAGAGCTTAGGGCTACCCTGACTCGGAAAGATCTATATAAAACTCAGTTCTATTTCCAAGGCTGCTACAGATCCAAAATAAACCATCAGCAGTCTGTACATTCATTTATATATACATACTGTACCTTCTCTAACTGAAAATATTTCACACAGCAGATTGAATTCAATATGCTTTCCCTGAAGATGCTATTATGAAGAGCAAAAGTGCTATTACCTAAAATTTAAACAGATAAGTTATTAATTGCAGTGTTTTTATAGCCTCCGCATTCTCTCCACTGATGATTCTCTTAACCTTTCCAATTACAAAAACGATCCAATAAGTATCCTAGTTTAATTAGAAAATATGTGCTCAAATCCTTATATTTTTGGCAGATTGCATTCACCACTCAGAAATTAATGTCCAGGGAAAGTGTCTTTCCAATATTTCAGGTGTACTCTGGATCAGTAAAGATATTGATACTTTCTAGATATTGTAAAGCAGAAAATAGATATTAGCATAAAATGAGCAATGTAGAATGCCTTTTAAATTGAATAGGTACTTTTTTCTGTTAAATCAGGAAAGACCTTAAAATTATATTCCCTTTTAAATTTTTTAATTATATAAATAATACATTTTCAATGTAGGGAAATGGTAAGATATAGATGGGCAGTGGTCTTACCTATATCCTTCCAGATATTTCCCTCTGGATAGACATGTATATTTTGTTACAATAATTCCTGCACCTCAAAAACAATACAAACAGTAAAAATGAGATTGTATTAGCCTTATTAACTGTTGCAGAGGTGCTAATTTATATACAATTCTATGTGCATTCATTTCAATTTTGACTTTTAAATTTAAATTGATACGATCAAAATAATACTACAAGTTTCCACGTGAAGCAGCAGCAGTTTCAGAATAATTCAAAACTTGATTCAGGCATGCTGCTGATAAAAAAAAAAAAAAAACATGTACCTTTTTTTTCATTAGAATATGCAGCTTTCTACTACTGCATTCTTCGAAGAGAAGAATATTCTGCCGGTTTGGCCACAAGCTCTTCACGTATAGACAGTTACTCCTTAGTAAACTCTTCATTCATCCTGGTGTTCTTGAAAATATTCCTCAAACATAGAAGAAGATTCATTTTCATATTCCTTTGGTTATTTAAATGTTGAATCTTCTCCACATTGAATGGCTAAATCAATATGCTATAATACAATGTTCATACTTTCTTCATCTGACTGATCATAAGGTAAGAAGAGAACTATGCTGCAGTCATCAGCCCACATACAACTTTAGTTACTTTTTTGAATTCTTTGCTTCTTAAGCCACTTGTAGAATCATCAAATAAGGAATCCATGTCTAGATCTAGAAACTTACAGTTTCCTTTTTAGCTTTTTTACTCTGCAGCTACATTTTGATCACGATGTTAACTTGCGGAATTTATAGAGAGAGCATGGCACTCAGGACTGCCAAGATGCCAGAAATACACTTGAATGACTCCACCATGAACTGAGGATCAACAAGAAAAACTCCATAGACTCGGAAACTCCACTGCTCGAGCTGCAGGACCAGCTGCTTCATCACAGTCAGGTGAATGTACAACTCAGTCCAAGCTGGACAATCAAAGCTGGCAAGGGTATTACCAATTACTAATGGGATTGTAATTGTCCTAGTCCTTTTGAAAGCAATTAAACAATATGAATCAAAAGCAATACAAAGGTTCATACCTTTTACACACCTTTATGCTCTATTTATGAAATTATAGACTAACCAAATGTTCCAAAAATATGGAAAAATTATATGCATGAAGCAGCACCTCGGATCATTATTCATAACCGTAAAGTATTGGAAAAAACCTACAGCGCCAACAATAGAAAAGTGAAAAATGAAATTACAGAGCATCCACTCAAATATTGTCAAGCCTTTTTAAAATTATGGTTATAAAGACTGTGCAAAGGCATGAATAATGCTCATGACATATTAAATAGTGACTCAAGCTTTATAATTATTTGTCTAATGATTTCAATAAAATATAAAAAGAGAATACTCACTATTACTAAGACCGACTGTCTAAACTAGGTTGCAATTTTTAATCAAGAGAGTGGCAGACAGAGTATATGTGTGATATGGTTTGTATCTGTGTCCCCACCAAATCTTGTGTCCCTATAATCCCCAGTGTTGGAGGTGGGGCCTGGTGGAAGGTGACTGGATCATGGGGGTGGATCCTTCATATATGGTTTGGCACCATCCCTTGGGTGCTGTTCTCATGACAGAGTTCTCACAAGATCTGGTTGTTTAAAATTCTGTGTCACCTGCCTAGCCTGCCACTCCACCTCTTCTTGCTCCTGCTCTGGCCATGTAAGATGTGCCTGCTTCCCCTTCACCTTCTGCCATAATCGTAAGTTTCCTAAGGCCTCCCAAGAAGCAGATGCTGCCATACTTCCTGTATAACCTACAGAACTGTGAGTCAATTAAACATCTTTTCTTTATAAATTACTCAGTCTCAGGTATTTCTTTATGGCAGTGCAAGAACAGACGAATGCAATGTGCATAGACTTTTCCAAGACCTTGGAATGTATTATGTGAAGGCATATTATTAGTCAGCGAAGTAGAACCACTAGAAGTAATATAGATTAAAGGATTTGTTATAGGGGTTAGATTTTTACAAAACTATGTTGCTGGTGGAGAAGTCTGTGCAAGGCTGTTGTCTCTGTGTCTGATGTTGAACCTGAAGTCACTATAGAATAGCCAGCCAGCAATTGGTAGGAAAGCCTGAGTAGATGAGGGCAAGGACATACTAGAAGCTGAAAGGACAAGCGAGTGCTTGAGGACAAACTTGACCCAAGTCCCTTGGCTTGGGCTTTCTGTCACTTGCAATCTAAGGAGTTCTAACTGATAAAAGTAGATCAGTCTTGGCCTTGGAATAATAAGTCTGATTATGTTATAGAAACTTCACTATGACTCCACCTAGCATTAAAACCCATGGAGCTGAGTGACTGACAACCCCTTCCAGAGACCAAATGGGCAGAATCTGGGAAAAACTGGGAAGACCAAAGGAATTAAAGACTGCAGCATGGAGGAGAAAGCAAGAATAGGAACCTTGAAAAGTGGCAATTTAGTAACCTTGAGGCTCTAGATCGAAGACTCTTCATGGCCATCGAGAAACCTGGAATCTGCTGAATGGAGTGTAGAAGTCACTCTCTAATCTCCACCTTCTATGCGTTCTCTGTGGGTTAGCAAGTAGAATGGAAACTTAACCCTTGGTGAAAAGCTGCTTTGTGCATTCTTCTAGACTCTATCTGTGTTTTTGGCCCACGAGGATAGGCATGGTACTGGGGTAAAACATTGTGGTGACAACTAAGGCTAAGTGTTGACTGATACAGCCATTACCTACTGCAGTGTACATGCCTCCAATTTACATTTGTTTGAAAATTCCTATATAAAGAAACTAAGTAAACAAAGCACAGGTCTTGATAAATTCACAGTTGTGTGTCTATACTGCCTTCATATCCAGTTGAAAAATGGTCAACACATCATAAATGATTTCATGCTGGACACAGTAGCTCATGTCCATAATCCCAGCACTTAGGGAGGCTGAGGTGGGACGATTACTTGAAGCCAGGTGTTTAAGATCATCCTGGGCAATAGAGGCTGATCTCTGTCTGTACAAAAAATAAAAAATTAGCTGAGCATGGTGGTGCACACCTACAGTCCCAGCTCTTGGGAGGGTGAAGCAGGAGGATCTCTAGAACCCAGGAGTCGAAGGCTGCAGTGAGCTATGATTGTGCTACTACACTGCAGCCTGGGCAACAGAGCTAGGCTCTGTCTCTAAAAATAAAAAAATAAAATAAATTTAAAAAGAAAGGAAGAAGAAGAAAAAGAAAAAATGATGTAGCAGAATTTTCCCTGCCAAATCCACCAGTTAATAACCTATTGTTATATCTTGAAAGTTATGTTGGGATTATTTCCTTCTGAAATGGACTTCCTTCCATTCCACCTTCTATCCCTGTGTATTTTTGTTCACCAAGACTCTTATGAGAAAATTCTACTACAAATATGCCATTGTTGGGGAGAGAAAAGCTTTCACCTCAGACTCTCTAAAACACCGGCTTATGTCTGCCCACCCCTCTGAGAAGTAAACATGATTTGTAAATAAAAGCCACCCTGGGGCTCACATGAGATCAAAATTTATCTCCACAGTTTTCATGTTATGTTATTATCCTAATGTTGCCTTAAGACTCTCAAAAATAACACTTTAAAAGATCCACATTTCTCATATCTAAAGGAAGTTTGTTATTCCTTTGTTTGCACCCTACCTTGTTAGAAAAAGGATTGGAGGAAGCTTTCTGTGATACAAAAGATAGAAAGAAAGAAGGGAAGAAAGAAAGAAAGAAAGAAAGAAAGAAAGAAAGAAAGAAAGAAAGAAAGAAAGAAAGAAAGAAAGAGAAGGAAGGAAGGAAAGAAAGAGAAAGGGAAAGAGAGAGAGGGAGAGAGAGAGAAAGAAAAAGGAAGGAAGGGAGAGAGAGAAAGAAAGAAAAAAGGAAGGAGGGAAGGAAAGAAAGAAAGAAAGAAAGAAAGAAAGAAAGAAAGAAAGAAAGAAAGAAAGAGAGAGAGAAAGAAAGAAAGAAAAAGAAAGAAAGAAAGAAAAGAAAAGAAAGAAAAAGAAAGAAAGAAAGAGAAAAAGGATCAGATCAGGTCAGAGAAAAAACAATGGTTAAAAAAATAACTTGTCACTAGGGTAAGAATAACATGCATAATGCATTTTTTAATGTCCTGATAAACTGAGCTGTATATTTGTTTCATAACTCCCCAGCTTCCACAGCAAAAATAGAGAACTGATAATTATCACTATTTTTATTCTTTATGGTTGCTCAGGGGGAAAATTTTTAAAGGGGACATTACTGGAATAAGGTTACCCTTCTGTCACTCACATTTGATTACTCATAGACTTTTCTATTTGAAGACGCATTAAGGAAAATTTTCCTTGCAAACAAATGTTGTCAAATGAATTGACCAACATGCATACCTGCCAAGTGCCCAGCATCCTCAAGTACCTATAGGACATTAACTCCAGTAGCCTGTGTAGCAAAGTAGAATAAAAATAAAGTTACTGGGAATTCAGGATTGATAATATCTCTGATTTGTATATTTCTGCAGCAGTCAGTCTCTTTCAAAATATGGGAACAGCAAGTTAAAATAAACTGTCTTATTGGCAGAACAGAGTGTGATCATGAGATACTATTCAGCTTTTATGCTGATTCATCAGCTCACAGTGAAACGAGCTTGCATGAGAGCATCCCAGGACCACTGAACATTCAGAGGTATGTCCTCGCATCTTAATTTTTTTAAGGTAAAATGAGATTTTCATAGAATAAGGATACAGCTGATAAATAGCAAGTCTAAAATTACATATACACTAGCCTACATTTAAGAATATCTTGGCTAATTATTCCTAAGTCATTGATGTTTTTGTTTGTCTTTGTTTTTTACTATTTATTTCCTTTGCTTTACAGCTTTATTGAGTCATAATTGATGTAAATAAACCATCCATATTTAAAGTGTATTATTGATGAGTTTTTACATAATATACTTCCATGAAACCATCTTCAGTCAATGTAATGAAACTTTATATCACTCTCAGAACTTTCTCTTACCTCTTTCACACTCTAATTATTGTTTTTAACCTGCCTGTTCCTATTATATAGCAAATAATTTGCTTTTTAGAATCAAGATCATTATGATGCAATGAATATTTATCATTTGCTCTTTTGAACTGTGTTTGATGATTCTGTGACTTTTGTAGGTATCACAAAAGGGATTTACTTTCATGCAGAAAACTTAGGCTCAGCAAATGAATCCATATTTACGAATTTATGATGGGCTGAAATGGTAGGAAGAACTGGCCAGTCAATCTTGGACAAGAGTAGAACATTTAAAATGAAGTGGAGGTGATGGTAATGGGGGTGGGGTTGTACCACTTCAGTATAAGGAAACTGCAAAGAAAAAAAAACCCACCTGATTACTATGGCGGGGGTCGGTTCATCATTACATCATGAAAGGGGCAAATAGTTTAGAATATGCTAGGGGCTGGTGAAGAATTAAAGAAAAAAAGAGGGAAGAATGAAAGGGGGTAAGGGAAGAAGGGGAAAAGGGAAGGAACAAATAAGATATTAAGAGTAAAGGGAAAAAGACAAACAGAGAATACTGCAGTAGGGCTTTGAGCTAAAAGACATACAGTGACTTTTGTGATAAAGAAACCAAAGAAGGTCGTGAAATGGGTATCCAAAAAAAAAAAAAAAACGGGCAGCCTGTGGCGCTGCGGCTGGATAAAGAACATCAGGGACAGGAAGGCTGTAATAAGATTCCACCACCATCTCTGCCCATCACTAGGGCTGGAGGCAGAGAAAAACTTCCCCTACTCAAGAAAAAGAAGCTATTTTTGTCAAGTTAAATGAGCCTGAACCTGCAGAGCTGAATTGGCAGATGAATATTGCTAATTGGTGCAGTTTCTTCGGTGCAGGAAAGAGTTTCCAATCAGACCGGCAATTCATTGGCCACATGAAGGTAATTTATTAATAAAAATGAACTGAAGTTTCAGAATCCTTGATAATGATGAGCTCATGGTCCTTCACCTCCCTTCCCTTCCCTAGAAAGAACACCCTACAACAATGATGCCTCAGTGATATCTTCTCCAGCCCATTCCATATGTGGCAACATTTCAAGTGGTTTTTTTTTTTATTAGGAATTTCTACATTTAGTTGTCAAATCAAGCTGCTCTAAATGCCTAATTCTGATTCTCCCTTCATCAACAGACTTTTTGAGGAGTTCCTGATTCAAAGTAACCAGGAAAGTCTGCTAACTGCAGCTTAATTCTGAAAAGTGAAGGGGAAAACAAAACAGGAGAAACAGTCTCCCTTTAAAAAAAAATTAACTTTATTTTTCAGTTTAATAAATTTGACAAATGTATCCTCCTATGTAACCATAACCACATTAAGACATGGAGAATTGACCTCACCCCAAAGAATTCTGGTTTCCTTTGCAGTAACCACTCTCCCCAGCCCTGGTCATAGACAGCCATTGGTCTCCTTTCTGTCATTGTAGATTAGTATTGCCTTTTCTAGAATTCCATATAAATGAAGTTATCTGATGGCTTTTTAAAAAGTCAGTTGAACGTTTTTTGAGATTCAATCTGTGTTGCTGTACATCATTAGTCCATGCTTTTCATGGCTGAGTAGTATTCTATTATATAAACGTACTCCAATATGTGTATCCATGGGCATTTGGGTTGTTTCTGTTTTAGCCCATTAAAAATCAGATGGCTATGGGTATTAGTGTCCACGTATTTGTGTGGACATATGTTCTCATTTCTCTTGGGTAAATGCCTGGGGGTGGGATTGCTGTGTCATATAGTAAGTGTATTTTTAACTTTATAAGAAACCATCAGCTGTTTTCCAAACTGACTGTACCACTTTACATTTCCATCAGTAATGCCTGAGATTTCTAGTTGCTCCAAACCAGAGCCACTGAAATGGGTATAAAGTGGTATCTCATTGTTTTAATCACATTTTCCTAATGACTAGTAATGTTAAGTGTTTTTTCATGTGTTTATTGGCCATTCGTGAATTTCTTTTTGTGAAATGTTTGCAAAATCTTATGCCCATTTTTAAAAATAGGGCCATTTTGTAACTGTCCAATGGGTTCTCCTTGCCTGCTGCCCAAGTAAAGGTGATTTATCAAGGAGTTTATCCTTTGCATGCCCAGGTAAAGGAATTGCAGTAGAGAGGGCTTAATTCACTCAGAGCCACCTGAATGGGAGACTGGAGTTTTACTACTCAAATCAGTCTCCCTGAAAATTTTGAGACCGGGGTTTTTAAAGGATAATTTGGCAGACAGGAGGCCAGGGACTGGAGAGTGCTGATTGGTTAGGTCAGAGATGAAATCACAGGGGATCGAAGTGGGTTTTTCTTGTTGTCTTCTGTTCCTGGGTGGGATTGCAGAACTGGTAGAGCCAGATTACTGGTCTGGGTGCTAGCTGGTGG
Source organism: Homo sapiens (assembly GCF_000001405.40). NCBI lineage: Eukaryota > Metazoa > Chordata > Mammalia > Primates > Hominidae > Homo > Homo sapiens. Next base: position 25,654,518 of record NC_000010.11, read on the forward strand.
ATCAGAATGCAGGGTCTGGAAAATATCTCGAGCACCAGTCTTAGGTTTTACAATAGTGATCTTATCCCTAGGAGCAATTGGGGAGGTTCAGCATCTTGTGGCCTCTGGCTGTATGACTCCAGAACATAATTTCTAATCTTGTGGCTAATATATTACTCCTATAAAGGCAGTCTGGTCCCCAGGCAAGATGGGAGTTGATTTTGGGAAAGGGCTGTTATCTTTGTTTCAAAGTTAAACTATAAACTAAGTTCCTTCCAAAGTTAGTTCAGCCTATGACCAGGAATGAACAAGGGCAGCTTGGAGTTTAGAAGCTAGATGGAATCAGGTTAGATTTCTCTCAGCGTCATAATTTTCTCACTGTTATAATTTTTACAAAGGTAGTTTCAATTGGTCTTATTATTGAGTTGTGAGAGTTCTTTATATATTATATATTATATATTATTTCTTTTTTTTTTTTTTTTGAGTCAGGGTCTTGCTCTCTCACCCAGGCTAGAGTACAGTGGTGCAATCATGGCTCACTGCAGCCTCAAACTCCGGAGCTCAAGGGTTCCTCCCACCTCAGCCTCCTGAAGTGTTAGAGTTACAGGCATGAACCATGGTGCTTGGACAATATATTCTTTGGTCTCTTTCATGTAACTGAATTTAAAATTTTGATGAAGTTCAGTTTCTCCATTTTTTGTAGTTTGTCCTTTGTGTGGCCTGAAAAGCTTTGCCTACCCCATAATTGTGAAGATCATTGTCTATAATTTCTTTTAGAAGTTTTATGGTTTCAGCTTTTAAACTTAGACCTATACTCCATTCTGAGTAAATTTTTGCATGTGACATGAGGAACTCATTGAGGTTCTTTTTATTTAATCAATGTCTATTCAATTATTTGGGCACTGTTTATTGGAAAGACCATCCTAACTGAATTACCTTGCTGCCTTTATAAACAATGAGTTGACCTGTGGTCTACAGGTCTATCTGTATGCAAATACTGCATTATCTTGATTACTGTTTGCATTAGTCAGTTCTAATTAGTCAGTTGGCTGCCAAAAGAAATACTTGAGACTGGCTATTTATAAAGAAAAGAGCTTTAATTGGCTCATGACTCTTCAGGCTGTACAGGAAGCATAGCGGCTTCTGCTACTGGAGAGGCCTCAAGAAACTGAAAATCATCATGGAAGGCCAAGGGGAAGCAGGCTCATCTTACACGGCCAGAGCAGGAGCAAGAAGGGAGGAGGGGAGGTGCCACACACTTTTAAACAATCAGATCTTGTGAGAACTCACTCACTATACAGTACCAAGTGGGGATGGTGCTAAACCATTCATGAGACCTTCTCCCCAAGATCCAGTCATCTCCCACTAGGCCCCATCTCCAACACTGGGGATTACAATTCAACATGAGATTTGGTGGGGACACATGTCCAAACCGTATCACTGTTACCATACAGGACATCTTGAAATCAGATGGTTATATCTTGAATTTTTATTCTTTTTTTAACTCAAAATTATTTTGACTATTCTATGTTCTATGTTCTTAGCATTTCTGTATAAATTTTAGGGTCAATTTGCCAATTTCTACATCAGAAGACCGTTGGGATTTTGATTAGCATATCGTTCAACCTATAGACCAATTTGAGTAGAATTGACATCTTAACATATTGAGTTTCTTGTTCCATGAACATAGTATATATCTACACTTGTTTATGTTATCTTTAATTTCTTTCAACATGTTTTGAAGTTTTTAAAGCACAGATCTTGCAAATATTTTATTCTTAAATAGCTCATATTTTTAGATAATATGCTAAATAGTGTAGTTGATCACATTTTATTTTCCAATTATTATTACCAGTATATAGAAGCACAACATAGTTCTTATATTAAATTGAACCCTATGACTTTGCCAAGGTCATTCGTTCTAGTAGATTTTTGAAGTTTTCTTATGATTTTCTATATAAATGATCATGATGTATACAAAGATATACATTTTTATTTCTTTCTACAACTGTATGCATTTTATTAATTTTTAAATTTTAAACATTTAATTTTTGTGGATACATAGTAGGTGTACATATTTCTGGACTATATGGGATATGTTGATACAGGCAAACAGTGTGTAATAATCACATCAAGGCAAATGGGGTAACCATCACCTCAAGCATTTATCCTTTGTGTTACAAACAATCCAATTATACTCTTTTAGATATTTAAAATGTACAATTAAACTATTTTGACTATAGTCACTCTTTTGTGCTGCAAATACAAGATCTTATTCATTGTTTCTCACTATTTCTTTGTATCCATTATTCATTCCCACGTCCCCCTCCCAATCCCCCAACTACTCTTCCCAGCCTCAGGCAACCATCCTTTTACTCTATCTCCATGAGTTTGATTGTTTTAATTTTTAACACCGACAAAGAAGTGAGAACATGCAAAGTTTGTCTTTCTGTGCCTGGCTTATTTTACTTAACATAATGACCTCCAGTTTTATCTACGTTGTTGCAAATGACTGGCTCTCATTCTTTTCTATGGCTGAATAGTACTATATTGTATGTGTGTACCACATTTTCTTTATCCATCCTTCTGTTGATGAACATTTAGGTTGCTTCCAAATCTTGGCTATTGTGGATAGTGCTGCAATAACCATGGGAGTGCAGATATCTCTTGTATATACTGATTTTCTTTCTTTTGGATATATATCTAGCAGTGAGATTGCTGGATCATATGCTGGTAGCTCTATTTATAGTTTTGTGAGGAACCACCAAACAGTTCTCCAGAGTGGTTGTTCTAATTTACATTACCGCAAACACTGTACTGGGGTTTCCGTTTCTCCACAATTTTGTCAGCATTTGTTATTGTCCATCATTTGGATAAAAGTCATTTTAACTGGAGTGAGATAATATCTTATTGTAGTTTTGATTTGCATTTCTCTGATTCTTAATGATATTGAGCACCTAGTCATATACTTGTTTGCTATTTGTATATCTTCTTTGGAGAAATGTCTATTCAAATCTTTCGCCAAGTTTTTAATTGGATTATTAGATTTTTTTTCCTATAGAATCGTTTGAGCTCCTTATATGTTCTGCTTATTAATCCCTTGTCAGGTGGGTAGTTTGCAAATATTTTCTCCCATTCTGTGTGTTATCTCTTCATTTTGTCTATTGTTTCCCTGCTGTGCAGAAGCTTTTTAAATTGATGTGATCCCATTTGTCCATTTTTGCTTTAGTTGCCTGTGCTTGTGGGGTATTACTCTAGAAATCTTTGCCCACTCCAATGTAACGCAGAATTTTCCCAATGTTGTCTTGTAGTCATTTCATAGTTTTAGGCCTTAGATTTAAGTCTTAAATCCATTTTGATTTCATTTTTGTATATGGTGAGAGATAGGGATCTAGTTTCATTCTTCTGCATATGGATATTCAATTTTTCCAGTTCCATTGATTGAAGAGACTGTTTTTCCCCCATGTATATTTTTGGCACCTTTACTGTCAATAAGTTCACTGTAGAAGTCTGGATTTGTTTCTGAGTCCTCCATTCTGTTCCACTGGCCTCTATATCTGTTTTTTTGTGAGTGCCATGCTGTTTTGGATACTATAGCTCCACAGTATCATATGAATCAGGTAATGTAATTCCTCAGTTTTGTTCTTTTTGCGCAGGACAGCTTTGGCTATTCTGGGTCTTTTGTGGTTTTATATAGATTTGAAGATTGATTTTTCCATTTCTGTGAGAAAGTCATTGATATTTTGATACGGATTGCAATGAATCTGTAGATTGCTTTGGGTAGTATGGATATTTTAACAATTTTGATTCTTCCAATCCATGAACATGGAATATCTTTCCATTTTGTGTGTGTGTGTCCTCTTCAATTTTTTGCATCAATTTTTTGCAGTTTTCATTGTAGAGATCTTTCACTTCTTTTGTTAGTTAATTCCAGGGTATTTTATTTGTAGCTATTGTAAATGGGACTATTTTCTTGATTTTTTTTCAGATTATTTGCTGTTGGTATATAGAAATGCTACTGTTTGTTGTATGTTGACTTTATATCCTATAATACTGAATTTGTTTATCAGTTCTAATACTTTTTGGTGGAGTCTTTAGGTTTTTCCAAATGTAAGATCATATCTTCTGCAAACAAGGAAAGAAAGATCCTTTGAATTTCTGTGGTATTGGTTTAGTGTCTCTGGTTGTAATGTCTTTTTCATTTTTGATTTTATTTATTTGGGTCTTCACTCTTTTTTTCTTAGTTTGGCTAAAGCTTTTTCAATTTTGTTTATCTTTTCAAAAAAACAAACTTTTTGTTTTATTGATATTTTTATTGTATTTTTCATATCAATTTCATTTGTTTCTGTTCTAATCTTTATTATTTCTGCTCTTCTACCAATTTTGACTTTGGTTTGCTGTTGCTTTTCTAGTTCTTTAAGATGCATCGTTAGGTTGTTTATTTGAAGTTTTTCTTATTTTTTCGCATAAGCACTGATAGCTACAAACTTCCCTCTTAGTACTGCTTTCACTGCATACGTAGGTTTTAGTATGTTGTGTTTCGGTTATCCTTTGTTTCAAGAAATTTTTCAGTTTATTTCTTAATCTCTTCATTGACCCAGTGATCATTCAGGAACATATTGTGTAATTCCCATGTGCTTGTATAGATTCCAAAATTCCTCTTATTAATTTATAGTTTTATTCCATTGTGATCAGAGAAGATGCTTGATATTATTTCAATTTTTTTAATGTGTTAAGACTTGTTTTGTGACCTAACATATGGTCTATCCTTGAAAATGATCCATGTGCTGGAAAGTATGCTTCTGCAGTTGTTGGATTAAGTGTTCTGTAAATAATCTTCTAGGTCCGTTTTGTTTATAGTGCAGATTAAGTCTGATATTTCGTTTTTGATTTTCTGTCTGGATGATCTGTCTAATGTGAAAGTGGGGTGCTGACTTTACTAGCTATTATTGTACTGGGGTCTATCTCTTTCTTTAATAATAATTGCTTTATATATCTGAGTGCTACAGTGTTGGGTGAATATATATTTAAAATTGTTATATTCCCTTGCTGAATTGACATTTTTATCATTATATAATGACCTTCTTTGTCTCTTCTTATCATATTAGTCTTTAAACCTATTTTGTCTATTTTATCTGATACATGTATAGCTACTCCTGCTCTTTTTTGGTTTCCAATGGCATGAAATATATTTTTCCTGTAAGCAACACACCATTGTCTTATATTTTAAATCCATTCAGCCACTTTATGTCTTTTGATTGGAGAGATTTGTCTGTTTACATTCCGTTTTATTATTGACAAGTAAGGATTTACTCCTGCCATTTTATTATTTGTTTTCTGTTGTTTTGTGGCCTTTTTTTCCTTCTTTTCTTTCTTCCTGTATTCCTTTAAATATAGCTGTTTTTCTCTGCTGATATGTATTAATTTCCTCTTTAAGGCCAATAATTCTTAGGTTTGCCCCTTTTAGGCTATTTTCTAGATCTTGTAGGCATGCTTCATTCTTTCATATTTTTTGTCTCCTCTGTGTATTTTTAAATAGCCTGTCTTCAAGTTTACTAATTATTTCTTCTGCCTGATCAGTTCTGCTGTTAAGACTGATGCATTCTTCAGTATGTGAATTGCATTTTCAACTCCAGAATTTCTGCTTCATTTTTTAAAATTATTTCAATGTCTATATTAACTTTAATAGAATTCTGAATTCCTTCTCTGTTATCTTGAATTTCCTTGAGTTTCTTCAAAACCGCTATTTTGAATTCTCTGTCTGAAAGGTCACATATCTCTGTCTCTCTGGCATTGGTCCCTGGTGCCTTATTTAGTTCATTTGGTAAGGTCATGTTTCCCTGGATAGTCTTAATGTTTGTGGATGTTCCTCTATGTCTGGGCATTGAAAAGTTAAGTATTTATTGTAGTCTTCACAGTCTGGGCTTGTTTGTGCCTGTCCTTCTTGGGAAGGCTTTCCAGGTATTTGAAGGGACTTGAGTGTTGTGATCCAAGTTTTTGGTCACTGAAGCTGTATGTGCATTAGGGAGCACTCCAAGCTCAGTAATGCTGTGATTCTTACAGACTCCTAGAGGTACGGACTTGGTAATTTTGGATAAGATCCAGAAAAATTATCTGGATTGCCAGGCAAAGTCTCTTGTATTCTTCTCTTACTTTCTCCCAAACAAACTCTCTCTCTCTCTCTCTCTCTGGTGAGCTGCTCTCTGGTGAGCTGGGGGCGAGGTAACACAAGCACCCTTGTGGCTACCACCACTGAGACTGTGCTGGGTCAGACCTAAAACTAGCAGAGCACTGGGTCTTTCCCAAAGCCTGCCGTCACCACTACTTGGTGGTGAAGCCAGGCAGTCTTGTGTCCTTCCCTTCAGGAAGTTCCCCCCAGGCCTCAGGCAGGTCCAGAGATGCCATCCAGGAGCCACTGAAACTTCAGAAATGTACTTGGTGCTCTATTTTACTGTGACTAGGCTGGCACCAAAATCACAGGATAAAGTCCTTCTCACTCTTCCCTCCCCTTTCCCCAGACAGAGGCATCTCTCCCCATGTCCACCACCACAAGTTCATGGGGATTTCTGCCAGGGTACCACTAATGTTCACTTAAGGTCCGAGGGCTCTTCAGTCAGCTTGTGGTGAATGCTGCCAGGCCTGAGACTCACCTTTCAGGGAAGTGGGCTCTCTTCTGGCCCAGAGTAGGTCCACAAATGCCATCCAAGAGTCAAGGCCTGGAATTGGGAACCCGAAGAGTCTACTTGGTGTTCTTTTTCACTGTGTCCAAGCTGGTACCTAAGCTGCAAGGCAAAGTCCCCTTTATTCTTCCCTCTGCTTTTTCTCAAGCAGAAGGAGTCTCTCTTCATAACCACCACAACTGTGAATATGCTAAGTCACACCTGAAATCAGCACATCTCAGAGTCTCACTCAAGGCCCATGGCATGTACTACCTGGTTACCACTGCTGATTTTTCAGGGCCCAAGGGCTCTTTAGTCAGCAGAGGATGAATCCTTCCAGAACCGGATCCTTCCCTTCAAGGCAGCAGTCTATCTTCTGGCTGAGTGTGTGTCTAGAGATATTGTCCAGGAGGTAGGACCTGGGTGGGAGGCTTTACGACTCTGTCCAGTGACCTATCCTACTGTGGCTGAGCTGTTATCTAAGATGCAAGACAAAGTCTTCTTTACTCTTCCTTGTCCTCTCTTCAAGTGGAAGGAAGGGATCTCTTTTGGAGCTGTCAGCTGTGCTGCTTGGGGTTGGAGGATGGGCAGTGTAAACACTCCCTGGCCGCCCTGGCTGGTGTCTTGCTAAATCACGTGCCCCCCACGTCCACTGGCTACAAGCCCAGCTCAGCACTAAGACTTGCCTAGGATTTGCAGTCCTTGTGGCCTAGCCTGCCTTTCAAGTTTATTTAGAACCCCAGAGCACTTAAACCCAGGGTGGCAAGGCTTGTGGTATTTCAAGTTACAACTGCTGGAATGGGCAATTCCCCTCTGGCTACAGCTGGTCTAAATTTTCCTTCCATGTTAATTGGCTGAGTTCTGCCTGGTGTTGGCAGCACTAAGTTCTAATGCCAACTCCCACAGTCACTACACTCTCCTTCCCAAAGCACAGAGTTTTGCCTCTATGCCATGTGGCTGCTGCCAGGAGATGAGGGAGGGTTGGTGTTGGCAATACAAGACTGTCTTTCCTACCCTGTTTAGTGCCTCTTTCAGTAATATGAAGTTAAAATCAGGTACTGTGATTGCTTGCCTGATTTTTGGTTCTTATGAGAGTGTTTTTTTGTGTAGATTGTTGTTAAATTTGGTGTTTCTCCAGGGAGGACAATCAGTGAAGGTTTCTATTTAGCATCTTGCTCTACTTCCTCTCACATTTTATTTAGTTTGATCCTATTGCATTGACTATGATTTTTGTAAAGTGTTGAAATGGTGACAATGGTATCTTTGTTTTTCTTCCTCATCTTGGTTTTTCACCATTAAGTATGATAATGACTATGAGATTTTATCATTATCCTTTATCATAGTGTGAAAGTCACCTTCTCTTCTTAGTTTTCTGAAAGTTCTTAGAGAATTAGTGTTAAATTTTGTCAGATAATTTTCTGCATATATGAAGATAATTGTGTGTAATTTTTTCTCCTTTGTTTTGTTAATATGGTAATTACATTGGTTTCCAAGCTCTAAATTGACCTCTCATTCCTGGAATAAAACCCACTTGGTTATAACATGTTATTTTTCTATATACTACTGGATTCAATTTGCTAAATATTTTGTTAAGAAATTTTACATGTATGTTAATGAGGGATATTGGTCTGTAATTTCGTTTTCTTGCACAATGTTTGCCTATTTTTGGAAATGTCGACCTGTGAATCAAGCTGGGATAATTCTTTTTTTCTATTTTACAAAACGTCTTGTAAAATATTGGTATTATTATTTTCTTAAATATTTGATAGAATATACCAATGATCCCAACCGGGTCTGACATTTTCTTTGTGGGAACATTTTCAATTCAAATTTAATTTCTTTAATATGTAAGGGCTATTAAGTTTTTCTATTTCTTTTTATGTAAATTTTGATAATTTTTAAAGGAATTTTTTATTTAATTGAAGATGTCAAACTTATTGGCATAAAATCATTAATAATTAATGTAACATAAAGAAGATCTGTAGTGATGTCTTCTCTGTCATTTATTATATTGCTAATTCATATAATTTCACTTTTTAATTTTCTGGCTAGAAATGTATTTATTAATATTTTATAGATTTTTCTTTTTCTTTCATTTATTTTATCTATTCATGTTTTGTTTCATTGATTTTTCTGTTCTTATTTTTATTTTTTCTTTCCTTGTATATACTTGGGGTTTACTTCACTCTTTTATTCTATATTCCTGAGATATGAGGTTAAATCATGAGACTGCTCTTTTTTTCTAACTTAGCATTTAAAAGTTACAAATTTCCTTCTATATACTGCTTTACCTGCATCCTACAAATTTTGATGCATTAAGTTTTCTATCATTTTTCAGTTTAAAATTTATTTTCTGATTTTCCCTTGTTATTTCTTCTTTGACCCATGGACTATTTAAATGTGTGTTGTTTAATATCAAAATTTAAGAGACCTGAAAGATATGTTTCCGCTTCCAATTTATAGTTAATTGCATTGTGATCAAAGAATATTTTCTATAAGACTTCAATCCTTTTATATACGCCAAGATTTATTGTACAGCTCAACAGAGAGTTTATCCTAGCCAATATTCTATATTAACTTTGAGAAATATACATTCTACTTTTGTTAGGCTAAGTTGATTGACAATTTTGCTCTAGACTTTTAAGCATTTATGGATTTTCTTTATCTGCCTGCTCAATGAATAACATAAAGAGATTTGTTGCAATTTACAATTACCTATGTGTATTTATTTCTCCTTTTAGTTCTGTTTAGTTATTTCCATGTATTTTGAAGCTCTATTTTTAGGCAAGATGCATACACATTTAGAAATATGATATTTTATTCAAGCATGAACTCCTTTATCAGTATAAAATGTCCCTTTTATGTCTGGCAGTATTTATTGACCCAAAGTCTACTTTGACTGATATTAATATAGCCACCCCCACTTTCTTATCACTGATATTTGCATGGTAAATATTTTCCATCCTTTTACTTTTAGCCTGTCTGTGTCTTTTTAATTTAAAGTATATTTTTTGTAGATAGTTTATAGTTGGGTCTTGCCTTTTTATCCAGACTGACAATCTGTGCTTTTAACAGAAATATTTAGACCATGTATATTTAGTGAGGATCTCAATATGGTGAATGTATCATCTTACCATTTGTTTTCTATTTGTAGCATCTGTATTTCCTTCCTTCTTTTCTCATGTGCTGCCTTCTTTTGGATTAATTATATTTCTTTAGTATTCCATTTTATCCATGTATTAGTTTATTAGGTTTACTCTTTTGATATTTTTTAAATGGCTGCCTTAGGGTTTCTCATATGCATCTTTAACTTATTAGAGTCTACTTTTAATGATAATTCAATTCTCCCTGGCCATTGTGTTGTTATACATATTATTTCTACATATGTTATAAACCTAATAATAAATACAGTGTTAATATTTTTGCCTTAAATATTTGATATTTTTGCCTTAAATATTTGATATTTTTAAAAATATAAAAAGAAATAAAAATGGACTACATATTTATTATTTCTTACACTCTTCTCTTTTCAATATTTTCATCTGGTATCATTTTCCTCTGCCTGAAGAAACTCTTAGAGGGCGGATATTCTGCTAATGAATTATCTGAGCATCTTATTTATCTGAAAAATCCTTTATTTTGTCTTCAGTTTTGAAGGATATTTTTGCTGCATATGAAATTCTTGGTTGATGATTTTTGTTTGTTTTAACATTTAAAGATATGTTCCACCGTCTTCTAGCTTGCTTGGAAATATCCACAGTCTTTTTATCTTTGTTCCCCTGTACACAATGCCTGTACCCCAGCAACTGGCTGCTCTTCAGGTTTCTCTTACTCAGTGTTTTTAAACAATTTGTGGCATGCCATGGTTTAGTTTTCTTTGGGTGTTTATTCTGCTGGGAATTTGTTGAGCTTCTTAAATCTGTGGCTTTGTAGTTTTAATCAAATTTATACTTTTTTGGCTGTAACTTAAAAAGATGTTTTCTGTACACCTCGATTTTATGGGGCTGAAGTTGCACGTGTTTCACTGCTTGATACTATCCCACGAGTAACTGAGATAGTTGTTATGTTTCTTTTTATCCTCTCTTATTTCCATTTGAATAGTTTCTAAAGCTATGTATTCAACTTCACTTTTTTATTATTTATGTTATTATAATTATTATTATTATTTTGAGATGGAGTCTCACTCGGTTGCCAGGCTGGAGTGCAATGGCACAATCTCGGCTCACTACAACCTCCGCCTGCTGGGTTCGAACGATTCCCCTGCCTCAGTCTCCCAAGTAGCTGGGACTACAGGTGCATGCCACCACACCCAGCTAATTTTTTTTTTTTTTTTTTTTGTATTTTAGTAGAGACGGAGTTTCACCATATTGACTGGGATGACCTCAATCTCCTGACCTTGTTATCTGCCCGCCTTGGCTTCCCAAAGTGCTGGGATTATAGGCGTGAGCCACCATGCCCAGCCTGCTTTTTTTTAGTGCTCAATCTGCTGTTTATTGCATCCAGTAAAAATTTCATTTCAAATATTGTATTTTTCAGCTCTATAAATTTTATTAATTTCTTTAAAAATATATTTCCCATATATTATCTCATGATGTTTATATTTTCCTTTAAGTCTTTTAACGTATTTACAACAAATATTTTAAAGTCCTCATCTGTTAATATCATCATTGTCTTTTCTGGATCATTGACATATTTTCTGCAAATTATGAATACATTTTATTGCTCCTTCATGTGCCTAGTAAACTTTTATTGGAAGCTAAGCTTAGTGATTAGTATGATGTTGAGTGCTAGATTTTGTTGTCTTTAAAGAATGTTGGACTTTTTCTCAAATGCACTAAAATTACTTGGGGATATGCTGAATTATTTTGAGGCTTGTTTTAAAACTATATTGGGGCAGATATAATGTTGCCTTTACCCTAGGCATCATTTCACTCTACTACTAAACCATGACCTCTCAAGGGACTCTACCGAATGTTCCAGTTGTTCACTTCACTCTGACTGGTTGAAAGCTGAATATCTCCTCCCACCCTGTATGAACTGTGGGAATTATTTAGCATACATGTCCCATCCCATTCTTTTCTCAGTCTCATGGAATGTTACCCTTTGTATGTGTCATTTAGTACTCCACAATACTAAGGTGACCTCCATACATATATATGCAACTCTTTCTCTGCATACCCTTTTCCTGTCTGGTTCTTCACACTGCAAATTCCAGTCACCTCAACCCCTGCAGACTCTGATCCCTATTTTCTCAACTCGAAAAGACCGTGTTCTCCTTAAGTTTCTCCTGCCTGGATGGCTGCCCAGAAAAAGCCTCCAGGCAGAAAGCCAGGGTGACGGTCAGGTTCATTTTCTTGTTTCTCTTCTTTCAAGGATATCCATGTTATACTGCTTTTGGTCCAATGTCTGAAAACAGCTTTCTAGTTGTTTATGGTAGGATATTAAATCTGGTACCAGTTACTCCATCATGACTTGAGTGAAACATTTGTTTTCAAAAAGATAAAATGTATAGAGTAACATAATTGAGGATATGGCAAGTATAGTCAAATAGTAATAGCTTGTGCTTTTTTCAACTGTACAATAGAACTAAAGTAGGTTTTATCCTACAATTTTATATAATCCCCAATAGAACTCCATTACTTCCACTAAAAATTCCCTGTAATGTACAGGGAACCAGGTCTAGACACTTTAATAAGAGTTAAAGATACGTAGTTCTATTGTATATTTGCATTTAGAGTATCTTTTTATACTTTGTTAAGCAATTTTATTTTGTCATAAAGCGAGACTCCCACCAAGGACAGATTTTATTGTTCTACTTTATAATGGACAGGGGAATGTCTAATTCCTACTCGACATATAAAGAAGAGTTTTTCTTCTCTGTCTTTGCCTTTTTGCTTTCCATTGGATTAATCTTCAATGAATATTTCAAGGTCCAACTCAAGTCTCTTTCTCTAGGGAGTCTTACCCAACTATTTTATCCCTGTTTTAGTTATGATAAAGCTAAACAGTTGCCAAAAAAAAAAAAAAGAGAGAGAGAGAGAGAGACCATAAAACACAGCACCTTGAAGTATATGGAAATGTCTCTCTCAGCTATCAGTTTGAAGGTTAGCAGTGCATGGTAAGCAAAGCAGCTCTTTCCAAGGCTCCTCTCAAGCCATCATGTCATAACCCCTTAGATACAATCCCTACATGGTCAAAGGTGGATTGCTGCCACTTTTTTTGGTAGTAGTTATGTAGTTTCTTTTTCTCTTTTTTTTATAATTTTAAGTTTCACGGTACAAATGCAGGATGTGCAGGTTTGTTACATAGGTAAACGTGTGCCATGGTGGTTTGCTGCACCTATCAACCTATCACCTAGGTATTAAGCCCAGCAAGCATTTGCTATTTTTCCTAATGCTCTCCTTCACCCTCATCCCTGACAGGCCCTACCGTGTGTTGTTCCCCTCCCTGCGTCCATGTGTTCTCATGATTCACTTCCCACGTAGAAGTGAGAACATGTGGTGTTTGGTTTTCTGTTCTTGTGTTAGTTAGCTGAGGGTAATGGCTTCCAGCTCCATCCATGTCCCTGCAAAGGACATGATTTCATTCCTTTTTTATGACTGCATAGAATTCCATGGTATATATGTACCACATTTTCTTTACCCAGACTATCATTAATGGGCATTTGGGTTGATTCCATGTCTTTGCTATTGTGAATAGTGCTGCAATGAACAAACCTGTGCATGTATCTTTACAATAGAGTGATTTATATTCCTTTGTGTATACACACAGTAATGGGATTGCTGGGTCAAATGGTATTTCTGGTCCTAAATCTTTGGGGAATGGCCACACTGTCTTCCACAATGATTGAACTAATTTATACTCCCACCAGCAGTATAAAAGCATTCCGATTTCTCTGCAACCTCGTCAGCATCTGTTGTTTCTTGACTTTTTAATAACTGCCATTCTGACTCGTGTGAGATGGTATCTCATTGTGATTTTGATTTGCATTTCTCTAATCAGTGAAGTTGAGCCTTTTTTCATATGTTTGTTGTTCTGCCACTTTTTCTTTCTCTTCCAGAACAGCCAGTTGTAAGGGGTAAAATAAATTGGAGAAGAGAACATCCACATGGATTAAGTCCCAAGCTCACCCTTTGTTAGTGAGAATGTAGTCACGTGGCCATACCTACTACAAGGTAGGCTAGAACATATAATCTCATTGGATAGCCATGATATTGCTACATTAACATATAAGAAGGGGAGATGAATTTTGGTGGACAGCTAGCATTCTCCTCATTTAATTCTCCCTTCTCAGTACTCAACTTTGTGTTCAGATCTAGCACAGCAGTCAGCTCTGCTAATCAGACAAGTAAGAGGGGATGCTCAAAGTGGGAGGATCCATTTAATACATTTTTGTCCAAATAGACACATTATTTAAATAAAAATAAATAAGTTATTGTTATTTGTCTTTGTTTAAATAAGTTATTACGTGTACAAATAGTCAGTAAATCTGATTCTTGCTTGGTGGTTTTCATTATTCCTTTATGTAAAGTTGCATGTTCAATAGGTCTATTAATGAGACTTTCCCCAGTCCAATTTCTGTTTAGTATTCATTTCAGATACGCAATAGAGGAATGCAATGTAATTCATTCATTATTACTATAAGTTTGGGGCACAGACAGACCAGATTTAAGTCTTGGTTTTGTCATTTTCAAGCTTTGTGGCTTTGGTGAATTACTTAACTTCTCTGAGCCTCAGGTTTTTGTAACCATACAGTATCTATCTTTCAGAGTATGGTAAAGATTAAATTAGATAACATTTGTAAATACCTAGTAGAGTGTCTGAGCACAGAGTTGGAGCCCAAGAAATTGGGGAAATGCACACACACACACACACACACACTCATCTTGCTCTCTCGTTCTCTCACTGTTCTCGTTTCTTTGGAATATTGAGTAGTTCACAATGTACACCTACAAGGTACTAGTACACTTTTTATTCTGTTCTGTCACAAAAGTGTAGCTTTTCTTCTGAAGTAGATTTTCCCGAAGTACACATCCAAGAATAATAATCATCAATTGAGCTTAGAAAAAAATTTCAGATAGCATGAAAGCCAGAAGAGAGATTACTTTTTCCTTTTTTTTTTTTTTTTTTTTTTTGAGAAATGAAAGAATCTTTTTGGGGATCCAAAAACTAATATTATGTAGTGGTAATAGTGCCTGTCTGAGAATCTTCATATGACTCTGAATTCCACAACTAGCTGTGTGGCCTTGAAAAAAATCACTTAGTTTGCCTGGGCCCTAAAAAGAATAGTAATAATATCCATTTATAAGAATGACTGCACCTAGTAATGTAATTTTATTTTTTTAATTTAGTTGTACAGTCAAGGCTAAAAGAACTTAATTGACTTGTCTAAGGTTTCTGAGCAATGAACCAGTGGTTTTCATCCAAATCTACTTTATCCAAAAGTTTTTCTCTTAACCAAATAGGGATATCAGACAAGCTTACCTTCAGGTTCAATAAAGCTCTAAAACTCAATGACTATAAATTTGGGTCAAGGAAAGATCAAAACAGAACACAGTTGCCCAGGAAACACCACAGTGAAAGCTATATATTTTTGACTAAGGCAAATACATTTGGAGCTCAGCTGTGCCCGTTAGCATGTTAAGATATACAAGGTCTAAAACAACATACTCAGAAGGCTATTCTCTTTTTCTTATACGCATGGGTCAACACAGTTGAAAGCAAGAAAGAATTCCATGAAAGGTCCATGATTTTGAAATTCCCCTAATCAAACTTACCCACTAATTACTTCCCCACCTTCTAGTGTGGAACCTCTTACATTTATTCTTTATTGCATCCAAGTTTTTGTTTGTCCATCATCTGTCTTCTCTTATTAGACTACTTCCTCCTTGGAGAAAGGTCTATGCTTTAAAAAATTTTCTCCAAGCCCAGAGCTGCTGATTTTCCTTGAAGGCTTGTGTTTTTAAGCATTCTTCCACACTATGGTCCACTTCAGACATCCTTGCTGTCCATTGACTACCTGGCATTGTCACTGATTTCCAAGTTGCAGCCTTTAGCTTTTCTTTAATGTGCAATTAATTTAGTAAATATTTCACTATAGAAATTTCCAGTAGAACTCAACTGTGGTACCTACACTCGAAATCCACTTGTTTCACCAATAACAAACTGAATATCAGTTTGTGCTCAGCTAAGACAGCCTACTATGCTATCATTTATTTCACCTTCATATTATTATGTACCAGAAAGTGTTCTATGTGCTTTGTACTATTTATCTTATTTAATCCTCATAAAAACTATATATTGTGAACATTATCTGATCTTTGGGGTACTTTGCCTCCTTCATCTCCATTATGGATCTACTTGCCGTTTTTAAATACCTATTTCTAAGCTACCAAGGTTTAAAACTTCATTTGGCCTGTAAACATCTGATTTATTAGAGTATTGTAAACTGTATTGGTATAAACCTCAATTAGTTTAAATCTCACAGTAGCAGCCTAAAGGAAAACAACATAAAAAAGGCAACAAACTGCAGTTGTCATCCAGTCAAAATCCAAAAAAGAATAAAATAAAATAAAGAGGGTTTAACATGGGGCTCCAGCTCTAAAGCAATTCATTTGTTTATTTAATCATGCAATATATCTAATCCAGCCCTAGAGACATGACAACAGATGGGGCGTGTGTTGGGATGAATACCCAAGCGAGTATGTTCTGTTTGAGCGCTGTCATGCAGGAGTTAGTGGAGAGGATTTTAAAAATCTTAAAATTAATATGTCTCCCTCTCTTTACACCCCCCCCCAAACTTAGTATGTATCCTTTGTGACATTACCAATAGATAAACTCTAAGGAAAAGGGGCAGTTAGTGCACTATGAAAGCCATCATTTGGAGGGCATCCTCCCCAGAAAAACTTCAGTTCAAAGTTGAGTCTCAGGAGTCTCAGGAAGATGTACACCAAGGTCATGAAACATTATGCACAGACAGGGAACAGCTCTGCTATTGCTCGTAACACCAGGCTTGAAATTTGAGTTCAACCAAGGTTGAGCACTGCTGCAAATTCCCCTGGTGAAAAAATTGCACAGTGCCTTCTCATTTGTGAAATATTTTCACATCTTTTACCAAAGAATGGGAGCTCTTGCTCATGGTCATCACTAAACCCAAGATTAAAACAATGTAGCAGTCATTTAATGCTGAACAGTAAAAAAATACACATGTAAATAAAGTTAACAGGCAAAGAAATACTGCAATGAAGAACAGTGTAGCATTATAGGTGTCTAAATATGCACAGCTTGCAGGAAAATAATAAACAGAACAAATGCTAAGGGGAAGTAATCCATCTTCCTTAATTAAAAAAAATTACTGTCTCCATCTATCTACCTATCTACCTACCTACCTAATTTCACAAAAGATTTGAGGCAATATTACACAATATTCATAGTTATATACATTAAAAAAATCAGAGTTAGGGAAACTATCAACAGAGAGAAAGATAGGGTCAGGTTAATGATTGGGACAAGGACAGCCTCATGCCAATAATTCCAACACCTTGGGAGGCTGAAGTGGGAGGATAGCTTTAGCCCAGAGGTTCAAGACATCCTGGGTAACAAAGCAAGACTCTGTCTCTACAAAAAATAATTAAAAATTATCCAAGTGTGGTGGCACATGCCTGTAGTCCCAGCTACTAGGGAGGCTGAGGTAGGCGGATAGCTTGAGCCCAGGAGTTCAAGGCTGCAGTGAGCTATGTTCACAACGCTGTACTCCATTCTGGGTGACAAAGCAAGACCCTGTCTCTAAAAATAAGTAAATAAATAATCAATCAATACATATAAAGAAAGATTGGAACAGATCTCCAGATGTCTTAGTGCATCTGTAGAAAGGTTATGCCAGTTTATCAACAAAAGGAACATCTTTTCCTTACACTTAAGCTTGAAATAAATTTCTTACATGAAATTTAAAATAGAGCACTGAGTGACACAGTAGATGACATTCTTAACCATTGATTTCCACAAGCAGAGCAACAAAGTGTGGAGAGCTTTTTCCTTCTAGTATCCCTGAAAGTCAGCTGAGACCTGTTGCCAAACTACAAGTGTGTAGGATGGCAAAACAATGTCGTTTCACTCTGCAGGTCTCTTAGCTGCAGTTTTATCCAGGGGTAAATTCTAGTATTTCTGGCTGAATCATATTTTTCAATTTTACATAAATGTCAGATCTTTCTTTGGAGACTTTTGATGAAAATCTGAGCTGCTGACAGGCCAAGATTACTTTCCTTGGGAATGGAGGTGTGGGTGAGAAATGTGTGAAAGTATAGCCTTTAAAGGTGATGACATCTGATAATAGGACATTGTGTAAAAATGGAGGCACCTAACCAGGACTTTGAACAGAAAGGACCAGCATCCTATCTGTCTCCCAAGCCTTGCTCATAGAACATGAACAAATAGGCAGCTGGCCTCTGGTGAAAGGCCTGAAACAAGTTTGATGTGTTCTGCTGACATCTGAAAGTGAAAAGGCCTCTAATGGCCTAACTGCAAGTTCCTCTCCCTACTCTGCCCCGCTAAAGAAGGTCCTCCATCCAAACAACACTCCTTATAGAGAAGACCAGGACCAGGGATAAGTTCTTGCTTATCCCTGAGTAGCAGGTTTCCCTTCTCTGCCAGTTAATGGAGTTATTTGCAGGCTGATCACATCCTCATGCAAGAACGAAGGGCACCCCACCCTCTTACTACTACAAAGTCAGCCTCCCAAGACCCCTGGTTGTTCCTGCTGTTTCCAAGTGCAACCTCCATGTGGCCCTGAATAGTGATCAAGACATGGCCCTAAAGTGACACCCTCAAGGATACTGAAACAGCCTGGCCAATTTCTTTAGCCATCAAAAGGCATCCACACTACCGGGGTAATATCAAATGTCTGTACTCATTCACTTCTGTGATTCCAGCTGAAGAAAAGAGGCAGAAAATAAGAACCTTATTCCTCTCCTTGCAGTTACTGTTTTCCTCAGTCTTTGTTTTCTTCTCTTTCCCTCTATTTTTTTTTTTTTTTCAGAGACAGAATCTTGCTCTGTTGCCCAGGCTGGAGTGCAGTGGTACAGTCATAGCTCACTGTTGCAGGAAATCAGGGACCCCAAACAGAGGGACTGGCTGAAGCCATGGCAGAAGAACATGGATTGTAAAGATTTTATGGACATTTATTAGTTCCCCAAATTAATACTTTTATAATTTCTTATGCCTGTCTTTACTGCACTTTCTAAACATAAATTGTAAAGATTTCATGGACACTTATCACTTCCCCAATCAATACCCTTGTGATTTCCTATGCCTGTCTTTACTTTAATCTCTTAATCCTATCAGCTGAGGAAGATGTATGTTGCCTCAGGACCATGGGGTAATTGCGTTAACTGCACAAATTGTACAGCATGTGTGTTTGAACAAATATGAAATCTGGGCACCTTGAAAAAAGAACAGGATAACAGCAATGTTCAGGGAACAAGAGAGATAACCTTAAACTCTGACTGCCGGTGAGCCGGGCGGAACAGAGCCATATTTCTCTTCTTTCAAAAGCAAATGGGAGAAATATCACTGAATTCTTTTTCTCAGCTGGGAACATCCCTGGGAAAGACAATACGCACCTGGGGGTATAGGTCTATAAATGGCCCCCCTGGGTGTGGTCGTTTTTTATGGTCTGTAGACTGTTGGGGTGAAATAGACCCCAGTCTCCCATAGCGCTCCCAGGTTTATTAGGAAGGGGAAATTCCCGCCTAATAAATTTTGGTCAGACAGGTTGCTCTCAAAACCCTGTCTCTTGATAAGATGTTATCAATGACAATGGTGCCCGAAACTTCATTAGCAATTTTAATTTCGCCTCAGTCCTGTGGTCCTGTGGTCTCGACCTGCCTCCATTTGCCCTGTGATATTCTATTACCTTGTGAAGCACTTCATGTCTGTGACCCACACCCTATTCATATAGTCCCTCCCCTTTTGAAACTCCCTAATAAAAACTTGCTGGTTTTACAGCTTGTGGGGCATCACGGAACCTACCAACATGTGATGTCTCCCCCGGACGCCCAGCTTTAAAATTTCTCTCTTCTGTACTCTGTCCCTTTATTTCTCAAACTGGCCGATGCTTAGGGAAAATAGAAAAGAACCTACGTGACTATTGGGGCAGGTTCCCTGATAGCTCACTGTAGCCTCAAATTCCTGATCTCAAGGGATCCTCCCACCTCAGCCTCCCAAATACCTAGGACTATACTGTCACCATGCCCAGTTATTTATTTCCTCCAGTTTTTGTACTCCATCTCTGTGCTGTTCTAGGTAACCGATATTTTCCATGATTAAAAATTATATCTGGCCAGGTGCAGTGGCTCACGTCTGTAACCCCAGCACTTTGGGAGGCTGAGGCAGGTGGATCACTTGAGGTCAGGAGTTCAAGACCAGACTGGCCAACATGATGAAACCACATCTCTACAAAAAATACAAAAATTAGCCGAGTGTAGTGGTGTGCACCTGTAATCCCAGCACATTGGAAGGCCGAAGCAGGAGGATCACTTGAGGTCAGGAGTTCGAGACCAGCCTGGCCAACATGTGAAACCCCAACTCTACTAAAAATACAAAAATTAGCTGGGCGTGGTGGTGTGCACCTGTAATCCCAGCTACTTGGAAGGCTGAGACACAAGAATCGCTTGAACCCAGAAGGCAGAGGTTGCAGTGAGCTGAGATCACGCCACTGCACTCCAGCCTGGGTGACCGAGTGAGACTCTGTTTCAAAAATAAAAGTAAAAAAATAAATAAAAATTATATCTTCTGTTCAAATTGTATCCATTCTAGTGATAAACAACCCTTTTCTCTACCAGTGTTTCTCAATGAGTAGTGATCATTCCACCTGCACTGGGATCACCTGGAATCCTTGCTAAAATGCTGATTCCATTGAACAGAATTTCTGAAAGTGGGTCCTAAGGGTTTGTATTCTTAACATGCTTCGGTGCTGATGCTGTAGCACTTTAGAGCTACTAACCGAGATGTTTGGTTACATGGGAGCAGCTACATCAGTGACTGTATCTCACCCATGCACCCAGCCCTGACATACCTTCAGGTGAGACCCAAACAGAGAGCCTGGCTGAGTTGGGAGCCTTGGGACAACAGCTTTGTGCTTTAATTGCTGCCCCGGTTTTAATGGGGCACTTTGCCTTTATGCACTGCTAAGCGATTCTACTGCCTTGTACACTCCCACCTGACACATATAGCTGGAGAGACTAAAAATAGACCCCACCTGCACAGAACATCCCAAAACGGGGTTGCTTCCTTCCTTCTGTTTCTGCGATCCAGGGACATTGCTCGAGAAGCATTTGTTCTCAATTCGTCTTGCTAATAAATGACACGTGGGTTCAGACAGCAGTGTGACCTCTTTTATGTTAAAGAACTTATATGGGAAAAAACCCCAAAACTGCAATTATGATCATACCTATTGACATTATGTATATATTAACTAAATGAATATATCAAACACTGCATGTACTTTTGGCATATTTTGTTTTCTCTTTCATGGAACATAGGGACTAATCTGTATTCAGTTTAATAATTATATATTATTGTGGTCTTACAAATAACTTGACCCAGAAACAAGAAATCAAGAATGTTCTTTATATATATTCAATTTTATTTTATTTTATTTTCAATTTTTATTTATTTTTATTTTATTTTATTTATTTATTTTTGAGAGACAATCTCTCTCTGTCACCCAGGCTGGAGTGCAGTGGTGCAACCTCGTCTCACTGCAACCTCCACTTCCTGGGTTCAAGCTATTCTCCTGCCTTAGCCTCTTGAGTAGCTGGGATTACAGATGCACACCACCATGCTGGGCTAATTTTTATATTTTTGTAGTAATGGGGTCTCTCCATGTTGCCCAGGCTGGTCTCAAACTCTTGAACTCAAGCAATCCACCTGCCTTTGCGTCCCAAAGTTCTAGGATTACAGGTGTAAGCCACTGCACCTGGCCTATGTATCAGTTTTAAGGCGTTCAGAATACAGTGTAAATCAGTGGTTTTAAACCTAATGTGCACATAAGAATCATCTAGAGAACTCATTTATCTAAGAGTGTTTTGAACCCATTCTGCTAGTGTATTAGTTGGAGTTTTCTAAAAGAACAGAACCAACAGGACTTACCCACACATCTATTTATCTATGTGTGCATGCATGTATGTATATTAGGTTGGTACAAAAGTAATTGCAATTTTTGCCTTTACTTTTAAGGGCAAAAACTGTAATTCGGTTTAATAGAGAGAGAGAGATTTATGAGGAGGAATCAGCCTGCATGATTATGGAGCCCTAGAATCCCATGATCTGCCGTCTGCAAGCTGGAGATCCAGGAGAGTCAGTGGTGTAATTAAGTCCCAGTTCAAAGCGCCAGGGGAGCCACTGCTGCTAAGCCCAGTCTAAGGGCAGGAAAGGTGGAATGAGATGTCTCAGCTCAGATAGTGAGGCAGAAATAAAAGGGGGCAAGTTATTCCTCCCTCTGCCTTTTGTGCTCTTTGGGCCCTCAGTGGACTGGATGGCGCCCACCTGCCTTGGGCAGAGCCATCTGCTTTACTGAGTCCACTGATGCTACTGCTAATCTCATCTGGAGCACCCCCACAGACACACCCAGAAATAAGGCTTAATCTGGGCACTGCATGACCTGGTTAAGTTAATACGAAAATTAACTTCACAGCCAGTTCATAGCATGTAGCCTTGGACAAGTTACTTAACCTCTCTGTGCCTCCATTTCTCCACTTGTGAAACTGGCATAATAACAGTATATATCTCATAATGTTGATCTAAACATTAAATTAGTTAATACAAGGCTGGGCATGGTGGCCTACACCTGTAATTCCAACACTTTGGGAGGCCAAGGGGAGCAAATCACTTGAGCCCAGGACTTCAAGATCAGCCTGGGCAACATGGTGAAACCCCATCTCTACAACAACAACAAAAATACAAAAATTAGCCGGGTATGGTGGCATGCACCTTTAGTTCCAGCTACTCAGAAGGCTGGGGCCAGAGAATTACCTGAGCCCTGCAGGTTGAGGCTACAGTGAGCCCTGATGGCACCATTACACTCCAGCCTCGGCAACCCTGTCCCCAAAAAAGAAAAAAAATTAGTTAATACACATAAAGCTTTAGAAAAGTGTCTGTCAAACAATATATGATCGGTATGTATTATTATTAAATGACGATTACTCGTTGGATTGCTCATTAAAAGACTTGAAAAAAATGCATCCAGAGTAGATCCTGGAAATCTACATTTAAAATAATTATTGCTAATAATTCTGATGCCATTGGCTCATGGTATCACCATTTGAGAGCTGGTCATCTAATAGGACCATTCATTTGAGTTTAGGAAGAAATGTTGGTATTCTACTTCTATCAGCTTTCTTTATCAGAAAATAGAAAATTTATTTTACAGTATTTAAAATAGTAGCTGATGCTGGGGCCTTCATTAGTCTATGATTTAGATATCTTCTAGGGATTTCCAGGAATTTCCTATAAAGTAGGAAAGGGAATCTCACAAGTAGGAGCTGATGGTGGTCCCTGCCCCAGTGATCTTTCAGTGCACAGTGATGCATTGCAATTTGCATTCATGCTGAATGAAATGAATTTATGGATTATATTTATCTAATTATAGATCATTACAAAAGAAACAATTGACTTGAAAAGATTTTTGCTAAAAATGTATACATCCATGACAATGCTAACAATTTCAGCAAAAGTGAAGAAGAAAATGACATTACCATTTGTCTTTGTTTTTGCACGATCCCTCTGCCAACCACATCTTCAATAAAAGCAATCTTCATATAATCAATCTGACCAAAAAAAGAGGCCGCCAAAAGTGCTTTTATCAAGAATACTGTTTGAAATGTTAATGGTCTCATTGATAATTATTTCATCCCAAGTATACATTATGCTGTGATCTATTAAAGAATTTCTCCAGTGCATTAAGAAAGTTTGGTGAGTGGCTGGCACAGTGGTTCACGCCTATAATCCAGCACTTTGGGAGGCTGAGACAGGCGAATTGCTTGAGCCCAGGAATTCAAGACCAGCCTGGGCAACATAGGGAGACCCCATCTCTATTAAAAATAAAAATAAAAATAAAAACCTAGCCAGGCATGGTGGTGCATGCCTTTGGTCTTAGCTACTTGGGAGGCTTAGGTGGGAGGATAGCTTGAGCCCAGGAGTTCAATGCTACAGAGAGCTATGATCATGTCACTGCACAAGAGCCTGTCTCAAATAAATAAATAAATAAATAAATAAATAAATAAAATAAAAGTTTGGAAAGCATTAGAGTAAATTTTGAGATTCAAAATTATCTTTGTTACCCAGTCAATTCACATGTACAGAGATCAATAACAAAAGTAAAAAGTTGTCTTTTTAATTTGGGAAAAAAATGATCATCTCACTAGAAGTAAATTAAAGTGTACCACACAATCTAAAAGATCTCATGTTTTTTAAATGAAGTTGTTTCCTTGGAGCATAAATAAAATTAAAACCAATTACTCAATCTGAGCCCAGTTGCAATTGACTTCTCCTTTCTGTTTGTCCTTAAGATGCCTGTATAACAAAGCAAATTCATGAGATATCTGAGTATATTTTCCCTGGGTGGTAGTTGATTTCCACTCAGCTTTGGGAGATGACTCAACAAAACAAAATTTGTGGGGTAAAGAAGACTTAAATAAACAACAGATAAAAATTGATGGGATTGACGTCTCACTGTAAGCCAAATAGAATTTCTGCAGACCAAATGGTTTTGAAAGGCATTTACCATGTCGTGTGTAACTCTCTGTAATTATATCTGGGAGTCATCATTTCACTTTCATGCTCATTGTCAAATGAACATCAGCCTCCAGTTTAACACTGTGTGGAGGAGGGGTCAGAGAGAAAAATTCTTGGGTTTTTTTATGGTAGGGAAATTATCATGTATCCACATTGCTCAGACCTTTACAGAACATGTAAGTTACTTTGGACCTGAGCTTTGATATTTGTACTTTATGACATTTACTAATGACTCAAAAACATACAGTGTGCTCCTGAACTTTTAAATCATGGATATGTCTTCTGTTCTGTAGTACTACACTAACTACAGTAACCTGCCTACAAAAATTAAATATTGGTTCATGGTTATAATTACAGGCATAAGCTTAAGGCAGTGAAGCTTAAAATTAAGTTGAATCATATGAAATGCCATTATTTGGAAGCCAGAAATGGTAAAAATCATCAACTCTGGAGACAAGCAATCCTAAACTCTGGTTGGTCCTGCCAATGCTGGTGAATGGCTCCACTCCAGTCTAGGGGTGCCCGGCTCCAAAGACAGCTCCTAAACTCTGAATGTTGTACCTGCATTTAAGAGCCTCGTAAAAGTACCATTTCTAACACTCTAGTTTTAGCTACTGTAGTTAGTGTAGAGGGCTAAAATCCTCATGCGCTGCATTTAATTACATGAGAAACTTTCTGCAAAGAGAAGTTGAACTCTAACTTACAAAGTCTTTCAAATGCAATATGTAGTATTCATTTCCCCAAAGATATCTATGCTCATCAAGGTCCAGAAATTTGTAAATTTAGAGAAATAAAATTGACATATGAGTATACAGACCACAACTTAAGCAAACAAATGAATTTTTCCTTCAAGATAGACTCTGTGGGAGCCTGTACATTTATTCTCAAGATGAGGTTATTATTCAAAGTATAGTTGGTGCCCCTGTTGGTATCACTCTAAGAGAGAGTTTATAAAAAGCGTCCTCATTATCTTATAGTCACAGCTCATAAATCTGTTCACCTTGGGGTGATCAAATGAGAGGCTGGCAGGATATCAATCTGTGTTTTCAATACTGTGTATTTGAATAGCGATGAAAACACCAAGAGGTATGACCACTTTGTCAGAATTGAAAGGAAGGCTTCCTAGAGCTAAAAACCCTGGGCTGAATCCCAGGAAGCCTTATGGATTGGTTTAGTAGGATAATTATGTGGCTATTCACTGGTAAGTGAAAAGAGGAGAGAAATAAGCACGAAAAAGTCATAATAAATGTGATCGGATTTTGGTGTTTGGTATCTATCCCATCTATTTTCTAAGAAATTCTTAAATTCTGCTATATGATTTTATAAAAATTCTCTAATGTTTGAACATGAAACAGCCTAAGTGTCTTTGACTCTGTCGGATCAGTCCCCTCCAAGCTTTCTGTGTTTGAGGGACTTTTCCTGCTGGTGATCCCCAGGAGGTACCTTTCCACAGGGACTCACACAGCAGCATATCTGTGTACTCTATCCAGCTGTTCCTGTTAATAAGAGATAAAATTGAGACATAGAAGGTGAACCCTTTTTATTTCCTTTCCCTTCTGGAAATTGCAGCACCCAGTGTGCCCTGAGTGTCAGTGTTCTATGCTTAGCGAGTCACTAAAAGCACAATTCACAGCCTCCCATCAACAGCAGCTCTTGTCCCGGCTTCTCGGATGATTCCCATGAACTTGGCATTCAACCTAAGGGTACAGAGTCATAAACCAGAGTTGGCTCTTTTCTTGGAGTGTTTCTTTTGTTTGATTTTTGTTTGAGACAGAGAGTCTCACCCTGTCACCCAGGCTGGAGTGCAGTGGTGCGATCAGGGCTCACTGCAGCCTCAATCTCTTGGGCTCAAGTTCCCATGTAGCTGGGATTCCCAAGTAGCTGGGACCACAGGCACATGCTACCATGCCCAGCTAATTTTTTTTTTTTTAATTTTTAGTAGAGATGAGGTCTCCTTATGTTGTCCAAGCTGGTCTTGAACTCCTGGGCCCAAACCACCTGCCGGCCTTGGCCTTCCAAACTGCTGGGATTATAGGCACGAACCACTGCGCCTGGCCAGGGGTGTTTCTTTTGTACCATCATCTATTTGAGCGAATCTCCATGCAGATGACAAGACCCACGATTCTGTCTCACAGAAACCTTCAGATTAAGCCCAACCCAGTTAGATTTTAATGTCAGTTTTTATTGATCTGTAGTAGAGAGGCTGATAAATTTTCCCAATAAAACCTTGTTCCTGAAGCCTCTTTCATATTCCTGATCTTCTACACCAGATGTTCTTAAACGGTTTCTCTCTCCACACCACAGGGTAACCTGACAAGAAAGATGGAATTAGAGCAGCTCAGGAAATGTGCCTAGACTCTCACCTCTTTTAGTTGTGTAACTGCCAACACTGTGGCCACATTACTGATGAAGGTGCCTTGCATGGAAGTGTCATCTGTTAGGTGTGTTAAAGAGAAAAGAGGCTAAGAATAATTGACACCAAAACCCACTGAGTTTAAAGGATGTAAGATGACACCCAGATGCCTGAGAGGGCTGATAAATACAGGCACTATATTCTAAGAGTTCCAGAGCTGGCAGTCCTGGATTGCAGGAGGGCCACTCACCACTACTGTCAGGTCCAACTTATCTTCAGGATTGCTTGACTCCAGAGCTGGTTTTTGACCAATTCTGGCCAACCAAACTGGGAATTTCACAAGGTACAGCTTAATGAAGCTCTGTTGCCTGAAGTTTGTCTTTTGTGCCCGCTTGGTGCTCCAGGTATTTTCTGGTCTTACACCAACCTTCTCCAAATATTGCCAGTTGTTGAGTGGCCTCTTGCTGGATCCTCTAGTGCACATTGTCCTTGAACTCTCTTCCTTTTACTGCGTTAAAATCCACAGCTCTCCAGTTAGGGATCATGCTTAGGTGTTGCTGCAGCTTCATGCGTTATTCAGCTTCCCCTCTTAGAGCACAATGGAACCCAAAGGAATCCACAGTAAGAGAATTTTTTAGAGTAAGGAAAGCAGAGAGGATAGCTTTGCATAGATCTGGAGTGATAGGACACCTTTCTTGGCCCTCAATTCTAATCTAGCCAAGTGGCTGCCTACCTTATCTAGACATACGACTGTCTTTTCATAAGGCCTTCTTGTGGTGATTAGGAAACTGGAGAAGATATTACATTGTTCTCCAGGCCACACTCAAGATGTGTCTATTTTTGTTACTCGTTTTGCAACGGCTTTAAATAGCATACCTTGGGAGGCATTTTGAGATCAAGGAGTTTACCTTTGAAATAATGTATCTTCTTTATCAGCAGTGGGGCCACTTTCTGGCACAAGATACGTGCTGTTATGATATTGCAATCCACTGGGATAAAAATAATTCATGATGTCAGACCCTCATCCCAGGAGTGCTGCCCTCTTGAGGTCATCTTCCAGGAGGGGAGGTAGGGTGGGCCAGGCCCGGAGCCTCCGCAGAGACAGAAATAGAGTGCTAATGGCCTTCAGCGACACGGACAAGAGTGGGAAGTGGACAGATATATTTATCAAGAGAAACGGCTCCAAGCATCTGCTAAGTCCCCATTCTCCTCTTTTTCCCAGGTCTATTTCTGGCATCTCTTTCCACAGCACAGGCAGCCTTGCAGAATGAAAAGTATTTCTCCCACCTGCCCTGGCCTCTGCCCTGGCTCTGAAAGAGGCAGGCTGTGAATGATGGTTGTCAGTGTCTGGAGTTTTCACTGAAAAACAGTCCCCTGAAATGG
Source organism: Homo sapiens (assembly GCF_000001405.40). Lineage (NCBI taxonomy): Eukaryota > Metazoa > Chordata > Mammalia > Primates > Hominidae > Homo > Homo sapiens. The sequence goes on from NC_000010.11 coordinate 25,682,682, forward strand.
AAAGACACACAGAGGGGAGTGATCTCATCGCCACTGATTTTTCCCAACTTTCAGTTTTGTATCTCCATGGTGGAACTCGATACAGCAGCATCCCTCAGTGGTTCCAGCCCAGAAGTGCAAGGGGAAGCCGGCTGCCTGTTCATGAATTCTGTAGCTCAAAAAGCAGAGGCCGAGAAAGCAAAATTTCAAACCTTTGTCAGAAAGGGTGAGACCTTGCTCAGCACGATAGCTGAGAACAGCTTCCTCCTTCAATGCTGGTCTCTCTATACTGACAGTTGACAGCTGATGATCCCACATTCTCAGTCATGCGAATGACCTCACCTGAGCACCAGTTTGTAACGGATGTTTAAGAGGAAAGCAAGGGAATTAAATGCTGCACAGGAATTTGGCACTTCTGTATAGAAATAGAAAAACTAAATGAAACTTATAGTACCTTCCACTCAACTAAGATTCTTGTGAAGCAAAGTATATCTGGGAAAATATAGTAATATGGTTATTTTGTGTTCATAGTGTGTGACTCTACTTATAAGCACTTTTTAATCATTATAATCAATCACTTTAAAGATCTTAGAGGGAACTTATTAATCAAAATTTAAGCCTTCTTTAAAAAAAAAAAACTTCCCATATACTAATTTTGCACAGAAGCAAAAGATTAGATTGGGATTCTGCCTGTTGTGGAGAGACAAAGACAAGAGTGCTCCAGATTTCTGTGTTTGTGTTTTTACTTCATACTTTCAATGCGTCCGCAAGAATAGACTTGTGTTTCTCTTCTTAATACACAATGGTTAGAGCTCACAGAATGTAAGTAAGAGATTCTTTGAATTGCACAATAAGCCAAGGAACTTTCCCAGCTACCGGGAGGCTGAGGTGGGAGGATTGCTTGACCCCAGTGGGTGGAGATTGCAGTGAGCAGAGAACACATCACTGTCACTCTAGCTTGAGTCACAGAGCAGGACCTTGTCTCAAAAAGCAAACAAAAAGCTGGGTGCAGCAGCTCATGCCTGTAATCCCAGTGCTTTGGGAGGCTGATGTGGGAGGATCACTTCAGACCAGAAGTTCGAGGCCAGCCTGGCCAACAAGGTAAAACCCTGTCTCTACTGAAAATACAAAAAATTAGCCAGGTGTAGAGTGGCACATGTCTGTAATCCCAGCTACTCATGAGGCTGAGGCACCAGGATCACTTGAACTGAGAAGGCAAAGGGTGCAAAGAAACAAACAAACAAAACACACAAGCCAAGAAACTTGACCCCAGTGTTTGGGTCTATCTCTAAAAATTCTGACTGAATAAGTTGCCCACTTTTCAGATAGGTGCCCAAGCTCATTTTGTGCTTCTCTAACAGAATGCTGAGACTGGGTAATTTATTACAAAGAGAAATGTATTGGCTCACAGTTCTGGAGGCTGGAAAGTTCAAGACCAAAGTGCCAGCATCTGGTGCAAGTGCAAGCGTCTGTGCTGCATCCTCACATGGTGGAAGGCAAGAAGGCAAGATGGGGTGGAACTTGCCCTTTTATAAGGTACCAGTTCCACCCATGAAGGTAGAGCCCTATGGCCTAACCACCTCTTAAGGGTCTTACCTCTTTATACTCCTACAATAAGAATTAAATTTCAGCATGAGTTGTGGAAGGGACAAACATTAAAATGACAGCAATAAGGGAGAGGACCCCTCTCAAGGAGATGAGGGAAACATTTACTATTCACGTTTTCAACTCTACCTGGCCAGGAGATTCCAACACTGCAGCTTCTGGTGACTAAAGAGCAACCTAATAGAGAAACTACCAAGGAAAGCTAAGTGGTTTCCAAACAAGTTCTCTCAAGGTGACACCTGATGTGGTTCTAAAATATCTCAGCTTTTGCAGGTTTTAAAATATGACTTGTCAATTTCCCAGGCGTGGTCTGACTCTTGGGGCCAGAGTTGCATTGATGGCACTTGAGAGACTAATACATAATCCAGAGCTCCAAATGTACACTGTGAAATAAAACTGCCAAGGTGAGCTAGAAATGTTCTTTCTGCCTTCTCTCTTTGTATAAAAGCCACATGAAAAGAGGGTTTATAGTTGGAAGCTGTTTGGTGATCATGGAATGAAAGTGTGGGTGTGGAGGAGAAAAAATGATCTGCAAGGCTAATATCACTGAGCTGTAGTAATCTGGCTCACCTGTCTTGACTGGAACATGCCTGCCAAGCATTCTGGTTGGGTTCCCTAGAAGCACATGGACTCTGAGACAAGGATTCACGTGAAAGTGATTTTTCAGAATGTATTACCAGGAAAAACTGGTAGGTGAGTGGGGAAGTGGAACAGGAATGGGAAGTGAGGTAAGCAAGGCTGAATTACCAGGTGAAGTCTCCAGGAAGGTGAGTTTGGCTCAACCTCACAGGAGAGCTTTGAAGGTAGAGCAGTTCCCACATCAAACTGTCCCATTAGGGGTAAGAGAACTGGAGTACTTATACTCCAGCACACAGAGCCACTGGATAAGAGTCACCCATGTGTGCAGAAAGCAGACTCTGGCAACCTTCACCCAAGTCGGCACTGGCCCAGGCACAGGACTCAAAGAGGTACAGGTGCTGGCTGTTGGAAGTGAAAGCATAGTGGAAAACCAAGTGCACACAATGGCATGAATCCGCGGGATGCGCACTGACCTGTGGGGATGCACCTTGATGTGGTTGGCTGCCTCCCTGCTGGAAGGCCCCTGCATCCTCCCCCAGACTGTTGTCGATGCCCTGTCACAAGCCTTGTCTCAACCAACCTCCCATCTTGAGCACCCGCTAAAGGCCATTCCCTTCCTTAGCTTTGTCCTGGTCTCTGAACTTTGGCATTCATAGTCTATATCCACCCTTTTATCAAATATAACTTAGGATGACTTTGTTTACATATGGTTGAGCTTGGCTTTTGCATGTCCACATACTCTTATTTTATACTCCCAGTAAAACCTTAATATTACCCCAGGTACTTATAGCTTACATTGCATAAAGAAAGAAGAAAGTAGGAAGAAAGGAAATCAGGAATTACATAGATAACAAGGCTGTGTAGTTAGCCACCCCCTCCCCATGTGGGGCCTGAATTACGTGATTGAGGGTGATCAGTCATTTAACTTAAGAAGCTACAATGTTTCATGTAGCTTTCTTGTAGAACAGCTACAGACTCTAAATATTTCATTTTTGACATTGATAGACTAGGAGAGGAAATTATCTCCAGGAAAAATGCCATGCATGACCAGGGTTAATGATATGGAACACACCCCACAAAGATGCTTTGCCTTTGGGTACCAGGACTTCAAATCCTACACAATGAAGGTAGGCAAATTTCTTCTTCCATCAGCCCCAGATGGAGAGCCCAACTTTATGGATAATATTTTATCCCCCTCCTTTCTCTCTCCTAACACACACATTTCCACCCTGTAGCCCACCCCACCCTACCCTGTCTCACTCTTTAATCCTATTTCTATGTAGGATTCTGTTATTTGCATTCCAGAGAAATTTTTTTCCTAACAAGTATAAAGTGAAGAAGCTATTCTTTATGATGAAAGGATACAAATCTTTCTCAACCTAGATGTTTCTAATACTCTTCAGTGAGGGTCTAAAGTGGGAAATGATTTAAATTAGTCTTCAGTGAATTTCTCCCCAGCTTTCTCAACCCAAAGGACAGAGCAGCAACTTAGCTGGTTCTCACAGGATCCAATGTTTGTTTGTTTCAGATCAAAAATGAAACCAAGAGAGAAAAGAAACAGTGCAGTTAGCAAAAAAAAAAAAAAAAAAAAAAAAAAAAAAAAAAAAAAAAAAAGCAGGGATTCTTAATCTTGAGGGTGCGTGAAAATACTGTCGGAAGAGGAGGCATTTCGATCTGCAGCCCTGCCGTGCTGGGTTTCTGAGCTCTGCTGCTCTCTTTCTCTGGGTAACAGGAGACTTGAAGACATCGCCCAGAAGGTAGAGCTTCAAATCCTGTTCTAGGGCCCAGAAGCAGAGGTATGGACCCCACTCCTGAGTTAATTTACTGTATAACATATGGTATTTAAAAACTTTTACTAAAATCTTGTTCCTATGCTTTGTGGTCAATGTCCAGGCTAATTTGGGAATCGGGACTAACCAACTGATCCCACTGGTGAACAGAGAAACTCAAGAGTTCAAGGCAAGGCCTCAAGTCCAGCAAAGTGTAATACCCTTGAAACCCCAAATCCTGGTGGGCACTGGTGCGTCCCACTCAAGGGTCCAGATGCTCATTTTTGCATGGATACACTGTTGAGGATTTTTCTGCCTGGGATGCCTTCCCCCTCCTCCTCACAGCCCATTTTTTTCTCCACACATCATTTCTGAGTCTATAATTCCTATAAAATTTTAATATCCAGCTTAAATGTTCATCTCTCCATAATTCCCCTGTCTGAACCCTTTTTGTCCTTGGTCCAAAATAACTTGAAATGATTTTCTTCTATGGAAATTGTGGGGTTTTTTCCCATTATGTAAGTGCCTTGACTCAATTTGATTTATTACTTCAGCATCTATGTAGTAGCTTTCTGTGCTGTGTGTTCTTCTTCTATAAATGGGGGATGATAACAACAGTACCTTCCTCAGTGAGTTGCAGTGATGTTTAAATGAGTTAACAACATAAATGGCAACAGAACCAGATACATAGTAAATGTCCAAAGAAGTTAGCAATGATGACGATAATGTATATCGTTATAATAACCCCATATACCATTGGTAAATATTTTGGAATGAAAGAATAGGTAAAAATAATTATCAATTACTTTGAAGCATGGGTGACTTGAACACCCAGGCCCAAGTTCCAGACTCCCCTGAGGATTGCTTCATCATCACTGGGCTCACCTAGAGTCTGGGAGTCTCTGTTGTTAGGTTCATGCAAGATCTCCAGGTCTTGCATGCTTGTTAGATAAAACCCCACATAGGGTTAAACAGAAGACCCAAAGACAGGGAACTCTTCTCAGAAGGAAAGAAAATTGCCATTAGTTTTATTGCTGTGGTTTCTGCTGCTGTGGATGTTTTTTAAATTATCTAATTTTGAGAGCCTGGGAAATGACAAAGAGCCCGGCTGTCCAATTATAACACTGGTTGTGTAAACCCAGGAGACTTGGAGTCTCTTAAAATTTGTGTAAAGAAGGGCTGATCATAATCACAATACATCACCACTGATGTGTTTTGTTTGCATGGTATCATTTGGTTCTAGTGATTTTTTCCTGCATTATTCTAGGTGACATGCTATCTCTCCATCAAAACAGGGAAGTGAAGCCTTGGAGGGAATATAGTAATCTGCATTTCTCTTGTATCCATTCTTTCATAGGACTTCACAGACCACTGGATCTCACGCTTTGGTGAGAGCATCTCATGAGGACTTTGCTATCAAAGCAGATTTTAGAACCCATCCGCAGGCGTTCAGACTCAGTGTCTCTGCCTCGAAATAGGCATTTTAAACAAGATCCTTAGGTTTTTCTAAGGCAGGCATCTTCTGGTCCTTGTATTTCAAAACATTGCTTTTTATGGACATATAGGAATACACAGAGGCATACATGCAGTTTAACTGGAAAAATATTAAGTTTAACTGTCATTTATACATTCATTACAACATATTTCATTCACCAAATATTACCAAAACTTAGGATGTGCAATAAAGATTCAGAGTAAAAAAAAGTCCCTCCCATCATGGAGCTTAAATTCTTACTGGTTAGAAACAATTCATCAACAAATAAATGCACATCCACTTATACATGTGCATGTATGTTTGTTTATTATATATGTAATATGACATCATATACACTAAAGGTTATATATGTGTAGTATGGCATTCTATATAGTATATACTATATAGACAATATATACATATACTATATACTATATTTACTATATATATTATATATAGGCTATATAATATATACTATATAGTATATGCTATATATACTCTATATTACATGTAGTGTAGATACTATATTAATACTATAACATAACAAATATAATACTGTTTTATAGTATATTTATATATTATATATAGTATATTATAGGTACTAGTATAGTACATTATATTAGTATGATATATAGTATGTTAATACAGTAAATTATATATAATATAGTATAGAATACTATAATACTATATATAGAATACTATATATACTACATAGAATACTATAAGATTAAATACTATATATTATAATGTAGTATGCTATATATCCTATACTATATATAATATTATATACTACTATATATAGTTTATACAGTATATATGTTGTATGCATACTATATATACAGCATATATAACATAGTATATATTATAGAGTGTATATATACAGCATATACAATATGTATATATGTATAGTATATATGTTGTTTATACTATATATAGTTATTATTCTTGTATTAATACATTATATTAGACTTTACATAATGTCTATATTTGTGTCTATATACATGTATAAGTCCATATATAGGCATTATATAAATATAGCATGACATTATATATTCCATATATGAAGTATGACAGTTGATGATAATTTCTTTAAAGGAAAAAAAGCAAGTCATAGGAGATAGAGGGATCATTTAGGTAGAGTGACAAGGAGACCTTTCTGAAAAGAGGCGTTTGAGCAGATTTCTAAAAGAATGAGTGAACAGACCCCAGAGCTGATGAGAACAGAGCCCTGCAGGCAGTGGTAAAGCAGGTGTCATGCCCTGAGGGGGCACTTTCTTCAAGTGATGATGGAAATCAAGGAGGCCAGCCTGGTTGTGGTGGCAGAAACAGGTGGGAAAGGAATGGAGGTGAGTCAGAGAGGGGACAGGGACCAGCTCATGATGGGCCTTGCAGATGACAGAAAGGACTTTGGCATTACTCAGAGCAAGGCGGGAAGCCACAGATTGCCCTGAGCAAGGAAAACTGTGACAAGACGTGTTGGAAAGGATCACTCAGGCTGCTGTGAGGACAACACAGATGAATGCCAAGAAGCTGATGGCAAGGCCCCAGTGCTCAGGAAAAGCCAGGCAAAAGCTGCAAGGCATCCTGGTCTCATCAGAAATAAGTCAAGGAGAGAAAATGCAATCCCCGTGAAATGAGCTTCAGAAACACACATCAGAGGCTATTGAGAATTCATGACATCAAAAGCAATTTTTAAAATTCAGCATAGTTTTTTTAATCCAAAAAATATATATCAACACTCCCCCATGCCAACACTCCCTTTGAGTGAGGCAGATTCCTCAGGATTCATGTGGCAGCCACACATGAGCATATGAAGGGACAGAGAAGCCACCAGCTGGTTCTGCCTGACATTCAGCTTCTCCTGCATGAGGCTAGCTTTGTTTTGGCCAAGAAGTGTCCAATGGGACATAAAATCTGAGCAGAAATGTGTCCCAGAATCTTCTGTATTTCCTTCTCCTCTGCCTTTGCCTTGCTTTCTTCTTTTCCTCTCCTTATGCCTCTCTTTCTCCTCCTTCTCCTCAGAAAATCATTGTTTTGAAAAAAAAAGTGCACACTTTTTTGAGGAATCTAAGCAATGCAAAAGTACAAAAAAAGAAAGTTTTTTTGTTTGTTTGTTTTTTTAGAAAGCTTCCTCATAGAAACAATCATCAGTAGCATTGAGCAAACTGATAGGAGATTGTAAAAAGTTTGTGGCTAGAAACAAAACAAATGCATTACCTTGTGGTTCTGTAGGCCACAAGTCTGTTGTGGGTCTCACTGGATTAAAATCTAGGTGTCTGCAGGGCTATCTTCCTTTCTGGAGACTCTAGGGGTAAATAGGTTTCCTTGCATTTTCTAGCTTCTAGAAGCCTCCTTTATTCCTTGGCTTGTAGCCTCTTCTCAATGCCAGGAACGGAGCATCTCCCTGACCTACTTCCATGGATCTATCTGTTTCTCTGAGCATACCCAAGGAAAGGTTCCCCACTTAAGAGAACACCTTTGATTACATTGGGCACACACAGGTAATCCAGGATCATCTTCCCATCCCAAGGTCCTTAACTTTAATCACCTCCACAAAGTCCCATTTGCCAAGTAAAATAACATATGCACAGGTTCTGGGGATTAGCATATGGACATCTTGGGGGAGGTCATTATTCTGCCTACCAGATTGATAGACCAAATGCTTTCATAAAAATGCAATATACTATTCCTGTTATTTTAAAAAAGTGCTCAGTTTTACCTAAATCAACAGATTTCAGAATTAATTATTGCAGAGACATCCTTCAGTCCTGCTGCGTGTGTTAAATGGCAGATGTAATTACAGAAAGCTAAGAGTCTTAGACCAAGGGTGAAAAATCTGCATAGCAATGAAACAAGATATTATGCAAAACTTATGTAGTGTTAAAATAAGCATAATGGGATGTCCTTTCGTGAAATGTCAGCTAATTTCTTTAAACAGATACTTCCTTTTTCTCTGGGCCTCATCATCTCCCCAACCACCACCACCAAAAAAAAAAAAAAAAAAAAAAAGTGTAAGCTAATCTAGTTTTAGCTTTTAGCTTTTGAGTTTCCAAAGTTTAGCCCAATGGGAATGGAAAGAAGTCAAAACATATACAACATTGAGTAACAGCCAACTCCTCCTGCCCTTTAAGCTTCTCACTCATTGCTGCCATGATGAGAGGAAGTCCTATCAGCCACATGCCAAGATCCACTAGAAGAGAATCAAAGGCCTTATCAGCCAAGCCCCAGTTGAGCTCCCAACCAGCATTTAGCCAGGCTAGTGAGGACACTTGGAAACTTCCAGACATCCCAATGCTCCAGCCAACATCACATGAAACAGAAGAGCTATGCGGTGGACCTACAAAATCGTAAGAAGAGATATATCACTAATGATTCATGCCATTGGGTTTGAGTGTAGTTTTTTAATGCAGCAAATAAATAAATAAAACTGTGTAAAGATGCTGGTGAAAACCAAGACTTTGATGAACGCAGAGGAACAATCTAGGAGCTCAGGTCCAGCTTGATAGATGATGGAGACCACCTCACATCTGCTCACACCATAATAACTGTGCAGGTCATCCAGGGGGGTTACTAGAAAACCAACATGGATTTTGTGGGGACACAAAAGACAGTAACTGTGAAATTCAGCCTGCAGACGTCTCTTCAAAAGGAAGCAGTAGATTGGGGGCACCATTGCCTCCAAGGCTGTGTGCATTGACACCAAAGACAGTTCCCTCTCTGACTGGCTGGCCTTTTAAAACGACCTCTGATTGTTATGCATAAGCTTTTGGGTAATGCTATCATGGATAGTACCCGGAACCTGATGGACGTGACATTTTGGCCTTCTCTCCTGATGGTTCTGTAGCCTTTCTTAGACTTCTCCAGGGATGAGCTTGAAGATCCCCCAGAGTGATAAGAAAGTCACATTTTTAAGTTCACTTATATTAACAGTTCAGCCACAGTTAGCTACTGAAGTTCAAATTTCTGTGACCACTTTGGAAAAAAACAAGATCCTAAGAGGATGGCAGAGAGAAGATCCAATGCCTCTATCAAAGTAGCAAGGATGGCCAACCGGGCAAGTACAGAGGACATCACAAAGAATCTTGGAACAACAGGTTGGCTCACAAATGGCAGAAGATCAAGGAAGAATTAAACCCATCTGCACTGCCCAGATGGTCTCTGAGTTCTCCACACATCTGTACCAGCCCCTCCTGCCACATGGAGTCCTGGCAGGCTGTGAGCTCTCCTCTCACACAACTGGCTCTAACATCCTGCAGTGAAGTGGCACCAACTCCCTCAGGCCCCCAGACTCTCGCAGGGCCTCCAGCACTGCCTGTCCCTGTGAGTCCCTTAATCTCTTGTTGCAGAATGTGGCCTTTCAGCCCACAATACCAATTCTTGACAAGAGCAATGCTTGAGGGGGCTTTGAATTTTCCTCACTCAGGAATTTAACTCTTTTTTGAATGTAATCTTAGACAAAGTCATTTACTGCTGAGAGCCACAGGACACAATGGGACCAGGTGTAGGAATGGTGACTTTCCACAGGGCTCCTTGAGGAAGCACCTGCCAGCTCAGATGATCAGAGGCAGCTTCTGCTTTGTCTCTGAAGGACGATGGGGTTAAGGCTCTCAGCATTAACCTTCAACAGAGCCACATTGTGCCTGATAGGTGTGGATCTATCTTCAAAGGAGAGAACCCAAAGGGCCACTGTGGTTTTCAGGGGAGAAAGCTGCAAGATTTGTGGCTTCCGTGCTAACATGCAGAATCTGGCTTCCCAGAGCATCCTTGTCTGATCTCAGCCTTAACATCCTTGGACGCTTTCCACTACAACCCTAGACTAGATCCTGGGAATATTCCCAGGATGATGTGGCTCTGTATTGGATCACAGCCTACTTCCACAGAGTTCTGGGGGCTGAGGGGGTTGTGGAGTGAGTAAGGCCAGATCCCCTCAGCACTTTGCTCACCAGCACAGCTCAGCTTTCAGGAAGAGACATGGTCCTGTCCCTGAACAAGGCAAAGCTGTAACCATTAGGTGAATGACCACATGTAGATGAAAACTATTAAGGTTTTATGCAGCTAAAAATCTGACCCAGGACCTGTGTGAAAAGGAAAAACTGTTTCAACGCTGGCTTTTTTTCTGTCTGCTAGAGTTTACTGCCTCATAAAATGGCATTTTCCCTGGGTAACAGCTGAATTGGAGTCACTTGTAGGAAATTTAAATTCTAATTGTGATAATTAGGTTGTAAAATAAGCATAGCAACATTAACTTATCCATTATATTTTGTTTTCAATTTTTAAATGGTTACAAAATTAGCCTTAAAAAACTGTTATTTTCAATTCTGGGGGTACATGTGCCGGTTTGTTATCTGGGTATATTGCATGTTGCTGAGGTTTGGGGTGTGTGTGATCCTGTCACCTAGGAAGTGAGCATAATACTCAATAGTTTTTTTTCTTTGTTTTTTGTTTTTGTTTTGTTTTGTTTTCTGATGGAGTCTTGCTCTAGTCGCCCAGGCTGAAGTGCAGTGGCATGATCTCAGCTCACTGCAACCTCTGCCTCCTGGGTTGAAGCTATTCTCCTGCGTCAGCCTCCCGAGTAGCTTGGATTACAGGAGCCTGCCACCATGCCCAGCTAATTTTTAATTTTTTTAGTAGAGACAGGTTTTCATCATGTTGGCCAGGCTGGTCTCGAAGTCCTAACTTCAGGTGATCCACTCTCCTTGGCCTCCCAAAGTTCTGGGATTACAGGCATGAGACACCACACCTGGCCAATAGTTTTTCAATGCTTGCCGCCGTCCTTCCTTCCCCCATTTTGGAGTCTCCAGTGTCTATTGTTGCCATCTTTATGTTCATGTGTATCCAATGGTTAGCTCCCACTTAAAAATGAGAACATTTGGGTTTCTGTTCCTGCATTAATTCACTTAGGATAATGGCCACCACTGCATCCACATTGTGGCAAAGGACATGATTTTGTTCTTTTTTATGGCTGTGCAGTATTCCATGGTGTATTTGAACCACACTTTCTTCATCCAGTCCACTGCTGATGGGCACCTGGGTTGATTCCATGTCTTTGTAAAAATAGACTTTTTTTTTCTAAAAAGAGGCAAAATTGGTGTGCAATTCTCAGTGAAATTGTGAAATAAATGGACACTGTATTGACACTGACCAAAAGTAAAATCTAGTGATGGGATGTGCTAGATGAGGGAGTCCTGGGGGAAGGCACAAGGGCCCGAGGACATGAGGAGAGTGGAGTGGTATGCAGCGAATTCTCTTGTGCTGGAGGACAGGGAGCAGCCCTCTTGCCGACCTCACCTGGAAGTCTCAGGAATTTTCCATCCCCAGGTCCCCAGGCAATGCTGGGAGGCCTGTGAAAACTTCCAGGTTGGAGCAGAGGGCAGGGCCAGCCACACCTGGGGTGGGTTATGAGAGGAGAGAGAAGGGGGGAAAGGTGAGTACAGCCATCGTAATGATGCAGGTGCCTCCAGCCAGATCCCGGTTCTCACGGGCAGCCGGTCTCAGCCTAGCTGACGTCGACCCAGAATCCCACGCTCTCGGCTTCCACCCAGCCACTGTTAGGCACGAACAGGGCACCCCAAAGCTCTGCATGTCTCTGAAAAGAACCCCATTCCCTGCCCCCAGCCCTGAAGCTTCGCAAGCACTGACCTTGTTGAGGCCACGGAGGCATCTCCTTGTGCCCTCTCTCCCATGTGACTCCTATCCACAGGAAGGCCTAGACTCCATGTCACCCCAACATGTGAAGCCCCTCTGCTACCCTGACCCCACCTCCCATCACCCTCGACTTTTGAAACACTGCCACCACACCCTTTGGGATCACAGTCAGTTTTAGGTAAAATCCTTGTATCCTCAGCCACCTCTCTGATGGGTCCCTTTACTGTTTTGCTGCTCTGAGGCCTCTGCCTCTTATGGCCCCTCGAAGGGGCAGCTGTTTCCTCTCCACATCCCACATTGGTTTTGGGTGTGCCCCTCACAGTGACTAAAGACCGTGTTTCCTCTTCCCTCTACAGTCCTCACATTCTCAGACTACCACCCACCACCCCTCCTTGCTACGTCCCTTTATGCATCACTGAGTTGAGCTCCTCTCATCTCTCAATAAGGTTAGCACCTCTTCCTTGACACAGTCTGTTCAGTGCCATCCTCATGAGGCTCCTTGGTGAGTCAGTGACCACAAATGCCCCCTCCAATCCCCTGGCCTCCCTTCCCTACCTTCCTCTCCTCCAGTAACCAGTTCTTCACCTCCTGCAGCCTCTCCTTCCACCATGCTCTGCCCTGTGTCCAGGGCCACCACCCCTCCACGATCCCAATTGCAAACTCTCTACCCTCTCACCATCTCTTCCTTTGTTCCAACACTCTTAGTTGACTATCCCAGATTCAAGACTTCTTTGATGCTCTTTTGACTTTTTGTTTTCCACTTGGCTTCAAGGGCCCTGCACTCTTGGGTAGAATTTGGACAGATCTAGATACCTGGGGAAAGTTTTAAAGTTGTGTATGTGGAAAGATCGGTGGGGAAGTGGGGGTGATTGGAGAGAGTGAAGATGGAGCAAAGAGCTCACAGAAAGGGTCAGAGAAACATGTGCTCAGTTTGCCATGAGATTGAGGCCCGCCTACCTGAAATTAAGAGAAAACAATCTGATAAGCTTGAAAAAGCCCAATGTAATCAGATTAAATGTAGGGACCTGTGCAAGATCCAATTCAACAATAAAGCGTTCCCTGACTATTCTAGTATCTGGGGCATTTTTTATCCACTCAACCTCTTTCATTTATTAATCATCTAATGTGTTTCAGATGCTGTGCTAGGGCCTGGGCAAAGCCAGACAAGAAGTGGTTCCTGCTATCAGGCTGACTAACATCTATCAGAAAGAACAGATCACGGTACTTTACATGATCATAGAGTTATATGTGGGGTCGTGAAATAAAAGTGATCATCTAAATCAGACAGGGAGGTCAGGAACGTGTCCTGAAGAGATGCTCTGGCTGAGTTCTGGGGGAAAATAGGAGTGTAGTGGATAGACCAGACTCAGAATGCTGGCCATTGTCACCCCTCCCTCTAAGGCAAGCTTCCTCTCACCCATGGCCCTGTTGGCATGAAGATTGCATTGCAGCACCCAAGCCCCCAGCCCATCTCCAATTTGCAGCAGCCACAGGAGGGCAGCACCCATCACTAAAGCCTGGTTCTGAAAACAGACAAGCCGACTGCATGGTGGTTCCAAAGAGTTTAAATAAATCAGCAGAGAGAGATGGAGCACCCATCACTAAAGCCTGGTTCAGAAAATGAACAAGACTACTGTATGGTGGCTCCAAAGAGTTTAAATAAAGCAACAGAGAGAGATTGAGTCAATGGAGGGGTCAGAAGCTCGGAAGCGCTATGAGATAGAGGCTGGGCAGTAGTGAGCCATGACTCTGAAGAGCTACCATGGTGATGAAACAGAAATGCAACAGCAGACGGAGCCAGTAGGAAGAGAGAAGGGAATGGATAGGCCATACAGAGAGAATCACGGATGCCACCAGGGAGGTCCTGGGCCCAGGGGAGACATGGAAGGGAGGAGGACCTGGTGTGGTCACTACACCTTTTAATGCCAGCTTCAGTCCCCAAGTGTCATCTCTCTCTCTCTCTCTCTCTCTCACACACACACACACACACACACACAGACACACACACAGTCACACACATTTTTCTAAGTCTAAACGACCCAGAAAATATACTTCCAAGTATATAACCAAAGAAAAATTTCACATATATGTACAAGGAAACAAGTATAATGATGTTCATTGGAAAAAATGTAAATATTCAGCAGAGAAATCAGTAATTAATTGTGATATAGGTATGTGTTGGGCTACAATTTAGAAGTAGAGTGAACCAGTATTCTAGATAGATGGATAGACAGACATATAAATATGTGACATATATACACACACAGACACATCATATACTTTGTATACACATATACATGGACAAGGATAAATCTTAAAATGATAAAATTTAAAATGACATTTAATATATACATAATACCATTTATATGCATTGAAAACAATAGTATGTTTTGCTTGTTCTGGATACAAAAAATACAGACATGTAACTGTTACAAAAATTAAAGTTTACAATATAGTAGTTGCTTCAAAAGATAATGGAATAACTTTGGTGAGACAAATTAGTTGTTCATTTCAAAAAGTTTAATTTATGTTTTATTTAATAAGAATTCAACCAAATGTGACCAACAAAATTGTGAATTCTTGTATATTTAATGAATAGAGGGAACAAATGAATAGAGGGAAGGTGAGCAGAAAGGAGGCAAAAAGAAAGTGCAGTTGTCTGGACAACAAAATCAGAAACAAAAGCACGAATATGGAGAGGGAGAGATGAAATATAACTGATAACAAAAAGAATTAATATGTGTTGGTGAATGTCTGAGGGTGGGACTCAGTGAGAAGGAGACGTGCACTTTGGCTCTGGGCTTTCTGGCTGGTACTGATGCTGATAACATGGAATACAGAACAGGGAGCGGGTTAGGGGAGGAAGGTGATGAATCTGACTTTGAAAGTGCTGAGTGTGAAGGTCCCATGTTTCATCCAAGTGGGTGACGTGTCATGGGTACCGCAATGCTAGGGACAGAAATAGGAACCATTTGCATCAAAGTTGCAGTTGAAGCCATGTAACATGGGGCACCCAGGGAAAGTACACAGAGTGACAAGAACAGATAGTAAAGGATGGAGCCTTGTGCTATGAATGGACTGAAGATTGCCAGAAAACGAGCTTGTGAGGTGGGTGGTAAGAAATAGTGCCGGTGCCATAGAAGAATGGAAGTACAGAGGCCCAGGAAAGCAAGTACCTTAAGGCATAAAACTTTTAACAAAAGTCAGAAAGAAATATGAATACATATTTATTGGATTTGGAGGTGCTGAGGATGAGCCACAGGATCCCCCCCTCTGGTCACTCTTAGCCATTGGCCTCTGTGCCCCCCTTCTTTGTGTGACTCCATGAAACCATGCAGTTCAAAGCCCCAGGAATGAAGGGGTTAAGCGGATGACTTCTTTTTATGTGTCCGGTCTTTTCTTTCTTCATTCCGGGACATTTTTCATGAGCATTCCTTCCCTTATTTGTTGATGTTATTTTAAACATCTTCTTTAAGTAGTGATATAGCCTGGATCTGTGTCCCCACCGAATCTCATGTCGAATTATAATCCCTAATGTTGGAGGTGGTGCCTGGTGGGAGGTGATTGGATCACAGGGGCGGTTTTTCCTGAATAGTTTAACACCATCCCCCTTGGTACTGTCGTGGCAATAGTGAATGTGTTCTCGTGAGATCTGGTTGTTAAAAGTGTGTAGCGTCTCCCCCTGGCCCCTCTGTCTTTCTCCTGCTCCCGCCGTTTTTGACGCTTCTCTCCTCCTTTACCTTCTGCCATGGTTATAAATTCCCTGAGACCTCTCCAGAAGCTGATGCTGCTTCCTGTACAGCCTGCAGAACCACAAGACCATTAAAACTCTTTTCTTTATAGATTACCCAGTCTCCGGAATTTCTTTATAGCAATACGAGAATGGCCTAACACAAGTAGGAAAGTATTATGGGTTGGATTCTTCTCCCTTTAAAATGCTTATCTGGAAGTCCTAATCTCCAGAACCTCAGAATGTGACTGTATTTGGACAGAGGGTGTTTAAAGAGGTCATTATTCTCAAATGAGGCCTTTAGAGTGGGCCCTAATCCAGTACAACTGGTGTCCTTTTAAGAGGGAGAGACACCAGGCCTGTGCGTGTGCAGAGGAAAGGCCGTGTGAGGACACAGGGAGAAGGCAGCCATCTGCAAGCCAAGGAGAGAGGCCTCAGGAGAAATCAAACCTGCCAACACCTTGATCTTCAACTTCTAGCCTCCAGAGCTGCGAGAAAACACATTTCTGTTGTTCAAACCACCCAGTCTGTGATGTCTTGTAATGGGAGCCCTAGCAAACCAATGTAGGAAGGATGTGGAAGTTCTGCTAGTAGCCATGTCTGCCTGGCTGTGTCTGTTATGAATGTGCTTGTGTGTCCTGGAGGGAGCGATGTGTGCACAAACTAAGGTTGCAGATCCGGTCACACTCTCAAAACCAAAGGGGACAGAAGTAGGAGATGAAGTCAGGAAGATTAAACTCAGGGACCAGATCATGTAGATCATTTTAAGGATATCTCTGTTGAAACGTCTTTAAAAGTTGCAGTGTCTTGGCTTGATAAGACTACTGGAAAAACAGGAAACATGAACAAAAAAACTAACCGAGTTCATTTGAAACAGCATCCATCCTCTTGCCCCTGCAGAAAGGTGAACAAAAGGCAAATGACACAAACCTGAAATGCTAGGCAGAGGAGTTTTGATGATGTGATACAGGAGACAGTCCAGGTGTCTGAGCATGAATAACTGAAGAGCGGGTGTTATTTGAGGAGGATCAAGAAAGGTTGGGAAGCAGGTGGGGGAAGAGAACATTCCCAATCTCAGCTTACTGTCATGCCTTCCTGCCTCCTACCTCCTGTCACATCAGTCCTTCCTGTAAACACTGGCAGAGGAGCCCCTGGCCCTAGTGCCACGTTCTAGAAGATGCTCTCTGCCCTTCTCCAGCCAGGCTGGTCACCACTAGGTGATGATTCCAAGGGGCCAAAGGGCCATGTCCCCCAGAATCCATGCACCTCCTTCTAGACCACACCCTCCAGTACCTGGGACCCTGGAATGATCTACTCCTATAGTCCCAAGCCCACTTCCAGCATCACTGCCTGCCTCTTTCCAGGGTCCACCTTCTGGAGGGCCAAGCGGGCTTCTGGGGTGTGCTCCGCAAGCTGAGGGGCTGGAGGGCTGCAGTAGAACTTGAATGTGAAGCTGGGATGTCCACCCATCATTAGTCACCTCTCCAAGCAGGAGGGAGCCAGGAGTGAGAAGAGAAGGGGCAAGGTCACAGAGTGGGGTAGTGGAGGCTGGTTCTCCTTGTGAGGTGATATTCTGGTACTTCACACGGAGGAACCCAAGTTCTGAATTCAAACGTTGTATTCCATGTCCTTAGGAAGCACTGTTTGCCAAGGTAGGAGGACAAAACATATTCTATGTAACAGTGTGGAGCTCAATTTATAACTTTATATGTTGGACATATGGTATGTGGCTTCCATTTATTTGTGCTTTTTTTTTTTTTTTTTTAGATGAAGTCTCACTCTTGTTGCCCAGGCTGGAGTGCAGTGGTGTGATCTCGGCTCACCACAACCTCCACCTCACAGGTTCAAGCGATTCTCCTGCCTTAGCCTCCCGAGTAGCTGGGATTACAGGTGTGCGCCATCATGCCAAGCTAATTATTGCATTTTTAGTCGAGACAGGGTTTCACCATGTTGGCCAGGCTGGTCTCGAACTCCTGATCTCACGTGATCCGCCTGCTTTGGCCTCCCAAAGTGCTGGGGTTACAGGCCTGAGCCACCATGCCCGGCCCATTTGTGCAATGTTGAGGGCAGCATGCTCTCCATCTGGGCTTCTCTTCTCAGCCACTGACTCCAAAACCAAGACCCTGTTAGGGTCGATCCTAATGATTCATTTTCCCTTGATTTTATTTCATGGTGTCTAAATTTGTCCTGTCCTCCTTAAAGCATTAAATGGTAATCTTTTCATTTAAATGTTTCAGAATGTTTCAGAAAAAGCATTGTATTTGTGACATTTGCCTTTTGTTCACACGTCTGAGAAGGAAAAATGATGGATGTCTTTTGGTATTAACTCAATGATGTGTCATTTGTGTTCTGCTTTTCTATTTTTCCAATATTCTATCAAGCTATACTGTAACATCATTTTTCTTCTGATCTTAATACCACAATGATCATATTTAAATAGAGACATTTATCTAAGTTTCAATTAATTCAGAGGCATTAGGACAGGCAATACACTCTATTCTCTTCTCTCTCTCAGGTTTGCAGTTGTATGTGCAGTAACTGAGTTTGGTCAGCAGATGGCAGTGAACATCTTGTCAGAAAGAAAAATAATTATTTAGGTTGCGTTAAAAATAAAGAGCCAGAGACAGAAAACACAGGACCTGTGGAGAAGCAGACGTGCTACAAAACACTGCCTTTCTTGCAGGAAAGAGCAATGCACACTTTTTTCTTTTTCTTTCTTTCTTTGCCACATCTCACTCTATCGCCCAGGCTGGAGTGCAGTAGAAGATCTTGGCTCACTGCAGCTTCTGACCCCTGGGTTCAAGCAAATCTCGTGCCTCAGCCACCCGAGTAGCTGGGATTACAGGCGCCCGCCACCACGCCAGGCTAATTTTTTGTATTTTTAGTAGAGACAGGGTTTCGCCAATATTGGCCAGGCTGGTCTCGAACTCCTGACCTCAGGTGATCCACCCGCCCCGGCCTCCCAAAGTGCTTGGACTACAGGCGTGAGCCACGGCGCCCGGCCCAGTGCACTTTTTTTTATGGGATCCATACGTAGCAAGTCCTTGCTTCATGCACCCCTTTCTACCCAACCCTGCTTACTTATTCAAGAGAAATTGTGTGCATGAGATGTTAAATTAATGGCACACTCAGATTGGGGAATTCTGAGACAGGGAGGGTGAAGCTGGGGTGACCTGGAGTGCAGAAGTCTGGTCCTGCCTCGCAATCCCCAGGGAGGGCCGGGCTGCTGAGTGGCACGATCTGCCCCTCCAGATGCCCGGCTCTGACCCGCTTCCTGCCGCAGCTCCTTGGCTGGGCCTCCCTGCTGCCCTGTATGCTTGGGGCATCCCAGGCTGGCTCCAGGCTCCAGAACCCAACCGGGGTCTCCCGCCCGAGCAGCCCTGCGTGGCCTGCGAGGAAGACAGCTTGTTTAACCCGTGCAGCCTCATCTCCCGGCTGATCTGGCGGTTACCATGGCAACCCCCAAGGCTCCTCAGGCATTCTCACTGACTGACCAGGCTTGGAAAAACCATTCTGGAATGGACGGAGGTATATTTGGGGGGACATTTTAATGAAAGAGCAGCTTGACCTAGTTTTAATGCAGCACCATGAAATGGCAGGGACTTGAGGTGTGACTGAATAGAAAGGGATAGCTGCTGCCAGGAAATGGGAAGGTCTCCCAGGCTGAAGAGAGGTAGAGCAAGGGAGGGCTTCGACCTTTGCTATTTCCTCATCTTCCAACAAGAAGAGCTCAATCCCCAGCCTGGCCAACATGATGAAACTCTGTCTCTACTAAAAATAAAAAAATTAGCCGGGTGTGGTGGTGGGCACCTATAATCCCAGCTACTCAGGAGGCTGAGGCATGAGAATTGTTTGAACCCAGAAGGGGGAGGCTGCAGAGAGCTGAGATTGTGCCAGAGTGAGACTCTGTCAAAAAAAAAAGAAAGAAAGAAAGAAGAGCTCAACTCTCAAATTAGTGGGGCAGTTCTCCAACGTGGGAAACTATGGGCTCCATAGAGTGCAAAGACCTTGCTTTATGCACCCCTTTCTACTCAACACAGCTTACTTGGGGAAATGTCAAACAAATGCAAAAATAGAGAATAATTCTGTGTGTGTGTGTTTTTTTTAAGAGACAAGGTCTCACTATGTTGTCCAGGCTGGTCTCGAATTCCTGGCCTCAACCATCCTGTCTCAGCCTCTTGAGTTTATGTTTTAATAAAGACATAAATGTAAGATTATCGTAATTCTGTAAAAAAAGGAAAACAAAACAAAAAAAATGCCTTCTTATTGGAAAATCTGGGGGGAGCATTTCTGACAATTTAGAGCTAACATTTAGCTGTACTGTTCATATTAGGTTTTCCAATTTCCAAAGGCTACTGTAACAGGCAGTCTCTAAAAGACCCCCAGGGACACCACCTCTGCCCCTGCCCTTGTTATCCCTCCCCTTCAGTATGGCCTGGACTTAACGATTTGCTTCTAATAATGATTGGAATACACAGGAAATGATGCCGTATCATCCCATGTCACTGCAATCTCAAACTGCCATTTCAGGACAGGCAGACAGCCTTGGGAGAGGCCCACGTGGTGAGGAACTGAGACCTGCCAGCAGCCAGGAGAGAGGGCCGGGAAGTGGCCATTTCAGCCCCACTAGAGGCTGGAGATGACCACAGCCTCACCCGGCAGCCTCACTGTAACCTCATGAGGGACCCAGAGCCAGAGGACCCAGTTGGGCTGGGCCTGGAGTTCCATTCCACAGAAGCTATCAGAAAACAAGTGTTTTGTTGTTCTGTTTTTTTGAGATGGCATCTCGCTCTGTCGCCCAGGCTGGAGTGCAGTGGCGTGATCTTGGCTCACTGCAACCTCCACCTCCTGGGTTCAAGCGATTCTCCTGCCTCAGCCTCCCAAGTAGCTGGGACTACAGGTGCCTGCCACCACCCCCAGCTAATTTTTACACTTTTAATAGAGATGGGGTTTCACCGTGTTGGCCAGGATGCTCTCGATCTTTTGACCTCGTGATCCACCTGCCTCGGCCTCCCAAAGTGCTGGGATTACAGGCATGAGCCACCGTGCCCGTGTTTGTTTTTTTAAGCCATTGTGTTTGGGGGAATTTTATTACACAGCAGTAGTTAATGCATAGAGCCATTTGTTTTTTCTCTTGCTTCCATAGTTCAAACTGTTGTTACGAGTGTGTCATAACCATTTGGTTATACCTGATTCCAGGCTTCATCATTTACAGCTGTAAGTGATATAAGGTAAGTTACCTGGCCTCTTTGAGCCTCAGTTTTCTCATCAGTAGAAAATATATATATTGTTTAAGGATTAGATGAGGCCCATGCAGTGGCTCACACCTGTAATCCCAGCACTTTGGGAGGCTGAGGTGGGTGGATCACTTGAGGTCAGGAGTTCGAGATGAGCCAGGACAACATGGTGAAATCCCATCTCTACCAAAAAATACAAAAATTAGCCAGGCCTGGTGGTCCCAGCTACTTGGGAGGCTAAGGTGGGAGAATCGCTTGAACCCGAGAAGCGGAGGCTGCAGTCAGCTGAGATCGTGCCACTGCACTCCAGCTTGGGCAACAGAGTGAGACCCTGTCTCAAAAAACAAAACAAAACAAAAAAAGATTAGATGAGTAGATACTTGTAAAAGTCTTAGAACAAACCTAGCTCCTAGAAAAAGGCTTAGTAAATTAGCTATTCTCATTATTATTGAATGCAAATAATTCATATTTCTATACAACTATTTTCTCTATGTCTATATCTATAATTTGTCTTTAGTGACTGATTTCTCCCTCCAGATCAACAAAAACTAGCAATGAAATGGGAGATGTCGTCTGAATTAAAACTGTGCAAATGTAACCTAAGTGGCTTGCAGAGGTACTGCAATCCTCACATTCCAAAGATGTACTAGTTGGTCAATTCTTACAGCCTGTGGCTCCCACTTTCTTTCACTCCATATCCATTCCAGACATATTTGCCTTATCTATTCTTAAAAATTATGGGCTGTCCATGAAACATCTACCTGATATCTATACATCCTCCTTGCCATCCAGGTTTGCTCTCCTCTGGACACAGGCTGTGGGGCTCAAATCTAACTGAAGGTTTAAGACAGAATTCACAGCATTAGAGAAGATGTACGGGGCCTCTTCCCAGATGCCAGTCTTACACTGTCAAGATTAACTTTTAAAAATAAACGCGACATCTGTATCTGTTCTCTCTTGGTGTCACCACAATGTGCGTCCATGATAGAGAAAATTCGTGGACTTATGAAGTGTGTTCCCTCCTGATACAGTTTGGCTGTGCTCTCCAAATCTCATGTTGAGTTGTAATCCCCAGTGTTGGAGGTGGGGCCTGGCAGGAGGTGATTGGATCACGGGGCCAGATCTCTCATGGCTTGTTGCTGCCCTCACGATAGTGTGTTCTTGGGAGATCTGGTTGTTTAAAAGTCTGGCACCTCCCCCTTCTCTCTTTCTTGTTCCTGCTTTCACCATGTGACATTCCTACTACTCCTTTGCCTTCCACCTTGATTGTAAACTTCCTGAGGCCTCTTCAGAAACTGATGCTGGTCCTGTGCTTCCTGTACACACAGTAGAAGTGTGAGCCAATTAAAAATTAAACCCCTTTTCTTATAAATTACTCAGTCTCAGGTATTTCTTTTTTCTTTTTTTTTTTTCTTTTTTCTTTTTTTTTTTTTTTTTTTTTTTTTTGAGATGGAGTCTCTCTCTGTCACCAGCAGGCTGAAGTACAGTGGTGTAATCTCGGCTCACTGCAACATCTGCCTCCTGGTTCAAGCGATTCTCCTGCCTCAGGCTCCTGAATAGCTGGGACCACAGGCACACGCCACCGCACCAAGCTAATTTTTGTATTTTTTAGTAAAGACAGAGTTTCCCCATGTTGGCCAGGATGGTCTGAATCTCTTGACCTCGTGATCCACCCGCCTCAGCCTCCCAAAGTGCTGGGATTACAGGCGTGAGCCACCGTGCCCGGCCTCAGGTATTTCTTTATAGCAATGCAAGAATGGCCTAACACACCTCCCTCACGAGCTAATAAATCCTAACATATTATGTGTCAATTGCAGGTCTCAAATTCAGGTTTTTGCTGCTATTGGCAGTGGCTTGTTGCAAATATTTATTGAAGATTTCAAGAGTAGTAACTGAAAAACCGTATAAGGTAGGTACTATTAGACTCACTTTCTGAATTAAAACAATGAAGGCACAAGGATTTCAAGTCACTTGCTCAACAACACACAGGTAAAGAGGCAGAGCTGAGGTACTAAATTTGGTAGTCTGTGAACAGAATCTGCATTCTTATTCACTAGAGGAGACAGGTTCTCCGGGATGTTTTTCTAAAATGCCATCTCATTGAATTGCAAGCCCGCACTCCACTAGATTGCAGAAACTTAATCTCAGTCGAAAGCCATGGTGTCCGGCGTGACCCATGTTTCCTAGGGTCATGACTGAGTTAGTTGGGAATATAAACAGTGCTTTGGGATCCGGATGAGGAATCTGGTCCTCAGCCCATCAAACCATGAAAGTTGTTGCCACGTTGTTCCTACAGATGGCACTCCTGCCTGACTTCACCCAAAATCTTTTGGGTGCTTGAGAAACACCAGTCAACCCCAAGGGCTGGTGTTTGGGAGACTCTGCAAGACCATCTCCTCCTAACTCCACTTATGCACAGATCTACTCATGTTTACTCTAGCTCTGCATCCTCGGCTTTCCACGGGAAGGGGACCTCAGGGAACAGGACTTCCAAGACCTTATCTCACCATCCTCACTTGACCTGATGGAAGAGGTTGGATGGGATCAAGGGGGCACTCATGTAGCAGCCAGGATCATAGCCCTACGTGTTTTTATTGCTGCTGCCCACACCCTTGAAACCCAGATATGCTGAGAGAGGCCCTGTCTTTTCCTGGATTCCCATTTACACACCTATAACAAACAGGGCTGCACCATAAAGCCCCTCTCTAAGGTTTTATGTGAGACAAATACAGGCTTGAGTGTGGTTCAAAGATGTTTTGCTGTAAGATTTGTCAGTTTGGATTTTAGCCTGAAGTTACTGGGTACTCTGGAGATAGTTAAACCTGAAAGGCTTGGGAAGGCAATGGTTTGCTTGAAAAGAGACAAGAAAATGAAGAAAGAATGAGCCAAAGAAGAGGGAGCAGAGGTCAGGTGTGGTGGCTCATGCCTGAATTCCAGCACTTTGGGAGGCCAAAGAAGGACTGTCTCTTAAGCCCAGGAGTTTGAGACCAGCCTGGACAACACAGCAAGACCCCATTTCTAACCAAAAAAAAAAAAAAATATTAGACCCCATCTCTAACAAAAAAAAATTATAATATTAACCAGGCATGGTGGCACTCTCCTGTAGACCTAGCTACTTGGGAGGCTGAGGCCGGAAAATCCTTTGAGCCCAAGACTTTAAGTTACAGTGAGCTAGGGTGGTGCCTCTGCACTCTAGCCTGGGCGACAGAGCAAGACCCTGTCTCTAAATTAAAAATAAAAAAAAAGAGGGGGAAGAAAAGAATTTAAAAATGGGAGGGGAACCACTTAACATCTGTTCAGGGATGTGGCTGTCTCACTGGCACCAATGAGATTAATATCATCACCATCACCTTCATCACTACCATTTTGCATGCGTCATCTCTAATCACATGCCCAGAGGTCAAACACTGGTGGCCCGAGGGTGGAGTAAGCATACCAGGGCAGGCAGTGACTACCTCACAGTAGTTCCCACTGACCTCACGTCCCTCATGTAGGTACCAGCCAGGCCCCACTGGCATTGAAATGTATAGACTCAGATGTGTTGGGCGGGCCTAGGTAGAAATCTCACTTGAAGGCCACAGTGTATTTATCATATACATGGAGTTATGATGCATCTCTGCCCAGGAATAGAATTCAAACAAGAGTCTTAGAAATGCACTGAAGTGAATGAAATCCAGGACCTTAGGGCTGGTCACCCTGAGTCTCAGCATTATGTCTTCTTCCACCACCTGTTTCCTCTATTGTAGTCTTACAAGTGAGCTGGGGCCAGTGGTCGCTTAATCCTCCCCTCTCCTCTTGATGCTGCCTCCACATCCTCACCCCTCCTCAACAGCAAAAACGAAATGACCACACAGCTCCCCAGCTGGTTTTGTGTCTAACATTTTATCCTAAAGTTTTGAAAAGAAAAAGAAAAGAACCTGATAATTTCTAAATGAGGTAATTCATTTAGGCACTGACAGCCATTCATGCATCACTGTGAATTCATTTACCAAATTAATCAATCAATTTAGTCCAATAATCAGATCAAGCAGGCAGCAGACCAGTTTGCTCTGGTTTGATTTATTAGATGACTAGAAAGATCAGACGATTAGATCAGATTAATCAAATGCTTTTTACGAGCATCCACAGAACAGAAAAGGTCTTCCCAGGACATCATGAGCTAAACCGAGTGTGCTGGGGGACTGGGCTCTGGAGAGGAGCTGCTTGGGGTTCTAGGCTCCCACTTTGCTCAGGTTTTACAAGTCCCGCATTGCAGAGGCACAGCTGAGCAACCCAGTTACCGGACATCTGTGTTAGTTTCCTGTGGCTTCAGTAACAAACTACCATAACCTTAGTGGTTTAAAACAACACAGATTTATTATCTCATGGTTCCAGAGGTCAGAAGTCAAAAATGGGTTTTACGGGCTTAAATCAAGGTGTGGACAGAACTGCATTCCTTCTAGAGATTCCAGGGGAAAACCCATTCCTTCCCTTTTCCAGCTTCCAGAGGCCACCTGCATTCTTCGGCTCATCACTCTGATCTTTGCTCTGCCATCAGTCACATCTCTCGCTCCCCGCCTCCTGCCTCCCTCCTTCACTTTTAGGGATGCTTGGTTCACACTGGGTCCATCCAGATAATTCAAAATCATCTCTCATCTCAAGAACCTTAGCTTAACCTCCCTGCAAAGTTCCTTTTGCCACGTAAAGTAACATATCCACAGGTTCCAGATCAGGATGCAGACATCTTTGGAGGACCGTTATTCGACTTCTTACAACAATCCAAGGCCATCACCAGGTTTTCAGAAACCAAGATGGCCTGCCTGGTCCCTTCAATACACCCCTGTGCTTGGAGACACTGAAAGGCCTCATGGGATACAACCACACACTGCTGGTTCTGCCACAGCTCTTAAAATTAAAGTAGTCTGCCTGCATTAAAACCTGGCTTCCAGAAAACTTCTGCTATCATGGAAATATATAACCTGGGTGGATAAATAGCATGCTTCCAACAACGCTTATTGCCTATCATTAGGGAACGATAGGCGGGTTTATCACATTTCCTGTGATTAAGAGGTGCCATAATTAATTACCTGTTGGGAAGGGACAAGGTGATGATGCTTTGAACTTGGGACTGGAGGCCCAGCTCCGGACTCCAGAAAAGATGAAAAGCATTGAACTCACAATGGTTACTTCTTCCATGAAACATGTTAGCTGGAGATAGAATCCAGTAACAAACTCAGCTATATTGAATGTGTGTGTGTGTGTGTGTGTGTGTGTGTGTGTGTGTGTGTGTGTGTATGTGTAAAATCTTGTGTTTTTCTTATGATTTACCTCTACCAACAACAGTGCACTGCAAAAGTCCAAGGCTTGGAACTGGGGATACAGTCTAAGGGTAAAAATAAAAATCGTCTAATATATGCTATGTCCTGAGTGAGTGGGAAATAATGTGGCTGTTAAAAGCTGACTGGGTCTTCAAGGAAGTTGTATTAGTGCATTTGGGGGGTCATAACAAAGTGCCAGAAATTGAGTGGCATAAAACAACAGAAATTAATGGTCTTGCAGTCCTGGAGAGTAGAAGCCTAATCAAGGTGTGGAAGGGGAAATTCCTTCGGAAGTGTCTTGTGGGGGCTTGCAGACAGCCGTCTTCTCCCTGTGTCATCACGTGGGCCTCCCTCTGAGTGTCTGTGTCTTATTATAAAGACACCAGTCATATGGGATCAGGGCCGACCCTGGTGGTCTCCTTTTACCTTGATTACCTCTTTGAATAACTTTTCCAAATACAGTCACACTCTGAGGGACTGGGGTTAGCACTTCAACGTATGAATTTTGGAGGGCACAATTCAATTGGTAACAGAAATGTAGGACTGAGCAAAGCAAAGACGAGGAGGCAGCAGAGGTGGAGTAGAGTGGAATGCACAGATATATGGCAGAGAAGGCTTGAAAGGGGCTGGAATTTGGGCAAAGAGATTTTGTTTTTGGGTTTTTGTGTGTGTTTTCTTTTTTTTTTTTTCTTCCTTGAGACGGAGTCTTGCTCTGCTACCCAGGCTGGAGTGCAGTGGTACAATCTCGGCTCACTGCAATCTCTGCCTCCTGGGTTCAAGCAATTCTCCTGCCTCAGTACCCCGAGTAGCTGGGACTACAGGCGCCAGCCACCACTGCTGGCTAATTTTTCTATTTTTAGTAGACACAGGGTTTCACCACGTTGGCCAGGATGGTCTTGATCTCTTGACCTTGCGATCCACCAACATCAGCCTCCCGAAGTGCTGAGATTATAGGCATAAGCCACCGTGCCCAGCCCAAATATAGTTCAATCTACTCTTAGGTAAGGGAAAGACACCAAACACAGACAGACTGGATGACAATAAGGAGGCTCTGTGCTGCCTCTAGATAAGTCACTGATAAAAGCTTGGTTTCAGGGTTTCTAGGTCTTCTTTCATCTACACTCTGCTTGTCATAGCACTCATAGTGCACTCACTGTATTAGTCTGGTCTCACACTGCTAATAAAGACATACCCAAGACTGAGTAATTTACAAAGAAAAGAAGTTTAATTGACTCACAGTTCCATGTGGCTGGGGAGGCCTCACAATCATGGTGGAAGAGCAAGGGACGTCTTGCATGGCAGCAGGAAAGAGAGCGCTTATGCGGGGGAACTCCCCTTTATAAAATCATCAGATCTCGTGAGATTTATTCACTATTACAAGAGCAGCATGGGAAAAACCTGTCCTGGTGATTCAATTACCTCCCACCTGGTCTCTCCCACAACACGTGGGGATTACTACAATTCAAGGTGAGATTTGAGTGGGGATGTAGAGCAAAACCATATCACTCACATTTCAATAGTACCCAGACTATGTCTGTTTCCCTCCATGACTAAAAACTCTAACCTTCCATTGTGAGGCAAACAGTCAAAATGAAGGAGATACGCAAAGTTTCCCACTTTACTTCCTTAGGGACAGAAAACTCTGACGTAGATAAGTGTTGTCCTAAAACCTCTCCACCTTAATTTCCTCATCTATAAAAAGAGTGGATATCCTGGATGATTCTAAAATTGTATTAATTAGTAGGATTGGAAACTCAAATCTACTTATGACTCTAGAGAAAATTATTTAACATATGCTTCCCAGGGAAATATTAAATTAAAATCATGGCTACATAATGACTAAATACCAAATGAGGATATCTATCAATAAAAAGAAAGGCAATTAGCAACATAATCAATCGACATACTGTTTATGTTTTATTATGAACATGAACCAGTTCCTTAAGTCAATTACTGCCTGCATTATTTTGCTAGGGCTGCCATAACAAAGCACTGCAAACTGTATGCTTAACAGCAGAAATGCATTGTCTCATAGTCCTGGAGATCAAGGCATTGGCAGGGTTGGTTCCTTCTGAAGATGTTAGGAAAGAATCTGTTTTCGACCTCTCTCCTAGCTTCTGGTAGTTCCCTGGCTTGCGGCTGAATAACATGTCATTCTCCCTGGGTGCATTTCTGTGTCCAAATTTCCCCTTTTTATAAGAACACCAGTCACATTGGATTAAGAGCCCACCCTACTCCAGCATGACCTCATCTAACTAATTACATCTGCAATGACCCTATTTCCAAATAAGGTCACCATTTGAGGTACTGGAAGTTAGGACCTCAACATATGAATTTAGCAGGGGACACATATAAACCTATAACACCACCTGTCAGTGGATTAAAAAAAATAATGAGAACATTTAAGTCTCTCACTGTATCAGTCTGTTCTCACATTGCTCTAAAGAAATACCTGAAACTGGGTAATTTATAAAGAAAAGAGGTTTCATTGGCTCCCAGTTCCACAGGCTGTACAGGAAGCATGGTGCTGGCATCTGCTTAGCTTCTGAGGAGGCCTCAGGAAACTTATGATCACAGCAGAAGGTCAAAGGGAAGCAGTCACGTCTTACATGGCAGGAGCAGGGCGAGACAGAGTGGGGGGAAGGTGCCGCACACGTTTCAACAACAAGGTATCCTGAGAACTCACCATCATGAGAATAGCACCAAGGGGACGGTACTAAAGTATTCATGAGAAATTCACCCCCCTGATCCAATCACCTCCCACCGGGACCCACCTCCGACACTGGGGATTACAATTTGACATGAGATTTTGTGGGGACACAGATCCAAACCACATCACTCATCCTGTCCATTTTAAAATAGAGACTCAGTCAACATGTACCTACACAGTAGCCTCCTCCTCTGTCCACAGTTTCACTGTTCATGGTTTCTGTTACCCACAGTCAACTGCGGTCCAAAAATATATAAGTAGAGTACAATATGATATTTTGAGAGAGACAACACATTCATATACATGTTATCACAGTATATTGTTATAATCGTTCTATTTTATTATTAGCTATGGTTGTTAATTTCTTATTGTGCCTAATTTGTAAATTAAACTTTATCATAAGTATGCATGTATAAGAGAAAAACATACAGTAGTATATATAGCATACTATAGTCATGTATATGGCATTCAGCATTATCCATGGTTTCAGGCATCCACTAGTGGGCTTGGCACATACCACCGTCAGATAAGGGGGGATTACTATATTTTCTGTAATGTTACTCTTAATCAGTAATTAAATCAAAAGCATTTTTTAAAAAGAAAACTTTCTAAGTCAACTAAAGAAAAACTCTTGTTCTCCTGTATGTCTTCTTCTATATGTCATCATAAAAATTTGCCTCTAGAACCTTTCCAGTCCTTCTAGCCTATCTGTTTTTGCCCCTCCAACTCAAGTATACGTGATGTTTAGAGGTTATTTCCAGAATGTTTTCCACTTAAGAGATCCTTGAAGCAACAAGTTAGACTGCCTGTAATGATTTGGGTGTCTGCAATGTACCCGCAGGGAAGAGAACCAGTCCTTGTTGGTAGCTCAGAGTAACCCCAATTTCAATGTGTTTGGTAAATGTGATGGAAGTCTCCAAAATTGCAGTCTAGACTCACTCAGCAGTCTCCAGAGCACATGTTTATAACAAAACAAATACAATATTTTTATATTCCTCTTTTATCTTGCAGTAAACATTGACAGGACATACTTTTCTTTCACCCTTCTTCAGTTTTAATTAGCTTTTACAGACCATAATAGAGCTGTAAACACCATGTGACAGCAGTAGCATTTTCCACTCACTTAAGAATTCAAGGCCAGGCATGGTGGCTCACGCCTGTAATCCCAGCACTTTGGGAGGCCAAGGCGAGTGGATCACCTGAGGTCAGGAGTTCTAGACCAGCCTGGACAACATGGTGAAACCCCGTCTCCACTAAAAATACAAAAATTAGCTGGGCATGGTGGCACGTGCCTGAAATCCAGCTACTGGGGAGGCTGAGGCAGGAGAATCGCTTGAACCCAGGAGGCAGAGGTTGCAGTAAGTCCAGATCGCGCCATTGCATTGCACGCCAGCCAGTGCAACAAGAGCGAGATTCTGTCTCAAAAATAAATAAATAAATAAATAAATAAATAATAATTCAAGGTGGCCTCAAAGAATCCCTGCAATTTAGGGAAACCATAGTTTAATATGAACCTTTAAAGGAGAAATATACATTTAGCATTTGGGACTATTACTTGAAGTCTAGTTTGAAGATGTCTACTATTCTGAATGTTTAATAACTGATTTCTTACGGGCATACAATCAATTGAAATATGAAAAGGCCTGTCTAGATGGAAAAAGTATCTTTTAAAGCTGTGGGGACATCTTGTGGCCAATTTTATTAAAGTTTTTTTATTATTTTATTTATTTATTTATTTATTTATTTATTTATTTATTTATTTATTGAGACGGAGTCTAACTCTTGTTGCCCAGGCTGGAGTGCAGTGGCACAATCTCAGCTCACTGCAACCTCTGCCTCCCAGGTTCAAGCGATTCTCCTGCCTCAGCCTCCCAAGTAGCTGGGATTACAGGTACATGCCACCATGCCCGGCTGATTTTGTATTTTTAGTAGAGATGGGGTTTCACCATGTTGTCCAGGCTGTTCTTGAACTCCTGACCTCCAGTAATCCACCCACTTTGGCCTCCCACAGTGCTGTGATTATAGGCGTGAGTCACTGTGTCCAGCCAAGATTCTTTTTAATGAGATAACAGTTGATCCTCCTCCATGTGGGTGCATCCTGCCTCCGTGGATTCAACCAAACATGGGTCAAAAATATTTGAAAAAAAAATTCGCCTGTACTGTTTACATATAGACTTTTTCTTCTTGTCATTATTCCCTAAACAATAAGTATAACCATTACTTACATCGCATTTACATTGTGTTAGGTATTATAAGTAATCTAGAGATGACTTAGAGGATTTGGGAGGATATGCGTAGGTTATGTGCAACACTACATATTTGCAAACATTACTATTTTCCCTTTTGTCTACACACCCACAAATAAACACTTAAAAAGACAACATTTTACAATGGTGTAGAATTTACATTTAAGGGACTTGAGCATCTGTGGATTTGGGTATTCGTGGGAGGTCCTAGAACCCCCCACAGACACCAGAGGATGACTGTATTTTGACTGAACAAATATAGGGAATGCTTACAGTAGGTTAGTATAATTGTGCTATATGCAAGGAGAATAAAGATAAAACACAAGCTGTTTTTTGAGGAAGCAATCAGAATAGAAAGAGCCTAAGCTATTTAATATGGCCAAACCTCATTTTATTTACTTATACAGAAGAAATCCAGGTATCTTCTTTCAAAAAAAAAACAGTTAAAAGTACAGATGTCATGAACACCTGTGGCTTTCACCTGTTTTCCATACAGCCTGCATTCCTTAGTACCCGCGCCTCAGTTTTACTTTAGAGACCAACCAGCACACACTCTGTCCATGTGTTAAGGTGGGACTGCTGGTCAACTCCTTTGGCTCCAGGTCTATCTAATCCATGTATTCCTTTTTTTTTTTTTTTTTTTTTTTTTTTGACGGAGTCTCACTCTGTTGGCCAGGCTGGAGTGCAATGGCGCAATCTTGGCTCACTGCAACCTTCACTCCCTGGGTTGAAGCAATTCTCCTGCCTCAGCCTCACGAGTAGCTGGGATTACAGGCATGCACCACCACACCTGGCTAAGTTTTGTATTTTAGTAGAGACAGGGTTTCACCATGTTGTCCAGGCTGGTCTCAAACCCCCAACCTCAGGTGATCTGCCCTCCTTGGCCTCTGAAAGTGTGGGGATTACAGGCATGAGCCACTGCACCCGGCCAATTTCTTTTATTTAAGCCACCTAGTCTATTGTATTTTTATGGCAGCCTGAGCTAATACACAAGTTCAGAATATAAATACTTTTAGCTGTACATGGAACCACTATTGACCATATATCAGACTTTAAAAGTCTTAATACATTTTAAAAGATTACAATTTTACAGACTATATTCTCCAATAATGGCCCTAAATCAGAAACCAATAAGAAAAGAACATCTAGAAAATGTCCACGTTTCATTTTTTAAAAAGCTAACTGATGTTAAAAAAATTACAGGTGAAATTAGAAAATATTTTGAACTGAATGACAATAGAAAATACAACATAGCAAAATCTGAGGTGCAATGCTTAGAGGGAAGTTTATCACTTTAAATATTTAGAAAAGAAAAAATTTATATCAGTTATATTTCTTCTCAGGATGCTGAAAAATTCAAATTGAACCAAATTAAGTAGTAGAAAGAAAATAATAAAGATAAACGCAGAAAGCAATGAAATAAGAAATAAAGAAAAAATAATAAAGCCAAAAATTATTCCTTTGAAAAAAGTAATTGCATTAATAAACTCATAAAAAACCAGTCACACACATACAAAATATCTAGAATTAGGAATGAAAGAGGAAATATAACTGCTTATCCTACAAACATGAAAAGGATAATAAAAAATATAATGGACAATTATATGCTAATAAATATGTCAATTTAAATTAAATGACATATTTCAAAATTGATCCAGGAAGTAATATTGAATCAGAATACCCTGTATCTACCAAAGAAATTTAATTTACAATAACTAACATTCCCATAAAGGATACAGTCCTAGGCAGTTACAGATGGTGAATTCTATCAAACACTGAAATGACAAAAGAATCAATCTTACCAAAACCCTCACAAAATAGAAAAAGGAACACTTCCCAACTCATTTTATGAGGCCAGCATCACTCTGATACCAAAATCTGACAAATCAGAAAAGAAAATTTCAGAAAATGTCTCTCATGAACATAGATGCAAAAGTTCTTAACAATATTAGAAAATCAAATCCAGCAGTATATAAAAATAATATTACATCATGACCAAGGAGAGTTTATCCATGGAATGCAAAGCTGATTTAACAATAGAAAACCACTCAGATAGTTCACTACATTGACAGATGAGGGAGGAAAAACAACACGATTATCTTAATATATGAACAAAAACATTTGACTAAATTAACGTCATTCATGACAAAAACTCATAGCAAAGTAGGAATAGAAGTGAACTTCCTCAACGTCATAATGGTCAGTACGAAAACCACTACTGTTAACATACATGATGAAATATTGAACTATTTCCTTCTTAATTTGGAGGAAAAAAATCAAGAATATCTGCTCTCACCACTTCAATTCAACATTATACAAGAGGTTAGAGCTACTAAAATAAGGTAAACTTAAACAAATAAACAATTTTAAAAGAGACAGAAGGAAGAAAGGGAGGCAGGAAGAAAGTTTGGAAAGAAGGAAGTAAAACTGTGTTTGTTTGCAGATGATGTGATATTTATGTAGAGAATTATCAGACCTCTGAGCCTAAGCTAAGCCATCATATCCTTTGTGACCTGCACGTACACATCCAGATGGCCGGTTCCTGCCTTAACTGATGACATTCCACCACAAAAGAAATGAAAATGGCCCGTTCCTGCCTTAACTGATGACATTATCTTGTGAAATTCCTTCTCCTGGCTCATCCTGGCTCAAAAGCTCCCCTACTGAGCACCTTGTGACCCCCAACCCTGCCCGCCAGAGAACAACCCCCTTTTGACTGTAATTTTCCTTTACGTACCCAAATCCTATAAAACGGCCCCACCCCTATCTCCCTTCACTGACTGTCTTTTCAGACTCAGCCTGCCTGCACCCAGGTGAAATAAACAGCATTTTTGCTCACACATAGCCTGTTTGGTGGTCTCTTCACATGGATGCGCATGAAATTTGGTGCTGTGACTCGGATCCGGAGACCTCCCTTGGGAGATAAAATCCCCTGTCCTCCTGCTCTTTGCTCCGTGAAAAAGATCCACCTACGACCTCAAGTCCTCAGACCCACCAGCCCAAGGAACATCTCACCAATTTTAAATCAGGTAAGCGGCCTCTTCTTACTCTCTTCTCCAACCTCTCTCACTATCCCTCAACTGCTTTCTCCTTTCAATCTTGGCACCACCCTTCAATCTCTCCCTTCTCTTAATTTCAATAGAGACAAAGGAGACATGTTTTATCTGTGGACTCAAAACTCTGGCGCCGGTCACAGACTCAGGAAGGCAGCCTTCCCTTGGTGTTTAATCATTGCAGGGACGCCTCTCTGATTATTCACCCACGTTTCAGAGGTGTCTGACCACGTGGGGACGCCTGCCTTGGTCCTTCACCCTTAGCGGCAAGTACCGCTTTTCTAGGGGGCAAGAACTCCCCAACCCCTTCTCTCCGTGTCTCTACCACTTCCCCCTTTTCTAGAGGGCAAGAACCCCCCAACCCCTTCTCTCTGTGTCTCTACCCCTTCTCTGCTTTTCTGGGGGCAAGAACCCCCGATCTCTTATTTCCGCACCCCAACCTCTTATCTCTGTGCCCCGATCCCTTATTTCCGCTCCCCGACCTCTTATCTCCGTGCCCCAATCCCTTATTTCCACACCCTGACCTCTTATCTCTGCGCCCCAACCTTATTTCCATGCCCCGACCCCTTTCCCGCTTTTCTGGAGGGTTAGAACCCCTGAAACCCTTCCCTCCGTGTCTCTACTCTCTCTCTTCTCTAGGCTTGCTTCCTTCACTATAAGCAACCTTCCACCCTCCATTCCTCTGTCTCCCTTAGCCTGTGCTCTCAAGAACATAAAACCTCTTCAACTCACACCTGACCTAAAACCTAAATGCCTTATTTTCTTCTGCGATGCCACTTGACCCCAGTACAAACTCGGCAGTAGTTCCAAATAGCCAGAAAACGGCACTTTCAATTTTTCCATCCTGCAAGATCTAAATAATTCCTGTTGTAAAATAGGCAAACGGTCTGAGGTGCCTGACACCCAGGCATTCTTTTACACATCGGTCCCTCCCTAGTCTCTGTGCCCAGTGCAACTCGTCCCAAATCTTCCTTCTTTCCCTCCTGCCTGTCCCCTCAGTCCCAACCCCAAGCATCACTGAGTCTTTCTAATCTTCCTTTTCTACAGACCCATCTGACCTCTTCCCTTCTCCCCAGGCTGCTCCTCGCCAGGCTGAGCTAAGTCCCAATTCTTCCTCAGCCTCCACTCCTCCACCCTATAATCTTTTTATCACCTCCCCTCCTCACACCCGGTCCAGTTTACAGTTTCATTCTGTGAGTAGCCCTCCCCAACCCGCCCAGCAATTTCCTCTTAAAAAGGTGGTTGAAGCTAAAGGCATAGTCAAAGTTAATGCTCGTTTTTCTTTATCTGACCTCTCCCAAATCAGTGAGCATTTAGGCTCTTTCATCAAATATGAAAAACCCAGCCCAGTTCATGGCTCGTTCGGCAGCAACCCTGAGACGCTTTACAGCCCTTAGACCCTAAAAAGTCAAAAGGCCGTCTTATTCTCAATATACATTTTATTACCCAATCTGCTCCTGACATTAAATAAAACTCCAAAAATTAAATTCCAGCCCTCAAACCCCACAACAGGAATTAATTAACCTCACCTTCAAGGTGTATAATAATAGAGTTAGAGTAGAGGCAGCTAAATAGCAGTGTATTTCTGAGTTGCAATTCCTTGCCTCCACTGTAAGACAAACCCCAGCCACATCTCCAGCACACAAGAACTCCAAACACCTGAACCACAGCTGCCAGGGGTTCCTCCAGAACCTCCTCCCCCAGGAGCTTGCTACAAGTGCCGGAAATCTGGTCACTGGGCCAAGGGATGCCCACAGCCCAGGATTCCTCCTAAGCCATATCCCGTCTGTGTGGGACCCCACTGAAAATCAGACTGTTCAACTCACCTGGCAGCCACTCCCAGAGCCCCTGGAGCTCTGGCCCAAGGCTCTCTGACTGACTCCTTCCCAGATCTTCTCAGCTTCGTGGCTGAAGACTGACACTGCCCCATCGCCTCGGAAGCCCCCTAGACCATCACAGATGCTGAGCTTTAAGTAACTCTCACAGTGGAAAGTAAGTCTGTCCCCTTCTTAATCAATACAGAGGCTACTGACTCCACATTACCTTCTTTTCAAGGGCCTGTTTCCCTTGCCTCCATAACTGTTGTGGGTATTGACAGCCAGTCTTCTAAACCTCTTAAAACTCCCCAACTCTGGTGCCAACTTAGACAATACTCTTTTAAGCACTCCTTTTTAGTTATCCCCACCTGCCCAGCTCCCTTATTAGGCGGAGACACTTTAACTAAATTATCTGCTTCCCTGACTATTCCTAGGCTACAGCCACACCTCATTGCCACCTTTTCCCCCAGTTCAAAGCCTCCTTCACATCCTCCCCTTGCATCTCCCCACCTTAACCCACAAGTAAAAGACACCTCTACTCCCTCCTTAGTGACCGATCATGCACCCCTTACCATCCCATTAAAACCTAATCACTCTTAACCTGCTCAATGCCAATATCCCATCCCGCAGCACGCTTTAAAAGGATTAAAGCCTTTTATCACTCCCTTGTTACAGCATGGCCTTTTAAAGCCTATAAACTCTCCTTACAATTCCCCCATTTTACCTGTCCTAAAACCAGACAAGACTTACAGATTCGTTCAGGATCTGCGCCTTATCAACCGAATTGTTTTGCCTATCCACCCCGTGATGCCAAACCCATATACTCTCCTATCCTCAATACCTCCCTCTACAACCCATTATTCTGTTCTGGATCTCAAGCATGCTTTCTTTACTATTCCTTTGCACCCTTCATCCCAGCCTCCCTTCGCTTTCACTTGGACTGACCCTGACACCCATTAGGCTCAACAAATTACCTGGGCTGTACTGCTGCAAGGCTTCACAGACAGCCCCCATTACTTCAGCCAAGCCCAAATTTCTTCTTCATCTGTTACCTATCTCAGCATAATTCTCATGAAAACACACATGCTCTCCCTGCTGATAGTGTTCGACTGATCTCTCAAACCCCAGCACCTTCTACAAAATGACAACTCTTTTCCTTCCTAGGTGTGGTTAGATACTTTCGACTTCAGATACCTGGTTTTGCCATCCTAACAAAACCATTATATAAACTCACAAAAGGAAACCTAGTTGACCCCATAAATCCTAAATCCTTTCCCCACTCCTCTTTCCATTCCTTGAAGACAGCTTTAGAGACTGCCCCCACTCTAGCTCTCCCTGACTCATCCCAACCCTTTTCATTACCCACAGCTGAAGTGCAGGGCTGTGCAGTCAGAATTCTTACACAAGAACTGGGACCGCGCCCTATAGCCTTTTTATCCAAACAACTTGACCTTACTGTTGTTTTGCCGAGCCCTCAAGTCTGTGTGCGGCAGCCGCTGCCACCCTAATACTTTTAGAGGCCCTAAAAATCACAGACTATGCTCAACTCACTCTCTACAGTTCTCATAACTTCCAAAATCTGTTTTCTTCCTCATACCTGACGCATATACTTTCTGCTCCCGGGCTCCTTCAGCTGTACTCACTCTTTGTTAAGTCTCCCACAGTTACCATTTTTCCTGGCACGGACTTCAATCTGGCCTGCCACATTATTCTGGATACCACACCTGACCCTCATGACTGTATCTCTCTGATCCACCTGACATTCACCCCATTTCCCAATATTTCCTTCTTTCCTGTTCCTCACCCTGATCACATTTAGTTTATTGATGGCAGTTCCACCAGACCTAATTGCCACTCACCAGCAAAGGCAGACTATGCTATAGTATCTTCCACATCTATCATTGAGGCTACCGCTCTGCCCCCCTCCACTACCTCTCAGCAAGCCGAATTAGTTGCCTTAACTCAAGCCCTCACTCTTGCAAAAAGAATACGCGTCAATATTTATACTGACTCTAAATATGCCTTTCATATTCTGCACCATCATGCTGTTATATAGACTGAAAGAAGTTTCCTCACTACACAAAGGTCCTCCATCATCAATGCCTCTTTCATAAAAACTCTGCTCAAGGCCGCTTTACTTCCAAAGGAAGCTGGAGTCATTCACTGCAAAGGCCATCAAAAGGCGTCAGATCCCATTGCTCTAGGCAACGCTTATGCTGATAAGGTGGCTAGACAAGCAGCTAGCTTTCCAACTCCTGTCCCTCATGGCCAGTTTTTCCCCTTCACATCAGTCACTCCCACCTACTCCCCCACTGAAACTTCCACCTATCAATCTCTTCCCACACAAGGCAAATAGTTCTTAGACCAAGGAAAATACATCCTTCCAGCCTCACAGGCCCATTCTATTCTGTTGTCATTTCATAACCTCTTCCATGTAGGTTACAAGCCGTTAGCCCGTCTCTTAGAACCTCTCATTTCCTTTCCATCATGGAAATCTATCCTCAAGAAGATCACTTCTCAGTGTTCCATCTGCTATTCTACTACCCCTCAGGGATTGTTCAGGCCCCCTCCCTTTCCTACACATCAAGCGCAAGGATTTGTCCCTGCCCAGGACTGGCAAGTTGACTTTACTCACATGCCCCGAGTCAGAAACCTAAAATATCTCTTAGTCTAGGTGGACACTTTCACTAGATAGGTAGAGGCCTTTCCCACAAGGTCTGAGAAGGCCACCGCAGTCATTTCTTCCCTTCTGTCAGACATAATTCCTCGGTTTGGCCTTCCCACTTCTATACAGTCTGATAACAGACCAGCCTTTATTATCAAATCAGCCAAGCATTTTTACGGGCTCTTGGTATTCAGTGAAACCTTTATATCCCTTACAGTCCTCACTCTTCAGGAAAGGTAGAACGGACTAATAATCTTTTAAAAACACACCTCACCAAGCTCAGCCACCAACTTAAAAAGAACTGGACAATACTTTTACCACTTTCCCTTCTCAGAATTCAGGCCTGTCCTCGGAATGCTACAAGGTACAGCCCATTTAAGGTCCTGTATAGATGCTCCTTTTTATTAAGCCCCAGTCTCATTCCAGACACCAGACCAACTTGGACTGTGCCCCAAAAAACTTGTCATCCCTACTATCTTCTGTCTAGTCATACTCCTATTCACCATTCTCAACTACTCATACATGCCCTGATCTTGTTTACACTGCCAGTTTACACTGTTCTTCCAAGCCATCACAGCGGATATCTCCTGGTGCTATCCCCAAACTGCCACTGTTAACTCTTGAAGTAAATAAATAATCTTTGCTGGCAGGACTATGCTGAATCTCCTTAGGCACTCTCTAATTAGATGTCCTAGGTCCTCCCAATTCTTAGACCTTTAATACCTGTTTTTCTCCTTCTCTTATTCTATTTAGTTTTTCAATTCATACAAAACCATATCCATGCCATCACCAATAATTCTAAATGACAAATGTTTCTTCTAACAATCCACAATATCACCCCTTACCACAAAATCTTCCTTCATCTTAATCTCTCCCACTCTAGGTTCCCACGCCACCCCTAATCCCGCT
This sequence comes from Homo sapiens, assembly GCF_000001405.40. Taxonomy (NCBI): domain Eukaryota; kingdom Metazoa; phylum Chordata; class Mammalia; order Primates; family Hominidae; genus Homo; species Homo sapiens. The sequence goes on from NC_000010.11 coordinate 25,722,397, forward strand.
CGAAGCAGCCCTGAGAAACATCGCCCATTATCTCTCCATACCATCCCCCCAAATTTTCGCCATACCAACACTTTACCACTATTTCGTTTTATTTTTCTTATTAATTTAAGAAGACAGGAATGTCAGGCCTCTGAGCCCAAGCTAAGCCATCATATCCCCTGTGACCTGCACATACACATCCAGATGGCCGGTTCCTGCCTTAACTGATGACATTCCACCACAAAAGAAATGAAAATGGCCTGTTCCTGCCTTAACTGATGACATTATCTTTTGAAATTCCTTCTCCTGGCTCATCCTGGCTCAAAAGCTCCTCTACTGAGCACCTTGTGACCCCCAACCCTGCCCGCCAGAGAACCCCCCCTTTGACTGTAATTTTCTTTTGCCTACCCAAATCCTATAAAACGGCCCCACCCCTATCTCCCTTCACTGACTGTCTTTTCAGACTCAGCCTGCCTGCACCCAGGTGAAATAAACAGCCTTGTTGCTCACACAAAGCCTGTTTGGTGGTCTCTTCACACAGTTGCGCATGAAAAGAATCCTAAGGAATCTACAAATAACTTACCAGAATTCAGTGAATTTAGCAAGATCACAAAGTACATAGTCAAAATACAACAATCGTTTTTCTATAGGCTAGCATGAGACAACTCAAAAAATAAAATCTAAGATTATGCTATTTACCATAGAGACAAGTATATAAAATACTTAGAAAAATGTTTAGTCTTGAAATATCTTTATACTAGACAATTACAAAGATTCCCCAGAGAAATCAAAGCAGACATCAATAAATGGAGAGCCATGTGCATGAATTAGAAAACTAAATATTCCTAAAATGTGAAATTCTTCCCTAATTAATCTGTGTCTTCAATGCAGTCTCAACACGTTCCTAGAAGACTTTTCCTTACATAGAAATTAACAAGCTGTTTCTAAAATCTATATAGCAATGCAAAGGACCTAAAATCATTAAAGCAACCTTTAAAAAAACAACAAATTAAAAAGACTCTGCACCAAATTTCAAGACTTAAAGCCAAAGTAATCAAGATGAGGTGGTATTTTCATAGAAAAAGAGAGTCAGATCAGTGACTCAGAGTCCAGAAATAGACCCACACATATGCATTCTATTAATTTTTGATTAATAAATGCACTGACTACTCTTGGTTTGGTGATATATATATGAAAAATACAAATACAAACAGATTCATGTTTTTCTAACATATTAAAGTACCTGACAACATTCTTCAGGCAAAGGAAGAGATAAAGGGCAAAAGAAGATTATGGTCGAGCTCAGAGGTCTAGCACAAGCAAATCGAAAAGTAGAGATGATATAGATTATACTACATCTTAGAAGCAACACTATTATAGGCAAAGTGTAAAAAAACTCGTTTTAAGTATAATACAGGAGGGAGGCAAGAATAGCTGGGACTCTTGTAATGCATCCCACAGTCTAACTCCATAAGGATGATCTCATGATGTTTGGTTATTCATTCATTTTCAAGAGTGAGGTCCTTAAGCCTCTTTGAGAAAGAGAGGAGAGGGCATGGGGAATGGGGATAAAAGGAAACAAAAGAGCAAGGAGCTTTACGTGGGTGTGATCACGCAGGAGCTCAGGAAAGGATAATCCAGAATCCAGGCCTCAGAAACAAAAGTTTCTCTCTGACTTTCTGCTGCCTCCTGACTCTGACCTCTCATTCTCCCTGGGGCTACTAATAGGACCCAGACTATCTCTGGCCAGGCGCAGTGGCCCACGCCTGCAATCCCAACACTTTGGGAGGCCAGGGCGGGCAGATCTCCTGAGGTCAGATGTTTGAGACCAGACTGGCTAACATAGCGAAACCCCCTATCTACTAAGAATGCAAAAGTTAGTGCAGCGTGGTAGAGAGAGAGAGAGGGAGGAAAGGGGAGACAGAGAGAGAGAGAGAGAGAGAGAGAAGAAAGAAAGAAACAAAGAAAGAAAAATGGAAGGAAAGAAAGGAAGGAATGAAAGAAAGAGAAAGGAAGGAAGGAAAGAAAGAGAGGAAGGAAGGAAGAGGAAGGAGGGAAGGAAGGAAGGAGGGAAGGAAGGAAGGAGGGAAGGAAGGAGAGAAAGGAAGGAAGGAAAGAAAGAGAAAGGAGGGAAGGAAGGAGGGAGGGAAGGAAGGAAGGAGGGAAGGAAGGAAGGAAAGAAAAAAGAAAGAAAGGAAGCAAAGAGAAAGAAAGAAAAGAAAGAAAGAAAAGAAAGAAAGAAAGAAAGATTATCCCTTTCCCAGCGTGGGTTATAGAAACCAGAACCTCTTTTCCCTGACACCAACAATAAAACTGAAAATTATTACTCTGCCTCCCCCCACATCTTTTTTTTTTAAATTTTTCTTTAAAAAAAAAAAAAAAGAGACAGGGTCTCACTATGCTGCCCAGGCTGGCCTTGAATTCCTGGGCTCAAGGGATTCTCCTGCCTCAGCCTCCCAAAGTGGTAGGATTACAGGTGTGAGCCACCACTCCCCAGGCTCAATGACTTTCTATGCAAAAACTGACCATAAATAAATTGTCTGACCTACCTTGTTTGATGGTAGGTCATAATAGCCCCATTCCAGAGAGGGTCCTGCCCCACACCCAGAAGGAAGAAACGTGGCACAGAGAGGCCAAGAAGAATCTACGCAGACTGGCCTTGCTGGGTTTCCTCACTCAGTCTGTCAGCATTAGACCAGAACCTATGGCCCAATCCTGTTTCTACAGGGCTGTGCATATTGTGATGGACCTAAGCATAAAAACGAACAATTTCCTCTATATCTTTGGATCTTCATTCTGAAGGCTCCCATGTCACATAAAACTATGATCTAATAAATTTGTATGCCTTTTCTCTCATTAATCTGCCTTTTGTCAGTTGACTTTCAGTGAACCATCAGAGAGTGAAGGGGAAGTTTCCCGTGGCCCTGCGATAATAATATGCCATCGAATGAAGAGCGTGATGGCATCAATGCTCTCTATCTGAATGACCGTCTGTCTATTTGTGCTCTACCTTACAGAAATTTGTTGGAATCTGTGGCCCACTGAAGTTAGGGACAAAAAAGTCCCTAACTTCATTGATGATACTCTCTGTATATATTTTAATTTTTATTTACTTATTTATTTTTATTTATTTATTTATTTATTTTGAGACAGAATCTTGCTCTGTCGCGCAGGCTGGAGTGCAGTGGCACGATCTCGGCTCACTACAACCTCCGCCTCACGGTTCAAGCAATTCTCGTGCCTCAGCCTCCCAAGTAGCTGGGATTACAGGCACGTACCACCATACCCAGTTAATTTTTGTATTTTTAATAGAGACGGGGTTTCACCATGTTAGCCAGGCAGGTCTTGAACTCCTGACCTCAAGTGATCTGCCTGCCTTGGCCTCCCAAAGTGCTGGGATTACAGGAGTGAGCCACTGTGCCCGACCTCTATACATATATTTAAATTGTTACTTTCTTTCTAACATATATGTGATCTGTGATAGAAAATAATGTGTCATTAATCATAATTTCTAAACGTGGCATTTACGAAAACAACATTTTGCATTTTGAATGATAAATTTCCAGCTACAGTTACAAAAATATATCCGAGAAAATGAACCAAAAGAGACTGAGATGGAATTGCCAAGGCCTCTCTGTTGGATACTTCTTGTCCCACTGGTTTTCATCTTTCACTCCGGCGTGATAGCTTTTGACATGTAAATGTATCCATTCGAGGCCACTAGATGGCAGTCTACTCAAAAACACGGCTTGCTCCTTTTTCTTTCCACAAGGCTAAGGAATTATGTTAGCATTTGACCTGTTCTCTCCCTCCAAAACCTAGCAAACCCAAGTTTTCATGAGTTTGCTAAGAACAAAAGTAGTTATCCTGAGTACCTAATACCTGAACAAAAAGTTTTTGCTATTTTCAACAAAGGAAACATTTGTCACAACAGGAATTCACTGGAGTTAGACAGAGAAAGGGTCCCAGCCATGAGTTCACTAAAAGGTACAACATCTCTCCCTCTGTCTCTCTCCCTTTAACTCTCCTTCTTTCTCTCTTTCTTTCTTTCTTCCCGTCTTCCTTCCTCCCTCTTTCTTTTTTCTTTCTTCCCTCCCTCCCTTTATTTTCCCACTCCCTCCCCTCTTTCTTTTTCTCTTTCTTTCTTTCTTTCCTCTCTCTCTCTCTCTCTCTTCCTTCCTTCTTTCCTCTCTCCCCACTTCCTTAATATGGTTTGGCTGTGTCCCCACCCAAGTCTCATCTTGAATTATAGCTCCCATAATTCTCACATGTTGTGGGAGGAACCCAGTGGGAGGTAATTGAATGATGGGGGTGGGTCTTCCCATGCTGTTCCTGTGATAGTGAATAAGTCTTATGAAATCTGATGGTTTTATAAACGGCAGTTTCTCTGCACATGCCTTCTTGCCTGCTGCCATGTAAGACGTGCCTTTGCTCCTCCTTCACATTTTGCCATGATTATGAGGCCTCCTCAGCCATGTGGATCTGTGAGTCCATTAAAGCTCTTTTGTTATAAATTACACAGTCTCAGGTATGTCTTTATTAGCACCATGAAAATGGACTAATACACACCTTGTCCCACTCTTTCTTCTCTCCCTCCCTCCCTTTCTGTCTTCCTCCTTCACTCTCTCTCTTTCTTCCCTCTCACCCTCCCTCCCTTCCTTCCTTCACTTTGTTTATTTTTTGTTTCCTCACTTCTCTGGCATCTTCCGTGCTGGTTTCAGCCTCTGGAGTGTTGTAGAGGTGAAGAGGGAAAGCTTCCCCCTTCTCCCTCTGAAGGTCCACTGAAAATGAACTGACAAGAGGCCAATTAATAGGAAAAAACAGCATACAAATTTATTTTAACATGCATAGCACTGGGGAATCCCAGGAGAATGAATTCCCAATAACCCAATGAGGTCCAGATTCTTATATACTCTTCTTCAGAGGGGAAGAGGAGGTGAGAGTCTGTAGGAGAAAATGATTTTTAGGGAGGTCTGAAGGGACCCAGGAGGCAGATATTTATCTTGTAAATGATGCTCTTTAGAACTGAGAGGTAACAGAGAACAGATAACAGTTTGAGACAAAGTTCATTTGCATTCCAGGTATGGTGTTTAACTTCCCATCTCTTCCTCTGTGATGAGTTTTAATCTTCCCTGGTTAATGAAATTTCAGGGGACAGATGCAAGGGTTCCAATTGTGTTCTCTTTTGAAGCCTAGTTTCTAGGTTAACAAGGGGACTTCAGAGAACAGCCTCATCTTGTGTTTGGGAGAGAGAGATTGAACGGATTGGAGGGGAGGTTAGAGAGATCTTGACACTGCTTCTTTGGTTCCATTTCTAGCAAGTTTTCTGAGCCCCAACAGTATACACAAATACATGAAACCAGAGGTTGGCACTCTGGGAGAAATGACGCTGCCATGCAGTTTCTGGCCTGGCACCTCTAGTAATCTTCTTCACCTGGCTAAGTTTTTTTGTTTTGTTTTGTTTTGTTTTGTTTTGTTTTGTTTGAGATGAAGTCTCCTTCTGTCACCCAGGCTGGAGTGCAGTGGCGTGATCTAGGCTCACTGCAACCTCCACCTCCTGGATTCAAGCAATTCTCATGCCTCAGCCTCCCAAGTGGCTGGGATTACAGGCACGTGCCACCATAATAGAGATGGGATTTCACCATGTTGGCCAGTCTCGAACTCCTGTCCTCAGGTGATCCGCCCACCTCGGCCTCCTAAAGTGCTGGGATTACAGGCATGAGCCACTGCACCTGGCCTTCACCTGGCTTAGTTTTGCATAGCCTACAGAACAGGAGGCTGCTTCTTCCTTGGTCCCTGACCTCTTGCTCCTTGATGTTGTCCGGGGGTGCAAGGATCATTCCCCCAGTCACTTGCACATGGGAAGAGAGCAAAATCAGGGGCCAGCTGTAGTTAAGACAAAGGGAATCCAGGACTGAGCGTCCCCACCCTCTGGGTGGTACTCTATCACCCAACAAGTACATTACCTAACAAACTCTAGGTCTCAGTTTCTTTATCTATAAAAGAGGATAATAATTTTACCTACCTCATTTTTTTAATATAAAATGGATAAAGTACTTAAAACAATACCTGAGACATGGTATGTGGTCAATGAATGTTAGTGCTAATAACACTGATGATTATTACTATTATAAACACAGCAAACATAAAGTTAAAAGAGAGTTAAGATTACCAAGGAGCAGATGAAATGACTGATAGTTGCTTATTGTTGTGGTGGTGGTTTTGTTTTGTTTTTCAGACAAAATTTTGCTCTGTTGCCCAGGCTGGAGTGCAGTGGCACAATCATAGCTCACTGCAGCCTCAACCTCCTGGGCTAAAGTGATACTCCCAGCTCAGCCTCCTGAGTAGCTGGGACTACAAGCGCATGCTGCTATGCCTGTTAATTTTTGTATTTTTTGTAGAGATGGGGCTTCACTCTGTTTCCCAGGCTGGTCTCTAACTCCTGAGCTCAAGGGATCCACCCATCTTGGCCCCACAAAGTGCTGGAATCACAGGCATGAGCCACTGCACCTGGCTAGTTGTTTTTTTTATTTCGAAGCTTTACCTTAAAAATCTCTTTGGACTGAGAAGTAGGGCTTTTCCATGGTTGAAAGTCCAAATGTTTGGTAACAGAGTAGGATGGCTGTAGTTAGCAACGGTGTATTGTATATTTCAGAGTAGCTAGAAGAGAGAACTTGAAATGTCCCCCCACACATATGAATGATAAATACTCAAGGTGATGGGTACCCCAAATACCGTGACCTCATCATTTCACATTCTATGCATGAAGCAAATATCACATGTACTCCGTACATACGTAAAAATATTATGTATCAATTGTTGCCCTGCCTTTACCAGGTCAAAACACAGACTGAAAGCAGCATCCAGACATTCTTAATGACTCCTAGCAATCTTCCTTGGGCTGTGGATGAGGAAAGGGGACCCAGAAAGATACATACCATAAATATTTGCAGGATTCTTAGAGACTAGTAAATAAATTCAGGATTGTTACCTAGAGAGAGATGCATTTAGAGTTTGAGGCTTTAATCTCATAAAAATAACAGATTGAGGCATCCAAAAATTAAACCCGTGCCGTGGAGGAACAGGGCTGTGCCATAGAGGGTGTTTAGAGACCAGCAGAGTAGTCTACCCTTTGTTTTATTTCAGAATGTCACATCTAAAACAGTAAAGATCCTGCCGTCTTGCTCCCAGATGATATGTAATTGTTCGAAAATAAGAATAATTTTTCATCATGGAAAGATATCCTACTCAGGTGGGAGGAAATGGCTCTTCTTTCTGGAAGGAGGAGTTACAGCAAATAAAGAAATCATGTGGTACATATACACCACGGAATACTATGCAGCCATAGAAAGGAATGAGATCATGTCCTTTGCAGGGACATGGATGAAATGGGAAGCCATTATCCTCAGCAAACTAACACAGGAACAGAAAACCAACACCACATGTTCTCACTCATAAACGGGAGCTGAAAAATGAGAACACATGGACACAGGGAGGGGAACAACACACACCAGGGCCTGGTGGTGAGGTGGGAGGATGGAGAGCATCAGGATAAACAGCTAATGCATGCTGGGCTTAATACTTAGGGGATGGGTTGATAGGTTTAGCAAACCACCATGACACACATTTACCTATGAAACAAACCTGGACATCCTGCACATGTGTCCTGGAACTTAAAATAAAATAAAATGTTTTTAAAAAGGAAGTCATGGCCTTGTTACCTTCCAGATCAAGAAGAAAGGTAAACTTAAAATATTTTAACCATGTGACACCTTACTTTGTCATCAGCTGTGGTTATACATAGAGCTTCTTAAGTAGCATTCCCGATTATTATGAGAGATTTTTTTGTAAGATGTAGGAGTACAGGCACAGAAAGGGAGACAGTTTGGGTTGTTTTTATCACGTAAGAAACCTGTTCAGAAATCAGAACTAATATTCCAGGCAGCCACACTTTATTATTTCTGAAAATTACTTTCCTTGCTTAAGGCTTTCTTGTCAGACTTTCAGAAATCACAGACTTAAGTTTCTCTAAGATGTCCTGCTATGCTCCTAAAGCCTGAGGACTTCATTAATGGCTCTCCCAGGTTTGCAACAACTTCTTCTTAAATCTCCTGGAGAGTGCACGCTCCTGAACATACACAACGTGTCCAAAGATTTTGACACTAAGAGTCACCTCTTTTAAAAAAAAAAGAAAAGAAAAACAAAACAAACAACAACAAAAACAAGCAACAAAAAAGAAAGCTTGTTTTGACTTTTTTGAGACCACATTCTTCTAGTTTTTTTACAACTTCTTTTAAGGTGCTGCTGAAGCGGCTTCCTTGTCTGGGGTGATACCCGAGATTCGTTGTCTCAAGGCCACGGAAAACTAGCACGTGAACACACAAAGAGTGAGCTTCAGAGTAGAAATTTAATAGGCGAAAAAAACAGAAGAGCTCTCTGCTGCAGAGAAGGGTCCCAAGAAAATGGGTTGCCAGTTCCAAGGTGAAAAGGGTTTTATAGATGAGCCTGTAGAGGCGATGTCTGATTTAGATAGGGCACAAAAGATTGGTTGGACCAGGTATGCCATTTGCATAGGGTGAGAAAAACTGGTTAGGGCTGGGTGTGTCATTAGCAGAGGGCATGAAAAGCTGTCTGCGCTCACCCTAATCTTTTACTATGCAGATGGGTTCTCTATCTGGCCAGCGCCATGTTGCCCATCTCTTTATTGCACATGTGGTAACAAAAAAGGGAAGATGGAACCTCCATGTTGGATATGCCTGGCCACCAGGTAGCCCTCTTCTATTGGCACAGCTGCCGGCATTCTCCCGTGCAGGCTTCCAGCTTGCTTATCTATGTTTGCAGCTTGATTTTTCAGGCTGCTCTTTGTTGGAAAAAAATAATTTCTTGGGCTGCTTTTTGTTAACAGGGAAGCCTTGCCGAGGACTCTTTTATCTTCACTATCTGCCTAAATAATTTTTTTCCATCTCCTGCATCACTGTTTCTCAATTTGCTATACGAACCATTGTTTCCAGTAAGGTTGCAGAATTTGGGGTAAGGAAGATTCTGTTATCAGCTCTTTATTTACACCATGCAATCGCCAGTCCAGCCCTGCCCCTACTGTCCGGGCAATCACTGTTCTGATATTTTCCTACTGTAGATTGGTTTGGGCTATTGTAGAATGCCATGGAAATAGAAACGTGTAGTGTGTACTTTTTCAGTAATAACCTGCAGGTAACAAATACTCTATTTCTATCATTTTATTCAAGCAAAATGACATGAATGACTGAAAAAGCATGTGGAGCACAAGACTCAAGAACTAAGTGAAAGGACTCACACTTCCTGATTTCAAGTAAAGCTACAGCAATCAAGACGTGGCATTGATGTAAGAATAGACACATCAATGAATGAAACAGAATACATCTTCCAGAAATAAATTCACACAAATATAGTCAAGAGGTTTTTTGTGTGCTAAAGTGTATATAATATTTACCATTTTAACCATTTTTAAGTGCACAGTTCAGAAGCATTAAGAATAAACAATGTTGTATAACCATCACCATTATCCAGTTCCAGAATTTTTCATCACCTCACACAGAAACTCTGTACCTATTATCAACAATAAATTTTCATTCCCCCCTTGCCCTCAGTCTCTGGTAACCACTATTGAACTTTCTGTTTCTATGAATTTGCCCCTTCTCAGTGCCTAATATGAGTGGAATAATACAATATGGGTCCTTTGTGCCTAGTTTATTTCACTTACTGTAATGTTTTCAAGGTTCATCCATGTTATAATATGGATCAGAATTTTATTTCTTTTCAAGCATGAATAATAGTCCATGGTATGTCTATACCACATTGTTTATCCATTCATCAGCTGATGGATATTTGGGGGTTGTTTCTATCTTTTGGCTATTGTAAATGATGATGTTATGAACAATGGTGTATAATGTCTGTTTGAGCACTGCTTTGAATTGTTTGGGGTATATACTTAGGAGCGGAATTACTGGATCATATGTCAATTCTATGTTTAATTTTTGAGGAACTGTCGAGCTGTCTTTCACAGCAGCTGCATAATTTTACATTCCCACCACAATGCATAAGAGCTTCAGTTTCTCAAAATCTTTACCAACATTTATTTTTCTTTTTAAAAATATATAATAGCCATACTAATAGTATAAAGTAATATTTCATTGTGCATTTGATTTGCATTTCCCTAATGATAACTGATGTTGAGCATCTTTTCACGTGCTTGTTGACCATTTGTATATCTTCTTTTGAGATATGTCTAATCAAGTCCTTTGTCCATTTTTTAATTGGGCTGGGTATTATTCTTCTGTTATTGTTGAGTTGCAGGAGTTCTTTATATATTCTGCATAAAAGTTCCTTATCATATATTGATTTTCAAAATCTCTCTCCTATTCTATGGGTTGTTTTGATTTTTTTTTTTTTTTTGCTTTCTCAACAGTGTCCTTTAATGTGTAAAATCTTTTAATTTTGATGAAGTCCAGTGTATCTACTTTTTTCTTTTGTTGCCTGTGATTTTGTTGGCATTTTCAATAAATCACTGCCAGATCTAATGTTATGAAGCTTTTGCTCTGTGTTTTCTTCTAGGAGGTGTTTTATAATTTCTACATTTCTACTTAGGTTTCTGATCCATTTCGAGTCAATTATTATATGCAATATAAGATAAAGATCCAAGGTCATTGTTTTGCATGTGAATATGTGTTTTTCCCAGCACCAATTATGAAGATAGTCAACGGATTTCTAATAAAGATACTGAAGAAATTCAATGCAGAAAGGGTAGTCTTTTCAAGATCAAGTCCTGGAACAGCTGGACATCCATATGCAATTCTGTAGGAAAATGTTAGTGTTACCCTATGCTGCTGTTCTCATGATAGTAAGTTCTCATGAGATCTGATGGTTTTATAAGGGGCATTTCTCCCTTCTTCTTGGCACCTCTCCTTCATGCCATCATGTGAAGAAGGACACGTTTGCTTTTCCTTCTGCCATGATTGTAAGTTTCCTGAGGCTTCTCCAGCCCTGAGGAACTGCGAGTCAATTAGAACTCTTTCCTGGCCAGGCATGGTGGCTCATGCTTGTAATCCAAGCACTTTGGGAGGCCGAGGCGGGGCAGATCACTTGAGGCCAGGAGTTCGAGACCAGCCTGGCCAACATGGTGAGACCCTGTTTCTACTAAAAATAAATAAATAAACAAATAAATAAACTCTTTCCATTATAAATTACCCAGTCTCGGGTATGTCTTTATTAGCAACATGAGAATGGACTAATAGAGAGGTTTTAGAGATAATATCAAAAGGAAAATCCATGAAAGAAAAATTGGTAAGGGGCTGGGCGCAGTGGCTCACGCCTATAATCCCAGCACTTTGGGAGGCCGAGGCGGGTGGATCACCTGAGCTCAGGAGTTCAAGACCAGCCAAGCCAACATGATGAAACCCTGTCTCTACTAAAAATACAAAAATTAGCTGGATGTGGTGGTGCATGCCTGTAATCCCAGCTACTCAGGAGGCTGAGGCAGGAGAATCACTTGAACCCGGGAGACAGAGGTTGTAGTGAGCCAAGATTGTATCACTGCACTCCAGCCTTTCCAACAGAGTAAGACTCCATCTCAAAAAAAAAAAAAAAAAAAAAGAAAGAAAAATAGGTAAGTTGAACTTTTCAAAATTAAGAACATAATTCTATTTACAGTAGCATCCAAAAGAATAAAATACCTAAGAGTAAATGTAACCAAGGAGGTGAAAGACTCATACACCTAAAACTACAAAACATTGAAAAAAATAAAGAAGACCTAAATAAAAAGAAAGACATTATTCATCTATAGATTAAAAGACTTAATATTAAGATATTTTAGCAGCATTAGTTTTAGCAGCATTAGTGATCTACAGATCAAATGTAATTCCTATAAAAATTCCAACAACCTTTTATTCAGAAATGGGACAGACAGTCCTCAAACTTCTATGGAATTGAAGAGGATCTCAAATAGCTACAACAATATTGAAAAAAGCAAAACAAAGTTGAAAGACTAAAACTTCTCAATTTTAACACTTATTTCAACTCTATGGTAATATAAAATTCTACACACACAACAATGGAATAAAATTGAGAGTCTAGAAATAAACCCAAATATCTATGGACAACTGACTTTCAACAAGCGTGCAAAGATCATTTAATGGGGAAAGAAAAGTATTTTCAACAAATGATGTTGGGACAACTGGACATCCACATGCTAAAGAATAAATTTGGACTCCTACTTTACTTCATATACAAAAATTAATACAGAATAGATTAATTACATAAATATAACCACTAAAACAATAAAACTCTTAGAAGAAAACAGTAGATTTCTATATCTGACACCAAAAACATGGTAATAAAAGAAAAAATTGATAAATTAGACTTTACCAAAATTAAAAACTATTGTGCATTAAATGACACTATCAAAAGAGTAAAAACACTGCCTACTGAATGAGAGAACATATCTGCAAATCTTATATCTGATAATGGTGTCATACGTGGACTATATAAAAAACTCTCGCAACCTAGCAACAGAAAGACAAACAAACAAATTTAAAAGTGGTTAAAGGACTTGAATAAACATTTCTCAAAAGAAGATATGAAAATAGCCAACGACCACATAAAAATATGTTCGACATCGTTGGTCATTAAGGTAATGTAAATCAAGATCACAAGATCCCACTTTACATGCATGAGGACAACAATGTTTAAGAAAAAAAAAAACTGAACATAACAAGTGTTGGTAAGGATATGGAGAAATAGAAACCCTCTTACATTGGGAATCTAAAATGGTGCAGCTACTTTGAAAAACAGTTTGATAGATCCTCAAAAAGTGAAACATAAAATTAACATATGACCCCACAATTTCATTCAGATTTATACCCAAGAGAAACGAAAATATAAATCATCACAGAAACTTGTACATGAATGTTTATAGCAGCATTAAGCATAGTAACCAAAAGGTGGAGACAACCCAAATATCCATCAATGAATGAAGGGATAAACGAATTGTGGTATATACATGCAATGGCATATTACTCAGACATGAAAAGGAAATAAATATCAATACATGCTACAACTAGGATGAATCTCAAAAACAGTATGCTAAGTAAGAAGCCGTACACAAAAGGTCATAAATTGTATAATTTTTATATGAAATATCCACAATAGGCAAATACATAGAGACAGAAAGTAGATTAATGGTTGCCAGGTGATAGTGAGAGAATAGAATAAGTAATTACTTAAGAGGTTTGGGGTTTCTTCTTATGTGAGGAGAAAGTTTCAAAACTAGAGAGAGATGGTGGCTGCACAACATTCTGAATGCACTAAATATCCATGAATTGTACACTTTAAAATGGTTAATTGCATGTTATATAAATTTCACCTTAACAAAATAAAGTCCCTTGCTTTGTGAAAAAAACTGTTAAGAGAATGAAAATACAAGACACAGGTGCAGACCAAAAATTGCAAAACAGATCTATGATAAATGACTTGTTTTTAAAATACACAAAGAATGCTTAAAACCAAATAGAAGAAAACAAATGACCCAATTAAAAATGGGACAACATCCAGAATGGCTGAGAACCTCCAGAAATCTGCTCTTCCACAAAAATAATTAGTACCCTGACCCCAAAAGTTGTCCAAATCAACATTTTCAGAACTCTAGAAATTGAATAAGATTTGAAAAAACTCTAGGAGCTTTTATTCAAGAAAACCAACTGAATCTTGAAAAGAAGAATGAACTTTGGGGCATTATGACTTGCCCTAATCCCATCCTCCTCTGTCCAGCTTCACAGTAGCCATGGAAAACAACAGCCTCACAACTACAGTGGTTGTGAAAAACACTGACAGCCTAGCAGCCACTGTAAGGGACAGAAGAGATTTGGATCTCCCAAAAATCCCTTCTTTAGAGATTATTATTACAGACATACCACATTTTATTGTGCTTAACTCTATTGCATTTCCTCAATACTGCATTTTTTACAAATGTTAAGATTTGTGGTAACCCTGCAATGAACAAGTCTATGGACATTACTTTCCAACAGTATGTGCTCAATCAGTGTCTCTACGTAACATTTGGTAATTATCATGATATTTCAAACTTTTTCATTATTATATCTGTTATGGTGATCTGTGATCGGTGATCTTTGATGTTAGTATTTTAATTGTTTTGGGGCGCGATGAACTGCACCCATATTAGATGGCAAGCTTAATCAATAAATGTCGTGTGTGTTCTGACTGCTGCATCAATAAGCCATTACTCCATCTCTTTCCCTCTCCATGGGCCTCCCTATTCCCTGGTATACCATAATATTGTAATGAGGCCAATTAATAATCCTACAATGGCCTCCAGATGTTCAAGTGAAAGGAAGAGTCACATGTCTTTCACTTAAAATCAAAAGCTAGAAATGATTAACCTTAGTGAGGAAGATGTATCAAAAGTTGAGACAGGCCAAAAGCTAGGCCCCTGTGCCAAACAGTCAAGTCGTGAATGCAAAGGAAAACTTACTGATGGAAATTTAAAGTGCTACTCCAGTGAAAATACAAATGATAAGAAAGCAAAACAGCCTTATTACTGACATGGAGAAAGCTTGAGTGTTCTGGATAGAAGATCAACCAGCCACAACATTCACTTAAGCCAAAGCCTAACCCAGAGCAAGACCCTGACTCTCTTCAATTCTGTGAAGGCTGAGAGAGGTGAGGAAGCTGCAGAAGAAGGGTTGGAAGCTAACAGAGGTTGGTTCATGAAGTTTAAAAAAAGAAGCCATGTCTGTAACATAAAAGTGCAAGGTGAAGCAGCAAGTGCTGATGTAGAAGCTACAGCAAATTATCCGGAAGATCTAGCTAAGGTAATTAATGAAAGTGGCCACACTAAATAAAAGATTTTCAGTGTTGATGAAACAGCCTTCCATTGGAAGAAGATGCCATACCGGATTTTCATAGCTAGAGAAGAAAAGCCAGAAAAGCTTCAAAGGACAGGCTGACTCTCATGTTAGGGGCTAATGCAGCTGGTAACTTTAAGTTGAAGCCAGTGCTCACTTACCATTCTGAAAATCCCAGGGCCCTTAAGAATTATGCTAAATCAACTGCCTGTGCTTTATAAATGAAAGAACAAAGCCTGGATGGGCATGGTTTACTGAATATGTTAAGCTCACTGTTGAGTCCTACTTCTCAGATGGAAAGGTTTCCTTCAAAATATTAGTGCTCATTGACAGTGCACCTGGTCATCCAACAGCTCTGATGGAGATGTACAAGGAGATTAATGTTTTCATGCCTGCTAACACAGCATCCATTCTGCAGCCCATGGACCAAGGTAATTTCAACTTTCAGTCTTATTTAAGAAATACATTTCCTAAAGCTATAGCTGCCATAGAAAATGATTCCTCTGATGGATCTGGGCAAAATAAATTGAAAATCTTCTGAAAAGGATTCACCATTCTAGATGCCATTAAGGACATTTATGTTTCATTGTGGAAAGTCAAAATATCAACATTCACAGGAGTTTGGAAGAAGCTGGTTCCAACTTTACGGAAGACTTCAAAGGGCTTAGGACTTCAGTGTAGAAACTGTAGATGTGGTAGATATAGGAAGAGAACTAGAATTAGAAGTGGAGCCTGAAGATGACACTGAATTGCTGCAATCTCAGGATAAAGCTTGAATGAGTAAGGAGTTGCTTCTCATGGATGAGCAAAGACTATGGTTTTTTAATATGGAATCTACTTCTGATAAAGATGCTGTGAACATTGTTAAAATGACAACAAAAGATTTAGAATATTGCATAAACTAGTTGGCAAAGCAGCAGCAGGGTTTGAGACGATTGACTCCAATTTGGAAAGATGTTCTACTGTGAGTAAACAGCATCATACGCTACAGAGAAATTTTTAGTGAAAGGAAAAGTCAATTGATGTGGCAAACTTCACTGTTGTCTTATTTTAAGAAAGTGCCACAGCCACCCCAAGTTTCAGCAACCACCACTTTCATCAGCCATTAACATCGAGGCAAGACCTTTCACCAGCAAAAAGATTACAAACTCACTGAAGGCTCAGATGATTGTTAGCATTTTTCAGCAATAAAGTTTTTTTATTATGGCATGCAGATTGCTTTTTTAGACATAATGATACTGCACATTTAAAAGACTTCAATGTATTAGAAACTTAACTTTTATTTTTATTTTTTGAGATAGGCTCTCACTCTGTCACCCAGGCTGGAGTGAACTGGCATGATTACAGCTCACTGCAGCCTCCAATTCCTGGGCTGAAGTGATCTTCCCACCTCACCTCACTGATTAGGTGGGACCACAGGCGTGTGCCACCACACCTGGATAACTTTTTTATTTTTTGTAGTGATGAGGTCTCACAATATTGCTCAGGCTGGTCTTGAACTCCTGGGCTCAAGTGATCCTTCTGCCTTGACCTCCCAAAGTGCTGGAATTACAGGCATGAACCATCTGTGGCCTCCCAAGTGCTGGAATTATAGGCATGATTGTTATGTTACACTCAGCCTGTAAACATAACTTTTATATGCCTTGGGAAACAAAAATATTTATGTGATATTCACTTCATTACAATGATCTGAAACCAAACCCACAATATCTCTGAGGCATGCTTATAGTTAGACTGTCTGGAATCTCAATGAAAAAGTCAATTATCAGAGTTTTTCTCTATTTGATATGACTTAGGGCTTGCTCTGTCTGAGCAGCCTTATCTCCAGGGCATTCATCGAAAACAATCAGTGGTGGCCGGGCGCGGTGGCTCATGCTTGTAATCCCAGCACTTTGGGAGGCCAAGGCGGGCGAATCATGAGGTCAGGAGATCAAGACCATTCTGGCCAATGTGGTGAAACCTCGTCTCTACTAAAAATACAAAAAGTTAGCTGGGCTTGGTGCACACACCTGTAGTCCCAGCTACTCGGGAGGCTGAGGCAGGAGAATTGCTTGACCCCAGGAGGCGGAGGTTGCAGTGAGCCGAGATCGCACCACTGCACTCCAGCCTGGGCGACAGAGTGAGACTCTGTCTCAAAAAAATAGTGGTAACTGTTTAACGTTGCAGCTTCCTGAATCAGTGTTGGCACTCGAGACTAACAAAAAGCTGACCAAAAAAAAAAAAAAAAAAAAAATTAAAAGGAATTGAGATGTCCTTAGGGAATTTCAAAAAGTTTTGTCATATTCCTGAGAATCTAGAAGATGACCTGCATTTGCAGGGCTGTATAGATGCTCAAGAAAGGTTCAGTTTTCACCTCTGATTGACTTTGAGGCCCTGAGCAAGTAGAAGAGGGGTTTTCTGCAAGAAGAAAGTGAAAGCATAACAGGGAATTGAAGATATGCCACATACAGAATATTGTCCCTGGCAAAAGCTGAGGGACATATCGATTCAAGGCATTTTAAGAAATTTCTGTCTGATTATTAGCTGACCCTTAATCTAACTGCAGTTACTGCAGTGGCCACACATGATGAAGAATACAAACTTTCCAGAATTCTTTCAGGAAACAGCAGCAACAACTACTGCAACAAAAGCAATAAACCCTGAGTTAGGGGAGGGGGATCTAATTTCCAGATTTGCCACATTATATTATTTTAAATACCCAATTTTTAACAAGAGATTAACACACATAAAAAAACATGAAAAAATGGTTCATGCACAAGAAAATATACAATGAAAAAGATAAAAAAGAAAAAGGAAAAAATTGAAGAAATGATAGCGCAAAAATGTCCCAAATTTGGTAAAAAAAAAAAAAAAAAATTAATTTGCACATGCAAGCAGGATAAACTCAAAGAGATCCACACCTAGACACGTTGTAGTTGAAATGTCAAAAGCCAAAAAAAAGTGAGAATATCTTGAAAGTTGCAAGAGAAAAGCAGTTTATTACATACAAGGAGTCCTAAATAATATGAATAGCTTACTTGTCATCAGAAACCATGAAGGCCAGAAGACTGTGAGATAACATATTCAATTTGATGAACAACAACAACAAAAAAATCCTGTTAAACAGAACTTTATATCCAACAATACTATTCTTCAAAAACAAGGGAAAAATTTAAAAATTCCCAGATAATCAAAAGCTGAGAGAATTTCTTATTATGAGACCTACCCTAGAAGAAATACTAAAAGAAGTACTTAGGGTTTAAATGAAAGGACATTAAGCAGTAACTTGAATCCACAAAACTAAATAAAAAGCACTGGTAAAAGTAACTACATAAGTTAATATAAAAGACAATATAAATATATTTTTGTTTGTAACTCTTTTATTCTTCTATCTGATGTAAAAGACAACTGCATAAAGTAATAACTATAAAACGATGTTGATCAGCTAATAAAGCACAAAGCTATAATTTGTACAGCAATAGTGCAAAGGAGAGTAGAGGAAACTCAGTTGAATTGAAGCAAAGTTTTTACTATTGAAATTAAGTTGGTATTAATCTGAATTAGGTTGTTGTATTTTAAATTAAGATGTAAATTATAATCACCAAAGGAATCATTAAGGAAATCTCAAAAATTAGCAAAAGGAGGTAAAAAGTAATTAAAATGGTATACTACAAAATATGTATTTAACACAGAAAAGGCAGCTAAGGCAGAATAGAGAAAAAAAGCACATGAGTGTATTAGGGTTCTCTAGAGGGACAGAACTAATATATACGTATATTTTATATATATATAAAAAACTATATATATTACTTATATATAAACTGTTAGCCAGAACTTTATATCCAACTTTATATAATATACATTGTATATAATATATATTACTAATATATATTACTATATAATATAATATAGTATATATAAGTAATATATATTAGTAATATATATAATATATATTACTTATATGTTATATTTTTAATATATATATATAAAGGGGTGTTTATTAAGTATTAATTTACATGATTACAAGGTCCCACAATAGGCTGTCTGCAAGCTGAGGAGCAAGGAGAGCCAGTCCAAGTCCCAAAACTAAAGAACTTGGAGTTCGATGTTCGAGGACAGGAAGCACCCAGCACGGGAGAAAGATGTAGGCTGGGATGCTAGGCCAGCCTCTCTTTTTCAAGTTGTTCTGCCTGCTTTATATTTGCTGGCAGCTGATTAGATTGTGCCCACTAGATTAAGTGTGGATCTGCCTTCCCCAGCCCACTGACTCAAATGTTAATCTCCTTTGCAACACCCTCACAGACACACCCAGCATCAACACTTTGTATCTTTCCATCCAATCAAGTTGACACTCGGTATTAACCATCACAATGAGATATACAGTAAACAAATAGGAAAATAGATGGAAATAGTATCTCATCAGTAAATTCATCAAATGCAAATGAACTAAGCACTTGAATCAAAAGGGAGAGATTGGCAGAATAGATTTTTTTTAAATGATCCAACTCTATATTCTCTCTCTAAAAAAAAAAAAAAACAGTTCAAATTAAGACACAATTGACTTGAAAATAAAAGAATGAAAAAAAGTATACCATGCACATAGCAACCAAATGACACCTTAAGTGGCTATACTAACCTCAGAAAATGTAGACATTAAGACAAAAATTATTACTAAAGACACTGAGGACATTTTATAATAACAGGGGAAACCCATCAGGAAGACATACCAATTATAAACAGATATATGTACCATGCAACAGAACCCCAAAATACATGAAGCTGAAACTAACAGAATTAAGGAGAAAAATAGAAAGTTTAACAATAACAGAGACTTTAATACCCTAATTTAAAAAATGTACAGAACTACACCAAAGATGAACAAAGAAATGGAAAACTTGAACAACACTAAACCAACTACACCTTACAGATACCTGTAGACCATTTGAGAAAACAGCAAAATATGCATTCTTCCTAATGTACACAGGAACATTCTCTGGGAAAGACTACATGTCAGGCCACTAAAACAAACTTCAATACATTTAAATGAAATAAAATTATACAGAGTATGTTCTCAGAACAAAATGGAATATAAACAGAAATCAATGACAAGAGGAATTTTGGAAAATTCACAAATATGTGGAAATTAAACACAACGCTAATAAATGACCAATGGGCCAAAGATGAAATCCCCAAGGGAAATTAGAAAATAATTGGAGATGAAGGGAAACAAAAATACAGCATACCAAAACATATGGGAAGCAGCTAAGCCAATGCTTAAATGAATACTTCTAGCTATAAACACCTACCTAAAATGAAGAAAGATTTCAAATTAAAAACTTATTCTTCTACCTTAAAAAACTAGAAAAGAAGAGCAAATTTAAGGTGAAACAGCAGAAAAAAAGGAAATTATTAAGATCAGAGTGTAAATAAATGAGACTGAGAATAGAAAAATAGAGAAAATCAACAAAGCCAAAATTTTTTTATTTGAAAGCATTGATAACATTCTCAAAAGTTTCACTAGACTGAATAAGAAAAAAAGAGAGAAAACTCAAATTACTAAATCAGGAATGAAAAGAGGACATTACTACTGACATTACTGAAACAAAAAGAATTATAAGAGATTGCTATGGACAATTGTACTTCAACATATTAATATAGGTGAAACAGACAGATTTCTACAAATATAAAAACCACCCGAACTGACTCAGGAAGAATTACAACCTCTGAATAAATGTATAAAAAGCAAAGTGATTATACTGTTAATAACAAAACTTCTTACCAAAAAAGTCCAGTCCCAGATAGCATCATTGATGAATTCCACCAAATATTTAAAGATGAATTAACATGAATCCTTTATAAACTTTTCAAAAAAATGTATACATATAGGTACATATAGGAGCACAGGGAACATTTTCCCAACTCATTCTACAAGACCAGTATTATCCAAAGATATCACCTGTTTAATTATAAGAGTAACATCAGATATACTCAAATAAAATAACAGTAAGCAAAATATCTGGCCATTAAGTGCTCCTCAAAACTGTCCAGGTCATTGAAAACAAAGAAAGTCCAGGAAACGGTCACAGTCCAGAGAAGTTGAAGGAAATATGATGACTAAATGTAACATGGTATCCTTGGAACAGAAAAAGGACATTAGGTAAAAACTGGAAATCTGAGGCCGGGCGCAGTGGCTCACGCCTGTAATCCCAGCACTTTGGGAGGCCGAGGCGGGTGGATCATGAGGTCAGGAGATCGAGACCATCCTGGCTAAGATGGTGAAACCTCGTCTCCACTAAAAATACAAAAAATTAGCCGGACGTTGTGGCGAGCGCCTGTAGTCCCAGCTACTCGGGAGGCTGAGGCAGGACAATGGTGTGAATCTGGGAGGTGGAGCTTGCAGTGAGCCGAGATTGCACCACTGCACTCCAGCCTGAGCGACAGAGTGAGACTCTGTCTCAAAAAAAAAAAAAAAAAAAAAAACTGGAAATCTGAATAAGGTACGGACTTGAGATGATAATAATGTATCAATATTGGTTCTTTAATTGTGGCAAATGTTCCATAGTAATATAAGATGTTAATTATAAGGTATGGGGTACATGGGAACTGTGCACTATCTTCATAAATCTAAAGCCTTTCTAAAATGAAAAGTTTTTTTCTTTTTAAAAGCATATGGAACATGGCAACCATATCCTTTAGTCATGTTGCCAGATTAACTGATTTTCTACATAACTGACTTGATTGAATGTGAAATTGCGGGGAAGCTCTACTCAAGATTCCATGGCTCAGCTGGAGATCATAAAAGATGAATTTATAACATGGAGCTAACTCTTCACAATTGAGACGCACTTGTTACCAAGAGATGAAAATGACTATATATAACATCACGTATGGAGTTGGTAAGTTGGAGAGTTTATAAGAGAGCATCATCTCAAACCTTTCACTCTAGAAAAATACTTGGACAAAACTGGACATGGCAGCTCATGCCTGTAATTCCAGCACTATAGGAGGCTGAGATGGGAGGATCACTTTAAGCCCAGGAGTTCAAGACAAGCCTGGGAGCCTGGGCAACATAGGAAGACCCTGTCTCTACAAAATAATAATAATAATAATAATAATAATAATAATAATAATAATAATAGCCAGTCTTGGTGGCGTGAACCTGTAGTCCTAGCTACTCAAGGAGGCTGAGGTGGGAGGATTGTTTGAGCCCAGGAGGTAGAGACTGCAGTGAACCATGATTGTGCCATCGCACTCTAGCCTGGATAAGAGCAAAATCTTGAGAAAGAAAGAAAGAAAAAGAAAGAGAGAGAAAGAGAGAAAAGGAGAGAAAGGAAGGAAGGAAAGAGGGAGGGAGGGAGGGAAGGAAGGAAGGAAGGAAGGAAGGAAGGAAGGAAGGAAGGAAGGAAGGAAGGAAGGAAAAACAAGAAAAAGATAAAAATATGTGGACAATTTTCACAAATCATGAACCTCATTTTGAGGAATAAGAAATCTGTAAAAATGCAGTGATATGTAATGCTCCCTTTACCTCCCTGACAGTAATGTACATCCATTTCTAGAGTTGAAACTTTGCTATTCAGTGTAGTTGTAAGCACATGCAGTAGAAATTTCATTGCTCTGCCAGGAGAAAAGATCAAAGGCAGGAGAAAATTTTTCAAAGATGAGAGATTTTCAATATGTATGTATAAAAAGCATAAAAAGCTACTGGTTTGTGTAGTTTGTGTCTCTGTGAATTTCACTATTTTCACAGGCTATTCTCCAGCCTTTAATCCTCAAGCTAAATCCAGATGACACTTTCTTTCAATATATTTCTCCTTAGGAATAACTTAAATTCTTCCTCTTTTCTATTTAAATGCTAATAACTTTGGCACTGTTAAAAAATGGAGTGATAACAGATTCAATTATTTTTTCACCATCATGATTAATAATTATTCAAAGTTTGTCCATTATGCAAGGCACCATATTAAGCATGAATGTCTAATTTCTTCACTCCCCTCCACCCATGCATACACAATGGGTTGATATTTTCTTATTTTATAGGTAGCCTTCAGCATAGAATTTTTCTGTGTCTCAATAACTTCTGATGCAGAATTGAGACAATGGTGTTAAAGTCAGTTGGACAAAGAAGCAATGAAAACTCAAACATGTTGTTATTGATACGGATGAGTATGATATTGAATTATAAGCAGTGATATAATTTCAAATCACTCCTGGCACTTCAGATCTTATTGGATCTATATTCCATGAACATTTGCATTAGGATTTTTCAAAAAGATGTGGTGGTACTATAAGCCTATTTCAGAACTGTGAGTACATTCTTTCCATCTAAATTTCATTAGTCTGAATAGCTAAATGCTAGTTAGGTGTCTGTAAGAAATCTATCAAAATCAGAAATTTGGTGACTTGCCTTTCTATTAATGTTTAAGCAAACACAACTTCTTTTTAACTGAGAGACCTTTATTCGGAGCCTAGAAATTTAAGATATATCTTCAAAGTAAAACTGTAATTGGCACAAATTATAATTGAATTTTAATATAAAATTGCCATTCCAACTCTGCTGAAGATCATGGATAAATATATGTTCTCTAATGAACAGTTGGTAGCAGAGTCACCAAAGATATGTGATTTGGGGGAGCCTACCTGAATTATTATCTTTTTAGTTACATATTTATTTCCACAAAGAGTATAAAATGTCAATCATATCCTTCTATAGTAATACGCAAAGTGATTTGGGTACTTTTAGGCCCTAGAGATATTTATGGAAATTAGCTTGTCACAGGTACTAGGGAATTATCCCAAAGAAGTTAGAATTTTCTGGGTTATTATTATCAGTGACTGAGGTCCAGGGAAACCAATTTGCTTCCTGCCACATTGTTTGATTTAGGGATTGAATGACTCACACCAAATTGGAGACCTAAAAGTAATGTGCACGCTTCATTCCAAAGATAAGCTAGGCTCTTAGTTCAAAGACAGCCTGTAGAAGTGGCTGGCAAATGAAGAAGACTATTAGTGAAGTTTAAATTGTGAAGTCTGAGTTGAGAGCTGTGATTAAGTATGGACCAGCCAGTCCCAATTAATCACTAAGTAAGCTAGTTTTCCCCTGCGTTTCCTTCACGCATTCTGACAGTAGCTGTCTAATGAAGCTGTGGGAAGGATGTGAAGAGAAACCTAAACAATCAGCATTTCGGGTTGGAATCCTTGGTCCGTACATGAAGGCTGCTCCCACCTCCTGTCCCACCTTCACCCCCTGCTGCTGAATTGGAAAGATGACTGAAAATTTTATAGATTTCAGAAGTGAAGGAAAGAATGAAACTACAACAGGCAGAAATGGCACAGGCAAAACAGACCCTCTAAAATTTCCCTTTTCATTTTACTTTAAGAGACTCTGATATTCTTCTACTACTTTAGAAATGCATTCAGAAAAAAAAATTCATCCTCTTAAAAAAATTGAGCTATTTCTGGGATGTTGAAGAGCTATTACTGTGAAAGTAATTAGTTGAGAATTAATGCGCATGGCTTCTATTACCTAATAGAGATCAAAATGTGCAAAAGGAATGAGCATTTTGATAAGAGGCAGTGTGGGAAATGATTTTGGAGTCTGGGTCCCTTTGGAAAAAGGATCAAGGACAGCATGAGGAAGGGTTCAGAAAACAAGGTGAGAAAGACCAATACCAAATACCAAATATTTTAATTTAGGCTCGTCCTGTATTCAAGAAAAAATGATGAAATATTCTTTGCAATATTCTTTGATATCAACTCAACCAATACTCTTATAGAGGAAATAAATGGTTGTTCCCTTACCTGAGACCATAAACAACAAACCTGGTGGAAAAACTGTGTTTGAGTTCCAAGCAACCAATTTGTATGTAAACTTAAGCCCACGTTTCATGAGTAATGTGAGGGCTGGGTTGCCCACTCATCTTTCACAGGAAACTCCTTAACCAAATAATTGTTTCTCCTATTTTTATGTTTATTTTGTTCTCAGTGACTAATGGTGCCAAAGAAAGTTAGTTATTCTGCATGATTGCCACTGTCTGAGCTGGCATTTTGTGATTACAGATGACCAGCTGACTCAAATAACAAGAGCCCATTTCTGTCATTCATTGAACCCGTTTCTGGGAAAGGAGAAAGAGGAGGCCAAGGGAAGAAGATGCCCTGTTCAGGTTTCAGAGGCAAAAGCTAAGGGAAATATTAGCAAACCCCAGGGGAGATTGCTTCTTTCCCAGGCCCAGAATTGGATGTTTCTGTATCTGAGAACGGCTCACAAATGGTCTATTCTTATGGAATTTTTGCTTCAGTTGTCAGTTTCAGATCACATTAGAGATCTTGATATTTGATTGTTTTCTCTCAAATGTACTGAGACTTCATTTAAATTTTCTTATTTAAAATTATTTTTAGTTAATTAAATAAAGTCAAAGTTAATGGTAATAAGGAGAATAATCCATAAAACAGTTGATAATTTCGTAAGGTTAAAAATAAAGACAAATATTTTAGAATAATAGATTCTCTAGAAAGATTCCCACATTTGTCTGCTAAAATAAGAAAAAGTGAGTTTTTCTCCTCAAACAAGATGATCACTTGCATAATATAAGACCATTAATTCTGTTAGAAAATAATGCTTATTGACTAGAATACTTTTTTTTTTTTTTTTTTTTTTTTGAGACAGAGCCTTGCTCTGTCACCCAGGCTGGCAGCTCACTGCAACCTCCACCTCCCAGGTTCAAGCAACTCTCCTGCCTCAGCATCCTGAGTAGCTGGGATTACAGGCATGTATCACCATGTCCAGCTAATTTTTGTACTTTTAGTAGAGACAGGGTTTCACCACATTTGCCAGGCTGGTCTCAAACTCTTGGCCTCAAGTGATCCACTCGCCTCAGCCTCCCAAAGCACTGGGATTACAGGAGTGAACCACCACACCCGGCCTAGAATACTCTTAAACCCAATTCCTCAACCTGTAAGTTTAAGGTGACCTTGAAATAGACAGACAAGCAGCTGAATATGTGGGTCAGTAGATGAAAACTATCTTCGAAACCATCAAAGGATGTCATAAATAAAATAATTACTACTAATTAAGTGTGTATTGAATACATATGAGTAGAAGAAGCTTTGCATTGATAGGGTGAGAGAATATACCCTCAACAGTAGCCAGTTCATTTATCAGTAGAGATTTGTTGCATCCCTATGTTTGCACATTGTGCTCACATTAATAGTCATCAGAATATTTATTTATTAAGTTTAAGGAATTGGCTCATGAAATTACGGAGGCTGAGAGGTCCCAAGATCTGCAGTCAGCAATGCAGCACTGTGAAGACCCTAGAGAGATGATGGTCTAGTTCCAGTCCAAGCTCAAAGTCCTGAGAACCGGGAGAGCCGGTGATGTAAGTTCCAGCCTGAGTTCAAGTCCAAAGGCAGAAGAGGAGTGATTTCCCAGCTCAGTGACAGTCAGACAGAGAGAGCAAATTCTTCCTTACTCAGCTTACTCAATTCAAATTGCCCTCCCCAGTGTAGATAGGACTGGATGGTTAGTCCTATCCAGAAACACACTCACAGACACACCCAGAATAATGTTTCACCAAATAGCTGGCCCAGTTAGTTTGACACAAAAAATTAACCACCGCAGTCACTATACATTGGCCATGTTCTACTTGTCAGAATCGAATCCCTTCAATATCTGTGGTAAGTCTACCTCTGAGTTCTGATTCTCAATACTTCAAAGGCTGCTTGTTCCTACTCCTGGTCACCAAAGCTCATCAGACCACTTCCTGTGATTTAACATTTTTGGTTAGCTACATTGAAAGAAGTCTTTCTGTTACTGTTTAAATAAAAAAACATTTGTACATGCAGAATTATGAAAAGTTTGAATTAGTTGAAAATGGACCAATAAGATAAACTTATTGATTTTAACCAGAATGGTGTCTGGAAGTCATGAGCCCATGATTTGTTAATTAATGTCCTTAAGGAAGGCACATTAACTCCAGGTGTCAAGGGGGCACCACTGAGCACACTGCACCTGTAGTATTCCAGGTGGTCGACCTCTGGGCTATGATCATGCAACTGAAAAACTGCTTGTAAGTACAAATACAATAATTGCAGCATGTCTTCTATACCATCTACTGTCCTCTCCAGCAACAGAGACCCTTTGAGCTGAATTCAAAAGATAATAGGTAAAACATCATTCCCACCATAGTATCTCCTCATTTAACAAACAGCTCTTGGAACTTTTTTATTTTATTTTATTTATTATTATTATTATTATTTTTTGAAACAGAGTTTCACTCTTGGTGACCAGGCTGGAGTGCATTGGTGCAATTGTGGCTCACTGCAACCTTCACCTCCCAGGTTCAAGCAATTCTCCTGCCTCAGCCTCCCAAGTAGCTGGGACTACAGGCGTGTGCCACCACGCCTGGCTAATTTTTTGTATTTTTAGTAGAGATGGGGTTTCACCATGTTGGCCAGGCTGGTCTCAAACTCCTGACCTCAGGTGATCCACCCACCTTGGCCTCCCAAAGTGCTGGGATTACAGGCGTGAGCCACCACGACCAGCCAAGGAACTTTTTTGAGATACATCAGTGAACAAACTGGGCAAAGATGGGATTCACATTTGAATGGAGAGAGGGGAACACACTGACAATAAACAAAAATCTATTTAAAAAAATAAGGACATGATATAATATGTTACAAGGGGGACAGGCTATATAAAAAAGAGATAGTGAAGTAGGTAAAGAGGGGTCAGCAGTATTAGGGGAAAAGTTGAAGTTTTGAATAAGGGTGAGGCAGGCTTACTTGAGAAGGTAATGGGGTTAAGAAAGACTTGAAGGAGGTGTGGGAAGATGCCTTGAAAATATCTCGGGAAGAACTTTCCAAGGATAGAGAAAGCCAGTGCAAAGACTGTAACCTAGAGATTGCTTTTCATTCATATTCATCATGATTTCCATTCATTTATTGACTGAACAACTATTAAATACTTACTGAACAGTTACCATGTGCTTAGGACCATTTTAGGCACCTAGGACAAAGTTCCTACCCTCACAAAGCCTATATTATGGAAAACAATTGATATGATTTGGCTATGTCCCCACTCAAATCTTATCTTGAATTGTAGCTCCCATAATTCCCACAGGTTATGGGAGGGACCTGGTGGGAGAAAATTGAATCATGGGGGCAGTGTCCCCCATACTGTTCTTGTGGGGGAATAAGTGAATAAGCCTCATGAGATCTGATGGTTTGATAAGGGGTTCCCCCTTTCATTTGGCTCTCATTCTCTCTTGTCTGCCACCATGTAAGACGTGCCTTTTACCTTCCACCATGATTGTGAGGCCTCCCCAGCCACGTGGAACTGTGAGTTCATTAAACCTCTTTTTCTTTATAAATTACCTAGTCTCAGGTATGTCTTTATCAGCAGCATGAAAATGGACTAATACAATACATGAGTTGATAAGCATATAACATGATGTCAGATGGTGAGAAGTATAATAAAGAAAATTAAATGGGGTAAGGAGACAGAGAGTGACAGAGGTGCTACCTCAGGTAGGGTGGTCAGGGCAGACCTCCTAAAGGAGTCATTTTGACTGACATCTGAATAAAGTGACAGTGCAAGCCATGTGAATGTTTAAGAGGGAGTGTGTGCCTGGAAGAAGGAATAGCAGTTCTACATGCCCTGAGAAAATGACTGGGGTACAATTAAAGAAGACAACCAAGAGAGCTAATGTGGCACAGCCGGAGCAAGAAAAAACAGCCAGTGATATGAAGATGTAGCACCTCTAGACAATGGTAAGGACTTGGGCTTTCACTCTGAAGGAGACAGACAGCATGGAAGCTGGGAATTTGAGAGCAAAGGTGTGACATGATCTGACTGGTGTTTGAAGAATCACTGTATGGGCAATATTGAGACTTGTTACTATAGGGTGGCAAGTTTGGAAGAAGAGAGGCCAATTTGGAGGCTGTTGGGAATACTCCACATGAGAGATGTTAATGACACAGACTAGGATAGTAGCAGGAGAGACACTGAGAGGTGCTATTTTTTCCATATATGTTGAAGGTGGTGTCAACAGGATTTATTGATAGGGTGAATGTAGGAGTTGGAGGAAATAAAGAGAATTCAAAAGCTAACTCCAAAATGAATCTGATTCACTGTGGTGAAATAGACGAGTGGCACTCAAGGGAATGGAGCAGATTGGGGTGGGAAAGGATCATGATTCTGGTTTCGAACAGGTTTGGTTGGAGATGCCTTTTAGATGCCTCAGAGAAGAGAGTGATCAGACGGGAGGATCCGTGACACTGGGGTTAGGAGAGGGTCTGAGCTGGGATTTAAATTTGAGAATCACCAACATATAGATATGATTTATAGTAACAGGAAGAGAACGTCTGTGGAATGAATGTAGATAGAGATGAGAAGAAATGTGAGGCCTGAGCCCTGGAGCACTCCAGTGTTTTATAATTTGGGAAAAGTAGGAGAATCTAGCAAAAAATATTTTTAAAAAGATGGAGAAGAAACAACTATGGAGGTAGTAGATAAACAAGACAGTGCTCTGCTTCAGAACGAAAGGCAGATTCTGCCAAATGGACCTGAGACACCAAAGAAGGAGAGGGCAGAGAATTAAGTATTGGCTTTGTACTGCGGATGTCCTTGTATCCTTCATAAGAGTGATTACTTGGCAAGATGTGGATGAAGACCATTGGCATGTATTCAAGAGAGCATTGGAAGTGAGAAAGTGTTAAGGGCAGACAAAGACAAATCTTTTAGAAAATTTCACTATATAAGTAAAGAAAGAAATGAAACAGTCGCTTTAAAAGGAGATGAGAAGAAGGAAGGCTTTGTTTAACTTCTTGGCAGGAACGTCATCTTTGAAGAGGTGAGAAGACCTGGGATTCAGTACATGGTGGAGAGACTGACCTTAGATAAAGCTACGGACAATTTATCCATTGTCATAGGAAGGAAGGCAGGGTTATGGGCCAAGATGCAGATGTATCTGCCAATTTAAAGGTAGCGAGAATTGAAAGTTCTTTTCTAATCACTTCCATCATCTTAGAAAACTGATAAACAGGAACCAGCTGGGAGTAAGGAGGGGTGATATGGTTTGGCTGTGTCCCCACCCACATCTCATCTTGAATTGTAGCTTCCATAATTCCCACATGTTATGGGAGGGACCCAGTGGGAGATAATTGAATCACGGGGGCGGTTTCCCCCATACTGTTCTCATGGTAGTGAGTAAGTCTCAAGAGATATATGTTTTTATAAGGGGTTTCCTCTTTTGCTTGGTTATTCTCTTGTCTACCACCATGTAAAACATCCCTTTGCTCTTCCTTCATCTTCTGCCATGATTGTGAGGTCTCCCTAGCCACGTGGAACTGTGAGTCAATTAAACCTCCTTCCTTTATAAATTACCCAGCCCTGGATATGTTTTATAATTTGGGAAAATGGACTAATACAAGGGGGAAGGAAGAGTCTTGAGAGAGAGGAGAGAATAGTCTTCTGGGAGTGACGTGATCAAGGTCAACAGACAATGCTGAGGTCCCCTTGAACTTTGAGTTCATAAATTCACAACCATACAGCAAGGAGGATCATGTTTTTCTCCAACTGTTTTCAGTTCTTTGGATACAAAAGTAGACTGGGCATAGAAGTGGGATGAATCCACAGAGGTTTTGTCACATGTGCCAGGGCAGAGGGAGAGAAGTACAAGAGATTTTGTCATAATGCAAGGGAATCATAATGATGGGCCATGGACTCTAATCTGCAGAAGAAGAGAAATGAACACTCAAGGGAGATTAAAAACATTGGAAGGGTAGCATGAGTGGGCTGGAAATCTTCTATTGGGGCCGGGCGCGGTGGCTCAAGCCTGTAATCCTAGCACTTTGGGAGGCCAAGGTGGCAAATCACTTGAGGTTAGGACTTTGAGACCAGCCTGGCCGACATGGTGAAACCACGTCTCTACTAGAAATTCAAGAATTACCTGCTCATGGTGTCATGTGCCTGTAGTCCCAGCTACTCAGGAGGCTGGGGTGCAAGAATTGTTTGAATCTGGGAGGTGGAAGTTGCAGTGAGCCAAGATCGTGCCACTGCACTCCAGCCTGGACAACAGAGTGAGACTCCATCTCAAAAAAAGAAGAAGAAGAAAAGAAGAAGAAGAAGAAGAAGAAGAAGAAGAAGAAGAAGAAGAAGAAGAAGAAGAAGAAGAAAAGAAGAAGAAGAAGAAGAAGAAGAAGAAGAAGAAGAAGAAGAAGAAGAAGAAGAAGAAGAAGAAGAAGAAGAAGGAGAAGAAGAAGAGAGAAAAAGAAAAAAGAAAAAGAAATCTTCTATTGGAATTTCATGAATTACTCAAGGAATTCTTAATGCAATAGAAAGGATCAAAATTGCTTATTTTGGGGAGATAAGAGCATGACATTGGAAAAATTTCTTTTTCTCCTACTCTTCTTCCTCTTTTTCCACCTCCTTCTTTTCTTTTAGCAATTTCACATATGCCAAAAAGTGAAATCAACTATTCACTAACGAAAAGGCATAAATCCTGTGAATTGACTGCCTCTAGTAAAGGGACCTAAACACCCACTGTTTCATCTAGAATATGAAGACCTCTTAATTGGGTTATCTTTCAAAAAAATTATACTAAAAGAGGAAATTACAAATCATGTAAATTGAAGAAAATCGCACTGGAATGATGCAATGATGCAATGATGCAATCCTATTGGTTGCTGCAATTTTCAGCACAGGGAAAGTTTCACTCAGGCAGAAAGAGCCCCATGAAGTCAAGAGCAGATGACCACATTGCTCAAGTTCATTTCCATCTCCCCATGCAGGCACAGCCTGAGTCACAGCTCAGTCCTGAGTTAAGTACTTAGAAAGGCAAATTAACCATTTCAGGTCAGCAGGGTACCATTGCACACATAGCAACAATGATTTTAAAAGTGCTAAAATCGACTTGCATTGACAATAGGCTTTCCAAGCCAGAAGGAATCTGCTATGATGTGGAAGAGGGCTCAGTGGCTCACGGCACCCCATGAAGTCAACAGCATCTTAGAAAATATTTGAACCAAGCAGAACAAAGTGATCATTTGAGTTCCCCCAAGATGACCTAATTTTTTACATGGTGAGGAGGGGCTTAGAGATCATAACTATAAGCTACAAATCTGATCTAGAAAGACCTCGGTAATTTTTTAAAATCTCTTTTATTTACGCTTCTCTGAGCTACATTCCCTGGAGCATAAGGATTAGATCAGAGACATTTATGGAAGGAAACTTATATATTCTAGGCTGGTATTTGAAAGTTTAAATTGTAATTCTCCTGCCTCAGCCTCCCAAGTAGCTGGGATTACAAGCGTGCGCCACCACACCTAGTTAATTTTTTTTTTTTTTTTTTTTTTGAGATGAAGTCTCACTCTGTCGCCCAGACTGGAGTGCAGTGGCGCGATCTCAGCTCACTGCAACCTCTGCCTCCCAGGTTCAAGCGATTCTCCTGCCTCAGCCTCCCTAGTAGCTGGGACTACAGGCGAATGCCACCACGCCCAACTAATTTTTGTATTTTTTTTAGTAGAGATGGGGTTTCACCATATTGGCCAGGCTGGTCTTGAACTCCTGACCTCGTGATCCACCCGCCTCGGCCTCCCAAAGTGCTGGGATTACACGCGTGAGCCACCGCACCTGGCCTAATTTTGTATTTTTAGTAAAGACTGGGTTTCACTATGTTAGTCAGGCTGGTCTCGAACTCCTGACTTCAGGTGATCCACCCGCCTTGGCCTCCCAAAGTGCTGGGATCACAGGCATGAGCCACCGCTTGAACCCGGGAGGCAGAGGTTGCAGTGAACTGAGATTGCACCATTGCACTCCAGCTTGGACAACAACAGCAAAACTCCGTCTCAAAAAAAAAAAAAAAAAGTATAAATTGCATAAGCTATAAAATTGTGCCATCGCCAGTAGCCTGTATGAGTCTTAAAAACTCTCTCCTTAGAAAGTTTCTGTGTTCTGAAATCACACTTTCGTCTGTCCCTCAAGGCTGTGAACATTGGGTCCAAGACTCCCAACCTTTCTACTCCTCCCTTCCATGAAGAAGAAGGGAGCTGTGACATGAGTCACCCCACCATGGACAAGATACTTCTCATATATGTCTGATACACAGCAGAGGTATGTGTTATTCTATCTTCATTTGACAGGACAGGAAACTGGGTGTAAGATGTTTGCCCAAGTCACTGATCAACCAAGTGCCTGAGTTGGGATTCAAACTCAGGCTTATAAATCTGACTGACTAAAAAAATCTCTTGCAGCCAGGCGCCATGACTCATGCCTGTAATCCCAGCACTTTGGGAGGCCGAGGTGGGTGGATTGCCTGAGCTCAGGAGTTTGAGACCATTCTGGGCAACATGGAGAAATCCCCTCTCCACCAAAAATACAAAAAAAAAAACTAGCTGGGCATGATGGTGGACACCTGTAGTCCCAGCTACTAGGGAGGCTGAGGCACAAGGCAGAGGTTGCAGTGAGCCGAGATGGTACCACTGCACTCCAGCCTGAGTGACAGAGTGACACTCTGCCTCAAAAAAAAAAAAGAAAAGAAAAGAAAAAATCTTGCTGCTCTTACCAAACCAAGTGAGAGGTGACAGCGTGCTGGCAGTCCTCACAACCCTCCCTCGCTCTCGGCACCTCCTCTGCCTGGGCTCCCACTTTGGCGGCACTTGAGGAGCCCTTTGGCCCACCACTGCACTGTGGGAGCCCCTTTCTGGGCTGGCCAACACCAGAGCCAGCTCCTTCAGCTTGCGGGGAGGTGTGGAGGGAGAGGCGCGAGCGGGAACCAGGGCCGCGCAGCGCTTGCGGGCCAGCTGGAGTTCCAGGTGGGCGTGGGCTTGGCGGTCCGCGCACTCGGAGCAGCCGGCCGGCCCTGCCGACCCCGGGCAATGAGGGGCTTAGCACCCAGGCCAGTGGCTGCGGAGGGTGTACTGGGTCCCCCAGCAGTGCCGGCCCACTGGTGCTACGCTGGATTTCTTGCCGGGCCTTAGCTGCCTTCCCGCCGGGCAGGGCTCAGGACCTGCAGCCCACCATGCCTGAGCCTCCCCCAACTCCGTGGGCTCCTGTGCGGACAGAGCCTCCCCGACGAGCGCCACCCCCTGCTCCAGGGCGCCCAGTCCCATCGACCACCCAAGGGCTGAGGAGTGTGGGCGCACGGCACAGGACTGGCAGGCAGCTCCACCTGCAGCCCCGGTACGGGATCCACTGGGTGAAGCCAGCTGGGCTTCTGAGTCTGGTGGGGAAGTGGAGAACCTTTATGTCTAGCTCAGGGATTGTAAACGCACCAATCAGCGCCCTGTCAAAACAGACCACCCCCCCCCCCCCCCACCCCACCCTGCTCTACCAATCCGCAGGATGTGGGTGGGGCCAGATAAGAGAATAAAAGCAGGCTGCCTGAGCCCGCAGTGGCAACCCGCTCGGGTCTCCTTCCACACTGTGGAAGCTTTGTTTTTTCGCTCTTTGCAATAAATCTTGCTACTGCTCACTCTTTGGGTCCACACTGCCTTTATGAGCTGTAACACTCACCGCAAAGGTCTGCAGCTTCACTCCTGAAGACAGCGAGACCACGAACCCACCAGGAGGAACGAACAACTCCAGACGCACCGCCTTAAGAGCTGTAACACTCACTGAGAAGATCTGCAGCTTCACTCCTGAGCCAGCGAGACGACGAACCCACCAGAAGGAAGAAACTCCAGACGCGCCACCTTAAGAGCTGTAACACCCACCGCCGGGGTCCGCGGCTTCATTCTTGAAGTCTGAGACCAAGAACCCACCAATTCCGGATACACAAGCAATGCTGATTGCTTCACTTTGAAAGCTTTCCAGCCGGGTGCGGTGGCTCACACCTATAATCCCAGTACTTTCGGAGTCCGAGGCGGGCTGATCACTTCAGGTCGGTAGTTCGAGACCAGCCTGGCCCACATGGTAAAACCCCGTCCCGTCTCTACTAAAAATACAAAATTAGCCGGGCGTGGTGACAGGCACCTGTAATCCCAGTTACTCGGGAGGCTGAGGTAGGAGAATTGCTTGAGCCTGGGAGGCAGAAGTTGCAGTGAGCCAATATCGAGCCACTGCACTCCAGCCTGGGTGACACAGCAAGACTCTTTCTCAAAAACAAAACAAAACAAAACTTAAAAACTTTCTTTTTTTAAGTGTGAACATCCTCAAACCACACATCCTTGGAAAACCCCATGGGATCACTTCTACTCTCATGATGGTTGTCTTCTCTAGCATCTTGTGGTTACAAAGCATTTCAGGTAAGAGCACAGGCTTTCTGGCCAGGAAGACTTGAGGTGAGTCCCAGCTCTGTCATGTCATAGGTAGGTGACCTAGCTCTTAGCTATTAGGTTGGTGCCATTACTTTTAATGGCAAGAACTGCAATTACTTTTGCACCAGACTGAAAGCCTCTGTTTCATTCAAGAAAAAAGGAGACATTACACTGTTTCTTTCTTCATAGGGTTATTGTGCAGATTGAATGAGATAACGAATACAAAGGATTTAGCACATGCCTTAAAAATGTGTATTAGGTTATATTTTTTAAATGTCAGCTATACAAGTTAGATTACCATTATTTTAACAGTTCGTCTAATTCATTCTTGTGACATCTATTAGTTGTTTTTTATTTAGCCTTTCAGCCACTCTTGTCTCTCTGACTTGTTTGAAAGCCTTTAAAGCTTGGATCGTGTTTTGTTCCTTTGTATCCTCTTACACATAGCACAGGTTTTCCAAAAATATTTGTTGAGTTGATTTCATTTCATAATGTGTTCTCTTTAAATAGCAACCAGAAGCACAATTCAAAATAAACTGTAGATTTTGATAATGAATTTCTTTTCTTGTGATTAGTGGCTCTTTGTCTTGCTTTTGTCCTGAGCCTATGTTTTGAGATAACACTTGGGGGCAGCATTGAGTCAGTCTGCACTTCCCCTGTTGTGAACTAGAAGGAAATATGAAATCCAAAGGTAGGGGCTGACAGATAGGAAATGAATGTCTCCAAATACATCAGTAGCTTTAAAATGACTGTGCACTTTGCTACAGAAATCTATTTAAAAGCAGCACACCCTTCTGCAGATCTCAGGGGAGCTCTTGAGGATAAATGACTTGTTTTCTCTCTAACCCTGGGGGGCAATACAAACTGTAAGATGTTTAACCATTTACTCACACAGCAAAATGGAGCAAACCTACAAGCTACATTATAAAGGAAGATAAATTTAGCATGCATTTATGATGTGAAAAAGCACAGCTACTGCTCTGGTTGTTTAAATACTACATCAGTAATTGCAGTCCATTAAGTCAGTTAAACAAAACAGTGAATTAAAATTTTCCATTAGCCAGATTTTTTGCCCTACAACACTAAAGAGAAGAAAGGTAAATGTAGTAGCACAGCAAGTTGATAGCAGAGGTTCATTTGGTTAAGCAACTTTTTAAAACGTCCTATGCCCTGCACAGATGTTATCCAGTCTCCTATAGCCACAATTACATCACTACAAATATATGCTTAGATAATCTATCAATGTTCAGAATCTTTGCCTCTAGGTACTGCAAGATTCTTACCAGTTATAATAAAACTAGTGTGCCAATTATCTGATAAAACAAAGTACACTTGGTTGTTTCCAAAAAAAATTTTTGTAATGGTACAAAAAAAACTCATAGAAGACACTTTTTTTTTTTTTTTTTTAGCAACTTGGCCCTGTCTCTACCTCTCACCAGAATCTGAAGAAATTGCATATATTTTTGTACCAACAGGGTTCCTATGAAAACCAAATGGAAAAGTACAATAGGATACACCAGTTTCTTCACAGGTCCACAACCTAATTTGTGTTATACCTATTCCCTGATTAGTTACAGAGGTATTTATTCTTTATTTGTTCATTCAACATTCACTGAACATCCAATATGTGTCCAGTACTGGGAATATAAGGATGAATAACACATTATCTATGTTTTTAAAAAGTTCAGTCTAGGAGAAATGAACATACAGACATACACACATCTGCAAATAATTGCAATCACACTGATTTCTTTTGGGCCTGGAATCTCTTATTCTTTTCATAGCTAAACAAAATAACATCTCAGAGTGTAATCTCAAAGAACATAAATCTCTACTTTATGGAAGAGGAAAGTGAAGTCCACAGACAGTAAAGGACATGACCAACCAGCCAGTTAGTGCAAAGCCAATAAAGGAACTTGTTGACTCCCAACCGATGTGTTTCCACCACATAATATTATTACCCTTTTATATGGTTTGGCTGTGTCTACCCAAATCTCATCTTGAATTGTAGATCCCATAATGCCCATGTTGAGGGAGGGACCTGGTGGGAGGTAATTGAATAATGGGGGAGAGTCTCGTGATAGTGAATAAGTCTCACAAGATCTGATGTTTTTATAAAGGAGAGTTCCTCTACACACGTTCTTTTGCCTGCCACCATGTAAAGATGTGCCTTTGCTCCTCCTTTGCTTTCCGCCATGATTGTGAGGCCTCCCCAGCCATGTGGAACTCTGAGTCAATTAAAACTCATTCCTTTATAAATTACCCAGTCTCAGGTATGTCTTTATTAGCAGCATGAGAACAGACTAATATACCCCTGCATGTGAGATTGTTGAGATAAGGCATTATAGCTTGTATGTCCTTGTATTTTCGAAGTCTCTAGTAGAAATCTTTAATAAACATTTATTTATTGACTTTAATATCTCTCCTGCTGTCATCTGTCCAGATATAAATCTCACCATTATGAAAGCTTTCATAAGGCAGCTAACTTTTAAATTGTTTAGTCTTTGAGATTATTCTCAGTTGACCAAAGCAGACATTTTCCTTTCACTAATGCTCAATTTCCCAAGGCTTGGCCTTGGGAATTGATTGAGGACAGGCTAATAATGGGCATTCACATATGAGTGCATCTGAATTCGACCTTGCATTACCTTTCATACTTTTCCACCTACTTCCAACCAACAAGATCTCTCTATTTATATTCTGGGGATTTAACATTTAAGGCCAAATCACAAAAAGCCTGTTGGGTAGTTTGTGCTTCTGCATATCTAGTAGTATGCTGGAAAATATTTAATAATAGATCTAGGAGAGGAAAAAAAGGCCTGATAAATAGCATTTGCCAATTTCCATGGTGTAAATACTTTCACCATGGTAAATTTCATCCTACCAATGTATCAGTGCATACTGAACTCAGCACAGAGAAGAAATATACACAATCTGCTCTCACTAATCAGTGCAAGCCAGCTCCAGCTAACAACTGCCCCACTGCTCTCAACATGAAGACTCAGCAGTGATCTGTCCTCACTTCTGCTGCCTGACGCTCTTGTCATTGCTTAGCTATATGAGAGACTGCTAGGTTCGGCTTGTAGGGTTGGTAAGTGCAATCAGCAATAGGCCTGATTGTAAGACAGATTTTGAACTTGGTAGGAATATAGGGGGAGAATCAGTTATTAAACTAAATTAACCCTTTTCCTGTTTGCTCTGGGAATACTTGCCGGCGGGCTTTCAGCTGCAGTGTTTACCCCAAGATAACTTTGCCACAAAATATCTCACTTTTATTATTATTTTTGCATCACTCTGGTATATCGACTTGAGAAGCAAAAGACATCATTCTATTTATAGCATTCTGTTTTTAGTAGTAGTATTTCCATTTACAAAACACAGTAATTCTCAACCACTGAAAATGTCAAATCCTAGAAAATGTAGCATTCCTACACATGATGTTAACATCATTCTCTAACAGTTGGCTGAAGATTCATTTGATGAATCCGATTTTTCCAAAATAGATGATTCTAATGATTCAGATGATTCTGATGTTAGTTCTGTTTAGAAATAACTCCAAGAACAGTTTTTATATTTCATTTTCACATTGAAAATGAGTCAGATTTGCTTCAGCCTCAAAGAGGGCGTTTACGTAAAATTAAATGAATGCTGATAGCAAGCTGCATTTTTTTTATGGGAAAAGATTTAACTTATGAAATTAATGAAGATATAAGAGAAAGGAGGCAACTAACTACACTCACCTGATAATTATTATTGTTTTGACATACAGGTATCGCTGATACCCTTTGTGTGAAAACAATCGAGAAAGTGCTGGCTGAAATTACAGATGGAGGCTGGACTCTAAAAACCAACAGATGCCTCAAGGGTTTGAATCTGCAGCTTTAGCTAATCAGACCGGGCTACAGTGTTGAAATTCAAGAGGCAAAGAGAAGAACAGCAAAAGGGATAGTGAGAAAGACTTGAGGGTAGAGACGCAATGTTTGAGCAGCAAATTTATTTACATGTTTGCTCAGCCAGTCAGCCAATGGGTGTTTATGCACCCTCCAAATCCCTATGCTGAAGTCCTAACTCCCAATGTGATTGTTACAGGAAAGTGGTCCCTATACAGACTCCAAGAGAGGGTTCTTCGATCTTGTGCAAGAAAGAAGTCAGTGTGAGTCCATAGAGTAAAGTGAATGCAAGTTTATTAGGAAAGTAAAGGAGAAAAGAATGGCTACTCCATAGACAGAGCAGCCCCAAGGGCTGCTGATTGCCCATTTTTATGGTTATTTCTTGATGATATGCTAAACAAGGGGTGGATTATTCATGCCTCCCCTTTTTAGACCATATACAGTAACTTCCTGACGTTATCATGGCATTTGTAAACTGTCATGGCGCTGGTGGGAGTGTAGCAGTGAGGACAACTAGAGGTCACTCTCATCACCGTCTTGGTTTTGGTGGATTTTGGCTGGCCTCTTTACTGCGACCTGTTTTATCAGCAAGGTCTTTATGACCTGTGTCTTATGCGGACTTAGGCAGACTTCCTATCTCATCCTGTGACTTAGAATGCCTTAACTGTCTGGGAATGCAACCCAGTAGGTCTCAGCTTCATTTTACCCAGCCCCTATTCAAGATGGAGTTGCTGTGGTTCATACACCTCTGGCATGATGAAAACAGGTGGGACCTTTGGGAAATGGCTAGGCCAGGGGACTGAAGCCCTCATCATGGGATTAGTGCCCTTATAAAAAGAACCCAGAAAGCTTGTTCTGTCTCTTCCACATGAGGACAACGGCAAACCAGGAAGCAGGCCCTCCACAGAGCCGAATTTGCTGGCACCTTGATCTTGACTTCCAGCCTCCAGCACTGTGTGAAATAGATGTCTGTTGTTTAAACCTCCCACTCCTTGATAATTTGTTATAATCAGCCAGAGTTGACTAGGACAATGGGTATTTATTGAGAATACTTTTCTGCGTTCCTACGAATTTGGAATTTTAGAAAAGGATCTCAAGGGACATCGAAAGGAAAAGAATTGACACTAAGATATTTGTTCTATAGAACATCATGCAAATATCAATCCCCTGTTCTCCTTCCCAATTCCAACTCTGGGGCTGTGAAAATGATACTGGTGGGCTAGGGGAGGTCCCCAAATGCTGGTGGGACCTTGACGCCAGCTGGTGACCAGGCTCTCGATACTGTTGAGAGAAGGAATTCAAGGATGAGTCGGAAAATAGTGCACACTC
This sequence comes from Homo sapiens, assembly GCF_000001405.40. Lineage (NCBI taxonomy): Eukaryota > Metazoa > Chordata > Mammalia > Primates > Hominidae > Homo > Homo sapiens. The sequence continues at coordinate 25,762,721 of NC_000010.11, forward strand.
AAGAAGAGTGAGTGCGGGTGGACTCAAGAGAGAGTCATGCAGTGTTTGGGGCTGCTACCTTTATGGGTTTTTTAAACCAAGGGGTGGAATATTCATGAAAATTCCCAGAAAAAAAGATGGCAATTTCTCAGAATTGTGGTGCCACCCATTTTTACACTAAATATGGGTGGTCTCAGGACTGTCACAGCGCTGGTGGATGTGTGATTAGTATGCTAATGAGCATTTAATGAGGTCCTAGGTGAAACCTAGGTCAAATCCAACGCCATGTTGGGTCCAGTCAGTCTTAGCCAGCTTGGTCCACACTCTGGTGTTTCAGAGTCTTATCAGCCCATAGCCTCTAGTCATGTGAAACTGCTGCCTGGAATTTTTTATTCTCCTGTGACCACCCTGTATTATTCCTGTGTCAGAAACAGCAAGGAAAATGATCTGCACCTCAGTCTGATCTAATGGATCCAATCGCAGCTGGGTTATCAATGTCCAGGAGAAGGAGCCTCTGCCTTTTTCCAGGGGAGATTCTTTAGCAACAGGCTTTATTGCCATCACCAGCCCAACCGGAGTTAGCCCGAAAGTGACAATCCCTAAAGTTCTCAAACATTGAGCTTGGACTTAGATGTTTACTCAAGACCAGAGAAACCTTCATTTACATCCTTACCTGGCCCTTTCCAGGGTCCCCTCTGCTGCAGGGTATTTGTCTAACAGTGCCCTCTACGCAAGACTGCATCAGGGCTGCACTTTCTGGACCTCTCCTTTCCTGTGGCTGTAACATGGTGGGTTTCTGCATGACCATGTCTGATAGTAATCCTCAACAGGCTGACTGTCTTCCAAAAACCATACATGCACTCTGTTCAAAGATATGCCCTGACTCCTATGCTTCCTTTACATTATAACTCTACACAAATTTAAATGTTTATATTACCTTTAAATTGCATCTCTAAACAGAGCTGCCTGATTTTTTCATTGTCCTTATATTTTTAATTCTGTTTTTTGAATTTAGATTCTGAAGTGTATTTTATTACCTAGAATACATATTAGTGGATTTTATGGTAATGTGTGTCCTCATGCTTTTGAAATAGAAGAAGAAATTATTTAGGCAGATAGGGTAAAGAAGTCCTCAGTGAGGTTTTCCTTTTAAAGAAAAGCAGTCCCAAATCATGTTCTTTTCTAACAAAGAGTAGCCAGTAAAATTGAGCTGAAGACAGAAAGGCAGGTTAGAAGGCTGCATAGGTGAATGCCGGCAGCTATGCCAATAGGAAAAGGCTACCTGGGACTAGGCTTGTTCAAAATGGTGGCTCCATCTTCTCTTCTCTTTGCCAGTCACGTGTACAGAAAGGGGCAGGCAACATGGCCCCCACCAGGCAATACCCCATTTGCATAATAAGATTAGGGTGGAGTGGCCAGCTTCCCTGCGCGTTATGTAAACATCGCACCTGGTCCAACCTATCTTTGGGCTCTGTGTAAATCAGACACCGCCTCCTCAAGCTTGTCTATAAAATCCGGTGCACTCCACCACAAGCCAGAAGTCCCATTTGAGCACCCCTCTCTCTTGCAAGACAGAGAGCTACTCTCCTTTCTCTTTCTTTTGCCTATTACACCTCTGCTCCTAAACCCACTTCTTGTGTACGCTTACTCGATTTCCTTGTCGTTAGATGACAAATCTCCAGTATTATCCCAGACAGTGACGCCGCTTCACTTTTAATCCTTAACAGCATGTATTAACAACCCCACATATTCTGATGTCCATGTGCTCTTTCCTGCCTGCCTGGTATATGACATCTTCCCACTGGCAGCTAAACCAAGGAACACCCACGATTGTAACGACTGGTCCATACTCTTTGGTTGTAAGGAGATATCTTGGGCATGAGTCAATAAAACCTGAAACAAGGGAGGGAGATATTTTGGAAGAAAAAAATGTATTTCTTCCACTCATCTTTCTCAAATTGTGGTGGAGACAGGAGACAGGAGGGAAACTGCTCAACAAGTTGAGGAAACTAGTGAGGATTAGTGCTTGTTTGATATGTTCTCTGGTAGTTGGCATTTCACAGAAATGTTGGTGAGGGGTCATAGGGCAGTGCGTGTGCATGTGTGTGTGCATGTGTGTGTATCTGCTGTGAGGCTGACAGCCTTGGGTTTCCCAAAGGCTCAGAGGTAAAGTTAGGGCAGAATCCTAGCCAAAGAAACTACATCTATTGTGAAAGACACGTGACTGTGGATAGTTCCTGTGCACTAACAGATAAATTCCCCCTGAACCCTAGGAGATGCTTTCCAAAAAGTCAAGAAGGGACAGTCTTCACTTGACTGAATTTGAGAATTGTGGAATTAGACCTTGATCGGAGTGTAAAATAGAGAACAAAATATGATGCAGAGACAGATTGACTGAGAAATTGTTGGACTAGATAGAAGAAAAATCTCAGAAGTGACTAAGTTACACTTTACACCAAGAGTAGAATTAGCCACTGAGAATCAAAAGTCAACTTGAGTTACAGAGATAAAGAAAGCAGTATCTCCAGAAACCTGAGTCTTGTCAATTATCATGACCATGAGAATGTATATGTCACTCACACATATAATCCATTGTAAGCTATTTAGTGTCATATTCCCCAAAATATTACATAATCCATTGTAAACTATTTAGTGTCATATTAGTCAAAATAATGCCTCCAGCTTCCTGCCCCCCTAGTATGAATGAGGTTGATGGAATATTGACTCTATTTTCAATCACTTAAAGAGCATTGATGTTAGTGCTGTTTAGACACCGACTTCATTGTCTACTGCATTTATATCACCTCTGATTCTTTCTGGTAGATGATAATTCTGAGTTTAAGTGTGGAGGAAAGAAATGCTTATTGACATAGGTTCATCTTCTAAACATCAGCTGTGAAAGGAGATAACAAGTCATTTTATATGCTTGTAAGCAAATACGCATTTAATTTCCTTACCCATTAAGGATTCTCAAATCACCATATAGATTGTCTTTCCGAGTAGATAAAAACACCCAGAGACAAGGAGGCTGGATGTGTTTTAGTGGGTCTGAGTGATGCTAGGGGGCCATAAGGACCGACTACTATGGCAAGCATGGTTTTAAAATGGACCTGGATATGCTTGTCTTGTGTAAAAGGACTTTTATTTACTGAGTTCCAAAAGAGAAATGAGTGTGGGGTGAGAGCGAGAGAGAACATGAGAGAGAGAAAATAGAAGGGAGGGAAAAAAAATCCAACTTAATACATCAAAGACTGCTTGTAAAAAAATCCAACTTGATACATCAAAGTAGAAGAACTGACCTTAAGAATCATTGCATCCTTTGGCAAGGGACGATGAGGCTGAATTGTCTCCAACTGGTGTCTGATGAGGGAATAAGATAATCAGACAAGCAAAAAAACTTCATCCTTTTTAAGGCTTTAGATTAAAAGCCTTAAATATTCTTCTCAAATATTGCCACGTCAATTGTTTACCTAAATCTGAAATATTTGCTAATTATAAATACTTTAAGACAATGTTTAAAAATCTTTCTGATTTTGAATATCTTTGTCCTGCTTGTCCAGAGCCTTTGAAATATCTGTTTCACAAGTAAAGCAATTTTACCCCCACCCTACTCACCCTAGATGAATGCCTGATCATCTTTCTGTTAAAGTGTAGTCCCCTGCACATGGATGCTCTTACCAGAACACCAGTGCTGTCATTTACATTCCATGAGGAACCCAGGAATTTAACCAAGCCTTCGCGGAGGCTCTGAAGCCAGCCCTACCATTTCTGTATTCATTTATTTGTTTACATCACAACTGAATTCTAATTATTATCATTATTTATTTCCCTTTTCCTCATCTTTCTTTGATAATGTGTGAAGCCAAGGATAGGCAGGAACCCCAAGTTCTCTCTCTCCTGGGATTGTCACAAAATTCCCCCTCTCCCCATCGCATCTATTTTTTGTTTGTTTTCTTTTCTTCCCAAAGAGGGAAAAATACCATGGGCTTTAGAGGAATCATCGCTCACTGTGGGAACCTTGCCCCCTCCCCAAGCCACCCCACTGTGCCCATAAACGTGCTGCCTGTAACCAATTGTTCCTGTTGAATAACAATGCGAGCTGAGGGGCTTTTTCTGCCTGAGCTGCAAATAGATTAGGCTGCTCCCTTTTATGTGTGCAAAGACATTACCCAGAAGCCCCCAGGATGCCATTATCAGCCGCCAACAGATGGAGCCTATCTGCGCGCTGTCAATCATCCCCCACCTGTGGATCGCGCAGCCCAGCCAAAAAATTAATTGCTTAGAAATATAAAATCGGTGGACTCAGATCGGAAAGGATTAGGAGAAAAAAGGTTAAGCGAGGGGAAGAAGCCGTGCTGTGCCAGAGAACCTTATCAACGTCGGCCTATCTAAGAGTCTGACGTACTCAGCGTTTGATTTGGTTTTCAAATACAGGAAGGACAGCAGGATTAGAACTAGAAATGTCTGGGAAGAAAAAGAAAAGGCAATTCACAAGAAGCAATAATGCCCATTGCTTCAGATTGGGTCATTCACATGTGTTATGAAGAAAACAGAAAATTTGTTTTCTCTCTTTTTTATTTTTTGCTAGTGCAATTTCACATTTAATTTATATGGCTTTATTCATTCTTCATTTATTTCATTTGCCATATTTTTTGGTGCCAGCAGGGAGACTTTGTTCTGTTTTCCACAATGGTTGTATGGGACTATTTTTATAATTCATATTTTCTTGTTTCCCTTACAGGGTTGTTTAAAAAAAAAAAAAAAAACAGAAAATAGTAGTTCTGATTCCAATCTGTCTAAGCCAAACAGTTTAACAAGGGATGATTTTTCCTCATAGTGTGACCTTTACTCCTTTATTTTTTAAAATTTCAGTTACCTGCAAAATGAAGCTAAAAATGATTGCCAAGATCTCTTCCAGCTCTTAAAATGCAAGACTCTAAAAATCAGTTTCCAAAGGTATTTAGAAATGACTTAGACAAGATATCTGGAATATGGAAATAAGGGAGATACGGAAAGCAGAATCGCTAAAAGGATTATGTGTTGCATTATCAAACGTAGCACTCCTTTTTTGGAAATTTCTCTGATGGAATAACAAAAATCATTATTACCAAGGTCGTACTGAGAGGCATCAATAGCTTTAGTAATTTTGATGTAGTTGGTGCTGTCATTACTAACTTGTTAAAATTAAATACAATTTTTGTTAATGTTTTCCTTTATTTTAGTTTTAAAACAAATGTATCCTCAACTCCAGCATAGCAAAGCAGTGCATATTCTAGATCTGAATTGAAATAACCAGTTTATCTTTTCAAACAGACACTTAGGGGCAATTTAATTCAATTAAGAATGAATTAATTCAACAAACTTTTATCATATGTCAACTTCTAGCATATGCTGGAAATAAAATATTCTGTCTTTCCTTAAGGTATTTAAAATCTAGTAGGAGTTAGAATAAAAACAATTGCATGACTAAAAATGATTTAAAAATGCATTTAATTGTTATACATCTAATATACTGATGTTCAAAATAACCCTGCAAAGCATCACGATTATTCTGTTTTACACAAGAAAACATTGAGTTCAGTGAGGTTAGGTGGCTTGTCCAAAGCCAAACAGGCTGGCAATGTCAGGGCTTCACTTTGAGTTCAGATCTCTCTACACTGCACCCTATCTATAACACTAGGTAATACATTATTATTTTTATAGGAGAGATATAAAATGGAGTTCAGAGATGTGGTAAAGATCAGTGCTGGCCAGGTGTGGTGGCTCACACCTGTAATCCCAACACTTGGGAGCCGAGGCAGGCGGATCACTTGAGGTCAGGAGTTCAAGACCAGCCTGACTAACATGGTGAAGCCCCATCTCTACAAAAAATTAATGGGGTGTGGTGGTTTATGCCTGTAGTTCCAGCTACTCAGGAGGCTGAGGCACAAGAATCACTTGACCCTGGGAGGCCAGAGCTTGCAGTGAGCTGAGATCACCTGGTCAATCAAGTGAAACTCCATCTCAAAAATAAAAATAAATAAAAATAAATCGGTGCTGAAAACATTTTAAGGAGGAATGTAGTTGACTTTAAGAAGCTATGTAAATCGGCCGGGTGCGGTGGCTCATGCCTGTAATCCCAGCACTTTCGGAGGCCGAGGCGGGTGGATCTCGAGGTCAGGAGATTGAGACCATCCTGGCTAACATGGTGAAACCCCGTCCCTACTAAAAAAATACACACACACACACAAAAATGAGCCAGGCGTGGTGGCGGGTTTCACTCGAGTCCATGTGAAGAGACCACCAAACAGGCTTTGTGTGAGCAACATGGCTGTTTATTTCACCTGGGTGCAGGCGGGCTGAGTCCGAAAAGAGAGTCAGCGAAGGGAGATAAGGGTGGGGCCGTTTTATAGGATTTGGGTAGGTAAAGGAAAATTACAGTCAAAGGGGGTTTGTTCTCTGGTGGGTAGGAGTGGGGGTCACAAGGTGCTCAGTGGGGGTGCTTTCTGAGCCAGGATGAGCCAGGAAAAGGACTTTCACAAGGTAATGTCATCAGTTAAGGCAAGGACCGGCCATTTACACTTCTTTTGTGGTGGAACGTCATCAGTTAAGGTGGCGCAGGGCATAAGCTGCTTCAAGCGGGATTAGGGGCGGCATGGGAACCTAGAGTGGGAGAAATTAAGCTGAAAGGAGATCTTGTGGTAAGGGATGATATTGTGGGGTTGTTAGAAGAAACATTTGTTGTATAGAATGATTGGTGATGGCCTGGATATGGTTGTGTATGAACTGAAAAACTAAATGGAATAAGAAGGAGAAAAACAGGTATAAAAGGTCTAAGAATTGGGAGGACCTAGGACATCTGATTAGAGAGTGCCTAAGGAGATTCAGCATAGTCCTGCCAGCAAAGATTATTTATTTACTTCAAGGGTTAAGAGTGGCGGTTTGGGGATAGCACGAGGAGATATCAGCTGTGACGGCTTGGAGAAACAGTGTAAACCGGCAGTGTAAACAAGAACAGGGCATGTATGAGTAGTTGAGAACAGAGGAGTAGGACTAGACAGAAAATAGTAGGGATGACAAGTTTTTTTGTGGGCACAGTCTAAGTTGGTCCGGTGTCTGGAATGAGACTGGGGCCTAATAAAAAGGACCAACTATACAGGAGCTTAAATGGGCTGTACCTTGTAGCATTCCGAGGACAGGCCTGAATTCTGAGAAGGGAAAGTGATAAAAGTATTGTCCAGTCCTTTTTGGTGGCTGAGCTTGGTGAGGTGTGTTTTTAAAAGACCTTCAGTCCATTCTACCTTTCTTGAAGATGGAGGACTGTAAGGGATATAAAGGTTTCACTGAATACTAAGAGCCTGAAAAACTGCTTGGCTGATTTGACTAATAAAGGCTCATCTGTTATCAGACTGTATTGAGGTGGGAAGACTAAACTGAGGAATTATGTCTGACAGAACGGAAGAAATGACTGCGGTGGCCTTCTCAGACCCTGTAGGAAAGGCCTCTACCTATCCAGTGAAAGTATCTACCTAGACTAAGAGGTATTTTAGTTATCTGACTTCAGGGCATGTTGAGTAAAGCTAATTTGCCAGTCCTGGGTGGGGCAAATCCTCGAGCTTGATGTGTAGGGAAGGGAGGGGGCCTGAATAATCCCTGAGGAGTAGTAGAATAGCAGATGGAACACTAAGTTATTTCCTTGAGGATAGATTTCCACGATGGAAAGGAAATGAGAGGTTCTGAGAGGCGGGCTAGTGGCTTGTACTATAGCACAGCCTGCCTTTGCTGGTATGTGGCGATTAGGCCTGGTGGAACTGCCATCAATAAATCAAGCGTGATCAGGGTGAGGAACAGGAAAGAAGGAAATATGGGGAAATGGGGTGAATATCAGGTGGATCAGAGAGATACAGTCGTGGGGGTCAGTTGTGGTATCAGGAATAATGTGGGAGGCTGGATTGAAGTCTGGGCCAGGAACAATGGTAATTGTGGGAGACTCAACAAAGAGTGAGTACAGCTGAAGGAGCCGGGAAGCAGAAAGTATATGCGTCAGGTATGAGGAAGAAAATAGATTTTGGAAGTTATGAGAACTGTAGAGAGTGAGTTGAGCATAGTTTGTGATTTTTAGGGCCTCTAAAAGTATTGAAGCAGCGGCAGCCGCTGCATGCAGACATGAGGGCTAGGCTAAAACAGTAAGGTCAAGTTGTTTGGACAGAAAGGCTACAGGGTGTGGTCCTGGCTCTTGTGTAAGAATTCTGACCACGCTAACCATGCCTAGGAAGGAAAGGAGTTGTTGTTTTGTAGAAGGTGCTTGGGTTTGAGAGATCAGTCGGACACGATTGGCAGGGAGAGCACATGTGTTTTTATGAGAATTATGCTGAGATAGGTAACAGTTGAGGAAGAAATTTGGGCTTGATTCAAGTAATGGGGGCTGTCTGTGAAGCTTTGCGGCAGTACAGCCTAGGTAATTTGCTGAGCTTGATGGGTGTCAGGGTCAGTCCAAGTGAAAGCGAAGAAAGGCTGGGATTAAGGGTGCAAAGGAATAGTAAAGAAAGCATGTTTGAGATCTAGAACAGAATAATGGGTTGTAGAGGCAGGTATTAAGGATAGGAGAGTATATGGGTTTGGCACCACAGGGTGGATAGGCAAAACAATTTGGTTGATAAGGCGCAGATCCTGAACTAACTTGTAAGGCTTGTCTGGTTTTAGGACAGGTGAAATGGGGGAATTGTAAGGAGAGTTTATAGGCTTTAAAAGGCCATGCTGTAGCAGGCGAGTGATAACAGGCTTTAATCTTTTTAAAGTGTGCTGTGGGATGGGATATTGGCGTTGAGTGGGGTAAGAGTGATTAGGTTTTAATGAGATGGTAAGGGGTGCATGATTGGCCGCCAAGGAGGGAGTAGAGGTGTCTTATACTTGTGGGTTAAGGTGGGGGGATACAAGAGGATGATGCAAAGGAGGCTTTGGATTGGGAAGAAGAGCGGCAATGAGATATAGCTGTAGTCCAGGAATAGTCAGGGAAGCAGATAATTTAGTTAAAGTGTCTCAGCCTAATAAGGGAACTGGGCAGGTGGGGATAACTAAAAAGGAGTGCTTAAAAGAGTATTGTCTAAGTTGGCACCAGAGTTGGGGAGTTTTAAGAGGTTTAGAAGCCTGGCCGTCAATACCCACAACAGTTATGGAGGCAAGGGAAACAGGCCCTGGAAAAGAAGGTAATGTGGAGTGAGTAGCCTCCGTATTGATTAAGAAGGGGACAGGCTTACCTTCCTCTGTGAGAGTTACCCGAAGCTTGCCATCCGTGATGGTCTAGGGGGCTTCCGAGGTGATCGGGCAGTGTCAGTCTTCAGCCGGTAAGCCAAGAAGGAGTCAGAGAGCCTAGGGCCAGAGTTCCAGGAGCTCTGGGAGTGGCTGCCAGGTGAGTTGAACAGTCCGATTTTCAGTGGGGTCCCACACAGATGGGACGCGGCTTAGGAGGAATCCCGGGCTGCGGGCGTTCCTTGGCCCAGTGGCCAGATTTCCGGCATGTGTAGCAAGTTCCTGGGGGAGGAGGTTCTGGAGGAATGCCTGACTGCTACAGTTCAGGCGTTTGGAAGTTCTTGTGTGCTGGAGATGTGGCTGGGGTTTGTCTCACAGTGGAGGTAAGGAATTGCAACTTTTTTCTGTTATTGCACACCTTGAAGGTGAGGTTAATTAAGTCCTGTTGTGGGGTTTGAGGGCCAGATTCCAGTTTTTGGAGTTTTATTTAATGTCGGGAGCAGACTGGGTAATAAAATGTATATTGAGAATAAGACGGCCTTTTGACCTTTTAGGGGCTAGGACTGTAAAGTGTCTCAGGGTTGCTGTCAAACGAGCCAGCCAGGAGTCGAACCTGAGTGGATTGGGTGATAAAATGCATATTAAGAATAAGGTGGCCTTCTGGCCCCTCTGGGTCTAGGGCGGTATAGCGTCTAAAGGTTGCTGCTAAGCAGGCCATGAACTGGGCTGGATTTTCATCTTTACCTTGGGTGGTTTCTTTAAGTTTGTTGTAATTAACAGCTTTGTAAGCTGCTTTTTTAAGCCCTTCAACTAGGCAGGAAACCATGTAATCTTGCCTAGCTATACCTGGGGAATTTGCCTGGTAGTTCCATTGGGGATCCTTTTGGGGAACTGCTCTAATGCCTTCCTGGAGGTCTGGCTCATGAAGCCGGCAGTTATCAGCATGAGATTGGGCTAGAGAAAAAACTCTTTCCCGTTCATCTGGGGAGAGGGTAGAAGTCAGGATGACACTTAAGTCACTCCAGGTTAAGTTGTAGGACAGAGTTAGATATTGGAATTCCTGTATATATTTAGTGCGGTCTGATGAGAAAGAGCCTTAACGTTGACTGATCTGAGAGAGGTCTGATAGAGAAAAAGGTACATGTACCCTGACTATGCCTTCAGCTCCAGCCACCTCTCTAAGAGGAAATTGTTGGGCAGGTGGGGAGGAGCTAGTCGCGGAACTAAACTGTAAGCCGGACCGGGTGTGAGGAGGGGGGGTGGTAGAAGGATTATAAGGTGGAGGAGCGGAGGCTGAGGAAGAATTGGGACTTAGCTTGGCCTGGCGACGAGCAGCCTGGGGAGGAGGGGAGAGGTCAGATGGGTCTGTAGAAAAGGAAGACTGGAAAGACTCAGCGACGCTTGGGGTTGGGACTGAGGGGACAGGCGGGAGGGAAAGAAGGAGGATTTGGGAGGAATCGCATTGGGAACAGAGGCTAGGGAGGGAACAAAGTGTGAAAAATGCCTGGACGTAAGGCACCTCAGACCATTTGCCCATTTTTCGACAAAAATTATTTAGGTCTTGTAGGATGGAGAAATCGAAAGTGCCGTTTTCTGGCCATTTAGAGCCATTGTCGAGTTTGTACTGGGGCCAAGTGGTGTTGCAGAAGAAAATAAGGCATTTAGGTTTTAGGTCAGGTGTGAGTTGAAGAGGTTTTAAGTTCTTAAGGACACAGGCTAAAGGAGAAGAAGGAGGAATGGAGGGTGGAAGGTTGCCCATAGTGAAGGAGACAAACCCTGAGAAAAGAGAGCGTAGAGACATGGAGGAGGGGAGTGGGGTTCTTGCCCTCCAGAAAAGCAGAGAGGGGGTTGGGACACGGAAATAAGGGATTGGGGCACAGAGATAAGAGGTCAGGGTGCAGAAATAAGGGATTGGGGCACAGAGATAAGAGGTTGGGGTGTGGAAATAAGCAATTGGGGGGTTCTTGCCCCCTAGGAAAGCGGGACTTGCCGCTAAGGGTGAAGGAGAAGGGGTTGAGGGGTACTTGCCCCTGCCCCAGGAAAGCGGGACTTGCCGCTAAGGGTGAAGGACCAAGGCAGGTGTCCCTGCATGGTCTGACACCCTTGAAAGGTGAGTGTATAATCAGAGAGGCGTCCCTGCAATGATTAAACACCAAGGGAAGGCTGCATTCCCAGTCTGTGACCTGCGCTGGAGTTTTGAGTTCATGGATAAAACATGTCTCTTTTGTCTCTGCCAGAAAATGAAAGGAATTGAAATTAAGAGAAGGGAGAGATTGAAGTGTGGCGCCAAGATTGAAAGGAGAAAGAGGTTGAGGGATAGTGAGGGAGGTTGGAGAAGAGAGTAAAAAGAGGCCGCTTACCAGATTTGAAATTGGTGAGATGTTTCTTGGGCTGGTCGGTCTGAGGACCTGAGGTCGTAGGTGGATCTTTCTCATGGAGCAAAGAGCAGGAGGACAGGGGATTGATCTCCCAAGGGAGGTCCCCCGATCCAAGTCATGGCACCAAATTTCACTCGAGTCCATGTGAAGAGACCACCAAACAGGCTTTGTGTGAGCAACATGGCTGTTTATTTCACCTGGGTGCAGGCGGGCTGAGTCCGAAAAGAGAGTCAGCGAAGGGAGATAAGGGTGGGGCTGTTTCATAGGATTTGGGTAGGTAAACGAAAATTACAGTCAAAGGGGGTTTGTTCTCTGGTGGGTAGGAGTGGGGGTCGCAAGGTGCTCAGTGGGCAGGAGTGGGGGTCGCAAGGTGCTCAGTGGGGGTGCTTTTTGAGCCAGGATGAGCCAGGAAAAGGACTTTCACAAGGTAATATCATCAGTTAAGGCAAGGACCGGCCATTTACACTTCTTTTGTGGTGGAATGTCATCAGTTAAGGTGGGGTAGGGCATATTCACTTATTTTGTGATTCTTTAGTTACTTCAGGCCATCTTGGCGTATATGTGCAGGTCACAGGGGATGCGATGGCTTGGCTTGGGCTCAGAGGCCTGACAGCGGGCACCTGTAGTCTCAGCTACTGTAGTCTCAGCTACTCGGGAGGCAGAGGCAGGAGAATGGCATGAACCCAGGAGGCGGAGCTTGCAGGGAGCCCAGATTGCACCCCTGCACTCCAGCCTGGGAGACAGAGTGAGACTGTCTAAAAACCAAACAAAAAACAAGAAGGAATGTAAGTCAATTTTTACTTCTGAGTACCCTCAGGCAAAGCCCTCCCATAGCACCCAGGTCGTCCACTTGCTACTACTTATCACACTTGTAATTATGTTTTAAGTTCCTTCCCCACTAGAGTGTAAGTCCTAGGGGGGCAAGAAGCAGTAATGTGCTAGTAAATGTTTAACAACCAGCTGTCCAGGTTTGCTGTCTCTTCAGTTTGCTGTCTCCTGAAAGTACCAACATGCCGGCTACAGGCTGGTAAAATTCCTGCAAATAACAATAGATTCTTGCAAGCCAAGTAGGCATCCTGTGGCAGCAAAGGGCTGGCAGGGACCATGTTAGTTATCACTGTAAAATCTCCAGCACTGGCACTTGGTAGATGCTCAACATTTCTGTTGAATGAATGGCTATTCTTTTCAAGTTGAAGTTTCTAGAAATTCATGTTTCCTTTGTTGAGACGAAGCGGGGGCCCCTCTTAGGGGCCTGTGGGCCCTCCATCCCAATCATGGAAATAAAGGGAAATCTTGAATTCTTTCAAGGGAAATTCTGGACACCTAGCTAGGCCTGAGAAGTAGATGAGCAACTTCCTAAGCGAGAAGGTAATGAAGCTGCCTCATTGTCTGGGGTGACACCCAAGGTTTGTTGTCTCATGGCTACAGAGATCAAGGACACAGACACACAAAGAGTGAGGTTAAGAACAGAAGTTTAATGGGTGAAAGAAAGCGAATAGCTCTCTGCTGGAGACTGGGGGGTCCCAGAAAAATGGATTGCCAATCTGCAGTGAAAGGCAGAGGATTTTATAGATGAGCTGGCAGGAGGTGGTGTCTGATCTACATAGGGCATGAAAAACTGGTTAGGACCAGGTGTGCCATTTGCATAGGGCATGAATCTCTGGCAGCCCCCACCCCAGGCTTTTATTATGCAGGCAGGTTTTCAGCCTGAGCTGCGCCATGTTGCCCATTTCTTTCTTACTGTACACATGCTAACAAAAAAGGGAAGATGGAGCTCCCAGGGTAGACATGCCTGGCCCCTAGGTACCCCTTTTCTGTTGGCACAGCTGCTGGCATTCCCCCATGCAAGCTTCCAGCTTTTTTATCAATGTTTGCAGCTCAATCTTTCAGGCTCCTCTTTGTTAGAAAAGAAATGTTTTTGGGAGCTGCTCTTTGTTAGAAGGGAAGTTCTGCCGAGGACTCTTTTGCCCTATCTGACTAAATAATTTCTATCTCCTATATCAGTAATAGTATACTAAAACAACAGTTAAGGAAGTTAGAGTTACTGGATGTCTGATTCCCTATAGGAACTAAAGATAACATATTAATATATGTCCCTGAGTTGTTCTTCAGAAACCTGGACCCCCAGCAAATAGATCTGCCAGCACATAGACCTCAGATAAGGGGGAACTAAGGACTGAACTCCAACTGTCCTTCTTTGTTCTAAATTTCTTCCTGAGGGGCCTGGAGGAAGTCATGTCCACAAGCCAGAGCTCACATTCTTTTCTGATGCCTCCAATCTTTTAGACAAAGCTTCCTTTCCTTAACCAATTGCAAATTGAAAACCACCTATGACCTGTAAGCCCCCTGCTTCAAGATATCCTACTCTTTCAGGCCAAACCAATGTGTAACCTTAATGTATTGATTTACACTTTTGCCTCTCACTGATTTCCTGCTTTCCTGAAAATTTCCACTTCCTTTAAACATGCTTGTTTGCAAGCCATTGAGGAGATTGGGTCTGAAGTGTAAGCTGCCCTATTCTTGATTCTCCTTGCTTAGTGCTTTGCAAAGAAATGTCTCCTTTTCAAACTGCACCATCTCAATGTGGATGTTTGGCCTTATTACACCAGATAAGCAGAACTCAGTTCGGTTTCTCAACATTGTGATCTTGTAATTGGTCAGGAAATTGTACTCCGTATCTTCTCGATGCTAACAGTCTGGGGCTGGGGAAAGCTGCAAAGGAACGCAGGGAGTTACAAGTCCTCTCCAGGAGCTCATCGTCACAACCTCATTTACACAGTTGTTGCCCAAACACTCACCATTGTGTATGATCTTCTCAGGAAATATGGCTGAGAGGGGATGAGTAAAATACAGCTATGCTTTATGTCCTTCAGGAAAAAGCTAACATGCTGTATTTATTAGGGCTTAGTCATTGCAAATGATAATGTTTGATTTACTACTCTTAAATTTCATTGACTCAGCCAGCATAGTTCCAAAGAACTTAGCAAGGATCTTGGTTGGAGACTCTACCACCCTCTCTTCATATTTAGTATGTAGAGGATTAGAAAAAATGACATAAGACACCCAAGACAGCAGCCAGAGCACTGCCTACTATTGATTACTTACAATCATTATTATTGTCCTCATTACTGTCATCAGCATATGCGCCCATCTCCTCCATTGGATTATGAGGCTCTAGGGGAAAAAAAACTGTGACGATTTATCTGTGTGTTCTCTCATATGCTTTTTCCATGTGGTTCCCACAATAAGCCCCCATATTAAACATATTTTCTCATGAAATGTATCTCCTCATAGTAAATTGACTGTACTGTGTCATCAAGGCAAATGGCCTCACACTGTTTAGGAAATAGCCAACAACATCAACATTTAGGTATCTGATTGTTATAAGTGCATTTAACTGTGATTTATATGTCCTACAGCTTTATAGTTAAAATGGGAGGTCCTACAAACAGCCATACCCTGGGCTTTACTCTAAAAATTCTCAGCTACTTTTTCTCACTTCGCAAGTCATATTTCTCCTCCTTGTTCAGAATAGGGACTACAAAGCCAGACTGTCTCAGTGAAAGTCCTGGTTCTGCCTTGGTCAACTTATTTAACCTCTCTGTGTCTCTGTTTTCTTATTGGTAAAATGAGAGAAATAATTATATCTACTTCCTCGGGCTATTGTGAAGATTAAATGTTGTGATGTATACAAAGTGCTAACACAGGCTGGGCTCAGTGGCTCATGCCTGTAATCTCAGAAATTTGGGAGGCTGAGGCAGGAAGATTGCTTGAGCCCAGGGGTTCGAGACCAGCCTGGGAAATATAGTGAAATTCCATCTGTATTAAAAAAAAAATATATATATATATATAAGAATTAGTTGGGCTTGGTGGCATATGCCTGTAGTCCCAGCTACTTGGGGGACTGAGGTGGGAGGATTGCTCGAGCCCAGGAGGTAGAGGCTACAGTAAGTCTACATTGCACCACTGCACTCCAGCCTGGGTTACAAAGTGAGACCTTGTCTCAAAAAAACAAACAAAAACCACTCCCCTCCCATCTTAAAATTTTTTGAGATATGATTGATTTATTACCTGGACGTGTCTTAGCTTTTGTGTATATTTGTGATCTTCCATGTTAGGCTATATACATCCTATTTAACCAACGTTTGATGTCTGTTAAAGGCTTGTGGGTTTTAGCTGGAAAAAGTCACTGTCCTTCTGTAAAATGTTATTTGAAATATATCTGGACTTTGGTAGCACAGGTCATGCTTGAAAATGAAGATCTTTACGTCCTTTAGAATTAACTCTAAAAGGTGTTTTATAATGCTTGAAGTGCAAATGATCTATCAAGACAGATAAAAATACATCGCACAGATAGATGGCATCTTTTGAGAATGTGTTACTTACTATAGCTGTCACCCAGCCTCATTTGCTATGGTCGATGGGGACATTCTCTGAGTAGATACATAAATGAAACGGATCAAATGAGACATTTCACACTGAAAAAGTGTGTTGTAGTGAAATGAGAGTGGCCTGGAAGTCAGACTGGAATCCTCATCTTGACTGCTATTAAACGTTGTGTGATCTTGTGCAAGGCTTTTCACCTCTGTGGGGGGTTGTCTTCTTCATCCATAAAAGATGATGATTTGATGAGACAGTTTGTGAAGTCTTTCTAGTTTTATGATGCGATCCTATTCAACATCATCATCAGCCTCAGAAATACCTGGATTTAATGAAACCAGGAAGGCAGGACAAACTGATTTTTTTTGTGTGTGTGAGACAGATTTTTGTTCTGTTGCCCAGGCTGAAGCACAGTGATTCAATCATAGTGCACTGTAGCCTTGAGCTCCTGGTCTCATGAAAGCCTCCCACCTCAGCCTCCTGAGTAGCTGGGACTACAGGAGCATACCACCATGCCCAGCTAATTTAAAAAATTTTTTTGTAGAGATGAGTTCTCATTATTTTGCTCAGGCTGGTCTCAAACTCCTGGCCTCAAGTTATCCTCCCACCACCTCAGCTTCCCAAAGCATTGGAATTACAGGCATGCGCCACTGTGCCCAGCCTGATTTTTTATTAGTTGATAATGTGTTCGGGGTTTATTTTTCTCTTTCTGTCTCTAACTGACTTATCTAATGTAATAAAAAAAACCTTCTGTGGTGCCTTCTATTGGTCTCATGAATTCAAGATCAGATATATTAGAAGAGATATTTTTAAGTCAAATGAACATGTTTTTCATTACTTACTTCTAATGGATTATTTTAAAGCCCGTCTTCTGGCTCTGCACATTAATAGGTCACAACAACTGAGCGGACCTTGTTTAGTTTCCTGGTGCTGTAGGTTTCTGTTTTTGAGATAAGACGGAGCATTCTCATTCTGAGATGAACATTTCATTCATAACTTACTTATTTACATCTGTAAATGGTAATGGTACTGACATTTGATAAAGTTGCAAGGACTAAAACGCCCAGTTCTCAACAAATTCAATGTAAGTAGCAAAGTATTGGCTTTTATTGCTTAATGCTCTGCCCCCATTTAAGTAGATAACAGTAGTTTTTGTGAGATCCCTGGAGAAGAAGGGCACTGTATTAGTCTGCTCTCACATTGCCATAAAGAAATACCCAAGACTGGATGATTTATAAAGAAAAGCGGTTTAATTGGCTCACAGTTCTGCAGGTTATACAGGAAGCATTCCTGGGAAGGCCTCAGGGAACTTACAGTCATGGCTGAAGGCAAATTGGGAGCAGGTATATCTTGCATGGCAGAAGCAGGAGCAAGGGGTTGGGGGAAGACGGTACACACTTTTAAACAACCAGATCTCCCAAGAAGTCACTCACTAACACAAGAACAGCACCAAGGGGATGGTGGTAAACCATTCATGAGAAATCCACCGCCATGATCCGGTCACCGCCCACCAGGCCCCACCTCCAACATTAGGGATTACAATCGACATGGGATTTGGGCAGGGACACAGATGCAAACCAGATTAGGCAACTTCAACATTTCTCTGTTATCCTCTATGTATCCTCCACATATGTAGACACTGTGAAGGGATAGCTTCTTACTTCAGCTCTTTAAAAATGGTACATACTTTCCTTCTGGTTAGAAAACTATTTTAAATAATATTTGTTTCTGATTATAAAATAATACCTGGTTACTATAGAAACTTTAAAAAGTATTTGTAAGTAATAAGAAGTACCAAAATTACTTGGAACCCCACCAATTAGAGATGACTAGCATTAATATTGTGGTACATTTTGTCCCAGTTTACCGTGTTTTTCTATATTCATTTGTACATGCATGTGTGCACATGTGTGGTTTTTGTTTTGGTTTGTTTTGTTTTGTTTGAGACAAGATCTCACTCTGTCACCCAGGCTGGCCTGTAGTGGCCCAATCATGGCTCACTGCAGCCCCAACCTTAACCTCCTGCGCTCAAGTGATCCTCCCACCTCAGCCTCCCAAGTAGCTGGGACTAGAGGTGTGCACCCACCACATCAGGCTACTGTTTTGATTATTTGTAGAGACACGGTCTCACTATGTTGTCCAGGCTGTTCTCAAACTCCTGGGCTCAAGCAATCCTCCTGTCTAGGCCTCCCAAAGTATTGGGATTACAGGCAAGAGGCACTGCACCCAAATTCATGGGGTGTTTTTGGTTTGTTTGTTTTTTTTGTTTTGTTTTTTGTTTTTTGTTTTTTTTTGAGACGGAGTCTTGCTCTGTCACCCAGGCTGGAGTGCAGTGGCACGACCTTGGCTCACTGCAACCTCTGCCTCCTGGGTTCAAGCGATTCTCCTGCCTCAGCCTCCCAAGTAGCTGGGATTACAGTTTCATGCCACCGTGTCCAGCTAATTTTTGTATTTTTAGTAGAGACAGGGTTTCACCATGTTGGCCAGGCTGGTCTGGAACTCCTGACCTCAGGTGATCCTCTTGCCTTGGCCTTCCAAAGTTCTGGGATTACGGGCATGAACCACCATGCCCGGTCTCGTGTGTTTTTAAAACAAAATGAGGATCACGATAGACAGCTGGATATACTATTTTCTGACCTGACTTTTTATCTAAAAATAAACAGATTATATTTTCCAACAGCTGTAAGTATTAATAAAGGCACTTTTTGATGTCTTTATTAATGGCGTAGGGTCCAAACAGATATGATACCTTTTCTCACCACATCATAAGGGTCATGGCTGACACTTCTGTAACAAAAGACAGGTTAACAGGAGAAAAGCATAACAAGCTTATTTAATCAAAGTTTTACATGGCATGGGAGACTTCAGAAACGAAGACCCAAAGACCCAAAAGAAAACTGTCCATGTGTATGCTTAGATTCAATGAAGAGTGAACAGCTGTGTAGAAATTATGATTGGATGCAAAGAGAATGATCTAATAGTAATAGACTCAGTAGGAAAACCCAAGAAGTCCTGTCTGTTTACATTCTTCTTGGGCTCTCTGTGTAGTGTTCCTTCTTCTGGGGTATAGAGCAGGACCCCTCTGTAATGAGGGTCTTATGATCTACTTTCAGACAAGGTAGGTCAGAGAACTTCTTTATGGCCAGCTCATACATAGTAAGGCAGGGGAAAGTTAGAGAAATATTTCTAGGTTTTATGGCTCACTTTGGGGAAAAGGGGTTATGGTTTCCATGACTTGCCTTGAGGAAGAAGGATTCCAGTTTCTATGGCCTACCTTGGAGGAGGAAAAGAAGCAGGAGAAAGAAGGGAAAAGATCAGAAAGAGACTTTGCTTCTGAGTCTGTTCCATTGTCCTTCAGGTTAAAGTATGCAGCATGCCAAAGTGTCATATTTTGGGATACTGTCTTCTGAGCACTAACAGTGGCATAATATTCCATGATAAGAATTTATTATAATTCATTTAATTAGCCTTCCATTATTAAATACTTAGGTTATTTCTATTTTTGTGTTTATAAAGAAAACCATGGTGTGTATATCATTGTGCATAAATTATTGTACACATCTGTGATGATATCCTTAGAGTAATTTCATATCAATGGAGTTGCCAGGTCAAAGGATGATTTTCCTGCCCTCCAGCAGCTACTTGGGAGGGACCTGTTTTATTGCATGCTCACCAGTACTTCAAGTTATCATTTAAAAAATATCTGTCAATTTGATGAGAGGAAAACGATCATTTACTTTTATGTGATTTTACTAGCATAGTAATTTTTATCATGTGTGCATGGGCCTTTTTGTTCCTTTGATATGTGAATCATCTATGTGGGTCCATTTTGTGTTCACAGCAAAACTAATAAAGAACCTCAGAGTACCCATGGGTTGCCACATGTAGTAGTCATTGTGTAAGTGCTAAGTTCTGGCTCCATGAGAAAGTTCCAGTCTTGAGAAATTCCTACAGCAAACTCACATCACCAGCCTCGCAAAGGACAATATATGCAACCAGGCAGTGGATATGTTTCCTAGCTGCTGAGACACGTTGTTTGTTGTTCTTGATATCGAAAAATTTCAGTGTTGTATTTAAATGCAAAACTAGAAAGTCAACTTTAAAAAAATGTTGAGCTCTTTGACCCTGGTCATCTATTTTGGTAACACAATTTCTTTAAAAAACTTCTTGAATGTCAAAGCCTGCATAGTATTTAGGACCTTTTCCAGTGTGGCATGAAATTGTGGGAGACACTCTGACATTTCAATGATAGGTACTACATGACAGGCACTAAGTAAGAGACAGGCGTTCGAGGAAATCCAAGAAAATACCACAGGGATCAGGTGCCTCCAGACTTTGGTATTTCAGACAATATCAAACACAGGACTTTCAACTTCCCAATTTCACAGTAATAGGGTTGTTTGATTTTAAAAAACAATTCAGTTTGCCTTTTCAGCTCAAGCAGCTGGCTCAACCATTTACCTTAGTGAGCAAACTTTTGTTCGATTCATTCACAAAGTTATCCTACAGGGTCATCTCTCTTTCCTTTCAACTAGATAACACCTCTACTTTTTTTTTTAAATCAAATTCTTTTGAAATGCACCTGTGTTGCTTTTCAGATTCAAGTTTTTTTTTTTTTTTTTTTCAAATATGTATAGCACAGGCCTCAATTTAATGTTCTGAATCACTTAGGGACATTGCATTTTGAGGTAAGAGGACTTCTTATTTTACTTAATTATTAAACCAAAACACTCAAAGAGAAGATTACGCTGCTGGATAAAGTTCATGTTGCAGCTACATTATGTGGTCAACGAAGAAATGTTCCATAGTGCCCCATGGCTTTGCCTGGGTCTTGATCTGTTCCTTTTGGTTCTTGATGGATTCCCTACCGGGGGAAGAGGCAGTCCTTGAATGTGAGTAAATATAATATAGAGAAATGGTAGAAGGAGAAAGAGATTCAGGATAAAAAGCAACTGCAGTGAATAGCAGGAAGACAGGCATGGTGGTGTTCACTGGGAATGCCTGGGTCCACATTCTGCCCTCCTTGAAACATCAGTGGCATCCAGAGATGTGTGAGTCCAAGGGAATGGAACACACTTTCCATATGGCAGTGGATCCACTAATTGGAAAGATATCAGACTTCCAGCACTTGTCAACTGCTTGCATATTTCACCCTACATCTACAAACTAAAGACATGCTTCTTGGTACAGCAGCCCTAACTGACGTTCCTGAGGAAAAATATACATGGGTATCAATAAAAAATCGTTCAAAACACCTGTTAGGTTGTTTCCTATACTTTAATCTATTGCCAAAGCCAACATTTTGACTTATTAAGTTTCATTTTAAGTATATGACTAAATTCTGCAATGTTATGATCTTAATGAACTAATTTCTTAAAAGAGCATAACTGTTCAACAAAAAAAGGAAGCAGGCAAGAATGATTTTCTTGATTTATTTTTCATTTAAAACTGTCAAGCCATGGTCAGTATCACTTTTGTTCTTTATTTCTTTAATTTAAACCATGTCTAGATGTTTTCTTTCAGTTTTACCCTAGTTTATCTATCACAGATTTGCCATTGGCATTTTTTCCTTTGTTTGAATAACTTCCCTGTGTTAATCTGTCTAGACATAATCTACATTTATATGAAGTAAATTGACATTTCTCTTAAATCACCTTCTAGTTTCTTTCTACTATGCTTTCGAAGATATTTTCTTTCTTTCTTTTCTTTTTTATTTGTTTAGATGGAGTCTCACTTTGTCGCCCAGGCTGGAATGCCGTGGCACGATCTCGGCTCACTTGCAACTTCTGTCTCCCAGATTCAAGTGATTCTCCTGCCTCAGCCTTCCCAGTAGCTGGGATTACAGACGTGCACCACCACACTGGCTAATTTTTGTATTTTTAGTAGAGAGATGAGGTTTCACCATGTTGGCCAGGCTGGTCTCAAACTCTTGACCTCAGGTGATCCACCCACCTCGGCCTCTCAAAGTGCTGGGATTACAGGTGTGAGCCACCGCACCTGGCCTTCATTCTACTTTTATGCATTACTTAATTATTACTTATTTTGCCTATGCTATAATCAGAGGCTAGAACTGATCATAAAACATCATTATTCACTAGTCTTTGTCCTTAAGAGAGGGTACTACTTTATAAGTCTGGTCTGAGTCTCATTTAATCTTTCCTAACCTTCCTTTAAAGAGTAACTCATATTCGCATGTTTGGAAAATTAATTTTATAAGAAAATATCTTCTTACTCTAGTCTATATATTTTTGCCATGCTATATGTCATTATTTCCAAGTTCCATGATTCATCTTGTTACTATGATTAGAAGTCTCTGCCTTTTTTATTTTGGACACCTCCATTCTCTGCTTAGATCACAAATTCACCTTGCTCTCCCAGGGTGCTTCTTTCTTTCTCCTGTTACCAAGGTCAGCTCTCTGCTCCTTTCGCTGGGCAACATAGGAAAGATTGGACCAGAGATCAGGTAACTGGCCTGATGAAAGAGAAGCCAGAGTGGATCAGAGCTTATTTTGCTTTTGCGATTTTGTTTTACTTAGCTGTTCATATAAATGCTTTGACTCATGCTGAAATTGCTGTTCTTCAGTTTGCAATTTGAGTTTATGTGTGTGTATTCCTAATATTGTATTCTGAATAAAGCTGTTTCTGATGATGTGGGTCTTGATACTTGATATCAGCATAATAAAGCATAATTACATTCACCTGTAACAAAATATGGGTTTACAATAAACATCAATGCCGTAACAGGCCAGCAGCAGTGTGTGAATTGGATGTTTTCAGAATCAACTCTCAGTTATCAGTCATGTATTATATAAGGCATAAAAACAATAGGATTAATTAAACAAGCAGGCATTCTGCTTATGTGGCTAACAGTAAGCAGTAGTATGCCAGTTTATTGACATGACAGCCATCTGTTTATCCTTTAGTGCATTTCACCTTAAAGGAAGAGTTACACAAATTAAACAATTGCAATAAACTACCAATAAAAGTTACACTAGTCTATCCCCACATGACTTTCTGTGTGTAATTTTTTTGTGTGTGGTTTTTTGTTGTTGTTGTTGAGACAGAGCCTTGCTCTGTCACCCAGGCTGAAGTGCAGTGGCGTGATCTCGGCTCACTGCAAGTTCAGCCTCCCGGGTTCACGCCATTCTCCTGCCTCAGCCTCCCGAGTAGCTGGGACTCCAGGCACCTGCCACCACGCCCAGCAATTTTTGTACTTTTAGTAGAGATGGGGTTTCACCATGTTAGCCAGGATGGTCTTGATCTCCTGACCTTGTGATCTGCCTGCCTTGGCCTCCCAAAGTGCTGGGATTACAGGCGTGAGCCACCGTGCCCAGCCTCTGTGTGTAATTTTTAGAAGTCTATTTAAATTCCTCAAATTGGATTAATTTTTACAGACTGCTCCTGTTTTCTGGTCCAGCATCTGATCTTTATATCAACAACTTACTGTTTGATCTCAAGTTTCCTTCGTCCTGTTGATAACAAGCGTGATATCAATGTAACTCCAGAAACACCTGGATGTTTACCACCTGTTTGGTTCTTTTCCATTTGTTTTCAAATCAAGTCTTGGCACCAGATATTGTGAGGTTGTGTCTATCACAGAACAGATCCTGACAAACAGTCTGTGAAAAATAGACAGCAGCTGGCTGGCTGAGAAGGGAAAGCTGTCTCATTGCCAATTGCCACACCAGTCAGATAAGCAAGTATTCAGTAAGTGCTTGCTCAATACTTGCAATCTGAAACATTTAAAATGTGACACCTGTGCTTCCAATTTTCCTGGGATTTTGTGTGATTTTCGCGGCTGGTGGAGTTACTGGTCCTCCCAGCCTCTGGAGGTAGCCTAAGGTGACCGGTGACAGCACTAGGGTTGTGTTTCAATGTCCCAGTCCTCTCCACTCACTCTAAGTAAACCATTGTTATCCTAATAACCCCTACTCACCAATCTGAAGTCTTACAAACCCAAACTAAGTGAATTCATGTGTCATTTCTAGGAAAAGAAATGCCTCTTATTCATGTTCTTAAAGAAATGTCTGGTTCCTGGCTCACACCTGTAATCCCAGCACTTTGGGAGGCTGAGGCGGGCAGATCACCTGAGGTCAGGAGTTTGAGACCAGCCTGGCCAACATGGTGAAACCCTGTCTCTAATAAAAATATGAAAATTAGCAGGCGTGGTGGTGGGCACCTGTAATCCCAGCTACGTGGGATGCTGAGACAGGAGAATTGCTTGAAACTGGCAGGCAGAGATTGCAGTGAGCCAGTGAGCCGAGATCACACCATTGCTCTCCAGCCTGGGTGAACAGAGTGAAACTTGGTGAAAAGAAAGAAAGGAAAGAAGGAAGGGAGGGAGGGAAGGAAGGAAGGAAGAGAAAGAAAGGAAGGAAGAAAAAGAAAGAAGGGAGGAAGGAAGGAAAGAGAGAGAGAAAGAAGAAAGAAAGAAAGAAAAGAGAAAAAAGAAAAGGAAGGAAGAAGAAAGAAAGAAAGAAAAAGAAAAGAAAGAAAGAAACGTCCTTGCTGCTTGGTGAAGGAGTGGTCAGCAGTGACCCCTAAACCCTTTCACCACTTCTGCTGCCTGGCTTCTTCAGAGCAGGGCGAGTTCATGGGACCATCAGATATTTTCTAGGTAAAAGGAAGATCTTGACAGTGCAATTTCTGACTTATTCCTGGGTAAGAGAAAATGGCTTTGCAGCCTCGAATCACTTCACTAGGCTGTTGTCTACACACCTGTCTATCAAGTTGGCCTTTTAAACGTGACTTTACTTCTCTTTTTGGCTGTATTGATTTCTGAAGCCCTCCCAGAGAACACCTACAGGTCTCCCTAAGTCAAACTCAAATTATTCGATATTAAAGTGGGACTAAGCCATGCAGCACAGAGTCTCTGTTCTTTTTGAAACAGTAGCACTCTCTGGAAGAAAAGGCTGGTGGCTATTAAATAGCAAATTATAGGAGCAGGAGGAGCCTCCTTTCATATATGGATTGTGTTGAGTCTATGTCTGCACTGCTGCCTGCACCAGGCCACCACATTGCTCAAGCACCAGGAGTTCTACAGCAAATAGCTTGCATTTTTGTTGGTACTTTAAGGAAGATAGACCATCTCCTGATGCCTCCCACCTATACCATTAAAAATAAAGACAATTTATTGAGGGGAGGGCAGCTTTTTGAAAACACCTTCAGGCTGCATGAATAAGTTATAGCTAATAAAATTGCATATTCTCAGACTCCACCCCAGAGACTGATTCATTCATGTAGAGTGGGGTGCAGGAATCTGCATTTAGGAGGTACCAGGTGGTGCTTATGATGGCAGAATTAGAGCCTCGCTTTGAGAAACACAAATAAAGCTTAAAGTTCTATGTGCAGCATGCTAAAAACATACTTTACATTTTAAGGAGAAATAGCTACTTAAATAATGCCCAGGTAGAGACTTCATGGGTTTAAGGTAACAGACATAGGGAGAAATATATTCACCTGCCTCAATTTCATTGCTTCACAAAAAGATTTTTATTTCTAATCAAATACCACCTTATCCCTAGGAGATTTGAGGCAATGGGCTTGGCCCTCTCGCCAATGAATGAATATTTGGGAAACCATAAATAGTTTGCTGTGAGTAAGGCAGAGAGTTGGGGGAGGGTCAGAATATGCTGGGGTGAACCCAGGGAACAGCTCTGGAAGAGCAATTTTTGCCTTCCAGAGGAACTTACATTTTTATTTAAAAAGAAAAGAAACTATCAAATCTGTGTTTTAGCAAGATCTCTTTGATCAAAGTGTGGAAGATGGATTCAATAATTTCCCCATTTTATAGATGAAGACCTGAGACTCGAAGGTTAAGGAATTTGCCCAGGTTCACAAAGTACATGAATTAGTAAGATTCAAACTTGGGAAGTTTGCCTCTAGAGTCAGCCTTCATCAGCAGGCTCTAGTCCTATAGAATTAAAACACTTTTCCTGGCCAATTGTCTTTGATTCATTGTATACTTTAAATACAGTAGGTATGCATTTAATTCCCTTTTTTTCTTTCTTTTTTTTTTTTTTTTTTTTTTGAGATGGAATCCCACTCTTGTCCCCCAGGCTGGAGTTCAATGGTGTGATCTCGGCTTACTGCAACCTCTGCCTCTCGGGTTCAAGCAATTCTCCTGTCCAGCCTCCCAAGTAGCTGGGATTACAGGAGCCCATCACCATGCCCAGCTGATTTTTGTGTTTTTAGAAGAGACAGGGTTTCACCACGTTGACCAAGCTGGTCTTGAATTCCTGACCTCAAGTGATCTGCCCGCATCAGCCTCCCAAAGTGCTAGGATTACAGGCATGAGCCACCACGCCCGGCCTAATAATTTTTTTTCCCAAAGGGAAAAGATTCACAAAAAATATTTCATGCGAAATCCCCCTCACTCAGCTGGCATTTCCTTCTCCTCCTGAGAAGCTGAAATTAGCTCCTGAGTGTTTTCCATACAAGCGCTGCACCAGGTATGTGTGGGGCATTCCAACAGACTTTGGGGGTGCAGCTGGGCAGCTGAGATCTTCATGAGGTGCCGGTTCCATGGGAAGATTGTCTGTTAACAAGGAATGATGGCAGTATTGATAAATGATGCTATGAAAAGGCATAAGAGGAGACTGACTCTGACTGGGTGGGACACCTGTCCTGAGGCAATGAATGGTAAGGGGGAAAGAGGCACAGAGGCTGGGGGAGAACATTCTAGACAGAATAGGAACAGAAAGATAGAAAGATAGAACATACTGATTTGTCTGATTAAAACCAAGTGTTAGAGTAATTCTTGGAACCCATTCTCTGTTTCTCAGTATCTGATTTCCAAATAATTCTACCATTAGAGATAAATAAGTACCTGAGGTCTTATTTGAATGTCTTTGGCCTCAATTGAAATTCATTTTCTTTTGTCTGGCCTTGAAAATGATGAAGTTTCCATGTGCAATGAGCTACGTGCTTCTGTGGTTTTGAAAGGGTCCCAGTGTAGCTATGCAGCAGTGCTGCATAGATCCTGGAGGTTTCTATAAGGTTTTATCCAAGGCAATTCTGCTTATATGAATCTACACACTTGAAGAAAAAAGGGAAAATTGAGCTAATTTTACATCTATTTAAGACACCCTTTTATTTTTTCTTCTTCAATGATTTTTAAAATATCAAGTAATATAAATATTTATGAATTCACTGTTAGGCATCAGAAGCCTGAAAGTTAGATGCCTGAAAAAAATTAAACCGAAAAAACCATGATTTCTAACTATGTTTTACAAGCAATATAATGAAGGTGGATCGTTTAAGTTTTCCTCAAATTCAAAACTGCTTTCCTTGGATCCTTTTTGAGAAGTAATTTTGCCCTAGGAATAAATCTCGTGTCATTGCCCATACAGAACATCTAAGTTTTTACCCTTTTACAAGAACTCTCTGTGATGCATGTACAATAGATATCGTTTCTCCCAACTTAGAGATGATAAAACGGAGAAAGTGTATTGAACTGACTTGCCTACATTTTTATGTTTAGTTCAATGAAGGGCCAGCCTGGGGTGGGGGTGGGTGGCCTGATTTCCTGAGATGCCAAGACTCTCTTCCACAGTGTAGTCACATCTAATGGCAAATAAACATACATAGATTGAAAGAAGACGTTCTTAATGTAATTATTTCCTTTGGTTTCTTTTCTTTGACATTTACAGATGACTTAATATGTCAGAATCAAAACACGATCTCCTACCGAGAATAAAGAAAATAAAAATATCTTTTTCCCCACAGTTGTGTCTGGCTAGTAGTTGATCCTCAAAAGTATTTACTAAAAATGAACAAATAAATGATGGGACAAAAGAGCAAGGCTGAATTCCATGCATAGTTTCCATTTTCTGAAACACATGGACTGTGTATTAGAAGGGAGTTTTACTTCCAAGAGTTCTGTTTTTTGTTTTGTTTTGTTTTGTTTTGTTTTGTTTGTTTGTTTGTTTGTTTTGAGACAGGGTCTTGCTCTGTTGCCCAGGCTGAAGTACAGTGGTGTGATCATAGCTCACTGCAGCCTCAACTCTTGAGCTCAAGCAATCCTCCTGCCACAGCCTTCCAAGTAACTGGGATTACAGATGCACACTTGTAATTTAATTTTTTTTTTTTTTTTTTTTTGGTAGAGGCAGAGTCTACTATGTTGCCCAGGCTGGTCTTGAATTCCGGGGCTCAAGTAATCCTTCTGGCTTGGCCTTCCAAAGTGCTGAGATTACAGGTATGAGCAACTATGCCTCGCACTGGTCATTGTTGTATATAGTAGAAAGAGCTAAATGTGTAGCCACCTCATGTTGCCTTCTCTGTTAACCACACCCCACTCCACTCCACCCCATGCAAAAGGACCCATATTTTATACTATTTGTAGTTTTAACCAGTTGGATCAGGGGTGGGTACCTGACCTCCCAAAAGCCAATTTGTTTGAATGGCCAGAGACCATCAGATTATCCCTGTCAACAGTTTGAACTAAGAGGCCAGAAGTCATAATCAGAAATTAAAAGCTACCAAAGCAAGCCACAACTACTTATAGTACAAGGGAGTCAAATAAGAGAAAACAGCAGAAGTCAAGTTGCAGAGACGAAATTGTAGTAGCGGTACAGGGAAAAAGAAAGTTGAGAAACCATGTGGCCAGAGAAACGTACACACAGAGAAGCAGAGGGAGAGAAGCAGAAGGAGGGAAGAGAGAAGGGAGGAAAAGAGAGAAGAAAGAAAAGAGGGCAGAAAGGGAAAGAGAAAGAGAAAAACCACTGAACTTGTTTTTTTTTTAATTTTTTCATTCATTAATTGTTTCATTCATTTATTATTGATATTAATATATAATAGATGTGCATGTTTTCTGGGTACACATGATATTTTGATACATTCATATAATGTGTAAAGGTCAAATCAGGGCTCACTCCTGTAATCCCAGTGCTTTGGGAGGCTGAGGTGGAAGGATTGCTTGAGGTCAGGAGTTTGAGACCAGCCTGAGCAACATGGTGAAATCTTGTCTCTACAAAAAAATTAAAAAATTAGCTGGGCATGGTGGCACACACCAGTAGTCCCAGCTACTTGGAAAGCTGAGGTGGGAGGGGATCACTTGAGCCAGGAGTTCCAGGTTACAGTCAGCTATGGCCATGCCACTGCACTCCAGCCTGGGTGCCGGAGAGAGACCCTGCCTCTTTAAACAAACAAAAAATGATCAAATTAGAGTAATGGTCTATGCATCACCTTAAACATTTATCATTTCTTTATGCCAATAACATTTGAATTATTCTCTTCAGGTTATTTTGAAATGTACAATAGGTTATTATTACCTATAGTCTGCCTACTGATCTGTTGACCACTAGGTCTTATTTCTTCTTCTATCTAACTGTATATTTGCACTCACTAATCAATCTCTCTTCATTCCCCTCTGCCCCCACCCTTCCTGGCCTCTGGTACCCACCAATCTACTCTCCATCTTAATGACATCCACTATTTAAGTTCCCACATATGAGTGTCTTTCTGTGCTTGATTTCTTTCACTTAACATAATGATCTTCAGTTCTACCCATGTTGCTGCAAGTAACTAGCATTTTCATGAAGCCCAACTTTATTTCATTTCCTTGAGACTTCCTTATATTGATCCAATTGCCTTCCTGTCCTTATTATATTTTATTGCATCCTTTTCTGGATTTTTTGCAACCAAGAACTTTCACTAGAACATCATATTTCAATGTTACAAAAGGAAAAATTTTAATAAACCTGAATAAGAAAAGCCTTATAATCATCAATTTTCTTTTAGTAGGACTCTCAATTAGGAATTTTGTGCCATTGGTTTAGCAGTGCCATTGCTAGCTGACATTGTTATCTAGGGCATTTGAGCAAGTAAATGTGTTTTATCACCTTGCCGACAGGCTATTTGAATTGGTTTCCAGAGAATCTGGCACTTTGAACTAATGAGTATTTTAACAGGTTCAAAGCCTTTATGGAAGAAAGTTTATTGTACAATCTCTGGGAGAATGAGAAAATATTTGGTTTCTTTGAACATGATAAATTACTAATTTGCCAACAAATGGATACTGTTACTCTGACACCTATATGGATGAATGATTACCTCGCTTAGCCTTTTAGATATACAATTTTCTTTATTGCCAATACAACTATGATTTTTCATAGCAATGTTCCCTACATGGTAATTTCTTATTCAAATCAATGTAGTTAATATGCCGCATGATAAACCATTGTTTAGCTATGACATATATATACACAGACATATAGACATATGTACACATGTACATTTTTTTCTTTTAACAAATATTTGCTAAGTGTCTACTGTGAACATAATGGCATTAGGTGTTGCTTGGGGACAAGTATACATAGGACGTCATCCCTGTTCTTAATATTATTTTTAATGACAGATTGATGATTAATTTTATAAAATGTTCTTCTAAAACATAGGCACATTGTGCTTTTTCCAAAGGAAGCTGGTTTGGAGAATTAAGTTTCCTTTCACGTCTGGAGATCCATAATCTGTTAGAGAAAGTCGACTTGGATGAAAATTCTCCTCTGGTCTTTTGATCTTGGTAGCTACCACGCCTTGCACAAAACAAATGAATAAATTAGTGAATGAGTGAATAGATGAAGTAATGAACTGGTAAGATTATAAATTGAAAAGTTTCACACCTGAAATCTGGTACACTCAGGGCAACACCTAGCCTTGGTGTGACTAAATAATTGTGGTTTTTTTTTGGTTGGTTTGTTTGTTTTTATCTGATGCTTACTTGGAGCATCAAAATCTTGAGTATAGGCCAGGCACAGTGGCTCACACCTGTAATCCCAGCACTTTGGGAGGCAGAGGTGGGCAGATTACCTGAGGTCAGGAGTTTGAGACCACCATGGCCAACATGGGAAAACCCTGTCTCTACTAAAAATACAAAAATTAGCTGGGCATGATGGTGCATGCCTGTAATCCCAGCTACTCAGGAGGCTGAGGCACGAGACTTGCTTGAACCTGGGAGGCGGAGGTTGCAGTGAGCTGAGATCGTGCCACTGCACTCCAGCCTGGGTGACAGAGCGAGACCCAGTCTCAAAAAAAAAAAATCTTGAATATAATTTTTTTTCTCACTTATGTTTCTTGTCTAAGTGCTCAAAATACCCTTTATAGTAACATATACTAAATTGGGACTACTGCTTTCATCCCCTTGTTGACCTTTTTAGGAGAAGATGAGACATAAAATACAAGTTAGAGCTTACTTGAGTCAAAGTGAGGCCTGCTGCCTGGACACACGTCCAAGTTGCCTTGGGGAGTGCTCCCTCAGCATTTGTTACAAGCCAGGTTTTAAAGGCAAAGGGAACAAGGAGGGGGTGCACACAAAGTTGTTTGACAGCAATTCTCCTTGGTTTACAGAGATAACATTGATTAGTGATTGGCTATTCCTTTTTGGATTTTAGGGTATGAGTTATGATGTCCAGCATATGGCATTTTATGACTCCTCACTTAGTTTAGACCCCTCATAGCAAGTAGCTTCAGGAGGTAATTATCTAGCTCAAGGGAGAGTGATGTGATTACGTGACTGTTGTCACATTCCGTGCCTTTCTGGGCCTGATCATTTAAAGGAGCTAGCATTCTTCAGGTAAAAAGCTTCTTTTCTTCTTTATTTTCCCCTATACCCTTGAACAATGCTAGAGAATTAATTAAAAGGAAACCTCGCTTCCCTCCAGTGTGTTTCAAAAACTTCTGTCCCTGCCCCAACCCCCAGATTAAACTCACTAATGATATAGAGCCCATATCAACTCCAAATACTCAATAACCTCAGATTTAGGAAAATTAAATTATTGGGCAGTGATAGCTCCAATATTTCCTGCCCCAACCCCCACCTCAATTGTTAACACCAAGGAGAGAGGCATGGACCTGTTGGCTGCTTTTTCTCTAGCTTCTTCCATTTTCTGTCATGCATCATTTTAAACCCTTTACAGTGGGAAAAGTAATATCTTGCAAGTAGCCCACGCTGGGAAAGATTCCCCCACTGCAAACTTTATTGGTATCTTCTATTGAACAAATTGAAAACATGTGGCCACTATGTGTGGTACCACCTGATCTGCCTAAGGTCACTGAAGCACAAGACTTAGTCCTATCGAATGCTTATAAGATTAGGCATTACTGGCCAACATTTTAATTTCCCTACATCCAAGGTTATTGAGTATTTAGAGTTGATATTGGCTCTGTGTCATTAGTGAGTTTAATCTTAAAAATAAATCCTAAATTTCATTTTTAAAATGGCAGACTAAAAATGTTCCCACCTTCTCTCCTCTTCTAAATCATGTTTAAAATCACAGGGGATTGACTATAAGCATACATTTCATCTATGACAAAATTAGGAGACAGCCCTCACTTCAAACCATGATCTGTAAGGATGGTCTTCTTTATGAGGTGAAGTCAAATTCAGATATGGGGAAACCAAGGAAAACATGCCCACAGGGGTATCTCTCAGGCAAAGGGGATAGAGCTCCAGAGAACTGGCATATCTGGTGAGACAAGACCACAGCCCACTGTCTGAACCAAGATACAAGACACAGGAACAGAGTACAAGGGATGGTGGCTTCTCTGGGTTGGGTTTGGCACCAAGGAGAAGCAAAGGAATTGACATCGAATGAAGAACCACTGACCGCTGTCCAAGATACACAAAGCTGGACACTATTTGAAGTGGTTAAGGGCAGATTTAATTAGTAATAACTATTTAAATAGGAAAAAGAGTCCAGTGTGAACCGTACACAGGTGACAGATATCTTGGCAATTTAAAGGGATAATGAGGGAATAGGAAAAGGGGCTAGCAGAAGCTCAGTAGAGTCAGGGAAATGAAAAATTACAAAAAAGCAGAAAGAGGGTTGGTCAGTGTGAAACCCATCTGGGTTTGCTATTGGGCACTTAAGGAGGTTAAGCTCCTGCCCTCCCACAGAGGCTGGGAGACAGGGGCCCTATCTTCAAGTGTGGCCAGAACAAACAGTAAATTCATTTGTCAGGCTTGAGTTTTTTCAAGCAGGCACCTTGAGGAGTGGGGGGATGCTAGGGTCATCCTAGGGATGTGGCTTTGAGCAGTTAGAAAGTATGTCAGTGCTATCGTGAATAGTGCTGCAATGGAATCAACCCAAATGCCCATCAATGATAGACTGGATTTTTTAAAAAATGTGGTACGTATACACCATGGAATACTACGCAGACATAAAAAGAATGAGATTGTGTCCTTTGCAGGGACATGGTTGAAGCTGGAAACCATTATCCTCAGCAAACTAATGCAGGAACAGAGAACCAAGCACTATATTTATAATCAAACGCCACACCGTTCTCACTTACAAGTGGGAGCTGAACAATGAGAACACATGGACACAGGGAGGGAAACAACACATACTGGGGCCTATTGGGGGAGGGTGGGGAGTTGGGGAGAGCATCAGAAAAAATAGCTAACGCATGCCAGGCTTAATACCTAGGTGATGGGTTGATAAGTGCAGCACACCACTATGGCACACATTTACCCATGTAACAAACCTGCACATCCTGCACATGTACCCTGGAACTTAAAATTTTTAGAAATTCAATTAAATTAAAATTTAGAAAAAGAAAGTATGTCAGTGTTCATTCAAGTCTTTATAGGCCAAGGTTGAGGCCTATTCAAGACGAGGGCTCAGAGGAGCCTGGCTAGAGCTTGATCCAGGAGAGATTCTTTGTCACCATGAAATCAGAGAGGTGGAGTGTGCTATGGTAACAAACAATGAGGACCCCAAGGGCTGCTTGTCTGGGTTTGAGGCCTGGCTCAGCTGTTTACCAGATGTGTGAACTTTGGTGAATCAATAAACTTCAGTATCTCCATTTCATTATCTATAAAGTGGAAATCGATGTAATACCTACACCATAGAGAATTCATGATGATTACATGAATCAATGTTTTTGAAGCACTTAGAACACTGTCTAGCACAATGTACAGGCTGTGTAATTGTTTTCTATAATTATATTTTACAAAACTGTCTTCACATTATTTTGGGGGAAAAAGAGACTGTGTAAGGTGAGTAGCCCTGAAGTTGCTGATCTTGGTTCACTTGGGAGAAGAAAAGACTAAAAGTTTCAATTGCACACAGAACCCTATATTATAAAGGACAACAGTGTGAATCAGAGATAATCTTGGTACAGCTAGAAAATGGTTCTGACCCCTCTCCAGCAAAGACCTTCTCTAGAAAAAACTCACCTTGTTGAGAATTGAATACTAATCTGGAAAAACCAGCTCAGAATCCATACAGAGATCCTACTTAACAAAAAATGAGAATTGAAGAAAAGAATGAAAGAGAAATAGAAGATGAAATACACTGATCAGAAAAAACGTTGTCGGAAAAGAAAGCAAACCTAAGTCAAAGAAACAGCAGAGCAAAACAAAGCGAAGCAAAACAAAACTATTTATCAGATTGAACTGAGTTATTCTGCAGCAACACAAAACCTCTAAATCTCAGTGGCTAAAAACAGCCAATTTTTATTTTTCACTCAGGCTATGTGTCTTTCTTGGGTTGACTGAGCCATGCTTCATGACATTCCTACTTAGGAATCTGGGCTAAAAAAGCCACCATTATCTGCAATGTCCTAAAATCTCTGTGACCTGGAGAAATGAAGAAGTCATATCATGCACTGGCTCTTAAAGTTTCTAGTGGAAATAACACATGTGACTTCCACAAACATTTCCCTGGCCATAAGCTGCTCATTGAGCCACAGTTCATTTCAAATAGGGAGGGAAGTTCAATGCTTCCATATGCCCAGAAAAATAACTACAATATTTGTTTGGGTTTTTTTGTATTTTTGTTTTCCTTTCAACTTTTATTTTAGGTTCAGGGGCTATGTGTGCAGTTTGGTTACGTGGGTAAAGTGTGTGCCATGGGAGTTTTGTGTACAAATTATTTCATCACTCTGGTAATGAGCATAGTACCCAATAGGTAGTTTTTTGATACTTACTGTCCTCCCACCCTCCACCCTCAAGTAGGCCCCTGTGTCTACTGTTCCCTTTTTGTGTCCATGTGTACTCAATGTTTAGCTTCTACTTATAAGTAAGAACCTGTGGTATTTGGTTTTCTGTTCCTGCATTAATTCACCTAGGATAATGATCTCCAGTTGCATCCATGTTGCTGCAAAGGACATGATCTCATTTCTTTTTTATTCCACAATGTGTACCTACCATATTTTCTTTATCTAGTCCAGCATTGATGGGCATCTAGGTTGATTCCATGTCTTTGCTATTGTGAATAGTGCTGCAATGAGCAAATACATGCATGTGTTTTTATGGTAAAAAAATTCATATTCCTTTGGGTACATCCCAGTAATGGGATTGCTGGGCCAAATGGTAGTTCTATTTTAAGTTCTTTGAGAAATCTCCAAACTGCTTTCCACACGGCTGATCTAATTTACATTCCATCCAGCATTGTGCAAGCAGTACAAGCATTCCCTTTTCTCTGCAACCTCTCCAGCAACTGTTTTTTTTTTCTTCTTCTTCTTAATAATAAGCATTCTGACTGGTGTGAGATGGTATCTCATTGTGGTTTTGACTTGCATTTCTTTAATCATTAGTAATATTGAGCATTTTTTTTCATATGCTTGTTGACCACATATATGTCTTCTTTTGAGAAGTGTCTGTTCATGTCTTTTGCCCATTTTTTAAATGGTGTTGCGTGGCTTTTGTTTGATAAGAACGGCAAAATTTGTGAACATCTCCAAAGACTACTACAAAACACTTCAAAATCTAATTTAAGAAAACTTCTCATAAGTAAAATTGTATTTGAATCTAATATTAAAGGGCCTACTATATCCAGGGGAAAACTGATCCACAAAGATCAACAATGAGAATAATCCAATAAAATTATTGGGTTGAATCCTTAGAATCCAGGTAGGATACACACACACCCACACACACACACACACACACACACACAGTGGGCTTATCTTTTTCCTTAGCAATATCCAGTGCTATAAAAATAATTAGAGAATAGATAATTTGTTTTCTAAAGGAAACATGATAGTATTTATACCCAGCCAACTTATTATTTAAGCATAAAGGCAACAAAAATTAGTTTTAAACATTCGAGAACTCACAAAACATATTGTCTTCAGCCTTTCTTAGGTTACCTGCGGAAAAGCGTCAGCCAATCAAAGGATGAATGTGGAAACTATGACAGAAACAGTGGCAGTGAGCATGAAAATATTTAACTCAGAGACAAGATAGAAGTGCTTAATCAAGGTATTACAATCACTGAACAGATTGGAAATTTTTAAATCCTAACAGTTTAAAGTGATATAACTTAAAAAGCTGAATAGAAAATAATATTAGCAATAATAATAATGAGGGAAATATTGAGATTTTAATATGAGCTCTGCATTGTTTTAAGCACTTTAAACATATCAGCAAATTATTAACAAGTCATACCTCTTTATGATTGGTAGCTAAATAGACCCCAAACACACAAAATTGCTAATAGTTGTACGTTTATAATATTTCTTAATGAAAGTAGTGAAATTTAAAATATAAATTTAAAATTCCACTTTATTTTTAAAACTTTATTGAGAATTTTATGTGCTTTTTAATATTTATTTTATTTTATTTTTAGGTTTTTATTTTGTTATTGTTGTTGTTAAGACAGGGTCTCACTCTGTCACTCAGGCTGAAGTGCAAGTGACATGATCACAGCTCACTGCAGCCTTGTCCTCTGGGGCTCAAGAGATTCTCCCATCTCAGCCTTCCAAGTAGCAGGATCTGCAGGCACACACCAACATACCTGGCTAATTTTTTAAAACTTTTTTGTAGAGACAGGGTCTCCTTACGTTTGTCAACCCAGGGTGATCTCAAACTCCTAGGCTTAAGCAATCCTTTTGCCTCACCCTCCCAAAGTGCTGAGATTACAGGGGTGAGACACCATGTCCAGCCTTTATGCTATTTTAATGTGCAAAATTTGTATTT
Source organism: Homo sapiens (assembly GCF_000001405.40). NCBI lineage: Eukaryota > Metazoa > Chordata > Mammalia > Primates > Hominidae > Homo > Homo sapiens. The sequence goes on from NC_000010.11 coordinate 25,799,606, forward strand.
TTGGTTTTTAATATTAAAAAGTAATTTTAGTATTTTTGAAAAAAAGAACTTTTTTGGGAAACATGTACACAAATAATTTTTACTTTTTCAATTTCTAACTTTTACTTTCATTTATGAGTTTGTGATGAAAAATTTCAAACTGCATACACTTTGAAGATAATTGCATTTTATTTTTTTAATTTTAGAAGGCGTACAAGGAGCAATCTTGATAACAACATGTAACAGTTCAGATCATAATAGAGAAGAGCTGAAAGAAAAAAATCAAAATTTTGAGAAATAAATTTGTTTACATTTTTGAAAACTCTAAACAGTAAAAGTGAACAGATGTCTTTAAAGTATAATTCACAAATAATTCTAAAATAGAACCTTACAAATTCTTTATTTAGGAAGATTTAATTACTGATTAAAACAATGAAATTAGTTATGAGCTGAGAGGAGAAATAAAAAAAAAATGAAAAAGAGCAAGACAATTAATCTTATTGAATCCAGAATTCAAACAAGTCAAATCCTTGAAACTTCATCTGCTTTATTAAATGAATATTTAATTTCTGATCAAAACAATGAGAATAAGAAAGAATTATTCCTATAAAAATCTTGGTTCAAAAACAACGAAGAGCGACTCTGGCCTCCCCATTAGAAGATGAAAAAAAATACATTCATGACCTATTATATACAGACCTGCATTTGTACTCTTGCCCAAGAGCTCTCAAATGTCAGGATGGGCCTCTAGAGGTATCAATTATATTAAGAAATACAAATAAACTTTCAATAAAAGAAAACAAAGAATTCTAAGTTTGGATCCCAAAGCAACATTTAACAAAATGATGGAAACAAGAAACATAGCTTTTAAAAATCAGAATTCAGATGAACAATGTAATAACACTTGGACACAGGATAGGGAACATCACACACCGGGGCCTGTTGTGGGTGGGGGGAGGGGGGAGGGATAGCATTAGGAGATATACCTAATGTAAATGACAAGTTAATGGGTGCAGCACACCAACATGGCACATGTATACATATACATAAATAATATACATACATATACAAACACATGTTACATATGTAACAAACCTGCACATTGTGCACATGTACCTTAGAACTTAAAGTATAATAATATAAGTAAATAAAAATCAGAATTCAGAATGTTTGAAAATAAAGTCCACCAAAGACATATTAGGAAAATTCAAACAAAAGGAAAGCAAGAGTTGCAATCTTAAGAAACGGGGCTGAATCAGGTCAAATAGGCATTATATGAATCAAAGAAGTGCTCTTTAAAATGACAAATGTTACTATCAATAGCAAATATTTAATATTTATGACTAAGCACCACTTAAAATGGCATCAATATTCAGTAAGCCAAAATACAAGAAATCTATAGGAAAAAATAGAAAAATAAGAGACATGTGAGACTTCACTCTTCTTAGGCTGTAAAAAATAACATGGAGAAAAGTAAGAACAAATTAAATTTAAGAAAGTAATCTGAAAATTGACATAAATAATATAATTAATATACTAACATGAAAAATATATCCAGTAAAGTAGATTTAATTGGTGTAAATCAAACACTATACTCTCAAAAGACAAAATATACTTTTATTTTTCCATTGAATGATGACAAAAAATGACTACATGTTGTCCACAAACCATAACTAATTTACAAAATGTAGAAATTACATAGACAACATTCTTTGACTGTAATGCAATGAAAACAGCATAGAAATTGGCAAAAACAAACCCCAAAACAAAGCAAAAAAAAATCAAAAGAAACAACAAACAAACAAACAACAACAACAAGAAAAAGAAAACCAGCAACAACCATACCGAATTCACTTCTACTTGGAGTAATAATTTTCTTCACTCTTGTATAACCAAGGAAATGAGTATTGAAGATTGAGCATTCTTAGAAAAATAAAAGTAAATATATCTCTATATATCGGAGGAAAATACATACTCTTCAATACTTGAAAAATATGTGGTATTAAATAGTCATATTTTTTAAAAGAAAGAATAAACATTAACAGTTGTTTCCAATCCAAAATGCTTGAAAAAAAGTTTAATACATGTTTAAAGAAGGCAGAAAGTAAAAATTAATGGTGATGGCAACAAAAATTAATAACAAGAAAAAGTGGGCAAAATTTAATTATGCAAATTAAATGAAAATAGAAAGACATCTATAGATACAGGAGAAATTAAGAATATTATGGGACTACTCTGTCAATACCATGTAAATAAATTTGAAAAACTGGATGTAATGCATGATTTTTTGTGGAAACCATAAATTATTAATACTGAGAACTAAAGAGATAGAAAATCTTAAAGGAACAAATACCATAAAAGAATATGTAAAATTTGTAAAAAATCTACCCAATCATGACATCCTCAAAACAAGCACATCATTCTCTGGGAGATTCTCAGGAAATTCTATAGCAGTAAGAAACAGATAAATTTGATGCTATTTATAATTTTCTGGAACACAGAAAAAAGATTTACAAATTTTTTTCTTGTGGAGGCATTAACATATATATGTATATTTTATATATTTATACATAGTAAATATATATAATACATATATAATTTTATATAATATATAATTTTATATTTATTATGTATAAACAGATAACTAATGATAAAAATATTTACTAATCATCCTCATATATGAAAATATTTATGTAAATCTCCTAAAAATATTTGTAAACAGAATTCAGCAGTCTATAAAAAAAACACACAATATGAGCAAGTAAAGTTTATTCCAGAAATCCAAGAATGAGTCAACATTAGAAAATCTTCAGTATTAAATCCAACACATTAATGGATCAATACGATCATTCCTATATACTTCAAAAAGGCATTCAATATGATTCAACATCCATTCATAATAAAAACTCAATACAATGATGGATATTGATGTCCTTAATATGAGTTGGTATACACACATACCTGCATAAACACACAGATACAAACCCCAGGATCATATTTAATGATGAAAATATCTCCATCAGAGTCAGCAACAGTACAAAGTATCTAGTATCACTGTTATTTATCATTATTCCGGTGGTACGGGCTAATGTAAACATAAAGAGAAAACAAAAAGGAGTAAAATTTAGAAAGAGGGTTAAAAGTATCTGTAGGTGACAATTACATTATTATATACCTAAAAATTCCAGAATCATCAACTTTGAAATGTTAAAACATTAAGAGAAATAAGCAAGATGACTGGGAATTATTATATGGTAATCAAGAGGCTTCACTGTGTGAAAACAATACCAATCAGAATAAATAATTGATAAAAATTCACAATTATAAAAGAGACTGTAAACACACCTTCTCCCAAGTAAACAATGATAAAAAAAATGTCTCTAGACATGGACAAATATTCCCTGGGGAGGCCAAATTTCTGATTGAGAGCTACTGACCTAAACATTCTTTAGTAAGAATGTTGAATAAATTATGGTATAACTGTAGAATGAAATAATACAACGTAGAATGGAGCAGATCTGTAAGCACTAATGTGGAAAGCACTCTAAAGTGTATTATTAAGCAAGCAAAGCAAGGCTGAGAATAGTGTGGAGATTTTTGTTGTTAATTTTATTTTTCTGTTTTGTATGAAAAAAGATTAGGTATATCCATACACACGAGCTACTTGGGAATGCATATAATATTTCTGGAAAGATAGAGAAAAAACTCCTGGGGAGAGGAGTTTGGTTGCTGGAGGCCATGAGCTGGAGGATGTTAAACTAGTCTCATGATTATAACAAAACCTCTGACATACATGGAGAGAGTAAATAATGAAACGGGAAAGTCAGAGTCCTGGTGGATACATGGAAATCTGCTTAGCTTGTTGCTTAAGTGGAATAAAACACAAATTGTCTCATGGATTTGCTATCGGTCACACAATTAACGATTCTCATCATGGTGGCTAACAAACCCACCATAATCAATTCCACCGAGTAACTGTTTTGACTTGGAAATAAATATAATCTCCTAAGCAACAGTGTATGGCTATGGGAAGTTTCATGTGAATTCTTTTGGAGATTCTGAAAGTCTGTTGTGAATTTTTCTTTTCATTTTGTTTTGTTCTTGTACAAAGCCTGAGAAACAGGAGAGCAGAAGGTTTTCCTCTAGAGAAAATAACTGAAGAAACTCAAGTGTAGTAGCAAAGTGGGGGAAATAAACAGATTTCCCAGGAAAGCACTAAGGGGTTAGAAAACTTCTATTTTTGAAAAGACTGTTGGATTTCTAGACCCCGACTATGGAAAATAATTTTTATTTCTATTGATTATTATTACTATTGAATTCTACTGAGTGGTCTGAAAATATTTAAGTGTGTTAATTTTGTTGTCTAATATTTATAATCCGTAGTCTGAAACTATAGGCATATATTGTCAATACCAATACCTAATACCTATTACCGACTATGTATGAGTTCGCTTTTGGACTCTTAAACGCAAAATTCTCATTTAATGCACAACTGTATTTAATTAATATTGGTTTTCTCAAGCTGTAATTATATGCTATATTTAGTAACCTTTTAGATTTAGTCTTAATAATTGCTTAATAAAATATTCAAATTCAGCTTTTCAAAAGCCAGATTATTCTTTATGATAGTTGCCACCAAAGATAAAGTTCATCACGGTATATTTGTCATAGCAAATATTAATTAAAATGTTATTTTAAAACAAAATAGGGATCATATTTATTCAAGAGAACATGCATTGCATGCTTTATTATAATATGTCATTCATTTAGATTGAGCCAAAGATAGAAGTGGTCATGTAATGCTATGCACTTGAACAATAATCTTGAAAGACCGAACAAATCCCGGTCTTAAAAAAGAAATCCCTAATTGCATTTGATTTGTTTCTCCTGTAGGGAACTCAATGTGTCAGGTAGCCACTAACTGCTATTGCCAATTTTCTTCAGATTATCAGCAGAAAAATAATTTGCCCAAACATCTGCCAAATGAGAAAAGAGTTTCAGTTCACTGAGATTTTGCTTAGAGCTGTAAATACTTGCAGGGGAAAGGGCAAGCCATGCAGATACATCAGCAAGCTCCTAGCCGACAGGCACTGCTGACCCCAATCTGCCAGCAGGGGCTACACCCTCTCCTCTTTGCCAATTCTGGAAAATTGAGGTTGTTGCCAATGCACCTGGGCCACCTCACAGCTGGCAGAGACACAACAGGGACACGCCCCAGAAGCACAAACAGTGAGTTAGGATGAGACTGTTGTGCTCAGCTGAGAAGGGGGTCTGACCCATGAAAGGCCAAATATAGAGGGATTTACAGAGGCCCACATCTGAGCTGCATTTTATCTTTCTGTTAGAGAGATTAGCAAGCATATTCTCATAAGTGATAAAGGTCATTTGCCATTTGAAAGCTCTTTTTAAAAGCCAATTGCCTGTTCACCACTACAGTTGACCCTTGAACAACATGTGTTTGAACCACACAGTTCCTTTTATATATAGATTATCTTCTGCCTCTGCCACCTCTGAGACAGCAAGACTATCCCTCCTCTTCCTCCTCCTCCTCCTCAGCCTACTCAACGTGAAGGCGATGAGAATGAGGATGAAGACCTTTATGATGATCCACTTCCACTTAATGAATAGTAAATATATTTTCTCTTCCTTATGATTTTCTTAATAACATTTTCTTTTCTCTAGCTTACTATATTGTAAGAATGTAGTATATAATATGTATAACATACAAAATGTGTGCTAATTGACTGTTTATCTTATTGGCAATGTTACAGGAAAGGGGTCCAGGTCCAGATCCCAAGAGAGGGTTCTTGGATCTTGCAAGAAAGAACTCAGGGCAAGTCCGCAGTACAAAGCAAAAGCAACTTTATTAAGAAAGTAAAGTGGTGAAAGTAGGGTGATATGGTTTGGCTGTGTCCCCACCCAAATCTCACCTTGCATTCCCACATGTTGTAGGAGGGACCCAGTGGAAGGTGACTGAATCATGGAGGCAAGTCTTTGCCGTGCTGTTCTCCTGATAGTGAATAAGACTCACAAGATCTGATGGTTTTAAAAAGAAGAGTTTCCTTGCACAAGCTCATCCTCTCTTTGCCTGCTGCCAACCACATAAGATGTGATTTGCTCCTTCCTGCCTTCTGCCATGATTGTGAGGCTTCTCCAGCCACATGGAACTGTAAATCCAATTAAACATCTTTCTTTTGTAAATTGCCCAGCCTTGGGTATGTCTTTATCAACAGCATGAAATCGGACTAATATACAGCTACTTCATAGACAGAGTAGGGGGTTTCCGAAAGTAAGAGGAGGAAGGCGTCCACCTTAAGTAAAATGCTCCTATGTATAGGATAAAAAAAGATTATGGGGAGATGTGCTCTGCTAAGAGTTTGTGATAAAGGATTAATTTTCTTAATTACTTTATTTTGCAAGAATTGATATTGTCTTTAAAGCAAAATTAGGAATGCTTTTGTTCTCAAGATATCAGGATATTAGGACACTCCCAAGTCTAGGTCTGTTTAGTAAACATTATCAATCTGTTCCCTTAACTGTAAACACCTCGAGGCTAGGAATACCTAACTTTCTGGGAATGCAGCCACGCAAGTCTCAGCATCATTTTCTTAGCCCTCACTCAAGATGAAGTCGCTCTGGTTTGAACGCCTCTGACAGCAAGTCTTCCAGTCACCATTAGACTATTAGTAGTTAAGTTTTGTGACGGAGTCTGGATCCATCGCCCAGGCTGTATTGCAGTGGCGGATCTCTGCTCACTGCAACCTCCGCCTCCCGGGTTCAAGCAATTCTCCTGCCTCAGCCTCCCGAGTAGCTGGGATTACAGGCGCCTGCCACCACGCCATGCTAATTTTTGTATTTTTAGTAGAGATGGGGTTTCACCATGTTGGCCAGGCTGGTCTCGAACTCCAGACCTCAAGTGATCTGCCCACCTCAGCCTCCCAAAGCGCTGGGATTACAGGCATGAGTCACCACGCCCAGCCAACCTAGTTGTTTCTCTCCCTCTATCCACCTCACTTCCACTGACTACATTTAAGTACACTAGCCAAGGAAATTGGAGAAATAAAGTCTCCTCACAAGGAAGTTCAGGTTTAACTTAGAACAAGTGGTGGCAGAATAAAGTTAATTTTGTTGTTTCTGGTTTTCTTTTTTTAATTGATGGATTTCTGCTTCTTTCTTTATTGCTTTCTTCCTTCTACCTATTCAGATTTACTATGATCTTACCTAGTTTATAAGTTTACTGTTTAGTTAGTTTCTTTAGACTTTTTTTAAACAAATGCATTTAAGACTATACATTTACCTTTACATACTACTTTAGGTGTATCTCACATTTTAAAAAAATGTAATGCTTTGTGGTAGTTCTCCTAAATGTTTTGTTTTTTTAATTAAACATGAACTACTTAGGAGTGTGTTTTGGGGTTTCTAAACCTATATTTTTTAAAAGTATCTAATATTGTAGTCAGAGAATGTGTTTATGTAATAGCTATTCTCTGAAATTTACTGAAATTGTGACATATACATGATCAGTTTTTGTAAACATTCTTTGTGTACTCAAACCTATAAATATTTTCTATTTAAAGGATGCAGACCGATAGATCTATCTTCTTTAGAGAGAGAGAGAATTAGACAGTCTGGCTAATTCTGTTTCTTAAAGCTTCAAAAAGGATTTTTAAAGTTATTGTGCTTTGTCTGTTGGCTTCTGATAGAAATATATTAACATTTCACACTGTAATTATAGTTTTGTTAATTTTTTTCCTAATAATATTGTCAGGATTTATTTTATATATTTTAAAGCTAAGTGGTTAGGGTAATCATGTTCATGATTATTATATCTTCTTGGTAGATTTTCCTTTTATTTTTATGTAGTATCTCTATTTATCCTTATTAACACATTTTGGGTTAAATTGTACTTTGCTTGATATAACTATTTCTAGGCAAGTTTCTTTAGACTAACATTTTCATACTTAGCTTTTTCCATCCATTTACTTTAAGCTATTATCACTTGTCAGGAGGATTTGGCTAGCATCTGTTTATGTTTTTATCTAAGCTAATAATATTTTTCCAAAGACTATTCTTTCAATTTACTTGTATTATAATTATGATATTTTAAAATTTATAACTACCATTTTATTTTGTGGGTTTTTTTGGCATATATACTATCAATATTTTTAACACAGTCTATAATTATTTAGTATTCCTGTACTCCTTTTAAACATACCTCAGACCTTAGAATTTTTTAACTACTATTTACTTAAATTCTTGTAATACGATTGCTTCTAATGTTATTAATAATAACCAACACTTATGTGGCCTTTATTATGTTCCAGGGACTTTTGAAGTGTTTCACATACATTGACTCAGTTACTCCTTACAATGACCCTGTGAGGTCTCTACTGTTACTATCTCCTTTTACAAATGAGGAAACTGAGATAAGGAGGTCAAAGTGACTTAACCAAGGCCATAGAATTAGTAGCAAGTGGTGGACCAAAATTTGGATAAAAAAACTTTAAAACTTTATGGGGGAAACATAGAATAACAATTTTAATATTGGAGTATAATAAGATTTAGGTAATAAGAGAGAAAAAAGGAGAAACCACAAAGTAAAAGCTTGATAAATCAGACTTTATTACAATTTAAAATGTGTATTAGACAAATGGCACCTAAAGAAAGTTTCAAGGTCAAGCAGTGAACTGGGAAAGTTATAAGCCGCACCCTTGAAAGATAAAGGAGAGTTTTCCAGTCTATATAAAGAATTACCCATCAATAAGAAAAGGACAAGCAACCCCACCCTACCCAACTCTGCCCACCCCAACTAAAGAGCAAAAAGTGTGAAAATGCAATTGACTAACAAGGAAATCAGAATGATCAACACACTCAATCCCCCAGGCAATTGGAGAAAGGCTTGTGAAAACTAGGAGATGTAAGATTGCAGAAGGAGGTGATATGTTTCCCTGCAACTGACAGCACCACCCACAGACACGCTCCAGCAGCTCTTACGCACGGTGGAGTCAGGCAGCCTGTGGATAAACTAGCTTGTTCAGACCTAGAGGATTGGCACATCTAACTGGGACATTGAATAGCAAGGAATATGAATGACGTGGAGCCACAGGTACCTAAAATAATTTATCAATCAATCTGAAAATGAATGAATGAAGTGGCAAGTAGGAGAAACGTATTAGAATGCAATACCGTTTATTCACAGGGTAAAAGCAGAAGGTTTATATGTTTTCCTTTTATTTTTACAAGATAAATGCATATGCAAAAAGGCATAAAATGATATTCGTATGAAAATGATATTTACTTCTAGAGAATAAGGATATCCTCTGGAAAAGAAGAGACCTATGAGGCTGTTGGGATTTGAGTATAAATATTGTTGCTTTAAATGAAGGATGTGAAAAAAATATGGCAAAATATTTACATTCATTTAATCTTGGTGGAGGGAGTCTGTAAGTGTCTGTTCTATGTATTAGCTGTATGTGCTTAATATTTTGCAATTTAAAATAGAAAATAAAATATGTATTATACATTGATTTGAAACTTCAGTTTAATAATTTAATTGAATTGAAATAAGCAATTCTTTAAATAATTCTGCAAGGTTCTCCATAAACTGAAATACAGCAAGGAATTGATTAAACCCAATTGAATCAATGGTATTTTACCATTTGGGTTTCTGGAGAATTTGCTCCTGCAGGAGATACTTTAAAAATTTTGGGCCGGGCACGGTGGCTCACGCCTGTAATCCCAGCACTTTGGGAGGCCGAGGCAGGCAGATCACGAGGTCAGGAGATTGAGACCATCCTGGCTAACAAAGTGAAACCCTGTCTCTACTAAAAATACAAAAAAATTAACCAGGCGCGGTGGCGGGCGCCTGTAGTCCCAGCTACTCGGGAGGCTGAGGCAGGAGAATGGCGTGAACCCAGGAGGCGGAGCTTGCACTGAGCTGAGATAGCGCCACTGCACTCCCGCCTGGGCGAAAGAGCGAGACTCCGTCTCAAAAAAAAAAAAAAAAATTGGAAGGCATAGGATTTCCTACCCTCTATCTTATTGATGTGTGTATTTTTTCAGTGGCTCTCCCATAACTCCAATTAATAAAAGAAAACATCTCGTACAAGCAGTAGAAAGGTATTAGAATGCGATTTCATTTACTCACAGGTTAAAAGCAGAAGGTTTACATATTGTACAGTATATTTATAGATCTGAGACAATTCTACAATCACTTCCTCTATAATTTGTTTGTTTGTTTGTTTGTTTTGAGAGGGAGTTTTGCTCTTGTTGCCCAAGTTGGAGTACAATGGCACCAACTCGGCTCATTGCAACCTCCGCCTCCTAGGTTCAAGCCATTCTTCTGCCTCAGCCTCCCAAGTAGCTGGGATTACAGGCATGCACCACCACGCCTTGCTAATTTTTTGTATTTTTAGTAGAAACGGGGTTTCACCATGTTAGCTAGGCTGGTCTCAAACTCCTGACCTCAGGTGATCCACCTGCCTCCGCCTCCCAAAGTGCTAGGATTACAAGCGTGAGCCACCGCGCCCGGCCTTCCCTTATGATTTAGCTCCTTAAAATTTCTAATGTCTAGGAGTTACAATGGCCTATCATTTTCTGTGACATACAAGCATCTAACTTTTTACGTAATTATTTCAACATTCTCATTCCCTAGTCCACAAGCTCTGTATTAACCAAAAGGGTCACTGCAACATAGTTCATCTACTTTTTTTTTATTCTATGAAGGAGAAAATACTGCTATTCTAAATCATCAATACAGTCTTGCCATGCCATAAAACCGTCCAACACTTGCTACCTATTCTATTCCTATATGATGTGTGTCTTTTACCCATTCAAGGCAATCTACTGAGCCTTCCTTTGAGGAGGGAGTCTTGCCTTTCCCATTAGAACATAAACCACTAGAGAAAAATGACCCTAGGAGACTATCTAATGTGGCTGATGAATGAGTAAAGTATTGATGCAGGACACAGGCCTGTTTTAGAAAGACTGAGGCTTGGTTATTTGGATAATGACAGGCAGGTCTTTTGGCTCTGATGGTTATGGGAGTGCAGTGCTGGTGTTATTGACTCTATATCCCCTCTCAGCCATAGACAATTCTATAATAGTGGAATTGCCATCTTCTTACAAACTGCCTGTTCTGCTCAGAATAACAGTAAATAGATAAATAAGATCTGGATGTCTACATATATGGGGTCTATTTTTACCATATAATGGTTTCTGACCTCCAAATCTTTAAAACAAAGAGAAGAATAATGTCAGTGTTACACAGAAATGATGGGACTAGGAGCAAGAAGTTTGCAGGCAGATTCCAGGCATGCCACACTGCCCCATGTTCTAGCCAGTGCCTCCTGATGGAGATGCAATATTGTTGCCTGTAGAGGTTGGATATCACTGGAATGGTAGGACTATCTCACAAGGGAGACTCGTAGCTCATACTAAACTAAATAGATTCCTATCTCCCAGCCATGATTTATATTCCAGGAGTAACCTATCATTCGTATTCTCATTCTCCAAGCTGGTAAAATCACTGTCAGCTCAAATCCTAGGGAATGTTTCTCTGTACAACAGGCAGACATTTAAACCAAGCTGTTTCTTCAATAACAGATGCAGGCAACAGTGCAATGGAATCTGGAAGCACAGACATGCAGCACAGAAGGTGATGTGAATCTGTCCTGTCTGCAAGATCCAGATTGTGTCACTGGTGTTTGAATGAATTTGTGTGTATGTAGCAGTCAGCCAACATACTCTCCGCAGTGACGTCTGTAGGGAAATACAAGACTTGTTTGTGTCTGTGGGGTAGCATAGACTACCGCTGCTGTTTGATTGAGGGACATTCAGGGAGACTTTATGTGTTTCCACTGAATATTTTTTTTAAGGAGCTGGAGGTTGAAAAGCTATGACAACAACAACAAAAAAATTGCTAATAAGATTCCATTTGAAGCTGAGTCATTATTTCTGCCAATCATTCACTCCCTTCTAAGTAAAATAAACTTCCAGACATGGAATCATGTAATCTGGAGTTGGAAAGGAACTTCGATGTCATCAAGAATTATTTCTCACTAATTGGAAGAATCACAGAAAATCTGAACATATAATTATCTTTCTCAATCTCTCCTCTCTTTTTATTTTCCTGCTTAGTTTCCCTCTCTCTCTCTCTCTCTCACACACACACACACACACACACACACACATTTCTCTGCCCCTCTGTAATGTGTTTCACTAACTGTTTCTACTTTAACCAGCTTAAATAACAAAAAGAAACATTTTGCTCTTTTTTTGCATTTAATAGTTCTTCAAATATCATGGCATTTGGATTTATTTTCTTCTGGCTAAAATACTTCCCTTTATAGCTTGGTTTCATGACTTTGCCATCTCAATCAGTTTTCTCTAGATACACCCTAGTGAGAGAAGGACATCTTTATTTAATGGATGTTATTTTAAGATATTTAGAGATTTAACACAAAAATTGTATTGATACTAAAAGTGACTATCAGTTACAACTACCCTATTAAATCAAACTGAGATTCTGTAGGTCTTCAGTCATGTCTGAACTCAAACTCGGTTCCTCCTCTTGTATCTCATGAAGCATGAAGGACTCATCTATTTGTGACACCTGGTAGTCCAGGTAGAGAGATACCTTCTTGGTCTTCAACTTAGAATCTGTCTATGATGACCAGGCCATAGTTTCATGCTAGTGGTCCCTTATCAATGCTAATGTTGAGAATGTTAATAGTGTTAGCCATTTCCTTTAGGTACTGCATAACATGGAAGATGAGCGAGACACAATCGTGCTTCAAATAACTTACCATTTATTTTAGACGGAAGGCAAAGAAATAAACAGAGTACATAGTTGTAATAAGGCAAAATCAAAAGCTGCAAACCATGGAATTATCTTAAATGTTTTACTTTTTTTTCAGAGTTTGTTTTTGAGTATATATTGTAGTCCATATCTGCTGTTTATCTCTCACAAGGGTACAAAATGCTCTTTAAAACCATTTACACCTAAAAATACATTTCAGATGTATCACTGTCATGGAGTTAGTCTATTGGTATGATAAATACTTCAGTTGACTTTGCATGGGTAGGAAAAGAGCTAATTGTCAAAAAGCAAATCACCAGGCAATGGAATTTTACTCCCTGAAACACAAGATCCTTAAAATTATGCTGTTTGAGAGGAATTCCTCCTCAAACATATTCTATATTCATCTGACTTCATAAATAGATGAACTGAGCATAATTTAACCTTTCGTTGATGACTCATTGTCAACATTCTCATACATTTTTTAGAGATGGAGTCTCATTTTGTCACCCAGGCTGGAGTGCAGCAGTATGATCATGGCTCACCACAGCCTCGAACCCTGGGCTCAAGCAATCCTCCTGCCTCAGCCTCCTGAGTAGCTGGGACTACAGGGGTAGGCCACCATGCCAGGCTAATTTTTGTATTTTTTTTGTAGAGACAGAGTTTTGCTACATTGCTCAGGCTGATCTCTCCTCTTGGGCTCAAGTGATCTGCCAGCCTTGGCCTCCTGAAGTGCTGGGATTATAGGCATGAGCCACCATGCCCGGCCCAATATCAACATTCTGAACATCAGCCTTTGTACTGAGTGATAATACAGCAACGCTGTCAAGGCCCACTGGGGTAAGTGTAACTGTCCGTGTTATACTTGGGCTTATGCTTTTCAGGGGTTCAGCTTTTGGCTTTATATTGTGACCTCAAGTTTACTGATTCAGTACAGTTTAATGTTCGATATTCTCAGCCCCCTCTTCTGAAATGAGATACCTCTGCGTCTTCTCAAAACAATGTTTATGGATGCTGACATGGCCAAGAACTCTCCTTCATAAGGAGAAGAGTTATATGATAGTTCTTAGCAAATCATCTCCAAATTTTATATCACATTCAAACTAACATCAAGGGACTCTGGATTCCGGGAAAAATATCTGGTAGGGAAAGAATATTTTAAAAGGATAGCATGAAGTCTGAGAAGTGCCTATGGACTGGAATATTGTCCCTATGTTTCTAAATCCCCCAACCCCCACCTCACACTAGTTGCAGTCCACAGGCTTGCTGTGTACAGCCCAGCAAACCACAGTGTTATTTTTCTTTCCTTACCCATGATTCTGCTATTCAAAGACTTTTACCCTTAACGTGGGATTTCTGCTATTTGAGTGATTAAACCAGACAACATTTGGCTGCTAGACACAAGATGGGGTTTTGTTTTATATTAAAGACTACAGCACCTGTTAGTTGGTCTCCCATCCAAGTACTAAGCAGGCCAGACCCTGCTTAGCTTCCAAGATCAGACAAGGTTAGACACGTTCATATGGCCACAGACAAAAGATAGGTTATTATCATTAACACAGAAGAAGTCTTAGGATTTGAAGTACTATTGCATGAGAAAAGTAGTATTTTTTAAAATTTATGCCTTGTTTTTTAATAATATAGATGTTAGAATGTCAAATATGACCATCTATAGTCATTCAATTCAGCATGTATGCATTAAGGGTTTGTTATATGCCAGGTACTTGGACACACAGGTGAATGGATAACAGCGTCTGCCCTCCAGGGGCTAATAGATTGGAAAGGAGACCAAACATATAAAGCAGCAACTACAATTCAGTGTGTTAAGTCCTATATTAGACATCGAAATTGAGCTAGGAAAGCATAGAGAAAAGAAAAATCAAATAGAGAAAGTGTGAAGTAGGGTTAATTTACTTAAGGGATGGAATGAAATTTAAAGAAGGAAGATGGGATTTAAGGTTGGTCTCAAAAGATGTGTAAACATGGAGAGAAGGACAATGCGATGTTGATGAAAGTGGCCACATAAAGCCCAGTTTTGATGGGCTCATAACATGTTTGGAGTGGGGTTTAGAGACTGAGTGGCAGAGACTGAATTAGGGTTAAATCGGATGCCATGATTTGAAGAATTTGGGGGACGATTTTATATTTTAAATTAGGAGAATAGACAAGATTTTTTTTAATTAAGAAAAAAAGTGAAAGCAGTATGAAAATGGCCTGGAAATGCAGAAACTAGAAATGGAGAGACCAATTAAGAGTTAGCTGGGGCCAAGCTCAGTGGCTCATGCCTGCAATCCCAGCTCTTTGGGAGGCCAAGGTGGGAGGATCGCTTGAGCCCAGGAGTTTGAGATCAGCCTGAGCAACATGGCAAGACCTTATCTCCACAAAAAACCTTTTAACAAAATTAACTGGGCATGGTGGTGCATGCCTGTATTCCCAGCTACTCAGGAGGCTGAGGCAGGAGGATCTCTTGAGTCTAAGAGTTCAAGGCTACAGTGAGTTATAATCACACCACTACACTCCAGCCTGGGCAACAAAGTAAGACTGTCTCAAAAAAAAAAGAGAAGTTTGCTGCACTAGTTCAAGCAATGGATGGGGAGGGCCTGATACGCAGTAGTGTTAGGCCTACAGAGGTGCAAATGTACTCCGGGTAGCAAACAAAAGTAGAATTGGATTTGGCTTGGAAGTGAAGGAGAAGATAAATTTTAGGATAACCACAGTGTTCTGGTTTATGAAACTTACTAGATTAAACCACAAGTTGGAAAGGGAAAATGTGGAGCTTAGTATTCTGATAAGATACCTTTGAAATGCCTGTAGGGCATGTAGGCTGCCAGTTCTAATTGTCACTTGGACATATGGGTAGTCTGGGGAGAAAGGTGTGACTGATCACATGCATCAGGTCAAATAGGGAAAGATTACAGTGGATGACAGGGAGTACATCTGTACTGGAACTCAGTGTAGGTCTGATGTGTGTTTGTTAGTGGTCATATTTTCCCAACCCCATAATCAGTATACTTATTCCAGTAAGCGTGTATGTACTTCCAAGTAGAAATGGAACAAATTCCTTTAAGTCAGGACTGTCCCAGAAAATATGAGTCATATGGTTGGTTTTTAAGTGAATAAACAAAATGGTCAAAATTGCTAGAGAAACAATGCAGTTGAAATTGCACTGGGTTGCAAAGGAGACTACTGAATTGTTCATGACTCCTTTTGCACATGAATGAATGGACAGTGATATACATTTATTTCCATAGTGTCTGCATTTACTTCATTTCATCTTTTGTAAGTTGGAGGTTCTGCATAGGATAGGAGCACAGCTGACCCAGCCTTTCCTACCTGTAATGGCCACTGTAGCTGCCATTCTGATTCCCCAGCTGATTGTTTTGGCTCCTGTATTTGGACTGCCCAGCCAAGTGACCACCTTGCACTACTGTGACCTAGTTTCCCGGTACAGCTCGCTCTTCAACATTTTTTAAACTTCACTTTTTTCTTTTTTACAACTTCTCCAGCTCTATTTATTGAAAGAAAACCTTCTGCTTTCTCACTATTTTCCTTTTGGCTTTGGGCTTTTTAGTTCTTATAAAGTCCAATCTAGCTTTTATTGGGCAGAAAATCATGTACAACAAACAGTTGGCCACCTCTTCCTTCCTTCTCAGAAAGGACCAAGGGTTTGGGGACTCATGCTGTTGCAGCAAAATATTCACAGAATCTGCTGTCAAGAGCACTTGGTTCGACTGTATCACTGGTATCTTCAAAGGAGGATGGTTTGAGAAATGAAAACGTGAGGCATAGTTTGGTAAAGCCACAAAAACAGAGCCCACACCTGCAAATAACCTCCTCTGGCCTTTTCTGAGCTTGTAGTCACTCACTACAAGCTTTGTCAGATGAAAGAATTCACATGGGAGGAAATGCTAACAGTATTGTTCTTGCTTTTTTTTTTTTTTTTTTGCATGCAAAGTATCTCTGTGTTCATCAGATTTTCTAAGGCAGGGTGTTCTTTTTCACAAAATGAAAATGTCAGAAATATGATAGCCATGTTCATATGTTTAAGAGAAATTGTCACAAATGTAAGGAGGAAATTAGCATTCTAGTCACGGACTGCAAGCAGTTTATTCTGGAGTTCATTCCGAGGAGGTAATGACTAAGAAAATGACAAAGAAAACTGTTACTGACCATTAGTGAGCAATCACTCTGTCATATTACTGAGATAATTTAGATAAATGCGGGGTTTCGCTGTCTCCTAGGGAGATGGGCTGCTGACGTCTTTGATAATGGCAGCCTACTTGAAGGTTGCTTTTGACAAATGTATTTTTTCATCCTGCAGATGTAAAAGAGGCATGTCTGTGCCTGGCTGTTGGACGTAGTAATAGCTCCTTTTAGAAGTTTAAAAAAATCTGTCACTTCCCTGTGTTTGGTGCCCAGGGACACATGCTGAAATGCCCCCAAGAAGACTTTTCAGCCACTGTGAAAAGCAGTGTTTGGAAACATAAGGTATTTAATAAATGAATGTGGATCATACCATATTTTTGTCCAATTGACTTCTATTCTTTTAGCAGCTGCTAATTATACACTGTTGTTATTTGGAGGCCGGTAACAGATTTCTCTGTTCCATCTGGGTAATCCGGCTTTTTGAGAATGGACTTTTCCTCACCCTAACATGAGTAGAATTTTGGCTGCCACATTTTGAAGGCAGTGATGAAATAAAGTCACAATGAGTAGGCAGACAGCAGTTTTCAAGGAAGAAGATGAGATTTACCTAGTGATGTTCACAAAATATTTTATTTTATCTTTGATATCATAGCACAGTAAATGCCATCTAAGTCATTTAATGCCAGGAGAAATATAGGAGTGCCTATATACATTTGCAGAATGAATAATAGATATGTACATTCTAAGAATATTTTATTTAGAGAAAGTATTGAGCAAATCAGCCACAAACTCCATCCTATTTATTCAGCAGTTACAGGAGCTGCATTGGGGCATAGGATCCAGCATTTCTATTCCAATGGAGTAGGGGAGAGCAGGGTAGCTGTGTGTCACAGCCTTGAAGCCAGACTGCAGGGGCTCAAAGCCAGCTATTGCCATGCACCAGTTGTTAGAATAGGAAAGTTTCCTCAGATTTCTAAAATTGGGTTTCTCTCTATGTAAAAGGGGGTGAATATAACATCTAAATGTCAGGATTGTGAGAACGGCATAAGATCAAGAATATAAAGCTGTGATGACAATGATTTAAAAGACGCATACCCCACTTTGAAATGATCAAAGATGATTTTACTTACTACGATGCAACATCTTTGAGGGTAGCAGGCAGGTTTCCTCTTACTTGTTGTCCAAAAAGACAGGAAAGCAGAGTGCTACATAGAAATTCCAGTTATTAGCCCTCCTTCTCTTTATCAACTATTTTGCTTTTTCCTTTACCCTTGCGCATGCAGCATTGTTCCTGGGGCGTCAGGAGGGTTTTTATGTTTTATCCTTATGTTTTATGTTTTATCCTTCACATTTTAATGTGGCTAATTTAAATGCTTGTTCAGGTGAGTGGCTGCCTCATTTCTACAGATTGGGCAAGGAGGCCTGTGCCCCAAAGTGGAGTTTGTTGCTGAGCAGAGAGGACACTGCAGAGCCAGTCATGCATTTAGGGACATCCAGTTCACCGTGCAAGTGGGCTCAGTCACCATCAAAGAGAAGTACATTTTCATAGACTCCCATATCCCCACTCTTAAAAACTACTCTTCGAAACTCTAAGCAAAATAAAGTGAAGGAAATTCCTACAGGCTGACATGTTGTAAGCAGAGGCTTCATTTACATTGAAAATATTCTAAAATCTCTGACTACATCATTCCTTTT
Source organism: Homo sapiens (assembly GCF_000001405.40). Classification (NCBI taxonomy): domain Eukaryota; kingdom Metazoa; phylum Chordata; class Mammalia; order Primates; family Hominidae; genus Homo; species Homo sapiens. Next base: position 25,818,225 of record NC_000010.11, read on the forward strand.
AGGCATGCTATCTCATGGTAGTGTTTGAGGATTTCATGCATATTTTTGAGATTTTATTGTTTTTAATCAAAATAGAGGATCTATTAGTTTTAGTTCAATGAGCTAAAGATTTTTACCTTCAAAGCATCTAATGCAGAATTGGCCAATCTCAGAGGCACATTAAAATCACCTAGAAAGTCTTTTTCTTTGCTCTATTTGTTTTGGTTTTATTTTAAATGTAGATTCCCAGGCTGTTGCCTGGGCCATTTAAATCCAAATCACTGGGCATGGGTGCTGGCATTCATAGGCTGTAAAAGCTCCCCATAGGCTTCTAATTTATGACCAGGGTTAAGAATCACAGATATAACGATTTCCAGCTTTGTCTCAATTGCATTAGGGCCAGCACCTAATTTTTATGAAAAAAATGATATCACAATTAAAAAAAAAATTCATTGCAAAGCATTCCTTACAGATAGCAGCACTGCTGAAATGAAACTGTTGACCTGAACAGTAATCACCTAAAATTCTGCTCTCTCAACTGATGTATGAAAGTCTTAATTCAATATACAAAGCCCTCAAAACCCCAATGTCTCCCATCTCGTACAGGGTAAAAGCCAAGACTCCTACAATGGCCCACAGTAACTACAACCTCCTCCCTTTATCGCTCTGATGTCAGCTCCTCTCCTCTCTACCTTGTTTGCCTCTGCTACAGCCAACCCACCTCCCTCCTCTCGCCAGCCTGCCAGATGCGCTCCTGCCTCTGACGTTTGTATTACAACCATCCCCTCCTCCTGGAATGCGCTGCCTTAGACACCTAACTGGCTAAGGCCCTCGTGCTCTTCCAGTCTTTTCTTCAAGTGGCACCGTTGAAATAAAACCTGACTGCCTATTTAAAACTTGAAACCCACATTCTACTTGCCTCCGTGGCATTCTTGATGCCTATCTTTCTATTTCATTTTTTTTTCCTATAGCATTTCTCAGCTTTGAACACACTGTAGAATTTACCCCATTATCATGTTTATGATTAATTGCTTCAGAATGTATATTCCACAAAGACAAGGATCTTTGTCTGTTCCACCGATATATCCCAACTGTCTGGAAAAGCACCTGCTACATGTACCCAATTAGTGCATCATTATTGGTTTATTTTTTACTTTTTAGGGGTCATGCTCATCTTCTCCGTATTGTTCCCATTTTAGTATATGTGCTGCCAAGGCAAGCACTGCATCATTGCTGCATGAATGAATGAAATGCCTGTCTGGACTTCCAATACTCAAGTCCTGCTGGATTCCCTGGATAAGGCCCAGGGCCTGCCCTGTAATTATTTTAGCATTCCAGACTTCTGCTTTCTAGCCTAGTAGCTACCTATTGTCTAGGCCTGGTAGGGAAAAGTTAAGGACGAATCCTAGCCCACAGCCACTGTAATTGTTTTTATTTTGAATGGGAAATTATTTATTTATTTATTAAATTTTATACTTCCACAGGTTTTTAGGGAACAGGTGGTGTTTGGTTACATGAATTAATTCTTCAGTGGTGATTTGTGAGATTTTGGTGCACACATCTCTCAAGCAGTATACATTGAACCCAATTTGTGGTCTTTTATCCCTCACCCCCTTCCCACTCTTTGTCCCCGAGTCCCCACAGTCCAGTGTGTCATTCTTATGCCTTTGCATTCTCACAGCTTAGCTCCTGCTTATGAAAGAAAACATATGATATTTGGTTTTCCATTCCTGAGTTACTTCACTGAGAATAATAGTCTCCAATCCCATCCAGGTTGCTGCGAACACAGCCACTCTAATTCTGCTTTTGCTGTTTTATTGCTGACGTACAGATTGAGGAAAATCTAAATTGAACTACTCCCTACAGAAGCAAAGTTTTAGCTCTATGACTTTGGAAGGTATTCCATGATATCCCCTTGGCTTAATTATAGTCTGTTTTATATCTTAGATCTTGTTCTTTGAGGGAGAGAGAAGCTTTCCTTAAACAGAAATCTTTTAACTCTTAGTAGGGACAGTAGAACTAATGACTGATGAGTGGAACCATTAGTAGGGAAGTAGATTCAATTCAACATTATTTACTGGGCAAAATTCCTATCAGAAGATTTATTTCTTAGCCTGATTTCAATCCAAATGAAAAAATGTTACGGAGGTAGAGAAATCTAAGTATTCAACCTAATTTCCTATAATTGAATTAATGGCTTTTGCCTCACCTCCTGCATCTGACTCACATTCGTCTCGAGAACGTTGCTCCACAGAAACCCCTGGTTCAAAGCAGCAAAATCTGTCCTCTCAGGAAAACAAAGGCTTGAGCTTTTTGTTTTGTTTATTTTTTTCATTTTTCCATCATCAGGATGAGAGCTCATCTTCAGGAAATACAATGATGTCAGAAACTCGAATTGGCTCTTAGCGGGGTTTTCCAATTTCAATATGTGGTTTTAGGAGGAAAAAGCTGTCCTATCAGCCCATCTTAGCAATCTGAGTAATAGAGGGGAAAATTGCAGTGAAAGATATGTAGCTTTGAGTACACACATTCTTTTTGCTCCCCAGGTTTGACACATTATGGAATAACCTTTTAGAGAAATTACAAAGCTTTCATCTTGCCCCTTCCTACTTATATGTGGATAGCTGGGGAGAGAAGAAAATTATGTGCAGTTACAAAGCATTGACTTTTTAGTTTGCAGGGTTTTTTCCCCTTTGATATAGCTGTATTTGCCCATTTCTTTCATCCTTCATGTAATTTGATGGAAGTGGCCATTCGGGGCATGGCAGGGAAGGATGAAGAGAAAGAAAACACTCTTTTTATTAAGGCGATGAGAATTGAAACTGAAACAGGAAGATGAGCTAGCATTATCCGAACAATGGCCCCTGGAAGGTTCTGGTTCCTGCTTAACTCAGAACAGCCGAGTGGGCAGAAATAATAAGGAGGCAGAGGTCATACGGCATTTCTCTCAAACTCTGGCACAGAAGTGAGCAATGAGTGCCTTCAGCTGTTGCCTCAGCATGAGGGGAGGCGAGAACCGACTATTCAGATTGCCAAGTGAACCTGAAATTTGTAAATTAATACGTGCAGATGGGAGGAAGTAATTGGGACCAGCTCTTCCTGTGCATCAAGGGGCATCTGGAAGTCTTTCCAGTTCTGGGGCAGTTATGCAATGGGGGTGAGGCTGAGTTTGGGTGTTATCTTACTTCCCCTTTCGGAGCCCCCAGCCTCATCATTAGGGCTGCTCATTTTGTGCCAGGCTGTGACCTTTATTGCGTTGAGACTGGACCCTACTTAAAAATGAGGTTGTAAAGGTTTTACATGTCTACCTCTGTTCCTCTTCAGGGTATATGTATGTGTGTGTATATGTGTGTGTGTGTGTGTGTGTGTGTGTGTGTGTGTGTGTGTGTGTATTAGACAGAGTCTCTGTTGCCCAGGCTGGAGTGCAGTGGCACAATCTCGGCTCACTGCAACCTCAGCCTCCTGGGTTCAAACGATTCTCCTACCTCAGCCTCCCGAGTAGCTGGGATTACAGGGGCCCGCCACCACACCCAGCTAATTTTTGTATTTTTAGTAGAGACGGGGTTTCACCATGTTGGTCAGGCTGCTCTCGAACTCCTGACCTCAAGCAATCCACCTACCTCGGCCTCCCAAAGTGCTGGGATTACAGGCGTGAGCCACCACACCTGGCCTTCTTCGGGGTATTCTTAGTGACTAAAATCAGCTTTCAAAGCCCAATCTCTCCTTGAACCACTGCAGGGCATAGTGAGGATGTTGTGGGTGAAGAAGGCCTGTATGATGCCTCTCGGGTCACTACAGTAGGCTGTGGCTTCTTTGTGCTACCCCTGGAGCCATAAACAAAGCTCCAAGTGAGTCTGTTACTACACAAAGTTTCCCATCACGTTTCATTTTAAATTTTATTTCTATTTTTTAGAGACAGGGGTCTTGCTCTGTCACCCAGGCTGGTGATCACTGCAGCCTCAAGTTCCTAGGCTCCGGTGATCCTCCCACCTCAGCCTCCTGAGTAGCTGGGACTACAGGTGAACGCCACCAGGCCAGGCTAATTTTTTAAACATTTTTTGTAGAGGCGGAGTCTCGCTCTGTTGCCCAAGCTGTCCCATCATACTTCAAATCTGTATTGGTGCTTTCTATTTCCATTTACTACCCCAGTATCTAATCAAATCACCTTAACCCCAGGCACTGACACCCCACAATGATGGATTCTGGGACAACAGACAAAACTATTGCAAAAGTTATTAACTCAAAGTGATAGGAAAATTAGGTCCCTGGATGGTCTCACAACTTCAGGTGAGGAAGGTTTCTAGAGCTGCTTTGTCTCTGGAGAATGAGATACAACAATAAAAAGATACTCACATCATATAGCACTTATTGTAGGAAGGAAATAATGAAGGGCTAATCCAGTGCTATAGATTGTGAGTTGAGAAAATGAGGCTTGGAAAAACAAAATAACTTTCCCAGCCACTCAGGCCTTGTGTATTAGAGTCAGGTGGGAGCCCAGATCCCTGAACCCTCTGTTCTGTTTTCTTTTCAATGAATCATGAGAACCTTTAACATGTACTATCTTTTTAGAGAACCAACATATTTTTTATTCATTTATTTTTTTGAGATGGTGTCTTGCTCTGTTGCCCAGGCTGGAGTGCAGTGGCAACACCTCGGCTCACTGAAACCTCCACCTCCTGAGTTTGAGCGATTCTCGTGCCTCAGCCTCCTGAGAAGCTGGGACTACAGACATGCACCACCATGCCTGGCTAATTTTTGTATTTTCAGTAGAGACGGGGTTTCTCCATGTTGGCCAGGCTGGTCTCAAACTCCTGACCCCAGGTGATCTGCCCACCTCGGCCTCCCAAAGTGCTAGGATTATAGGCGTGAGCCACCATGCCCAGCCAAGAACCAACTTTATCATCATGCACTGGGGGCTCTCAGCTTGAGTATGAGCTGTGCTCACTGCTGAGAGACTCACAAACCTGGCCATGTCCCTAGGGTTGGTAACATGAGCCAGCCAAGAATTTCTTTGAACAAAGAATCTCAAATTTTGCAAAATAACTCATCCTAAGCAGGAGTGAATTAAGGCTCCGCAATAGGGCTAATAAGAATGTCTTATGTTCAAAGGAGAAAGGCGATTTTTCGTCAGTCAGCATTCATCTTTCAATTCAATCTTTATTGATTCATTCTTGAGTTGAGGGAGGCAACTGTATTCTCATAAGAATTTACTTAGGAGCAAAAATCAGGGAATAGATGTCTCCCCGCCTTAACCCAGGGTGTCACTGGAGTGATATAAGCCAAAGGTTATGGGTAGGAGGTAGCACTACCCCATTTTCTGTTTCTTACTCAGTCTATATGAACACCACCACTTGAAGTTGTGCAGTGCACAACCTGTGCAGCCAGGTGCAGAGGTCTTTGTTTGGAGTATACTAAAAAAAAGTTTTTTTTTTAGAGACGGGGTTTTGTTATGTTACCCAGGCTGTTCTCGGACTCCTGGCCTAAAGCTATCCTCCTGCCTCAGCCTCCCAAAGTGTTGGGATTACAGGTGTGATCCACTGTGCCTGGCTAGGATATAAAGTTATTCTCACTGGTGAACTAGGAGACATTAACGGATGGGAAAAGGATAAAACTTGACTCAGTCATTAATAGCTGAGAAACCTTAAGTACATTATATCAACTTTCTGGGGCTCAGTTTTCTCACCTATAAAATGGATGTCTTAAATGAAGTCATACATTCTCAGTAGTTAAAATTATATGACTGGTTGCACCAATCCACACCTTTTGCTATTGTAGAGGGAGTGTATTAGTCCATTCTCGCACTGCTATAAAGAAATACCTAAGACTGGGTCATTTATAAAGAAAAGAGGTTTAATTGGCTCACAGTTCTGCAGGCTGTACAGGCATGGCACTGGCATCTGCTCAGCTTCTGGTTAGGGCTCAGGAAGCTTTTACTCATGGTGGAAGGCAAACCCGGAGCTTGCATGTCACATGGTGAAAGCAAGAGCAAGAGAGAGAGAATGGAGAGCCGGGGTCACCCACTTTTAAATGACCAGATCGTGCAAGAACTCCCCCTACTGTGAAGACAGAACCAAGTCATGAGGAATCTGCCCCCAGGACCCAAATACCTCCAGCATTGGGAACTACAATTCAGCATGAGATTTGGGCAGGGACAAATATCTAATCTGTATCAGGGAGAGATCACTGTGTCTGTGAAAATCGTTTTTTGGGGCAGCACACTGGCCCATTTGAGAACTTTTTTGCCCACCCTATGGATCATTTCTCAGGAAGAAACTTCCCGAAACAGGCATCATTTTGCAGGTAAGTCAGAGTTGCTGGAGTGATGGCTCAGCCTCAGCATCTCACAATAGACTTTTGATTATCACCCTGGGTGTCACGAGCAGGGGTTGAGTCAGCTGTGCCTCCTGCTAAATAAAGGTCTGGTCGTGCCTGCACCCTGACAGGACCCCTCCCCTTGACTTCAGAGATGTGACTTAGGCAGGAGAGAGCACAGGGAGCTGCAGGGTTGATCATCGGCTGCATCCCGGCGTCAGGAAACAGCGCAGTGAAGAGACTTCTCTGATTTTATGTTCTCTGCACCGTTGTCAGATGCTATGTTCAATCAGGTGTCCCAACAGTATGGCCACTGCAAAGAGAATTCTGTATAGCCACTCCCACGCATGTGCCCATTTCCTTTGGAAAATGAACTGTGTTCATAGAAATGTCTCTTAGGATATTAAGATGAAGAAAGAAGACTGGGTCCTTTGATACATGCAACAAAAAGATTCTTTGACTGCCATTTAACGTGTTCTAGAATATAAGGATGTTGGAAAGCTCTCAAATTCTTTGTGGTAAAGCCAGAATAACAGTAATATAAAAATCAGATGAAGGTATGCAAAAAGAAAACCTGAAAGCCCTCTCACTTTTGAATAAATATCAAAGGGAAAAGTTTAAATGAAATAACACTAAATAGAACTGATCAGTCGTAAGCTAACAGAATCATATCCTAGGACAAATAGGGTTTAGCATAGAGATTGAGCCCTGTGTAAATGCTGTCTCTGCCATTTAATAGCTGGATGATCTTGGGCAAATTACTAAACCTTTCTGTGCCTCTATTTTCTTATCTGTAAAATGAGGATAATTATAGTACCTACCTGATCAAATGGTTGTGTGGATGAAATTAGTTAATGTGTATGAAGGGCCTGGCACATGGCAACTTAGCTTTTATTTTGCCTATTGTTTATTATTTTATTTTATTAACAAACAAAAGCTAAGTCGCCATGTGCCCAGGGCCTTCATACACATTAACTAATTTAATCCACAAACAATCCGATCAGGTAGGTACCGTAATTAATGGGTGCCATAATTATCCCCATTATTAACTAGTTCCAGAAATATAAGGTATAAGTCAGGGGTCTAACTTTTTTTCTCAAATGAAATGATCATTTGTTTCAGCACACTTTATTAAATAATGGTTTATTTTCTGACTTATTTGAAATAATGAGCTTTACCACATTCTAAATATCAGACTCCTTCCTTTCTATTCTGTCACCTGTATTAGAAAGTCTATTCTTGAACCAGCAACATACTGTTTAAATCATATTTTTAAAACGTTTTAATAACTTGTACAATATCTCCCTCACAAGCAACTTACTTATTGTAAATTGTTTGGGTAATTTGCCCTTTTCTTCTGATAATGTGAAAAGGAAACTACAAACCAATTCCAATTACATGTAACGAAGTAAAAAGCTTAAATAATAGTAAATACCTATCAGGTTTTATTATTTTTCTAATGTAAAATTATTTAAATGATATTTGATATCTTTACTATATTCCAGGAAAATGATATGTTGATGGTCCAAGTGTTCCTTTAATTATCTCAGTAGGTTTTAAGTGTTCTTATAATGACTCTTTTATCTTTATTGTTAAATTGATGATTTGTTTTATCATTAGAGTAAATTGGTACTTCCTCCCTGGTATATACATGTTCTAACTGGTCATTATCCATATATATCTATTGTCCATTAATGTTATATAGTTAGTTTTTTAAATACATGGCTTTGTCTTTTTTTAGTTTTAGCATGTTTTTCTCCTTGAATTTACTTTATTGAGCTTTTAAGATAATCATATCACCTATAAATAATGAAAATTCCACTGTCTGAATTCCAGCTTATATACTCCTCTTATTCTTGACTAGTGAATGCTAGAATTTATAGAGCAATGTTAAATAATAGTAATAACTCCCCAACAGCTTTTTTTCCAGACTTGAACAATTATGTGCCTGCGTTTTTTTACTGTTAAGGGTATTAGGTTTGCACTGAGATGCATTTAGTAAGCTATTTGATAAAAATATTTCTTAAAACTTAGCTTAATAATACAATTTTTAAATCAAATACAGAGGTTACATTTTCAAATGCCTTTTCACTTTCTGATAATTTTCTCCTTTTACTGATTTATGAAATATAATATTTTCTTTTACATTAAATGATCCTGGCATTCTGAGAATATCTAAGAATAAACAACATTAATTAATGTTTAACTTGGAAATTTTTGCATTTGTAATAACATGTATGATTGAACTTTATTTTTATTTATTTATTTTTTTGAGATGAAGTCTTGCTCTGTCACCCGGGCTGGAGTGCAATGGTGCAATCTTGGCTCACTGCAACCTCCACCTCCCGGGTTCAAGTGATTCTCTGGCCTCAGCTTCCCAAGTAGCTGGGATTACAGGCACCCATCATCACTCCCAGCTAATTTTTATATTTTTGTAGAGACGAGGTTTTACCCTGTTGGCCAGGCTGGTCTTGAACTCCCAAAATCCTGGGATTACAGGTGTGAGCCACCATGCCTGGCCTGATTGAACTTTAAATATGTTTGCACTGGCTGTATCAGATTTGTAATTCACTATTCTGGCAGAATCATAAATGAGTTTTTCTTTTAATTCCCTTCTCTTTCTTTTCATGTTCTGGATCATTTTGTATAGTAAATAGTTACTGTTCTTGAAAATATCTTAAGAGCGCACTGGTAGAATTATGTGGAGCCGGCGCCTTTTGCGAGATAATTATTTTTACAATACTTTTAATTTCCTCCCTTACTGTTGGTCTATTAAGGTTACCTATTTTTTGAGTTAATGATGGCAGTTTATTTTTTTAAGGAAAATTTTAACACTGATATTTTCAATTTATTATAAAGCATAATATTCTACAAAATGTGTTAGTGTCATAATTGGCATTCTATCTGATATGACATTATTTTGGTTTCACATTTGCTATATTTATGTTCTTTCTTTAATGAAACTGACATGTCCCACAACTGAAAACAAAACAAAAATCCTTATTTATAGGGCTTTATTGTCTGTTTTCCTATTGAATAATCTCTGCTTTTATCTCACTTTTTAAAGCTTCCTCCCTTAAATAGTTTTCGTTGTTGTTTTTGTTGGCTTTTTCATTTAAATGCTTCATTTTTTAAAATTACCCTTTAATAGTGTATAATATTTGATACTAAGCACTTGTCCCTGAGTACAGCTTTAGCCTCATGCTATGGGCTTGATTTGTAGAGTTCTTGTCACTTTCTTAATACTCCACAATTATGCTTAGATGTGTTTTGACCTTGAGTGATGTAGGTGAGCATTTTGTTTTGTTTTATCCCAAGTGGTCAAAGTGTATTGAAAACTGTTACTGAAACACCACGTGGAGTTGACACTGAGCAGTCATTTTCTCCATTTGTAAGCTAATGAGTCAGTGGAGAAAATAATTTTCCAGAGAGACTTAAGGAATGGAGTTAGAAATCTACATTTTAAAAAATCTCCAAGAGTCTTTAATATAATGGAACTGCAGATAGATATTTAACAACCATTGTACTAAACTAATACCTCTTAGCTGAAGCAAACCAACAAATTAAACTCTTTCCCCTTCTCCTCTCCACCACCCTCTCTCTCTATCCTCCAGAACATACTAAAAATTAAACATTTCATCATGTTAATAAAACCATACATACAATGACTGCCATTTACAAAGTACATGTTCTTGACTTTATAGAGGTTAAATATACAACAATACAAGGCAAGCAGATGGCCGAGCCCAGATTAAAAACCAGATCAAGCTGACTCTCACCAGCACTTTAAACTAGAATGATTGGAAGCCTCCCTTAGACTCTGAGATAGGGTCTTGCTCTGTCACCCAGGCTAGAGTGCAGAGACACGATCAGAGCTCACTAAAGCCTCGACTTCCTGGGCTCAAGCAATCCTCCCACCTTAGCCCCCCAAGTAGCTGGGACTACAGGGATGTGCCACAGCACCTGGCTATTTTTTTTTTTTTTTTAGTAGAAACAAAGTCTCACTATGTTGTTTGAATTTTAGTGGAAACAAGGTCTCACTCAGTGTTAGTAAAACTCCTGAGCTCAAGTGATCCTAGTGTTTGTAGAGATGAGATCTCATTATTATGCTTCCCAGGCTGGTTTCAAGCAATCCTCCCACCTCAGTCTCCCGAAGTGCTGGGATTACAGGCATGAGCCACCGTGCCCAGCCCTCCCTTAAACTTTGAATCAGACCCCAGCACCTGCTCTCTAGAGCACGATGTCTAGTGAATGACATATCTAGTCAAGTAAACAAACATACGTGCTATGTAAATTGAACTAAATATTTTGTACTTGCTATTCAAACTTCTGCAGCAACCACAAGGTTTAGGAAATACCAACTACTTAACCAGCTATTTGCACATTACTGACGGGAGAGGGAAAAACAATGTATTTTTACCATCATGAAAATGGATGCACACCGAAGCCTTCTTGAATATTTTCTGACTCATCATCTCCTTCAAAATCCTCTCTCTCTAACTAACTGCATTTCAGTATAAATTGACAGTAACTTTTACATTTTTCATGACATTTTGCCAGTAATACTCACTTTACTTATATAAGCAAAATTATCACGAGTATAATTTCAACTATGATAATCGGCCAGCCAAGTGAATATTAACTAAGCACTTTCTCCCTCAGCCCCCTCAAATAACTGCCTGCCCCAAAGGAAGCAATTAGCCATAGGACTTGCCACATGAATTCTTGCCTCATGATATATTTGTTTTTTAGAAAAAAAAAAAACCTTCACATAACAACCTATAAATTCACTCCCTGATGAACATCCTGCAAGTTTTACTAATTGCGTTAAAGGCAATAATTACTGATGATAAAGAATGAGACATTAACTATTCAACGTTAGAGGTCAAGTCCTTGAAACGTGGCATGGATTCTGCTGAATCCGCCATTTGTTTGTATTTTCCATGATCAGTACACAGCTTATATATGCACCAAGCCTCTTGTAGGTTTTCATTCAGAAAAGTCAATATCCAAGGGCATATTTTAAATTAATCAAACCTGTTTTTGAGAGATAAGCTAAATGAGTTCTTTAAAAGGAGAATGTGAAATGCAAACTTATGTATTCATCGTTATATTTAGCTTCAAGAAATAACCTTACATAACCCCACAGTGGATTTAAATGATGACTAAAACTCAGCTTCAAACCTTTTAAGAGATTTTCTATAGTCATAGGTGGCATTCAATGTTTCAGTTTGCTTTCTGCACTTATAATTTAAATTATGAGAGAGAAATTCAGTCAAGTCAATAAATATTTATTAAGCATCTCATATACTATGGGCATAGAAAAGGAGCGTGAGATACAGTCTGTCTACCCAGAAAGGAAAGTCTTGCTGAGGAAAAAAGACTTAGATACATGGAAACAGTCATAGATAAATAAGAATTGTATGGAAATGATATAAGATTCGTGGTTTACAAAGGCTGTGCTATGTCCTACAGTTTATCAGTTACTTGCTGGCCTCTGCTCTCCAGTTATAGCCTGAAGCCTACTTCTTTCCACTCTAACTGCAGCCCATAGAAGCCTTAGATGGAATACTTTCTCTTTACCAAATGGGAGATTACCGTTATCCCGTAATTGGAGAGTAGTTTTCATAAAAGATTATCACATAAGCCTTAAGCAGCCTGTGTGAAAGAAGAGCTTCAGTCAAAACAAGGAAAGTGTCTTGGAGCCATTTCCATTGGTAGCAAATTACCCTCTGGAAAAACTCTAAAATCTTTAAATATCTGTTGATTTCTTAACAAGTAGGAACTTGAGGATTTCTAGACTGTAGCTCCCTTGAAGAAAGATAATTTTTATCTTGATTGGCCCAGTGCTCACTTACATAGTACATACTAGACTTTCAATATTCCCTATTTGCTTGATTTTTTTTTTAAAAAGAATGAATGAATGTGTCTTCTTAACAGTGTTAAAATACAAGACGAATCAGCACAGTACTAGTTTGGATAAAGTATCTTCTGATTCCTCTAAATAAGCAAAAGCCTGCATTTAAAACAATCTATAAGTTATTTCCAATATTTGCCTTTGACAGCTGGCTACACTCTATATAAGCAAATGGCTAAATACCAGAGCAACAATGATAGCAGACTGCTGTGTTCTTTTGGCTTTTTGTGTATAAATGTGGGTATTAAAAATGTTTGAAAATGTAGTAAGGAAAATTATTCCAAATGGTGAAAATAAAAATCTAGTGAAAAAAGGTTATTACTTCCAACCTTCCCACTGATTTCCAGGTGATAACACTGCTCTTTCATGTCCAGAGTTCCACTCTCTCATCTATTGAACTTACAGCTGGCAATCAAATAGATGTCCTCATAATATAAATTGTCAAAATACCACTGATAAATTTCAATATTCTCGCTCTTGAATAATAATAGGAGTCCCTGATGTGAGAGCTGTGTCCCACAAAATGGAAATGCCTCTTTAGACTCTGAAATGAGACTAACTTCTTGTTTATCAGGTGAAATGAAAAGATTAGTGGGAGCAGATAGATTCCCAATGCAGTGAGGTGAGTATAGGTAATCCCTCCTTGATGGTACAGTGTAGCAAAAGCTAATGTTTCTGTTGCTCCTTCTCAGCAGCAAGCATGAGCTCTCCTTGCATAATTAGAATGGCCCTTACAAGTAAACCCCAGTCAGCTCCACTGTGGATGATCCAGTACTACAGGCAAAAATGACAAGCAGTCGCCCACCTGGAAGCCTGGACATTCTGAAAGAGTGTCATTACAGGAATCATTTTTGCAGAGGTTGCTATGGTTTCTGGGCTGCACTTTCTCCTCTCTCTATAGTTGGATGATTTTAGTTAATCAATGGCAAGTCACAGTGTAATCATTTTCTCTTCAGAGAACACAAGGAAAAAGAACAAGCCTGGAGTCTCTTGCACAATGTCACTGCTGACAGTTATTTTTTGGCTACAAAAGAAAGACATATTCTTATTCTAAATGTGAGCAGAAAAGGAAAGTTGAGAGAAAATTGAAATTGCTTTCCAATCCAGGCTAGTCTTTTGAGAACTATTAGAAAGACTGTTTACCCAAGTGATCTCCCTAGAATTTTTTTTTTTTATTAGGATATTCATCCAAGAAGGATGTGAGGGAAAAATGGTTCCTGCCCACAAAGAGTCTCGGAATTTTCTTATTACCTCTGGAAGTTGTCTGGGCATTGAGAAATCATAATGAGGGACTAATATTGCTTTACCTAAAGTTAATCACTGCTTCAGGTTTCTGCAAAGTTTGTTTACTGGGTTTATTAAGAGAAAAAGCCACTACTCCATATATTGTCCAGCACAAATGAAATACGGGAAACAATGCTATTAAGGAAAGCAAAGACATAGAGAATCCTTACAAGCAGGACCACAAAAGAAGCTCAAGAGATCACTCAGAGAGCTCGATATGCAAGAATTGACACCAAGAGGAAAGGCAAGTCTTGTGTCTTGAGGAACTTTGCCTTTGTATATAGAAATTATGAGCCTATGAGTGATTTAGCAAATCTCAGGTAACATAGAAACATAAAATTCAGTCAATTTCCTTCTGAAATTTTGTGAGCAGCAGTGAAGGCCAGAGTTCAAGGGCCCTTAGACAAGTCACATCATTTTCAGCTGTTTTGATGTAAAAGCAGGTGTTTAATTCATTCTATATGATTTTAGTTTATATTTTAAAACAGGATCAGCTATGTACAGCTCTCTATTAAAGGGCTGTGTTTTCTGCCCACAGAAGATAAATTCAGAGCCTTAGCATACACCATCAGATATATCAGAACAATCATGGTTATATAATACACATATAAGAGAATAAGTTTCAAAAGAATGTGGGTTTAAGGTAAATGTTACTTTTTCCTTAATTTCTTTTAATTTAATATAAATTATCAATAATTGAGAAACTGAGATTTTTCACAAATGCCCAAAATGTTTTATTGATAATATTGTCTTGTTTATTTCTGGTATTATCAGACCCCAATTATGCTATTTACTTCTTGATGCATTTTATGTACAATGAATGCACACAATAATTTTGATATTCAAATTTTCTAGATATTACTCTACCAGAATATCATGTTGGAGATGAGGGAGAAAAGTTCAACATGAGTTATATGCCTGTGCTGATTGAGTGGTAATTTTCATCATTGACTATCTGAGAATTAAATTTCGTTGGATTTTACAATTCTGCCTTTTAATTTTGCTACTTTTGGTTTGTAATGTTTCCTGTGACTACACGTTATGGAGAGTGATTATATACCTGATTAGTCAGCCATGCTAGTTTGGGAATGGTTCACAAACTGTCTCCCAACTTACCTATATTAGCATTAAAATGGTTATTTTTTTAATGATAAATTATAAAGTTCCTATTGGCAAACAAAAGCTCTTCTGAAATGAATTACATACATTAAATTTAAAAGAGTTGATTGATATCTACATGGTAGAATACTCAGTCCTAACCTTGGCATATGGCATATGTGTATACATGTTAGTTTCCTTCCTATGAATTTTATTACAAAAAAATGGGGCTCCATGACACTTTATCTGAATTGGATTTTTTTTTAAAGATCTAGAGCCATGTCTCCATTACTTCATCCTCAGATGACCTTGTATTGTAGAGTCTTACGAGAGACTAAGCGAGATAACACGTATAAAAGACCCTGCAGTCCTGGTATCTATTCCAGGCCTAACAAAAGACAGATATTGTTACTTCAGGAAAGTACGTTAATCTGTTAGGAATAGAGGCTGCCCTTGGCTTTAGTTGTTACTATTACATTCATAAGGCTACCATGCTGTTATTTTTAGATTTGGCATTATGGTGTGTATCCCTGACTTATTCAAGAAAATATGATTTCCTCCCCCTCGGCCCATCACGCCAGCTGAGAACTCCTCAGGCTTTGCAGAACATGTGCTTCTCATCGCAGTGGCTCATGCCCTTTGAGTGCTAAGATCACACAACTCTTCCAATCAAGATTTCCCTTGAGAGCGTGTAGAGTCTCTTAACAGCACACACAACCTATTCATTTTGAGATCTGCAGTCTTTTTAGCACTTTTGATGAAATCACATAGAATGCACCATAAGTTCAGGTTTATTTGTGAAATATAAATTGAAGGATTTTCTGCTGTGATAAAGGCCAGTTGGTACATGTTCCTGTCAAGTGCGTACACCTGAAAGTGACCTTTCCCAACGAAACACAGGATGGTGAAAATGGTTTGCTCTTCTGCTTGGGACAGTTTTTGCAATGTTTTTGAGACTATTTTCATTAATTTTTAAACATTTTTATTGACACCTAATTTTTGTGCATATTTATGGGGCACATGTGATATTTGGATATATGCATAGAAAGTGTAATGATCAAATCAAGGTATTTAGGTGGTATTATGATATCCATCACCCAGAACATTTATTATTCCTTTTTGTCAGGGATATTTCAAATCTTCTTTTCTAGGTTTTTTGAAATTCACAATATGCCATTGTTAGCTATAGTCATCCTACTGTGCAATCAAACACTAGAACTTACTCCTTCTATCTAACTGTATGTTTGTACCCATTAATCAACCTAACCAACCTCTCTTCATGCTCATCACATTTCCAGCATCAGGCGACTATCCTTCTGTTCTCTATCTCCATGAGATCAACTTTCTTAGCTCCCACATACAAGTGAGGACATGTGACATTTTCGCTACTTTTATTGTTTTTGTCTATTTAAGCACCTATGATAGAATATTTGGAAAATGGTTAAAAAGTAAAAAATAAACATTAAAAATTATCTACGAGCTGGGCATAGTGATGCACACTGTAGTTCCAAGTGCTCAGGATGTTCCTGGACTTGATCTCAGGAGTTCAAGACCAGCCTGAGCAAGACACCACCTCTAAAAATAATTATCTACTATCACATCACTCAGAAATCACTACTGCTAACACAAGGTGTATTTTCTTTAAAATTTTATCCACACATACACAAACACAATGAACAATTACTATATACATGATTGCTATCCACTTTTCTCCTTAATAGTGTAAGCATTTACTCAAGTTATTAATCTTTTTCTAAGATATTTTTAATGGCTGTATAATATTCCAAAGTTTTGTTGTGCCATAATTTAATGATTATCCATTTTTAAAAATTTTTAATTCTCAGGTTCTTACTTACTGTAAACAAATGCTTTTAGTGAGCATCCTTGTTAATAAATATCTGGTCACATCCCTAATTCATTCCTTAATAAAAATTATAAGAAATGGTATTAAAGTATCAAAACAAAGAATATTGTGGAGACTCTTGTTATAGTCATGTGTATGATCTTGCTTTATTCATTTATGGGGATGTTATGATAATTTCCACTCCCACCAACAGTTTATGAGTGCTCCCTCACCCCATCTTCACTAGCAATGAATAGCATCATGTTAACATTTTTACTGTTTGACTTTTTAAAAATGATTTCTAACTGGCACTTCAATATTCATTTCCTGTATTATTGGCACAGCTGAATAGTCCTTGTAACATTATTTATTATTTGCACATCTTTCCCCTTTGTGAATTGTCTGGTCATAACTGTTCATTTTTTGCCATCTGATTGTGTTGTCCTTACCCTAAGGCACTTTCTAGTAAGAATATTATTCTTTGGCTGGTCATAGTTATTGCAATTATTTTATTCTCATTTGACATTTGCCTTTTACTTTTTATGAATGTCTATATACATGATTTTATACCTCATGTTATTAGTTTTAATATGTTTGTCCTTTGTGACTTCTCTAATTGTTTTATACTTAGAAAGTTTCTCCACACACCAATATCTAAAAGAGTTTGAGCCTTATGTTATTTATTCTATATTTATCTCTTAAATACATCTGGATCTTTTTAGTGTAAGATGAGCAAAGAGTATCTAATCTAAAGTATGACCAAACAGCTTACTCAACAGCATTTATTGACTATTCCTTTTGTTATTCATTGATTTATGGTATCACCTTTATCACACACTTTTTTTATATTCTGAGATTTATTTCTGGGCTAATGTTGATTTGTCTACTTATTTATTCATTCACTTTTTCATTTAACAGAGGTATAGGAATGATAAAAATAATAGTTCAACATATTTACATACAGCACGAAAGCAATGACTAAATGGAAATATATACTGATTTTCACAAATACAGTGACTAGCATGAATACAATTTTAATTTCATCAGGAAATCTTTCATGAAATTTGGTAAACTCAATCACTCTTATTTGAAGAGAGACAAGAAACAAAATAGGAGAGGGGTTTTATTCTTCTGATTGACCATATACCAAGTAGTTAAAAATCAGCCAGTTCCTTAGAAAACGTTTAGATATTATTATAATACCATGTTTGTGAACATACCCTCCCTTTTATATAATACCATTCGCCATGCAGCAGAAATCATTATGTGGCTATTTAACTTTGGACTCCTTTCAATAGAATCTGGTTATCTCATTAAAAGCTAGGCCTGAAGGCTTCTGGAGCATGTGTGTGTGTGTGTCTGTGTGTGTGTGTGTGTGTGTCTGTGTGTGTCTGTGTGTGTGTGTGTGTGTAATAATGTCTTTTATAAATGAAAACTCTATACATATATGAAAATAATGTCACTAGTGTTCTTAACTTATGCCAAGATTCATAGAAGAGAGATGATTAAAGATCACTTTGTTTTATTTCCTTTAATTTTCTATTTTAGCTGTTTTTCTTTTTCCATCAAAGCTCTTCTGGCTAACAAACATCCAGTGTGTCAATATCAGTGAGAACTATTATTTGACTTATGTGAGCAGTGTAAACGAGTAATAGATTAAAACTGATTCTGTCAATAAGCAGCTTGAAATTTTTAAAGATCATATGAAACCAAAGGGAATGCCCTCAAAGAAAGAGTAGCCCTTCATGGTAGCTCGTCGGCTGTGACTTACCCATGAATGCACAAAGGGAACCTGTTCACACACGAATCTGGGACTCTGACTTCCCCACAGACATACCATGTCAACTAGCCAAAGGGCTTGCGAAAATTGTTTACGCCCTCATTTCAGATGGAAAAGTACATACATCTGGCACTATTATGCTTGACTGGTGCTAGCTTTTGGCATATGAACAGCTGAGGGATAAATCTGGGGACATTATTAACCAAGACCAAAATATGCCACTCTCTTTCATTAGTTTAAACTAACAGCTCCCATTTTTCTAAACTGTAGTTGTTCTAGTACTGTACTATGCCCATTTCAGTGTCAGTCACCAGTAAGTGTATAACCAAACAACTCATAAATCAGGGATTTGTAATATGTATGCATCTATTTTTTAGCAAACTGAAAATATTAACTCAGGAATTTTAATAGATGCTTTAAAAGACATAGAAGGACATTTGGATTTGAGAGTCAAGCCATTTTTGCGCAGTCATTTGTGACGATGCAGAATAAATAAAAACCCTCTAAGAAACATTTTGAAGGTCTTCCATAGCGGATACCATCCTACATGCTGGGAGATATAAACAAGTACAAAGTATAACCTAAGCCTCCAAAGATCATACCATCCAGAAAAGTAAATTGTCTATGCAATGAAGACTCGCACTAGGGTTAAACCAGAAGGAATGAAGAGAACACAATCAATGCAAGAAATATTCCTATAGGAAGAGTCTGGAAGACTTGGGGACTCCTTGGAATAATAAGAATGTAAGCATAATATAATGAATATGTAATGGGTGGCTGGGGATTTAACATCATTAACAGAACAAGAACTAAATAGAATCAAGTTTAACTTTGGGTGGAAAGTATGATGTGTGTGCTTTGAACTTTAAATAGTTTAACTCCACTGTCCCCCAAGTGAAATATCTGATACTGTTGGAGGGGAAAAGGGACTTTTTAATGATGGCTTATTATAGTAAAGATTGATAAAAAGAGTGACAGATTCTTAGCTCTTCGGTCACCCAGCTAATGTGAAAAAGAAAGAGGCTGTTTCCCTCATCCCTCAGCCCAGAGCAGAAGGTACAGGAGTCGGAGGAGGCATTAGCTACTATACCTACAAGGAGAGAGTCATTTTAGACTGAATTTTGAACATAAATTTATATAGTCTCAGATTATAGTGATGCACATTACACTGAATATTTGATCAACAAAGTTGGGATTAAAAGTGTAACTGAGTATAGAACATAGCAAGTATGGGAATGGTTGATGCTAGGATTCCAGATCAATGAAGAAGGAAGTGTGGTTCAAATGCCCAAATCCTGCATGATTCATGATACACCTATGAATGAAATCATATGATCATAAAGGCAAACTTTATCCCCCCTTTCATAAAAAACTACACTTTGATTTGTTGTAGATGGCTATGTCAGTTACCAACTACAAATTGCTAAAGAACAAGGAATATATCTGATTAAATTTATTTGCAGAGCTCATCCCAGAACTTGTAAACTTCTACTGATAAATGAGAAATCACGTGGTAAGTCACTTAATATCATAAAATCCTTCCATTTAAAATAGATATTTAAACAAATGTGGTACCAATAGTATCACAGTCATTGGGACAACAGTTTCTAACTAATTCAGAACTTTGTCTACTTATAAATAATCATTGATAGTACAAAATACAGTGGCATAAACTGGGGAGAGGAAAAAGCTAGGGTACTTAACCGCTATTCACAATTCGTAATTTTGCCTTTAAACTCACCCGATCCATCCTTTTGTATATGTACTGAATTTTGAAGTGTAGAGAAGGGGTCAGAGGTATTCCAAAACCTTCACAAGTGGATTTATCCCTCATTCTTAAATTGATCTAGTACCAGGGAAAGATCAATATCAATTCTGATCAAAGTTCATGTTAGGTTTCTCTTGTTCCCCTTGCCACAACCAGGCAACAGAAGAATGGCCAAAATGTGGGGCCCCTCAAGCTGCAGACTTCAGGCAAATGGCTCTATGGAGATGGATGTAGCCTTATGTTTCTCCAATAGTATGTATAAGAAGAGGCATTTTTAAAAATTAGGTGGTATATTTCTATCATCACCAGGAATACTAAATTAACTTTTTGAGGATTTTGGTATGTGTATATGTTCTAAAGTCAAAGAGGAAGATCCTATTTTATACTACCTTTGGCTTAATCTGTGCAAATTATGATCTAAACAAGTAAATTTATTTTATTATAAATTTATCCATGATTATACTTTTCTCATTAATTCTGTCAAAGAGCCATGAAATGCTGTGTACATTAGAATTTTTTTAATTGTCTGTAGTCTTCCTCATGGGCCTGTCTCTCATCCGAAAATGTAAAAGTGGTAAAAGAAATATACTTTTTAAATAATGGGCAGTAGCGACTCTCTAGTCACTCTAAATGAAGCTGATAAGCTACTCAAATTAAATAACCAGCCCTGCTTATGCACTTAGCTCAGCAAATATGCTCAAATGTTGGCCACACATATGTTATCACTTTTGAGCTAATTACGTTTCCAGCAGCTTTAAGTCTCTTAAATCCAACAGATGAGGAAAGAAGAATATGAAGGAAGCTGCAGAAAGTGAATCACCCCAATAGTGGTAACAAGATACTGGGTATATCTTTGGTTAGAAAAGCACTTCCACGGCCTGGCGCGGTGGCTCACGCCTGTAATCCCAGCACTTTGGGAGGTTGAGGCGGGCAGATCATGAGGTGAGGAGATCAAGACCATCCTGGGCAACATGGTGAAACCCCGTCTCTACTAAAAATACAAAAATTAGCTGGGCGTGGTGGCACGCGCCTTTAGTCTCAGCTACTCGGGAGGCTGAGGCAGGAGAGTCAATTGAACCCAGCAGGCGGAGGTTGCAGTGAGCTGAGATTGCACCACTGCACTCTAGCCTGACGACAGGTGAAACTCCGTCTCAAAAAAAAAAAGAGAGAGAAAGAAAAAGAGAAGGGAAGAAAGGAAGGAAGAACGAAGGGAAAGAAAGAAAAAGAAAAGCACTTCCCTCTAAAATAGGCTGGTAAAACATTCACAGTCCATTCAACAATCATTTGGGTAGTAACCAGCATTTCTTCATCATTGTCCCTTCTTCCCACTCTCTCACTCCAAGTGGGGCTAGAATTTTGCTCCCCTAAATTTTAAATGCTTCTTCAAAAGCTACTGCACAGGAGGAATACTTCTAAAAAATTTAAGAAGTGTCTCTGACATTTTCCAAATTTTACAATTTTTGTTAACAGTATGCAACTAAATCCATGGCCCAATTACTGGAAATTCTGTCTTCAGAGAGTCTCAATAATATTTTTCCGGATGAAGATGTACGAGTTTGGAATGTATTTTTCTCTGGAAAAAGTCTATGAAAACTAATAAAGAGAGCATTAGTAATAGCAGTAGTCATAGTAAATCTCCACTGAAAGCTCACTATGGACAATCACTATTGAGAACACTTTATATATGACCTCATTGGATGCTCATAGCAACCCCGTGAAATGCTTTTTTTTTGTAATCTATTTATGCTTCATGTTACTCAGCTCATCTATTTTTGGATATTAGCTCATAGTAAAAACATTTTATTTTATTTTATTTTATGTACAACTATAGAGAAACCACTGCACAGATAGCTCCAACTTAAATTAGAAAATATTTTCTCTGTACAAAATAGTAAAAATGATAACATTTCCCAGGCTAGCCCAACAAGTTCATTTAAACCAAATAGTAGATGAATACATGATATATTTATAAATACAATTTGAATTCTGGGATCCAGGAGAAATTTTAGTTTCATTTATTGAAACAGCCACCTTTTTCTCTAAGTTACGTGAAGTGAAATTCCTATTAATCGGCTCATGTTTAATTATAACATCCTTTATCTCTTCTGTACTTTATATTGAACTGCTATACTTTGTTTAATATTTAGTGTGATATATGTAAATGTCTTCTGATAGTCAAATTTCTGAAATTCTCTGTCATTTACATACATTCTAGCTAAACATTGATCAAGTCTTTTACATAACCGTAAAAGTGAAGAAACGAGGGAAATACTGAATTTTTAAAAAACTGTGAGCAGTGGGAGAAAATTTTTGCAATCTATCCACTGACAAAGGGCTAATGTCTAGAATCTACAAAGAACTTAAACAAATTTACAAGAAAAAACAACCCCATCAAAAAGTGGGCGATGGATAGGAACAGAAGCTTCTCCAAAGAAGACATTTATGCGGCCAACAAACAGATGAAAAAAAGCTCATCATCACTGGTCATTAGAGAAATGCAAATCAAAACCACAATGAGATACCATCTCACACCAGTTAGAATGGCAATCGTTAAAAAGTCAGGAAACAACATGCTGGAGAGGGTGTGGAGAAATAGGAACGCTTTTACACTCTTGGTTGGAGTGTAAATTAGTTCAACCATTGTGGAAGACAGTGTGGTGATTCCTCAAGGATCTAGAACCAGAAATACCATTTGACCCAGCAATCCCATTGCTGGGTATATACCCAAAGGATTATAAATCATTCTACTATAAAGATCACGCACACATATGTTTATTGCGGCACTGTTCACAATAGCAAAGACTTGAAACCAACTTAAATGCCCATCAGTGATAGACTGGATAAAGAAAATGTGGCACATATATACCATGGAATACTATGCAGCCATAAAAAAGGATGAGTTCATGTCCTTTGCAGGGACATGGATGAAGCTGGAAACTATCATTCTCAGCTAACTAACACAGGAACAGAAAACCAAACACCGCATGTTCTCACTCATAAGTGGGAATTGAACAATGAGAACACATGGACACAGGGAGGGGAACATCACACAACCACACACCAGGCCCTGTCAGGGGGTGGCGGGCTAGGGGAGGGATAGCATTAGGAGAAATGCCTAATGTAGTGATGGGTGATGGGTGCAGCAAACCACCATGGCATGTGTATACCTATGTAACAAACCTGCACATTCTGCACATGTATCCCAGAACTTAAAGTACAATAAAAAATTATACAAATAAGAAACAAACACACAAAAAACTGTTAGCAAGATTACATCCGCTTTTACAAGTTTTAAATGGATAAGTAGCTATCTGTGCCTTTTATGATCATAGGCGCCTCGCAATGAATGTTTTAAAAACTCATTTGTGAAATGTATTTTGTTTCTATTTCTTTTGGGCACTTTAAAGACCCTTCATACCTCTCGTCTAGTCCATCAAGCTGTATGCTTCAAGACAGGAATATTTAAAAGCTGCATTCTTTCAGCATTATATCTTCCAAGTTGAGAGATTAAGCTCAATTGACATCTTTAGGTCTGCTGACCTCCTATAGTAATAATGTAAAGATTAAGTAGCAAAGTTTAGAATTTGGCCTTTTCACCAAAAACTGCTTGGAATTCAGACGCTCAAATTTTATTCCCCTTGCCTCCCTTTAAATATTGAAAAGCAAGGAATGGTACCAGCTCCTCTTTGTACCATTGTACCATGTAAATGACGAGTTAATGGGTGCAGCAAACCAACATGGTACATGTACACCTATGTAGCAAACCTGCACGTTGTGCACATGTACCCTAGAACTTAAAGTATAATAAAAAATATTGAAAAGCAATATGAATTCATTTAAATCAGATAAAATATGTCTTTGGGAAATGAAAAATGCTCCCTGGAGGCTGTTCCCTCCTTCTAGAATGTGTACAATAGTATCCTGGGAGATCCTTATTCCTAAAATTCACTGGGCACCATTATAGGATTTCCCAAGTAATACATAAATTGTGCTAATTTGTATGCCATTATTGGAGAGATGAAGACAAAGGAACACATGTTTAATGGAAATAGGGCCCCAACAATTAAAGCATTTCGAGGTTAACAGCTGCTCCTATGTAGCTGACTAGCTGTGGACATTTACATACTGGCGGGTTTTGGGAAAATGAGACTGGCTGCTGGCCAGCAGACTGGGCTCAGGGGCATGGACTCCGAGGGGTTGAGCTTATTCTTACAGCTCCCCTGAGTATCAGCCTACAGTTGCAAAGAACAAACGGGAGTTCTGGACCCCACAGTCAGATGACAACCCCCTTTCCCCTCCTGACCCATCAAAAGCTCTGGATACCCGCAAAGCGGTAAAATCACCTTGGGGTTGGGTCAGTTTTCTGCCCTAAGCCACAAGGAATTGATTTGGAAACACCACACAATAAGCAATAGAGATATGACGAATGTCCAGATTAGTTGTTTGATTCTAGTTCGCTTCCATTAAGAAACATTTGATGTTGAAGAAGAGAGTAAAATAATAAAATAGCAACAGCAGAAACAACAATAAAAACAGAAATACACCATATTTTAGTTTTTAGTTCTTCAACATTACACTGTGAGAAAAAAAAGTCTATCTCATAAGTCATTGACATGAAGTTAATACAGCCTAAATAGTTACCTAAAAATATCTGGAATAAGTTAAATATAGAAATAAATACATATCTTAAATTTATTTACATACTGTGAATGAAGCTCCTTCCTCTCTAGAATCAAGACCAAGCTAAGCGAAGCTATTTTTAAGTGTATAATTGTATTTCCCAGATTTTATACATCTCAGTCATTTTCCTTTTTTTCACTCAGCAACCTGGTCAATCAATCAAACCCTGCAGATTTCATTTTGCTTTATTTTTTTTGAGACAGAGTCTTGCTTTGTCACCCAGGTTGGAATGCAGTGGCACGATCTCAGCTCACTGCAACCTCCGCCTCCTGGGCTCAGGTGATTCTCATGCCTCAGCCTCCCAAGTAGCTGGGACCACAGGCGTGCACCACCACACCTGGCTAATTTTTCATATTTTTTGTAGGAATGGGGTTTTGCCATGTTGCCCAGGCTGGTCTTAAACTCATGAGCTCAAGTGATTCTCCCACCTAGGCCTCCCAAAGTGTTTGAATTACAGGCATGAGCCACAGTGCCGGCCTCTGCAGAAATACTTATTTCCGTATCTCAGATAATGAAATTGAGACAAGAAGAGGTTTGGAGACCTGCTCGATGTCAGGTGGGCAGTTACTGAAGGACTTGAGTCTGCAACCAGGTCTCCTAAAGTCAAGGTCAGATCCCCTTCCCACTCACCAAGCTGTTCCAGTATTTTTAAACTGCAGGTTATGCAACTTTAAGGTTATATTTCCATGAAATGAAAAAGTCACTGTAAAAACCTGAGCATCCATAATTATGGCTTGTCGAACCCTCAGCATTCTCATCTCCTAAATCAATCCAACTCATTCTCAACTTGACGTAGGAACAAATGAGACTGCTTTTGGATTTCTCTTCCCACGGCCCGATCGGTGTTCACTGAAAACAGGATTGCAGGTACATTGCTCAGATTTTCTCAGACAGACTTCAGTGATTTTCGTGTTCTTACTCAATCTCATATTTACAATCTACCCAGGCATTTGTGATAAAGAATCCTCAAGGCCATTACTCCGAGCCTTCGCATGGGTCTTGTCTCCCTTCTTTATCAATGATTAATGACCTGCATGAGTTTGTCTTTGACTCCTCTTCTTTTTCAGTTTCTCATATTTTATAATGCACACTGCCTTGAGTAATAAAGGCTTATCCAAGGAAAAATTATTGGCTATTCATCTCCTGGCCTTCTATAAATCTTCTTTATCTTTACAGCTGCCTTCTTGTTTACCCCCAAATATGCGTTGTGCTCTGTTTCTAACAAATACCTCTCACTCCCACCTTGTCCCCACCCTGGCTTTTGATTTCGCCAACCAAATCCCACTTTGGCAATGATTGCTCATCTTGGATTTCTTGCAGATATTTCAGGATTGAATGCAGCACATGATAGAAAAGTTGTTTTGGCCAGGAAATCATCTATTTGTAGCATACAACTAAAATATAAGCATAGACGTGTTATTTCCTTGAAATGCTTTGTGTCAGAGATGCTAGTGGTTGGGAAGTTTGGGTGATATTCTAAGAGTGATACAATTTTGCAGTTCTAGCTCCTAAGCAGAAATCTGGGGAGTCTCTCCAGTGGACCAAACTAGTGGTCTGATTTCACGTCTACCACATTGTGCTAAAAGAAAATATAAGTACGTAGAAAAATAAGGATATAAATACACAGAGCAACAGCTAAATGATAAAATTACAGGTCCTTATACCATCCCATGGTAAACTTTCTTGGCCATTACTTACAGTGAAAGGAAAATAAAACTTGGGACCCCAATTCACTGTGCCAAAACGAAAAAATTAAGTCAAAAGCTGAATCATGCAAAACACTGCCTTTCCTTTTGTTGCTAATCAGGCAGCTGCAGATGAAAGTTTAAAGGCTGGGTGCAGTGGCTTACACCTGTAATCCCAGCACTTTGGGAGGCTGAGAAGGCAGGATCACTTGAGCTCAGGAGTTCAAGACCAGCCTGGGCAACATGGCAAAACCTTGTCTCTACAAAAAATACAAAAATTAGCTGGGCGTGGTGGCACATGCCTGTGGTTCCAGCTATTCAGGAAGACCAGGAGGTTGAGTCCAGGAGGTTGAGGCTGCAGTGAGTCATGATCATGCCACTGCAGTATAGCCCGGGCAACAGAGCAAGACCCTGTTTCAAAAAAAAAATAGGTTAAATATCTCCACAGGTAGCTACTCTATGCTCCCCTTATATTATGTAAAGTGTCCATTCTGAGCCACAGATGAAAGTGTAATTGATTCTTCCCCTCCCTGCTTCTTTTCTCCTGTTACATGTGAATGACTATACCCATCCTCTTTCTCCTCCAGCCCACTTTTCCCCTTTCAATATTGATGCCCTCAAACTCTTCTTTGGAGAAAGACACAGATCACAGACTGTTTCTGTGATTCCCTATTATTTTCTTCCAGAGATGTCCTTAACCTTGGCAAAATAAACTTCAAAATTGATTGAGACCTGTCTCAGATACATTTTGGTTTACATTACCCTAGTACAGAGGCCGTGAAGGCTGTTCCATTAGTAGTATTTCTGTTGGCTGAATAGAGCTGAACCCTCAAGGTTTGCTACATCTACCTCTTGTTAATTTGTTTCAGTTTGACCTGCTTACCTCTAGCCAGGTACTTGCTAAGGCAGTGTTACTCCATGTGTGCTCCCTACAAGGTAGGATTAGAAACTGAAAATAAGCATTTAGAAACTTTAAAGCAATTGATGGCCTGCAGGAAACACTGCCCTAAAATGTGGCATCTTTGCATGCTGAGTATTTTAAGCTGAAAGAAATTGAAAAAACCATGGAAGCAGAAAGTTCTCTCTGACCTTCTCTCTTGAAGACACTCATGTGACATGTGTCCTGCCCTATACCCCGATGAAAGGAATGTTACATAGAAAAGCCCAGAAAAATCTGAAAAAACAGACTTTGCTAAGTTACCACCAGTTTACTGCCATTAGGTCATATCTCCTTTTCATCTAATCATACTTCTGCATGACTGATCCCTGTTCATCAAATTTAACTATAAAAATAATTTTCCCTGGGTCCTTGGGTCTTCATCTTGAGGGCTCTCATATTACGTAAAACTTGTGGTAAATGAATTTGGTTATGCTTTTCTCCTTTAGTCTGTCTTTTGTTACAGGGATTTTGGCCATGAAACTTGCAGTGGTTGAGGAAAAGGTATTACTTTTTCTTTCTCCTATACAACTTTATGTCTATTGAATCATATTTATATTCTTGCTTGGTCTCTCAGACTGGAGTGCACTGGCACAATCATGGCTCACTGCAGCCTTAATCTTCTGGGCTCAAGAGATCCTCCTTCCTCAACCTCCCAAGTAGCTGAGATTACAAGCACACATCACCATGCCCAACTAGACTCTAATAATTTTTTTAAATGGTATTTTATTGTGTATGCCTTTGATTTTTTAAAAATGTTTTTTCTAGTAATTCATGATTTATTCTAATTTGTAAAATATTAGCCAATGATGGAATCAAATATTGTTGTTAGTTATTCTTCAGGTGGTTTGAGAAGCACAGTTCTGACCAACCATTAGCAGTGTCCTAGTGCGCCCCGGCAAACTGGCAAATTTGACACAGAATGATAATGCTTCATGTTGGAAACTGTACCCCAAATCCTGGCCTTTTCTATATTTTGGATACGTGGTAACATATATTCACAAAGCATTTGTGGAAGTGTGGAGCCAACAGAGAAAGTGGCTGGTGGCGACTGTAGCATTAAACACTGCTTTGAAACAACAGATGTGAACAGTGACTTCACTTGGTCCACTGGAGTAAGTTTCTCTTGATGTAGTGACCGTAGAAATGCTCTTCTGGGACATACAACAAAAACGAACATACACAAACGGAAACTAAATAGGTTTCCCAGAAAGGAAATAAGGACAATAGCCTGGAAAACTGTTAAGAAAATATGATGAGTGACATGAGTATGTTTAGTGCCTTGATTTATAATATTGGTTCCTTACACATGCTTGATAAAATTAGTTTAAATGGGGCACAAAAGCCAATTCCTTCACCAGAGTTTTATCATATAACATCATTATAAAGGACATGCTGTCACCGAGAAGGAACAATATGTCCAATTGAAATATATTTCTCAATAATTCAAAAAATACCCCTTATTTGGGAGAATTTGTTTCTCAAACAGAAAATCAAATGTGCCTTTGCAGAAACTCATTCTCTTTCCTTCTAATGACATGCAATCATTCTACCTTTATCTTGTCACGTTTCTCTTCCCTGGGTTTCCAAGAAGCCAGTTTTTAAATGTTTGTTGTTTTTTCTGCTCACAAAATAGAAATAATTTTGCTCCTAGTGGAAAGTCCCAATGTAAGTAAGACATTACATATGCAGCAATTGACATTTCTATTGATAGACTAGAAATTCTTATTAGGAAATGCCTTTTAAAAAAAAAAAATCCCTCCATGTCAGGGTTCTACAAGCCCTTATTTCTATGTTGGGTATAAAGAGTTTTCCTGGGCATCCTTTCTTAAAGCAACAGCTTTTCATAGTATCGGTAAAGATTTATGTCAGATAGCAAATCAGCAAGTACTACATCAGTGCGAAAATAATTGTGGTTTTTGTCTTTTTTTTTTTTTTTGATACCCAGTCTCACTCTGTCACCAGGCTGGAGTGCAGTGGTGGGATCTTGGCTCATTGCAACCTCTGCTTCCTGGGTTCAAGCAATTCTCCTGTCTCAGCCTCCTGAGTAGCTGGGATTACAGGTGTGTGCCACCATGCCCAGCTAATGTTTGTATTTTTAGTAGAGACAGGGTTTCACCATGTTGGCCAGTCTGGTCTCGAACCTGACCTCAGGTAATCCACCTGCCTCAGCCTCCCAAAGTGCTGGGATTACAGGCATGAGCCACCGCGCCCAGTGCATTTCTTTTTTAAAGTAATAGCAAAAACTGCAGTTATTTTTGCACCAAACTAATACCTTGTGATTTCCTTATGGCCTGAAAAATGCTGTGTTTTGACCATTTATCAAATTGAAGGGAACTTTTTCCAAATAAGGATGGCAATTTGATGCATCTTTCTTATGGTTATTGGAATAATGAAAAAGAAGAAATGCAAGAAATCATTTTGTAAACAAAGTAAGCTATTCCAGGAGGCTTCATCGTCCTGTGAGAGGCTGTTTCCTGGTCTCCAGTTCCCTGAAGTGATGAGGAATGAGGGGTACTGGCCTGGGCAGAAACCAGGAGTATGATGCTCATGGGTCCTTCATGGAAGGGACCCAAGGCACCCCATGCTGCTGTGATGGCAGGCTCTGCTCTCCGCTTGTCAGGCCTCCAACAACCGCACCTGGGTGGAGGAAGGTGGCCAAATCACTTTTGAGACCTTCAGGATAAGAGTGAGATTTACACTAAGATGTAAGTTCAATGAGGATAAGGACTTGATCTTATTCACCAATGAATCCCAGTGCCTGGAAGAGAAACTGCCACAGAGTAGATGCTAAAATACGTAGTGATGGGAGGAAGGAAGGAGGGAAGGAAGGAAGGGAAGGGAAGGGAAGGAAGGAAGGAAGGAAGGAAGGAAGGAAGGAAGGAAGGAAGGAAGGAAGGAAGGAAGGAGGGGAGGGAGGAAGGGAGGGAAAAGGGAGGAAAAAAGGGAGGGAGGAAGAAAGGGAGAGTGGGAAGGAGGGAGGATGGAAGGAAGGAAGGAAGGTGTGTTAGTCTGTTCTCAGGCTGCTAATAAATACATACCCTAGACTGGGTAATTTCTAAAGGAAAGAGGTATAATGGACTCACAGTTCCACATGGCTGGGGAGGCCTCACAATTATGACAGAAATCAAAGGAAAAGCAAAGGCATGTCTTACATGGCAGCAGGCAAGAGAGCTTGTGTAGGGGAACTCCCATTTATAAAACCATCAGATCTCATGAGATGTAGTCACTATCATGAGAATAGCACAGGAAAGGCCCACCCCATGATTCAGTTATCTCCACCTGTTCCCACCGTTGACATATGGGGATTATTGTACTTTGAGGTGAGATTTGGGTGGGGACACAGCCAAACCATGTCACAAGGGAAAGGGGGAAGAAAGACAGGGAGAGGAAAAGAGAAATCTATTGGTGGATTCAGATTTCCTGCACTGATGAGTGTAATTATAACTATTGCTTGAATAACATTTGCTGACGCAAACACTGTATATAAAGAGAAGCAAAGAAGAGAGGATATTTATCACTACTGTGCAGAGTGTTTTTGTTTCGGATTGGGGGTGTGAGGACTTAAATTCTAGGGATGCTCTGAAGTGAAGGTCACGCTGAGTGGACATCAGGCACAGGTTTCCTCTCCTCTTTTCATTCAGGGAAGACACATGCTGTAGCTCAGAGCTGGATGCCTGCAGACACACAACCACATAGCCCTGCCCTGAAGGACTGCACCATCTAAAAAGAGATCAAAGGCTCATACCTAAGTAAATGCAACACTGGTATAAAGGGATAAGAGACTTTAGAGGGGCTCTCTTGGAAAAGACTGGTCTGTGATTGATTAAGTGATGGAACACGGACAATTGTCCGAAAAGGGGCCATTTGAGCCAGGCCTGGTAAGATGACAGTGTGTGGAGTTTAGATACCACATCTTGGCCCTTTCAGAGACAATTAGGTTGTCAGACAGACTGACGTCATTCTTCTCCCATCTAGGTGAAGGACTGGAGGCATGGGGTAGTGAGGGAGGAAAAGAAACTGCTTCCAAAATCCCCCCTGCTAGAGTTTCTCTATGTTCCCCAGCACAGCCAGAAATGATCATCAGATTATTGTATCTGAAGACAGCCTTTATTGACATTTTACCTCTTCCAAACAAATAAACCCCAAACCTCACCATCTCTCTCTCAGTCTCTCATGGAGAGTAGACATCAAAGGCTGGGATGGGAAGAGGCAGAGGGGGGAATTTGATCCATTCATCCCAGCCACTATCTTGTGAGATCAAATCTATTGTTTCCTCACACCCTGAAAAATTATGTGTTTTAGTCACTTACCAGATTGACAGGGGCTTTATTCAAATAGGAGTGGCAGTTTGATGCATGGTTCTAAGGGTTATTGGGATAATAAAAAGAGAAAATGCAGGAAATTGCTTTGTAAAACAAAGCAAATTTTTCACCAGGAAAGATCAGTTGCAAGTTCTGGTATCTTCATGACCCCTTGTATTTCACACTGTTCTAGTTTAAAGATATGTTGAGTTTGTGTCTTAGCAGACTCTTAAGATTTTAAACCTCAAGCACACGATGTAGGGAGGCCATAAATGGGGGAATGGAAAGTGGGTTTTGCTTCTGAGAAGGATAATGTGATGAGTCACTATTTAAATGAATCCATGGAGCTTTGTAAAGTCTTAAAAAGGACCATTTAATTGCATAATACTGATTCCTTCACTTTATAGTGTCTGGGAGAAATAGTCTCTGTGAAGTGGTGGGAGGTAAATGTTATCACATGATACTGGAGGAAGAACAATAGCTCAAGATGTGAAGAGGAAATTGGTGTATTGGACGCCGAAATAAATTACAGCCATCAGGAGCTCTTTGCTTTGCCTGCGAATGATCTGTCAAGCAAGAAGGAGCTGAAAGTGCATTTGTGAGAATAGTGGGTGGATTCTTTTCTCTTTTAGGAAAATATCTTGACCAAAAAAATGGCCTGAATGCAAAATCCATAGGAATGGATTTTCTGAAGCCTCTTTCTTCTTTTTATCTTTTTTCCTACTGGAAATTGTTTTCTCAATTCTTTGAAGACTTGCTCAGGAAAATTAAATATAGTGTGAGCTGAAGGCTATGATTTTTCAACTAGAGTGATTTTGCACCATCATCACTCCCAGGAGACATCTGGCGATGTCTAGAAACATTTTTGGTTGTCACCATTGAGAGGATGCTATAAGCATCTAGGGGGTAGATATCAAGATGCTGTTAAGCAACCTACAATGTGCAGGACTGTCCTTGTCCCCACAACAAAGAATTATACAACCCCAAATGTCAGTAGTGGGGAGGTTGAAAAATCCTGGTTTAAGGTAAATCCTGGCTTTTGTTTTCTAAATTGTCCAGGTGAGTCATATTTGTAATGACTTTCAACACCAAAATGGAAACCTCAACATGTGGGTAATCAAAACCTGCCATGTCTATTTCTTGAAAATTGATGAAAAATATAGTCACTCCTCTAAATCAAGTCACATGTTACTGCTATTTGTCTCATGTAATTTTCTGAGAAACTATGCAATTACATTTAAGCAAAATTATAATAATGTATCCTGCAGTAAGTTACCACTCCCCCTGAAAGGCAACATAAAGCAACACAGCAAAACACATCAAAATCATCACATCCATATACCGGGATTATTTATGACAATCTTCTATGTATATGAGGTCTCAGTGAAATAAACATTTATCAGGATCCTGTGAATACTAATAACTACATAGAAATACTGTCAGAGTCTCCGAGAAAATTGCTTCAATTCACATAAGACTCTTTGTCAAGATAAATAAGAATAGCTACCACTGTTGAAGAGTTTGCTTTTTTTTTTTACTAGTTTATCTCCTCAGTGTTTCATGTGATTAGTTTTATCAAATACGGTAGTTCCCCCTATAGATAGTACTGTTAATTGAGAAAAATGATGAGACAAGCCTCAATCATTTTAGGAGGTTTTTTTGCCAAGGTTAAGTCCATGTGCCTGTGTCACAGCCTAAGGAGGTCCTGATGACATGTGCCCAAGGTGGTCGGGCACAGCTTGGTTTTATACATTTTAGGGAGACATGAGACATCAATCAATATGTGTAAGAAGTACATTGGTTCCTTCCAGAAAGGCGAGGACAACGCGAAGCAGGGAGAGGGCTTTCAGGTCACAGACAGGTGAGAGACAAGTGGTTGCATTCTTTTGAGTTTTGGATAAGCCTTTTCAAAGGAGGCAATCAGAATATGCATCTATCTGAGTGAGCAGAGGGACGACTTTGAATAAAATGGGAAGCAGATTTGCCCTGAGCAGCTCCCAGCTTGAATTTTCGCTTTAGCTCAGTGATTTTGAGGGCCCAGGATAATTTCCTTTCACAGTATCTAACCCTGAATACGCTGTTTTTTCAATCTGATAACCAAGACGGCTCCTAAGTGACTAAAGAGTGAGTAGCACATACAGGATTCTCTGGACAAAGGGATGCTTCACAGTTCAGGCAGGATGGAGCAGGACAGCAGGAGATTTCATCACACTACTCAGAATGGCACGCAACTTAAACTTATGAATTGTTTATTTTCTGAAATATTTTTGGACCTCGGTTCACTACAGGTAACAAAAACCCCAGAAAGCAACACTGCAGGTTAAGGGGGACTTCTGTACTTACTAGAAAATGCAAGGTTGGCATTAGTATCCTTATTTTAGGCGGGTGTTGTCTCAGGCCTAGAGCAGTAAAGGAGCTCAGCTAATTGAGTAACTTCTGCTGGTGTTTTCTATCCCACATTCATCCGCTTTTGGGTCTGACAGGTACTAAGTCAAAGACAACTGAGAGAGGCCTTTTGGAAATGAATCCAGAGCGGACAAACAGGTTCACCTCGGTAGAGTAGATGCACACCCCTGCACAGTAAAGGACTATTTCTCTCACCATCGTCAACCTGTGTGATGAGAAGCCTCCTTCCCCTATCCCCAGATAGAAGAAGCTGGACTGAATGGAACTAAGTGGCCACAGCCCATAACCACAATTACTCTACCTCCTTCCCTGCAGAGAACAAAGAGAGGTGGATCCCAGGAGGCAGCCAGGGGATGCAAGGAGCCAACATGCCATCAGAGAGGGGTGAAGAGATAAGGTCCCAAGGAAAGCTATTGGAAAGCTTTCTACCAAAAGGGAGATCAAGGACCACAGAGCACATCCTGAAAGACAAGGTAGGAATCACAAACTCAAATGCTGTCAGGTGTCTGCCTTGCGGAGGCAGTAGAGTGATTGGGGTCAGGGACTCTGGCCGCAACTGCTTGCATTCACTTCCCAGATTCATCACTGAGCAGCTGTGTAAACTGGGGCAAGATCACGGACTTCTCCATGCTCACTTCGCGGTATTCGCTTTCTGAGGTTGCTTTTATTTCATTTGCTTCCTTTTTATGCTGAGATTAACCTTAAAAGTCACCCAACATTTGATAGAAACAATAATTAATGTTAGCTGATTTAACTAAACGGTTGGATGTTTATTCCATACCACAAAACGGTTTTTTTTTTTTTTGAGAGACGGAGTCTTTCTCTGTCGCCCAGGCTGGAGTGCAGTGGCACAATCTCGGCTCACTGCACCCTCCAGCTCCCAGGTTCAAGAGAGTCCCCTGCCTCAGCCTCCTGAGTAGCTGGGACTATAGGCACCTGCCACTGTGCCTGGCTAATTTTTTGTTATTTTAGTAGAGACGGGGTTTCACTATGTTGGCCAGGATGGTCTCGATCTCCCAACCTCATGATCTGCCCACCTCGGCCTCACAAAGTGCTGAGATTACAGGTGTGAGCCACCATGCCTGGCACACAAAACGCTTTTAACAAGAATAAATTACTCGTTTCTGCTATGGGAAATGGTATTGCAGGAGAGGGGGATAAGGAACAGAGAAAACAGGGAGGGAAAGTAACAGATACTAAAAATGATGAGGAGAAAAGAGATATAATTAGAGGGAAAATGATGAGAAGAAATAGTAAAGTGAGTGTCAAATATGGACAGAAGGATGGAATGGTTAGTGATGAAAGACATTATATTTATGCATCTTAGTGACGGGTAAAATGAACCTTATTATGATTACGGTCTTTATAATTTAAACAACAATTTGTAAGCTGTAAATGTTTATAATGAGTATAATTTCTTCAATTTATATTAATAGAATAAAGACATGATGTTAGCCATTCAGAGATCCTTTGCAGATTAACAAATGGATAATTAATTTTTTACGGGAACATAACTGATTCAAAAATAAATCGTTTTATTAATCTTCTAAGTCAGATAAAATTAAGTTTTATATAAACCTAAAACATAATTCTGTCTACAGCTGCACTGCTGTCTGGATTTGAAATATAACAGCAGAGTGACTATTCTAGATTAAAAGAAAGTAAAGAAAAATAACAACTGGCCAGGCCCAGTGGCTCACACCTGTAGTCCCAGAATTTTGGGAAACCAAGATGGGGCAGATCATCTGAGCCCAGGAGTTCGAGACCAGTCTAGCCAACATGGCAAAACTCTGTCTCTACTAAAAATAAAAAACTAGTCAGGCACATGGCTGAGGCATGAGAATTGTTTGAATCTGGGAGGAAGAGGTTGCAGTGAGCCGAGATAGCACCACTGCATTCCAGCCTGGGTGACAGAGTGAGATCCTGTCTCAAAAAATAAAGAAAGAAAAGAAAAGAAAAGAAAAATAACAACTAACTGCAATAGCTGATCTTGATTAGATCCTGATTGGAAAAAAAATAATTATAAAGTATATTATTGGGACAATTGTATAAATTTGACTTGGGACTGTGTATTAAATAAAATTATCAGGTATTATTGTATCAATGTGACTAAATGTTTTATCATAATAATGTTATTATTGTTCTATTTGAGAATAAGCTTGGTTTGGGTAGGTACATTCTAAAACATTTAAAAGTAGTGTCATGAAGTGTACAACTCATATGCTTCTTTGAAATGGTTCAGCAAAAACAAAACAACAGTGACACACATACCCACAGAGGGTATGTTAATAACTGGTAAATCTAGGTTAGGGATAGATGGATGTTTGTTGTAATAGCCTTTCAACTTTTCTAGAGGTTTTTTTTTTTACATTTTCATGATAAAACATTGGGAAATATTCTATTTTAATACATTTATGAAGTCAGAAAACCAGATGGAAGGTGGCTGAGATTACCAAGGAAGTCATAGTATGAGTAATGTAGCTGCTGTAGATTCAGAACATCTAATTCTCCAATCCCACAAAAGAGATATAGGCAATTGATCCATCATCTTACTAGTCAGCCAATTAGACGACTTTCTTAGAGTCTAGCTCATATAGTTTCATAAAATAACCAGACTCCTCTAAGGGAAAATAGAAGTAGAAATCATGGGAACTTTTTTCTTTTCTGAATAGATCAATTTTATGAAATGAAGAAAATCAGCATATTAAAAAGAGGTGGTCTGTGTTACATAAATGATACAAATGTCCTTAAAATCAAGAAGGAAGCTAATATAGGGAAACATGCAAATATAGGACTACTGGCTTTCAGTTCAGAATACCAGCAGAGACTTCTCCCAATTTCCCATGAAAAGCACTATGTCAACAGCCAAATAATCACAAAACCCAATTATATCATTTAAAACTAAAACTAATAACACACTTGGAGATATTCCCATTAAATGCAAATTATGGAGGATAAAAGAGAAATGTGTTCCTTAACATCATGCATTCTGCCTTCAGAAGCAGAATATAACAGACAGCATTAAAGAAGGCAAGTCTTAAATTAATTCCCTGTTAGCTCCAAGATAGGGATAGAAGGATGTACAGTTGGCATAGCAATCCTCAACGATACAGGGATTGTTTTTAACTAGGTGTTTTTAAAGCTGCACCTTTCTCCTTCACTATAACCCCTTCAATTCCTTTTATTAACTTCTTAGTGGAAAGCATAGTATGCTATGAAATGCATAGTAACCAACAAAGAAACATTGCTGATGAGCCAGAGACAGCAGGGGCTCTGGCAGTGGGGTTACTTATGGGGAAAGGCTTTCAGAGCCCATACCTAAGCCAATAAAAAAAATATAGCCTGTATCTTACTCTAGTCGTGTTAGAGTATAATGGGCAAAGCAGAATCTCCTTGGAGAAGTTTAGCAAGTATTGAAGGAATGTTTGCTAATCACATAAGCTTGTGTATCAGATCTCCAGCTAAAAACAGGAACCAGTCAACACTCATATATACAAAAGGAGATGTTTAGAACACTCTCCTCCTTTCTGTTGTCCCCCTTTGGCAAATCCTCAGCTAATATACATCATGAATTATGATTATGAAGAAGACTCAGAGACAAAGCATTTCTCTGTAATAGTTCTACAGAAAACTTTAGAAGTCAGATCTTGCTCTCCTCAAAAAGTTTTCAGAAGAGGAAACATGAACAAGAAACTGGAAGACAGAGTGGCTAAAACCAAAGTGGAGATAAAAAGAGAGCAGTCTGAAGTTTAAAAAATAAACGAGGCCAGGCATGGTGGTCACGCCTGTAATCCCAGCACTTTGGGAGGCCGAGGCGGGCGGATGACCTGAGGTCAGGAGTTCGAGACCAGCCATGGACAACATGACAAAACCCCATCTCTACTAAAAATACAAAAAAAATTAGCCAGCTGTGGTGGCACAAGCCTGTAATCCCAGCAACTGGAAAGGCTGAGGCACCAGAATCTCTTGAACCTGGGAGGCGGAGGTTGTAGTGAGCCAGGATCCCACCACTGCACTCCAGCCTGGGCAACAGAGCAGGTTCCCATCTCAAAAATAAGTAAATAAATAAATATTAAAATAAAAATAAATGAAAAAGAAAAATAGGTTAAGGAATAGAATTTTACATTTGGATTTTAATACTATTATTGTTGTTGTTGTTGTTATGAGGCAGGGTCTTGCTCTGTCATCCAGGCTGGAGTGCAGTGGTGCAATCTCGGCTCACTGCAGCCTCAACCTCCTGGGCCCAAGAGACCTCCCTGCCTCCACCTCCTAAAGGGCTGGGATTACAGGCATGAGTCACTGCACCTGGCCACATTTAAATTTTAAAACAGAACATTTATTTTATTTTTTTTTTAGGTATATTGCCATTTTTATTTTTTAAGTGTTTTATGTTACATTTTCTTTTTTTTATTATACTTTAAGTTCTAGGGTACATGTGCACAATGTGCAGGTTTGTTACATATGTATACATGTGCCATGTTGGTGTGCTGCACCCGTTAACTCGTCATTTACATTAGGTATATCTCCTAATGCTATCCCTCCCCCCTCCCCCCACCCCATGACAGGCCCCAGTGTGTGATGTTCCCCACCCTCTGTCCAAGTGTTCTCATTGTTCAGTTCCCACCTATGAGTGAGAACATGCGGTGTTTGGTTTCCTGTACTTGCGATCGTTTGCTGAGAATGATGCTTTCCAGCTTCATCCATGTCCCTACAAAAGATATTATGTCATCCTTTCTTATGGCTGCATAGTATTCCATGGTGTATATGTGCCACATTTTCTTAATCCAGTCTATCATTGATGGACATTTGGGTTGGTTCCAAGTCTTTGCTATTGTGAATAGTGCCGCAATAAACATACATGTGCATATGTCTTTATAGCAGCATGATTTATAATCCTTTGGGTATATACCCAGTAATGGGATGGCTGGGTCAAATGGTATTTCTAGTTCTAGATCCTTGAGGAATCGCCACCCTGTCTTGCCCAATCTTTGCACTAGTTTACAGTCTCACCAACAGTGTAAAAGTGAAAACAGAACATTTAAACAGGAATTTTCATCAATAATACAGTACAAACTTTGACAGTTTGTTCAAAAGGGATAGGAAAAAGACAAGAGTGAAAATGAATAGAAAGAATATAACATCTATGTAGTGCAAAGATATAGATTCAAACTAATAATATTCTTGGCTGCATAAATGCTTCAGAACTGAGGGAAAATATCAATATATAGATTCAGGAAGAATCATTATAATGGAACTGCTAAACACCAAAGACAGAGAAAGATCATAAAGGGATCACGGAGTAAAAATATCAACTTCAAGGTAATACAAAAATTAGATTGATAGCTGACTTCTCCAAAGCAACACTGGATGGCAGAATTCAGCAAATAAAAATTATCCTCAAATTACTTACCACACCAAACCAAAGCAAACAGAAAACAATTAATCAAGAATTGTATTCTCCATAAAAATATCTTTTTAACAACAAAGTTAAAATAAAAATATTTTTAAGATAAATAGAAACAGGCCGGCTGCGGTGGGTCATGCCTGTAATCCCAGCACTTTGGGAGGCCAAGGTGGGTGGATTACGAGGTCAGGAGTTCGAGACCAGCCTGACCAACATGGTGAAACCTGGTCTCTACTAAAAATGCAGAAAAATTAGTCAGGTATGGTGGCATGTGTCTGTAATCCCAGCTACTTGGGAGGCTGAGGCAGAGGAATTGCTTGAACCAGGGAGGTGGAGGTTGCAGTGAGTTGAGATCGTGCCTCTGCACTTCAGCCTGGGAGACAGAGTGTGACTCTGTCTCAGAAAAAAAAAAAAAAAAAAAGATAAATGGAAACAGAGTTTCCAAACTACATATACCCCAAATAATTTAAATAGGATATATTTTGAGGTGTGTATGTAGATAAATCTAAACAAACACTGGAATGATAAAACAACAATAATAACTTAATCTGTGAGGTTACAGATAATTAAAACAAGATAGAGATAAGATACAGAACAACCACAAATATTAACTGGGAGGAATATGGTTGAAGTTATAACATTCCAAGAGCACTTACGTTATATGAGAAGAGATACTGAATACATGAGTCTTTGGTAAATACGAAGGCTAAAATTCCAAGGGTAGTCACTCAAAGAATATAGCTCTTTCAAACCAGTGTGAAGAAAAGAAAATGAAATAAGGAAAACAAAAAGCAAATAAACAAAAGAAATGATAAAATTGTATTTCAAGACGTTAAGGAAGACTTAAGTAAGTGAAGAGATCAATGCTATCTAGGGCTTCGTTTCACACACTATTCTATATCTAATATACACAGTACTTGGCCTCTAGAAGATGCTCAATAAGTGTTTGTGGAAGGGAATATGAATAAATGAATTGATGATCTAATACATATAGGACAAAATATTATACAGATATCAACTGGAGGCGATTTTGTATATGAAATAGGAGCTATAAGTTCAAAACTTCCTATTATAATTCAATTAAAAATAAACAAGAACTGTAACATAAGCATTTTTAAAACAATGCAGAATTGAAGCTTTTTTCTTGACAATGGCATGTTAGGTGTTTTCTAATTTTTACCTTTTACATACCATGCTGCAACTTTCTTTCTTGTACATTTAACAATGCACACTTCTCTTAGTATATCTTGTAGGGTATGTGCTCGTTCTAATGGGTGAATCCGTGATTGTGAGCATTTCATATTCCATAGACAAAATACTCTGTTATTGTACTAACACCCTAGCAATTGTGCAAAATATTTCCTATTTTCTTAGTTTCTTGCCAGAATGGATGTTACCAAACATCTTAACTTTACCCCTCTATTTAAAAAAAAATTGCTATTCCATTGTAAATGTATTTGGTGTTTTAATATTGTAAGGTTGAAAATTGTTGCACAGGGATAACCTAAATGAAATGGCTATTCCTAGAAACACACAACCAACCAAGACTGAATCATAAACAAACAGAAAATCTGAGCAGATGTATAATTAGCTAGGAGATTGAATCAGCAATCAAAAACCTCCCAACAAAGAAAAGCTCAGGACCAGATGGCTTCATTGGTGAAGTCTATGGAAAATATAAAGAATTAACAACAATCCTCTTCAATCTCTTCCAAAAAAATGAAAAAGGAGGAAACATTTCCAATTGTATTCTATGAAACCAGCATTACCCTGATACCAAAGCTAGAGAAAGGCACTGCAAGAAAAGAAAACTACAGACCAATATTCTTTATAAATATTGACACAGAAATCCTCAACAAAATACTACCAAACCAAAATCAACAGCATATTGAAAGTGTTATACACCATGACCAAGTGGGATTTATTCTTGAAATACAAGTTCAATATATGAAAAGCAATCAGTATAATACAGCACTTTAAAAAAAGAAAGGATAAAAATCACATGATTATTTCAATAGATACAGAAAAGCATTTGATGAAATTCAACACTCTTCTATGACAAAAACACTAAACAAATTAGCTATAGAGGGCCAGCTATGAAAAGCCCACATCTAACATCATATACAACAGCCAAAGACAAGGCTTTTCCTTTAAGATTAGGTGTAAAACAAGGATGTCTACCTGCCACTTCTATTTAATATGATACTGGAAGTCCTAGCCAGAGCAATTAGACAAGAAAAGGACATAAAAGTAATAAAAATTGAAAATAAAGAAGTAAAATTATCTCCGTTCAAAGCTGACATGATCTCACATGTAGGAAACCATAAAAATTCCACCAAAAAAGAAACTGTTTGAAAGAATAAATAACGTCAGTAGAGTATACAAACTCTACTTGCAAAAATTGGTTACATTTCTGTACATTAACAGTGAAAAAATTTGAAAAGGAAATTAAGAAAATAATTCAATTTACAATAGCGTTAGAAATAATGAAATACTAGGAATAAACTTAACCAAGGAGAAGAAAAGTCTTGTACACTGAAAACTACTAAACATTGCTGAGGCCAAGCATGGTGGTCTATACCTGTAATCCCAGTACTTTGGGAGGCCACAGCAAGAGAATCGCTTGAGTTCGGGAGTTTGAGACCAAACATTACTGAAAGAAATTAAAGAAGACACAAATAAATGGGAAGATATTATGTGCTTATGGGCTGTAGGCTTAATATTAAGCTGTCAATACTACCCAGAGTAATCTACCAATTTAATGTAATCACCATCACAATACTAATCGCATTTTTTGCAGAAATGAAAAAATCCATTTTAAAGTTTATATGGAATCTCAGAAGATCCTAAATAGCCAAAATATCCTTGAAAAAAATGTTGTGTGAGATCTCAATCTCCTGGTTTCAAAACTTATTACAATGCTACAGCAATCAAAGCAGTGTCATACTAGTGTAAAGGAAGACATTTAGACCAAAAGAATAGAATAAAGAGCTCAGAAGCCAACCTTCACATATATGATCAAATAATTTTTGACCAGGGTACCAATACTATTAAATGGGGGGAAAGGGGAGTGTTTTAAACAAATAGTGCTGGGAAAACCAGATATTCACATGCAAGAGAATGAAATTGGACCCTTACCTTACACCATATACAAAAATTTACTCAAAATAAGTCAAAAGCATATACAAGAGCTAAAACTATAAACTCTTAGAAGAAAACACAGGATAAAAGTTTATGAAGTTGGGTTTGCAATGACTTTTTTTTAAAGTTGGGTTTGCAATGACTTTTTTTTTTTCTAAGTGAAAGCAAGTTTATTAAGTAAAGGAATAAAGAATGGCCACTCTATAGACAGAGCAGCCTGAAAAGACTTTTTGGATATGATGCAAAAGCACAGACAACAAAGTAAAAATAGATAAATTGAACTATATCACAGGTATGTTTCAGTCTATTTTTTGACTCATGATTCTATTCTATGGAACTTTTTATATATTTTTACTACACTAGAGCTTTATAAAGAGTTTCTAGCTGTTATATCAAGATAGTCTTTGTTATACTTGGCTGTCCTTATGTAAATACAATTTCAGATGACTGATAATATGCAAAAGAAGAAAAAACTTAAGGAATGTATTACATTTATTGTTAAATTAGTGTAAATATCTTTACAATAATGAGTCTTCCCATTTAAGGACATAGTCAAGTGGTCTTTAAAATATTATTCCTAAAATCATATTTTTCTTCACATAATTCTACTCATTTCTTGTTAGGTTTGTTTCTAAGCATTTTATAGGTTATTGCCATTGGAATTTTTTTTTCCAAATAAATTTGCCTATTAGTTATTTCTTTCATCTAGATTCTACTGATTTTTAAAATTTTTTTACTTAAATTTTTTATGTAGATTTATTAAATTTCAGAGAAAACATTAAAAACTGGATGAAAGAAAATAAATATATAGTAAAAAATTTTTAGATTTGAAGAAAGACACACATTTTCAGGTTGAAAAGTCTCACCAAATGCTGAGTAGAGTTTTGTTTTTTTTTTTAATACCTATACCCAGAATCATCCTGGATAAGAGATTGCTAAAAGTTCCAGGATAAAATAAAGAAATCTCAGCCAGAAACAAGCATCATCTGACTTCATGATTCTCATTACCAAGAATGGGGCTGGAGGATGATGGAGAATGGCTTCAGTCTTCTAAGTGAAAGTGACTATGAGTCACTTGTAACCAAGTGAGAGGGCCAAATACAGACATTTTCTGACAGGTCAACTTTGAAAAAGTTCACCTCCACTGTACCCAGGGATACAATGAAAATAAATTATAAGACTTTGGGCTAAAGATGCCTATTGTATACCTCTTCTTCCTGCCAGGATCAATTAAAAAGTTAGTGCAGATATTTTAAATGTACAAACTCACAATGATGATGAGAATAGGTAAGAGATTATCAATAGGCCATAGATTTAAAATATTACTGGCAGAAGAAAATTGATGAAGAAAGTAAAACTGATGTAGCAGGGCAGAAGAAATTACAGGACAAGGGATGCCTTCCAGGGGACATGGGAAACAATAAAGCCAAACAATGAAGACAAGGCACCTGCCCCTCCCTGAAGAGGTTACGGAAGTAGACTGGGAGTCTGATCCCAGGAGACTAATGGAGAAGAGTCAAACATGGGGCTGGAAACAGGGGAACAGCAAATGTGTGGGTAGAAGACTTTATTCCCCAACTGTCCGTGTGAGGAGGACACAGGCGACTAAGTGTCTGCCTCCATGCAGGAGGTCAGAGGTCACCTGGGTCCCTAACTCAGGTAAGCAGCCATTAGAAATGATACACGTCAGTCCACAGAAGGCTTCACCATCACCAACATGCAGAATTCTCATTCAGCTTTTCAATGCCTTGTTCTTTAATATCACCAGATACTTGTTGAGACTTTTCAACATAAAGGAAAAGACCAATTTTAAAGAAACTGCAGAATGAGAGAAAAAATGGTCAGTGAGGAAAGAGATAGAAGCATTTGAACTTTTTAAATCTCTATTTGATAACCCTCAGAAGTTTTTGAGAAGATCACATTATATGTTTTCAAATAAAAAGGATACAAAGTTAAGAAAATATCCTAAAAAGACAAAGAATGGATAATGTAAGAGGGGAAGAAGAGGCAAAGACACTCAATCCAGAAAGTTCAACATCTCTCTAATAGGTATTTCAAAAAGAGAGAAAAGAACAAAAATTTAAAAAAATAATCAAAGAGGCCAGGTGTGGTGGCTCATGCCTGTAATCCCAGCACTTTGGGAGGCAAAGGTGGGCAGATTACCTGAGGTCAGGAGTTCGAGACCAGCCTGGCCAACATGGTGACACTGTCTCTTAAAATTATCATTATAAATATTTATGCTATTTTTCTTAAGCCTCATATCAAATATTACTTTAACAAAATGATTTCAGTGATTTTTAAAACTAAAAAAAAATTTATAAAATGATGACTGCTGGGTACAGTGGCTCATGCCTGTAATCCCAGCACTTTGGGAGGCCAAAGCAGGCAGATCACC
Source organism: Homo sapiens (assembly GCF_000001405.40). Taxonomy (NCBI): domain Eukaryota; kingdom Metazoa; phylum Chordata; class Mammalia; order Primates; family Hominidae; genus Homo; species Homo sapiens. The sequence continues at coordinate 25,863,158 of NC_000010.11, forward strand.
TGAGATCAGGAGTTCGAGACCAGCCTGGCCAACATGGTGAAACCTCATCTCTATTCCCCTACAAAAATTAGCCAGATGTGGGGACAGGTGCCTGTAATCCCACCTACTCAAAGGCTGAGGCAGGAGAATTGCTTGAACCCAGGAGGCAGAGGCTGCAGTGAGCCAAGATCCCACCATTGTACTCCAGCCTGGGCGACAAGAGTGAGACTCCATCTCAAAAAAACAAAGAAAAATAATCGAAGAAATAATTGAAGAAAATTTCCCCAAATGAAGGACATAAACTTTCAGACTGAAAGAATAGAGGGAGTATTCATTATAGGTAATGAAAGGATGTCCAGCCCTAGATGTGTCATTACAAAATTTCCTTCATGAAAGGAAATAATGCCTCAAATGAATAAATTAAGAAAGTATTTAGGATATTGAGGGTAACTATCAAAAGGGATAGCTAAAATAATAAAAGAATTGCTTCTGGGGAGTATAATAATGAGGTTGGGGAAAGATGGTACAGGACACTGTTTTTTAAAATTATCATTATAAATGTTTATGCTATTTTTCTTAAGCCTCATATCAAATATTACTTTAACAAAATTATTTCAGTGATTTTTAAAACTAAAAAGCACACTTATACAATGATGGCTGCTGGCCACAGTGGCTCACTTCTATAATCCCAGCACTTTGAGAGCCTGAGACGGGAAGATCACTTGAGGTCAGGAGTTTAAGACCAGCCTGGGCAACATGGTGAAACCCTGTCTCTACTAAAAATGCAAAAATTAGCCAAGCATGTTAGCACATGCCTGTAATCCCAGCTACTCGGGAGGCTGAGGCACGAGACTCACTTGAACCTAGGAGGCAGAAGTTGCAGTGAGCCAAGATCACAGCCCTGCATTCCAGCCTGGGCAACAGAGCAAGATTTCGTGTCAACAAAAAATAAAAAAAAAAAAAAAGATGGCTGTCAGAGTTCTAGAGAGCAACTAATTCCATGGAAACAGAAAGTTTGAGGGCTACGGAAGGAGTGTTTCCAAGGAGGAAGTAGACTTACTGAAGTAAATATGATTAAGTGAATGGATCATGTTGATATGGTATAGGCATATAAGAAGAAGATTTGAAAAATGGAAAATAAAATAGGATGCAAGAAAAACAATAGCTACACAAGAAAGACATGATCCAAACCAGAGGAAAGGAAAACATGAGCTGAACAACTGAGGTAGGGTCAGAAATTAAAATTGGTATGAACATGACACAGGGAACATTCTCCCTTAACACACTTCTTTTCTTTAAGGGTGAAATCACATTACTTGTTTCAGCAGTAGAATAATATAACAATGGGAACATGGTATGGGGAGAGTAGTTTTAGCTCACTGACTAAAGCATGCCTTCAAGTGAAAATGTAGAGGACAGGGCAAGTTCAGACGGCATTTCACAGCACTTTAGGGACTGTATTAGTCTGTTCTCATGCTTCTAATAAAGGTATACCTGAGACTGCATAATTTATAAAGGAAAGAGGTTTAATGGACTCACAGTTAGTTCTACATGGCTGGGGAGGCCTCACAATCATGGCGGAAGGTGAAGGAGGAGCCAAGGCATGTCTTACATGGCAGCAGGCAAGAGAGCGTGTGTAGAGGAACTCCCCTTTATAAAACCATCAGATCTCATGAGACGTATTCACTATCATGAGAACAGCATGGGAAAGACCCGACCCCATGATTCAATTACCTCCCACTAGGTCCATCCCACAACACATGGGAATTGTGGGAGCTGTAATTCAAGACAAGATTTGGGTGGGGACACAGCCAAACCATATGAGGGACTGAAAGAGTAACTTCAAGGAATAACCTGTCCTTGGCCCCAGATTAAGCATTGTGATGAATATGTAACATTTCTATAATCCCCTCCTCATCCAATAGAAGCTTACATTCTTCTTGTGAACAACTATCAATGATGGATAATAGCAGATCATCACAATGTTCAGTAATTGATTCAGTATAATTACTATCATTGTTGTTTGTTCAAACCAAGAGGCTGCATAGATGGTAAATTGTAATTCTTACATTTTCAGTGAAACGGGAGATAGAAAGAGGTACACATGAATGGTGAGATGGGGACAGAGTCACTGTGGGAGACTTTGAGAACCAGGCAGAGAAGTTTAGATTTTTTGTGCTGGTGTGGGATTGAGCAAAAGAGTTAGAGTTTGAAAGTAAAGTTTAACAGAAAGTCACAACCTGGTGCAGTAAGGTTATCTAAAAGGCCAATTCAGTAATCCATGAACTGTACAAGAGTTACTAATGCATATGAGTTTTCCCAGCCTTCACAAGCCCTTTTCTGAGAAGGATGCCAAGTCAGAACAATCAGGCTTTGTGTCTTGTGTCATGCAGACCAAGGATATTGAAAGAAAGCTACTATGAGGATATTTGATACACAGAGACAAATCACTTTTAACAGCCCCTGCTGTGGATGAAATAATTATTTTCAGTAATAATCATGCAGTTATCTAGTATTAATCATTATTTTCTTGATGTATTCCTTAGGTTTGAAACAACAATTTAAAAAGAAGAAGTTTTCAGGCTATTCGAATTCAGTAAATTATACATTTCAATTTTACATTCTTTGTTTCGCTGTTTTAAACTTCAAACTCAAAGCAAAACTCTGATTGGTCACATAAAATGTCAAAATTGAAGAAATTTAAGTTCAGTTTCTTTGTCTTTACAGTCACTGTGATACCACTGCTTATTTTAAAACTACTGTCTAAGTGCAAGAATATGCAATACCACAAGAGTTGAACAGAGATTGTGCTTGTACCTGCTGGAATGGCTCTAAACACTCATAAACGTATTGTCAAAACAATATGGGAATTTTAGTTCACATGTGTCAGGGACAACTATGTTAACTGGGAGCTCTCAGAATTAATTTACAGGTAGAATCTAATGTTGACTAGAGGATAAGTAATAAAAATGAAATAATATAAAGCTTATACATATATTCATGTAAAATGTATATATGTGTACATTTTATATATATATATATATATTTATGCTGTTAAAACTCAACAGCAACTACAGAAATTAGATCAATAACATATTTGGAAGGGAGAAGGAAAGAGCAGTTTATCACTTATTGCTCTTTTTTTTTTTTTTTTTTTAAGAGACCAGCTCTTACTATGTTGCCCAGAATGGATTTGAACTCCTGGGTGCAATCCTCTTGCTGCCTCAGCTTCCAGAGCAGCTGAGCCTACAGGCACATGCCACTGTGCCTTGACTTTTACAGATATTTTCAGTAGTTGCCAGCATATGGTAAAGATTAGAGTCAAACAGACTTTTTATCAATTCCATTGATTTTTTTTTTTTTTGATACAGAGTCTTGTTCTATCGCCCAGGCTGGAGTGCAGTGGCGTGATCTCAGCGCGCTGCAAGCTCCATCTCCCAGGTTCACACCATTCTCCTGCCTCAGCCTCCCGAGTAACTGGGACTGCAGGTGCCCACCACCACGCCCGGCTAATTTTTTTGTATTTTTAGTAGAGATGGGGTTTCACCGTGTTAGCCAGGATAGTCTTGATCTCCTGACCTCATAATCCACCTGCCTCGGCCTCCCAAAGTGCTGGGATTACAGGCGTGAGCTACTGCACCCGGCCTCCATTGTTGTTTTTGAAATTCTCTGTAGTGGATGCATCCTTTATCACCTGTGCCTGATAGACTCGTTTCGCCATCTTCCTTTTGGTAGAAAGTTTGAAAAATCTGAAAGAATCAGAGATGGGCTAGCGAATTTTGCCTTGGAAAAGGCAAGAAAAGGATCCACCAAGTTGAAAAAATTGCCAGAGACAGTGGGAGCAGTGTAGGCTGGCTTCTGGAGGAGGATTTGGGTGGGCAGTAGAGAGTGGAGATGAGAAATAAATTAGAGAAAACAACTGCTATCTCCTTTGCTAGTGACAAAGACTAATAATGGTTTTTTAACAATAAGAAAACTAATAATAATAATAGCTTTTCATATACCAGGCCGCGTTATAAATGCTTTACATGTGTTAAGTCATTTTGTTGTCACTATAATCCTACGATGTTTAAAGTACCATTATTACTCCCATTTTACAGATGAAGTAACTGAGGCACTACTAGGAATTGTCAGAGTCCGTTTTTAACTCAGGCAATCTGGCTTCAGACCTTGGTTCTTAACTACTTAGACTGCAAAGTTCTTAAGAGACTGAGTAAAGTCTTGAGTAGTAATCAATTTTATTTTTTATTTCTCTGAACTGACATAGCACAGAGATTCAGGTACACAAGGAGTATTTAGGCTACACGAGGACAAGGCCATGAGGTTATGCAATTATAAGCAAATGGATGCAATCCAGAGATATCTTGCAAAACAATTATATAGGATTTCATGGTGACTAAAATCAAAAGATAAGAAGAATGAGTCAACGATGACTCAAAAAATTAAGCTTTTGTAATGCAGAAAATGAAGGTGCCATTGACAGGGAGTGGGAAATAAACAAATGAGTAAATTAGTGGGCAGGAGGCGAGGATAAATTCAGCTTTGAAAATCTAAAGACAAAGTTTGGTAAACATTTTAAAATACTGCAACAGTATTGAGAAAATTAAAAAATGGAAAATAAGATTTTAGAAATAGAAGCATGCATGACACAGTTGAAATTTTACCTTTTGTTTTATCTTGATGAATTGATTGAATGCTATATATCAGTTTTATTCCACTGAGGATTTGAGGCAACTTACACTAAAAGGAGTAAGAAATTATCGTTGATATTTTAATCTTACATATAACTAAATTCACTTATGTTGAAATTCATTTTTCTCTTTTCCAAATAAAAAGGTTTCCATTTTTGGTTGGGCCCTTATTCTAGGTTGAACTCTTTGTTGACCAAATGATATATGTTTTTAGGTCAGTTGCAGTGGCTCACACCTGAAATCCCAGCACTTTGGAAGGCCAAGGCAGGCCGATCACTTGAGCCCAGGAGTTCAAGACCAGCCTAGCAGATGGCTTAAGCCCAGAAATTCAAGGCCAACCCGGGCAACACGGTGAAACCCTGTCTCTACAAAACAAAATAAAAAATTAGCTGGGTGTGCTAACACACACCTGCAGTCTCAGCTACCTGGGAGGCTAAGGTGGGAGGATTACCTGAGCCCAGGAGATCAAGGTTGCAGAGAGCTGAGATCATGTGCACTCCAGTCTGGGTGACAAGTGAGACCCTAAAATATATATATTTTAACAAAGTGTTTTGTAATCCTCTGAGTTGAAGTCATTACACTACCAGTTTTGATTTACTTTACATGTATTGTGTTGTGTTGTTTTACTTTGTTTTGTACCATATAAAATGCTGGAAGCATAAATGGTAAAAATCATGGTAGCAGCATTTGATATTTGTGACTAAAATGATTTGGGTATATATATTTTCCCCCAGTGTATTTTGTACTTTTGATCTTCCTTTGCTCCCCTATTCTATTATCTAATGTGATGGTTAATATTAGGTGTCAGTTGATTGGATTGAAGGATTTAGAGCCCTCCCTGATAATGCAGGGTGATTTCCTATCAAGATCCTTAATTTAGTTGCATCTGCAGAGACCCTTTTTCCATATGTGGTCACGTTCACAGGCTCTGGAGTTAGGACATGGACATACCTCTCCACTGGAAATCCCTGACATTCTGAACAATAAAGTGACTTGTCCTGTCATCAGTATATCACTATGAAATTCAGTGCTGATCTTTATAAGCAAATGGTACATACAGTAACAAATTGTGTTTATGGATGACTAAATGCTGAGGCAAAATACAGGTGTCTGATAACATCAAAGATAGAATATTTCTAGGTGGTTCTAACATCAGAGTATAGAATACAGGTGAATAGGACCATAAAGTCACTCTTCTTTATATGCTAGAAAATCTTTCATGTATGTGATTATAATTCCCAGTGCACTTTGGTTCTGGCAGATCTATGGATGGGATTATATGCTGAGGATTTATGAGAACAAACATCAGCTAAAGATAGATAACCATTCACAAGAGTGATCATTTGGGGAAAACTGGGTTCTCTGTTTGTTCACCTATATATTCAGAATTCCCGTGATAAATTGTCATTGATCATAAGTGAACAACACGAATGTGGATCACATGTATTTGATTTTGTGAGCACGTGGTTAGTTGAGAGAGAAGGGAGGCAGAAAAATTAAGTTGACATTCAAGTCCTTGCCAAACGACATAAGCGCGGGAACTCATTCCTATTAAACTGTCACAGGATAATATATTTGACATAAGTGTCCTTATTGACATTACCCCTCCCTTTTTCAGAAAGGCAATAAAATTCTCAGGTTTTGATCTTGCACAGCACTGTATCAAAGTGGAGTTTAAGATAATAAACTTGTAGCATCCTCTTCCCAACCTCAGGCCTCAATGGAAATTTGGCGCTCCAAAAAGTCCATTAAATATTTAAGAAAATGTTTAAAGAAAAGCCTAATTCCTTTTATAATAAAAAGTGGAACAAACTCCAAAAGGCTGTTCTGAGACACACTAATGAACTAAGGAGGCCCTATCTCTAAGGTGGCTCCCCTTAACTCCCTTGGGTGCCCAGAACCCGTGTCAACAGAGGCCCTTGGGTGGCCCCTGAAGTGTTTCCTGCCTGGGGTGCCAGGATATTCTCTATTTTATCCTGCTCAGCTCCAGGTACCAAGAGCCTTCAACCTAGGGGTTCAGCCCTTCCCAGTCTTTAAGCGAATGAAAGCAAGTTTAATAGGGCATTCGAGGTTCCAATCTCCCTAATTTTTAAGATCTGGACTTGCTCTTGATGCCTTATTAAGCCCAGCACCTTGTGGAATGCCAGCAACAGCCCACATCAGACCTACATGTCATTCTCCCTTTAAAACTGTAATTTGGGGCCGGGCGCGGTGGCTCACACCTGTAATCCCAGCACTTTGGGAGGCCGAGGAGGGCAGATCATGAGGTCAGGAAATCGAGAGCATCCTGGCTAACACGGTGAAACCCTGTCTCTACTAAAAATACAAAAAAATTAGCCGGCCGTGGTGGCGAGCGCCTGTAGTCCCAGCTACTCAGGAGGCTGAGGCAGGAGACTGGCATGAACTCGGGAGACGGAGCTTGCAGTGAGCCGAGATCACGCCACTGCACTCCAGCCTGGGCGACAGAGTGAGACTCCGTCTCAAAAACAAAAACAAAAAACAAACAAACAAAACCTGTAATTTGGATTTCTGTCTACCTATTTTGGGGCCAGCCCTACAGCACAGCTCTGCCCAGAGACCAGCTCAGAGACGACTCTTCTCCTCCCTCCCATTCTTGAGGTCCTAGCCTATGGCAGATGTTCTGCAGGTTTTTCCAACTGGGGATTAGGGTCAGGAGAGGGAAGGAGGCCAAGAGACATGAGAAGAGTATTTCCCTAGTCTGAAAGGAGCTGATTTTAATACTGAAAATTAACTAGGCCTGGTGTAGTGGTTCATGTCTGTAATCCCAACACTTTGGGAGGCCGAGGCAGATGGATCACCTGAGGTCAGGAATTCAAGACCGGCCTGGCCAGCATGGTGAAACCCCGCCTCTACTAAAAATACAAAAATTAGCTGGGTGTGGTGGCAGGTGCCTGTAATCCCAGGTACTCCAAGGCTGAGGCAGGAGAATCACTTGAACCTGGGAGGCAGAGGTTGCAGTGAACCAAGATCGCACCATTGCCCTCCAGCCTGGGAGACAAAGCAAGACTCTGTTTAAAAATAAAATTAATTAATTAATTAATTAACAGAATTTTATGTTGTAAATTTGTATGATAATTGTATCCAAATATTATACATATAGTCTCTATGTATGAAATAATTATAAGAATCATGCATGTATTCCTCCCTTTTTATGTGAAAGTTCAAATACAGAGAAAAATTGAAAGAATTTTACAGTAAGCACACTGATATGGTTTGGCTGTGTCCTCACCCAAATCTCACCTTGAATTGTAATGATCCCCATGTGTCAAGGATGAGGCCAGGTGGAGATAATTGAATCATGGGGACAGTTTCCCCCATACCATTCTTATGATAGTCTGATGGTCTGATAGTCTCACAAGATGGCTTTATAAATGGGAGTTTCCCTGCACAAGCTCTCTCTTGCCTGCCAACATGTAAGATGTGGTTTTGCTCCTCCTTGCTTTCCACCATGATTGTGAGGCCTCCCTAGCCACGTGGAACTGTGAGTCCGTTAAACCTCTTTCCTTTACAAATTACCCAATTTTGGGTATGTCTTTATTAGCAGCATGAGAACAGACTAATACACACACATATATCCAACCAACCTAGATTCGATAATTGTTAACATTTTGCCAGATTGCTTTATTATGTTTTCATCGATCCACTTTTCTATCCATTTCATTTTCTGAAGTACACATCAGTACATTTCACCCCTAAGCATTTCAGCCATATACATGTAGTATTTTGTTGTTGTCATTGTTGTTGTTTAGAGATGGGATCTTACTATGTTGCTGCCAGGCTAGAGTGCAGTGCTATGACCATAGTTTATTGCAGCCTCAAACTCTTGGCCTCAAGTGATCCTCCTGCCTCAGCCTCCCAAGTAGCTGGGATTACAGGCATGCACCACAGTGTCCAGCTTGCATGTAAGTTTTAAGGAAAGTTCTATCTACTTCAGATTTTGTTTTGGCTTCAAAGTTATAAAATTTTCATGGAGTTCCAGTGGGGTGGGGATGGAGGGGTTGGGGTGTGAAGAGAACTGTTAGTAGCTTTAGAGAGTTCATGAAAGTAGAAAATAGGTATATTCAACTTATTTGTAATAAGTCCTGGATGTCTTGGAGCTACTATAAGGTGTCTTTGAGTTCATATATGGGTTAAACTTTGTTTATAGACTGAATAAATGCTGTATATGTACGAATATAAATAAAATATATATAGGTAGGGATGTGATTACTAGTAGAGTTACATAAATGCACTCAAAGATGAGGCTGAATTTACAGTAGTATTTGTCATCACATATTTTCTCAATCAATAAGTATCAAAACACAATGACTAGCATGGAAGATCATCCTTCAAAAGTACTTCACACATTAGGAATGACCTCTTTCAAGAGAACCAGAACATTTCAGACAAAGAGACTTTGGGCTGCCTGTGTGGATGATGACGATGACAACTCAGCAGTACTGCCACTTGATGTTGTGCTCTTTACCCAGGATAAGTTTGTTGAAAATGAGCTACTTGAAGCTAGTTTCCTGAACAAAGTGCAGTGTGGACAGCTGTTTAAGCCATCAGATGTAGGTCAAAGTCTGCAACACTAAATAGGATTTTTTTTTTTTTGCCTTTAATTCCAGAACAAAAGTTGTTTTGGGACTAAGTTGTAGGAGAATGTTATAGATCCTTGGGTTTTGGTGCTCATGGAGAACTAAACCATATTAATATGAACAAGAGACGGTGGGAGTGGCTTTCTGACAGTAGTTAAAATTTCCTGCAGGCCGGGCACAGTGGCTTATGGCTATAATCCCAGCACTTTGGGAGGCTGAGACGAGAGGATTGCTTGAGGCCTGGAGTTCAAGACCAAGCTTGGCAACATGGCAAGATGCCCATATCTACAAAAATTAAAATTAAAAAAAATAGCTGGACATGGTAGCACTTGCCTGTAGTCCAGTAACTTGGGAGGCTGAGGCAGGAGGATCACCTAAGCCCAGGGGGGTCGAGGCTACAGTGAACCATAAGCACACCACTGCACTCCAGCCTGGGCAGCAGAGCAAGACATTGTACCTAAAAAAATGCAAACCACCATGGCACACGTTTACCTATGTAACAGACCTGCATCTCCTGCACGTGTGCCCTGGAACATAAAATAAAAGTTGAAAAATAAAATAAAATAAAATAAATCTTCCTGCAAAGGAAAACACAGCAGTTTTGCTGAGTCCCTTTAAAAAAAAACAAAAAACAAAAAAAACAAACAAAAAAAACCCAAACTTGTTTTCTAGTAGTCAATCAATTACCAATTTTGGGTGCAGCTGGTGTACCAAAAGTAGGAAAACCAGTTTGCCTCCATATGCAGTTGATGCTTTTACTATCTAAAGCTGACAAGTACTGACCCTGCTAGTAAATTATCTCTCTGCATAAGAACCATAGCTATATTTTCCTAAAAATGAAGATATTATTCATGAAAGGTGAAAATGTAGTTGCTAAGCACATGTGTTCTAGATTTAGATGTCTTGTCAAAACCCTTAGCTCTATCATTTGTTAGCCTGTTTGACCTTAGACAAATTATATGACCTCACTCTACCTCATCTGTAGATTAGGAGTAGTAACAGATTTTGCCCGTAAAATTAAATGAGATACTACATTTGAAGTGCTTACTTACCACACTGCTTGGCCACAGCAAACAGTCAATTAAAGTTTATTATTATTATTGTTTTAGAAGACAAGTCTCCAGCTTTTAAATTGGTAATACATAGAATTCCTAGGCAAAATTATTATTAATAAAATAGTATTATTTTATTATAAAATTTGTGACATTATTTTATTATAAAAGTTCAGGATGGAAAGCCTTCTCAAACATTTGTTTTATTGTGGATTCTTCTAGAAGTAGAATTGTTCAAACCTGGGCATTCGGATGGTAGTTTAAGGTGGCTGAAATGAAGGTCTAGTTATGCCTTGTCTTACAAATTTCAGGCTAAAACTATTTTGCCCCTGGCAATGAAATAGAACCATGGAAAATCTATTAATTGACCACTTATCTGTACAATTAGAAAAATTCAGAACTGTCTGGAAACGATCTTGGCCCAAATTTTGGTTCCTCTCTCAGCTCACCTCAGAACACTAGCATGGATTCTGGTTACGAAAGAGCCCCTCTTGGCTCCTCAGTTTCCATATTTGGATCTTAACCAACCCTTAGTTGATCATGATTAAGAAAGATAATTTGGAACCAGATGCAGTGGGTCATGCCTGTAATCCCAGTGCTTTGGAAGGCCAAGGAGGGAGGATTGCTTGAGAACAGCCTGGGCAACATAGTGAGACCCAGTCTCTACAAAAAAAAAAGAATTAAAAAATTAGCCAGGCATGAGCCTGTAGTCCTAACTACTTGGGAGGCTGAGGTGAGAGGTTCACTTGAGCCTAGGAGTTTGACGTTGCTGGCAGTGAGCTATGATGGCACACTTCAGCCTGGCAGACAGACCAAGACCCTGTCAAGAAAAAGAAAAAGAGAAGAGAAGAAGAGAGGAGGGAAAGGAAAGGAAAGGAAAGGAAAGGAAGGGAAGGGAAGGGAAGGGAAGGGAAGGGAAGGGAAGGGAAGGGAAGGGAAGGGAAGGGAAGGGAAGGGAAGGGAAGGGAAGGGAAGGGAAGGGAAGGGAAGGGAAGGGAAGGGAAGGGAAGGGAAGGGAAGGGAAGGGAAGGGAAGGGAAGGGAAGGGAAGGGAAGGGAAGGGAAGGGAAGGGGGAAGGGAGGGGAAGGATAGGGAAGGGAAGGGAAGGGAAGGGATGGGAAGGGAAGGGAGAAGGAAGGTGAGTTGGTTCTCACCTATAAGCAAAGAACTAGCTCTTGTCCAGAAGCTTCCTCGAGAACACAACCTAGTGTTCACTGCCCTTCAAATAACTAAACACAGTGTGCAAGGTGGAATGCTTACATATGTCTCTGATGCAGAAGTTTAGCAAAGAGGAAGATACCTATAATTCGACTCTTCCAGAGAGTATTGTTTAGACAAACTGTAGATTATTGTAATGTCATAAACCTATACAAGAGCCTTATAAGAAAAGGCCACAAATGCATTATGATGACATGATTTATGTTATACCTTGTCCTATGAGGAATCCTGGAGAAATTCTTGTCTGACCCTAGAATCAAAAAGACTTGGAATTTTACTGAGCTGTTGTATTTGCTTTTAATTTCATGAACACTCTGAGTCAGATCTGTTCTGGTTTCCTTTTTGACCCTGCCTGGGAACGCTGTAGTGGGCTTTCAGCTGTCCACAAATTTCTGCCTCCTCTCCTTACACATGGAAGACCTGACTTTTCCCCTCTCTTGTGGGTAGAGACATGAGGCAAGTTCTGGCCAATGAGAGTGAGTAGAAATGATGTGATCAGAGCATTTAATTGCTAATGCAAGATTTTTCAAAGCTCTTCCCCTCTGCCATGGTGGCAGGCAGTGTGAGTGACAATGGCTGCTCCATTCGCTTAGAAACCAAAAATAAGCCTGAGATCTGTAACGAAAGAGAAATTAAAGCACTGTTGTCAAAAACTCCTGAGATTTGGGAGCTGTCTTTACCATAGTAGAACCTGGTGCATCCTGATTAATACACAGCTAAATATATCATCGATGGGAGGATGGTCAGTTGTTATTTTACATGTATTTTGATTTAATTTCTTGATCACTTTGCCTCACCCTTGTTATCTTTTCTCATCCAATGCAGCCTAATGTTTTCAATTTTGTCATATTTTATGAGTTCTTGTAAGTCAACTTTGAGAATAGATGGGAAATGATTAAGTTAACTTAACGAATTTATGTGAACCCTGGAGAAACACCTCAGGGTGAGTTGGCTATGCAGGATAAACAGATTTTAAGTACAGCTGCTCTGGAAATTGTTTTCTTAACAGAGAAAATACCTAAGCTTAGGACTAGTAGCTGCATTTCCAGAGGGATGCACTAGAGGGCGCGTGGAGCTTGGTGTGCTCGACAGTCACGGTACCCTTTGGCCTTCTTGGGTACACTGAGAAGAGATATTGTCAAGGGATTATGGCGGGAGTTTTTGTTTGCATGATTTCCTATATTCGAAATTTCAGAAACTGGTATTGATTTACTTTCTTTTTATGCAAAATTGACCCTAAGAAAAATGAGGTTATAAAAATGTTCACTTGTCTGTAACATTATTTTATTATAAAATGTTAGAATTGAAGAGCATCTTAATGGAGGTTTATGGAGTCTTTCTTCACATCAGGAATTATTTTTCAATGCAGAATTCCACCCAAACTTATTCAATGTTCTGCTAATTTTCTGACCTCTTCCCTCAAAATTAACATGTCCTAGCTTCTATTTCCTAGGAGGGGCTTATTAAGTGGCCAGTTTGTTAATCTGGTTATCTAATTTGAAACAAAATGTTAATGGCTAACAATACCTTAGCTATTAACCATACCTACCTGTCCAGATAGAATTGTTTTTAACTGGCTGTAACATCAACATAAAAGGGAACAACATGGGTAAGTGTGGGAGTGGATTCCAGGTGTCAGTTTCATAAGCAACCTCCTGTATGATATTCATCCAAGACAACAGCTTTATTCTCAGGAGAATTACTACTCATATAATAAGTTAAATCTGGTATGATATTCATCCAAGACAACAGCTTTATTCTCAGGAGAATTACTACTCATATGCTAAGTTAAAATGTCATTAAATATTTTATAGAGGAATTTTGTTGTTCGGATTCCCTGTTTGAGGTTAATGCTACTTACTGCTTCTGGAGTTTTGGTAGGTTATAAGCTGTTTCTGTGGTTGTTCAGATCTTTGGTAATAGTAACAGGAATTGGATACAGGGTTGAAATGCATTTGTTAATCTCTAAACATTCTTTTAGTCAATAGCTTTAGCCTCCTTTCTTTTGAGGAAAAGTAAGGATAAATGAAAGAACACAAACTTTGGAGTCAAATAAATCTGGAGTTGGCCGGGTGCGGTGGCTCACGCCTGTAATGCCAGCACTTTGGGAGGCCGAGGTGGGCGGATCACGAGGTCAGGAAATCGAGACGATCCTGGCTAACACGATGAAACCCTGTCTCTAATAAAAATACAGAAAATTAGCTGGGCGTGGTGACGGGTGCCTGTAGCCCCAGCTACTCGAGAGGCTGAGGCAGGAGAATGGCGTGAACCCAGGAGGCGGAGCTTGCAGTGAGCCGAGATCGCGCCACTGCACTCCAGCCTGGGCGACAGAGCGAGACTCCGTCTCAAAAATAAATAAATAAATAAATAAATAAATAAATAAATAAATAAATAAATAAATAAATCTGGAGTTAGATACAAACTATCATCATATCCCAAGTTTTAAATTCCTCAACTGTAAAATGGGGATAAAAAACACATCTCAAAGATTTGGGGGAAGACTTATATCTTATGAAAAGTCCTTGAAATGTCTCAAAAAAATCTGTTTTCCATCAAATCTTTTGTGAAATATGAAACTCATTAATAAAATCAATGTATTTTAATTGCATTTCTGATATACAGAATTGAAATCACATTTCTAGTTAATGTTGGCAAAGTGAGGCAGCTGATAGATGGTTCTAATAATGAGATCCCCAAGGTGGACAGAGTGGACTTGGGTTTGGTGTTAGAACCCAGTGAACAATCAAATTGTGGAAGGTCCTGGCATCCCAGTCTCCCAGTGGGAGTGAGTCAATAGTGAGCCCTTTGACTGGCAGCCTCAGCCTCCCACATGAGCCTTTATTTCTGTCTCAGCTCCATCTGACAAACTCTCATGATTCCACATGAAGAGCAAGTGAAAATTTACACTAAGACAGTCAATAGAGTTTAAATCTTTGTGTTGCTTAGCCACAAGGTTCTTTTTTAAAAATTAGTCTTTTCAATAGAATAGTTAACTGCTCTGAAGGAATGTTTAGTTTTAGGGACATCTCCCAGGTCATGAATTATTATCTCAGTATCTGCTAAAATAACTGTATGCTAAATTAAATTCCATTATTGTAAACTGTCATTTCAAAGTAACTAGTTAAGTGCAACATTTTTTTTTAAACCAGTTAGAATATGTAGACCAGGCTTGGAGGCTCATGCCTATAGTCTTGGCTGCTCGGGAGGCTGAAGCATAAGAGTCCCTTGAGCCCAGGAGCTCAAGATTGCAGTGAGCCATGATCACACCACTGCACTCCAGCCCGGACAACAGTGAGACCCTGTGTCTAAAATAAATAAATACATAAGAATATGAGCCAGAGCCAATAATAGAGATATATACATATATATGAAGAAAAGTTTCTATTTTTAGTGTCTGCTGTGGCAGGGCTCCCCAACCCCCAGGGCACAGATCCGTCCTGATCTGTGGCATATTAGGAACCAGGCTGCACAGCAGGAGGTTAGGGTGGGCAAGTGAGCAAAACTTCCTCTATATTTAGAGATGCTTCCCATCACTCACAGTACCACCTGAGCCCTACCTCCTGTCAGATCAGCAGCAGCATTAGAGTCTCATAGGAGCGTGAACCCTGTTGAGAACCATGTGTGCAAGGGATTTAGTTTGTACAATCTTTAAGGGAATCTAATGCCTGATGATCTGTCACTGACCCTATCACCTCCAGATGGGATAGTCTAGTTGCAGGAAAACAAGTTCAGGGTTCCCACTGATTCTACATTACGGTGAATTATATAATTATTGTATTATATGCTACAATGTAATAATAATAGAAATAAAGTGTACAATAAATGTAATGCACTTCGATCATCCCCAAACCATCCCCCCACCACCCACCCTTGTCTGGAAAAATTGTCTTCCATGAACCCAGTCCCTGGTGCCAAAAAGGTTGAGGACTGCTGTGCTATAGAATGTGCCTTTCAGAAAAAGTTATTTTCCTAGAAAATGATCACTGAAATGTCAACAATTCTAATAACAATCTAAACCACTCTTATCTCCAGAGTGAACACAAAGGGAAATATAAAATTCCATGAAATCCTTGATTCTTTACACTTAATTTTTGTGGAGTCTTGGCTTGATGCTTGATGCTCTTTGCTATAAATCTTTTATGTTTTCATTCATTTCTTGGAGCATGCACTGATTAGATTGAGGAAGTGGGGAACACATTCTCCCTTTGGTTTCTGCCGTGGGTCTCAAAATCATTCTGAGAGGGGAAGAATCTTTTTTATCACTCTCTCTTTAGAGGAACAAGCAGCTCTGCTCAAAGGATTAAATTCCACAACTGCCTTATTATGATACCTTGTTTGAACCAGGGATGGTGGTCAAAACTGATCAAAATGCAATAGTTAACGTGTAATCCCTTGGGTCCCACGGTAACATGTAATTTCATGCATTTCAAATTTAGTTAAGTTTTTACAGCTAAATTTTGAGCTTTTTTATGCTAACTTGTATCATTTTGAATCACATATATATTATTAAGTAAGGTTAAAGGAATCTATGTCATGTAGTAATTCACTCTGTTTTTTGTTGTTGTTGTCGTTGTTTTGCTTGTTTGTTTGTTTTTGAGATGGAGTCTCTGTTGCCCAGGCTGGAGTGCAGTGGCAAGATCACAGCTCACTGCAACTTTTGCCTCCCGGTTTCAAGCGATTCTCCTGCCTCAGGCTCCCAAGAGGACGCTTCTCCACACCCAGCTAATTTTTTGTATTTTTAGTAGAGACAGGTTTCACCATGTTGGCCAGGCTGGCCTCAAACTCCTGACCTCAGGTGATCTGCCTGTCTTGGCCTCCCAAAGTGCTGGGATAATAGGCATGAGCCACCATTCCCGGCCAATTCATCCAGTTTTGATAGTTTATAATCCTTCATTTCACTGAGGAACTAGAAAACTGAATTCCTCTTTATTCTAATGACAGACTTCTCGGACCTCACTTTCAGTCCTCTCTGCATTCTTTCTCCCTCTGCCTTTCCTCTCCTCCACACCTCCTCTGGATATCTCATTCCTTTGTCCTAACTCTGACAATTAGCAGAAATTGCATGAAAACCCTAGTATTTATTTATTTATTTATTGTTTTGGAGAGACGGTCTGTCTCCGTCACCCAGGCTGGAGTACAGTGGCATGATCTCGGCTCACTGCAACCTCTGCCTCCTGGAAAACCCTTGTTATTTTTAACAAAGGATAAGCCAGACAATACTAGGAATGAGAGGCAGATCCCTGAAGAAAGGGGGGTGCAGTTCTGGGAGAGGGAGAGGTATTGGCAGTTAAGTCTTGACCAGGCCAGAGAGCAGCATCAGCTGGAGGAAGGGTGAGTCCAACAGCCAAATGGAAATGAGTGCACTGAGGAATTGGAAGAGGAAGAGCAAAGTTCAGTGAGAACCAGAAGGCAGGAGAGCCCAGCAGCCTGCCCACATCTGAAGACATGGAGCTGAGAACAGGAAATCCGTGTGGCGTTTAGGATTTGGGGTGAACCAGAGGAAGGAGCTGCTGCCCGTGTCGGTATGCTCAGGATGACGGTTGGTTTTGTTGTGAAAGACAAGAATGAAAATAGGAATGCCAACGAGACTGATTCTGAGATACTTGGAAGCCCTCAGGGTTTAGAGGGATAGATCTCACCCCATGAAGGTCTTATCTGAAAACATGTTTGGGTATATTTTAGTAGGTGGGATCAGAGCTTTCCCAGGAACTTCCCCATCCCAAAGGGAAGCACTCTTTTGAATTCTGTGACTATGCATTTGTTTTGCCTATTTTAAACTTTATAAAAAGGAATCATAAAAGCATATACTCTTTAGTGTCTCACCTTTTGCTTAATATTATGCCTGGGCAATTCATCCATGCTCATGCATGTAGTAATGGTTTATCCATTCTCATGGCTGTATATATTCTATTGACTATAGCAGGATGTATCTGTCCTTTCTACAATCATTATTTGTTTGTTTCATCGTGTGTTTTGAAACTACAATGGCCTCCCTAAAGGCAATCTTTCAAGACCATGCTGATTCTTCTCAGGGCCCAGCCTGATATGGTTTGGCTCTGTGTTCCCACCCAAATCTCACCTCGAACTGTAATCCGCATGTGCCGAGGGAGGGACCTGGTGGGAGGTGATTGGCTCATGGGGGCAGTTTCCCCCATACTATTCTCGTGACAGTGAGGGAGTTCTCACGAGATCTGATGGTTTTAAAGTGGCAGTTGCCCCGCGCTCTCTCTCTCTCCTGTCACCTTGTGAAGACGGACCTTGCTTCCCTTTCACCTTCTGCCATGATTGTAAGTTTCCTAAAGCCCCTCCAGCCATGCAGAACTATGAGTCAATTAAACCTCTTTCCTTCCAAAAATTACCCTGTCTCAGGTAGTATCTTTATAGCAGTGTGAGAACAAACTAATACATGAAGGGGTGGCCTGCCCCTTCACACCTGCGGGTATTTCTAGTCAGGTGGGACGAGAGACTGAGAAAAGTAATAAGACACAGAGACAAAGTATAGAGAAACAACAGTGGGCCCAGGGGACCAGCGCTCAGCATACCAAGGACCTGCACCAGCACTGGTCTCTGAGTTCCCTCAGCTTTTATTGATTATTATTTTCATTATTTTAGCAAAAAGGAATGTAGTAGGAGGGCAGGGTGATAATGAGAAGGTCAGCAACAAACATGTGAGCAATAGAATCTATGTCATAATTAAGTTTAAGGGAAGGTACTATGCCTGGATGTGCACGTAGGCCAGATTTATGTTTCTCTCCACCCAAACATCTCAGTGGAGTAAAGAATAACAAGGCAGCATTGCTGTAAACATGTCTCACCTCCCACCATAGGGCGGTTTTTCTCCTATCTCAGAATTGAACAAATGTACAATCGGGTTTTATACCAAGACATTTAGTTCCCAGAGGCAGGCAGGAGACAGTGGCCTTCCTCTATCTCAACTGCAAGAGGCTTTCCTCTTTTACTAATCCACCTCAGCACAGACCCTTTACGGGTGTCAGGCTGGGGGACGGTCAGGTCTTTCTCATCCCACGAGGCCGTATTTCAGACTATCACATGGGGAGAAACCTTGGACAATACCCAGCTTTCAAGGGCAGAGGTCCTTGCGGCTTTCCACAGTGCATTGTGCCCCTGGTTTATTGAGACTAGAGAATAACGATGACTTTTACCAAGTATACTGCTTGTAAACATTTTGTTAACGAGGCCTGTCCTGCACAGCCCTAGATCCCTTAAACCTTGATTTCATACAACACATGTTTTTGTGAGCTCCAGGTTGGATCAAAGTGGTTGGGTCAAAGTGGCTGGGGCAAAGCTACAAATTAACAACATCTCAGCAAAGCAATTGTTTAAAGTACAGGTCTTTTTCAAAATGGAGTCTCTTATGTCTTCCCTTTCTACATAGACACAGTAACAGTCTGATCGCTCTTTCTTTTTCCTACAAATCCACAATCCCACCGTTCCTCTTTGCTTCTGGACTTATACTAGACTCAAGTCCTAGCAGGCCCCTGAAGGTAAGGCACAAGATGTGACCTATGAAGAGATATACTATACTCCAAAAGGACTACTTGATTTTTCCAATTTATACAGCCAAATCTGGGAAATACGTGTAGGAATGGTCGTTAAGGATGTGGGATAATGGTGGAAGAATATAAGATTGGATCAGGCCAAATTTATTGATATGGGACCACTAAGCAGAGATTCTTCATTTAATGTTGCAGTTTGGGGAGTCAGAAGAAGCTCATTTGTTTGCTTGGATGGCTGAAACATGGACCAAAAAGGTTACCCACAGTAAACGAACTTGAAATGCCAGAACTACCCTGGTTACTCTAGAGGAAGGGATTGACAAGCTTATGGAGAAAGAAGAGTTGGCGTGAATTTATCATTTCAGATCTGCGCATCCACCCTGGAACACTTTTTTCCATATCTGTGAGAAATAAATGTGTGAGGAGAGCCCTACCAACCTTGAAGAGTTCTGGGGTCACTCTCTCACTAGGCAAGAACTTATAGTGGGAGCTGCTGTCACTGAATTGGGAAACCTACATTTGTATCCCATATAATATATTTGACATTGAATTTTGTGTTTTCTGGTGTTATTGCTACAATTGCCTTTCTTTTTGTCAGACTCAACTGATACATTTTATCCATCTCTTTATCTTTTGGGGGTCCTATTTTCAGGTGTGTCTCTTACATGCTATAATGTTGGGCATGCACAGCCACATTCCATTATCGAATGGGAGTGGTGTTATATTCAAGATTGGGCTTCATCAGGACCTGAAGGCATGTGCATAAATGACATGAAAAAGTGGCACGAACGTCGTCTTCACTCTCGCTACCCACCTTCTTTCTCCCAGCCAGTGTCTATGGCCTCATGAAGAGTTCCCTGCAATCAGTTGAAAAAACATGAAAGATTTCAGGCTTAATTTTAAAATGTTTTTTCATGATATACAGATACTTCCAGGAAGTGGACAGCTGCAGCACTGTAGCCCCTCTCTAGGACATTCCTGAAGGAAAGGGTGAAGGGAAATCCACCCAGTGGGGACAATTCTGAGCAGTGTAACTGTTGTTCAATTTGCTTAGAAGGAGAAATTACCAAATGTGAGATTACATACCAATTCACAGACTGTGGCCAATAGTTAGGCAGGATAATTAGGGAATTGAAAGGATTATTATTAGAAAATTGGTAACAAGGAAGTCATAGGAAGAGGTCAGAGGATAAACCTCTCAGAACAGACAAATACATAAGGTATTTGTGTCCCATGTGAATGCTCAAAAAGGCTGACCTCAGCAGAGGAGGAGTTAAATAATCAACTGGATAGGATGGCCTATTCTGTAGATACCAGCCAGTCTCTTTCCCCAGTCACCCCTATCATCACCCAGTAGGCTCATGAACAAAGTGGCCGTGGTGCCAGGGATGGAGGTGCCAGGGATGGGGTCAGAGAAGGAGGATGCATGGACTCAGCAGCATGGACTTCCACTCACCAAGGTTGAGCTGGCTACAGTTGCTGAGTACCCAGTCTGCCTGTGGCAGAGATTAACACTTAAGTCCCCAATATGGCAGCATTCCCAGGGTGATCAGTCGGATGGGTGGAAAGTTGATTATAATGGACCATTTTCATTATGGAAGGGACAGCATTTTGTTATCAATGGAATAGACACTTGCTCTGGATGCAAATTTGCAATTCCTGTATGTAGTGCTTCTGCCAAACTACTACCTATGAGCTCACAGAATGTCTACCATCGTGATATTCTGCACAGGATTGATTCTGAACAAGGAACTCACTTCAGAGTGAAAGAAGTGCAGCAATGGGCCCTTGGTCGTGGATTTTACTGGTCTTACTATATTAGCCATCATCCTGAAGCCGCTGGCTTGGTAGAACAATGCAATGGCATTTTGAAGACTCCATCACAGTTCCAGATGGGTAGGAATACCTTGCAGGGCTGGGGCAAGGTATTGCCTTCTCTGGAAGGCTGTGCATTCTCTTCATCAAAGTCCAGTATGTGATGCTTTTCCTCCCATAACCAAGATTCACAGGTCCAGGAATCTAGGGATGGAAATGAAAGGGGCATCACTTACAATTATCTCTAGCAACTTACCAGCAAAATGTTTCCTTTCTTTTCCCAAAGACTTATGTTCTGTTGTCCTAAAAGTCTTTGTTCCAAAGGAAGGAATGGTTCCACCAGGAGACACAACAATGATTATACTGAACTGCAAGTTAAGACTGCCACCTGATGCCTCTGAATCTACTGGCAAGCAAGGAAGTTACTGTGCTGGGTGGGTTGATTGATCCAGACTACAAGGGGAAATTGGACAGCTGCTCCACAATAGAGGTAAGGAAGAATGTGTCTGGAATACAGGAGACTGCTTAACATATCTCTTAATATTACCAAGCTCTGTTATTAAAGTTAAAGAAAAGCCGCAACCCCATCCGGGCAGGACTATTAATGGCCCAGATCCTTCAGGAATGAAGACCTGGGTTACCCCACCAGGTAAAACAAATGCACAGCTAAAGGCAAAGGGAATACAGAATGGGTAGTGGAAGAAGGTATTTATAAATACGAGCCACATAAACACGACCGGTTACAGAAATGAGCATTATAATTGTCAAGAGTATTTCTTCCTTATTTTGTTATGAATGTGTTTGTGACTCTGTGTGTGTGCTTGTGTGTGTGTGTTTGCAAATATCTGTTTTCTTCCTTTTCTTTTTTTTTTTTTTTTTTGAGATGGAGTCTTGCTCTGTCGCCCAGTCTGGAGTGCAGTGGCGTGATTTCGGCTCACTGCAAGCTCTGCCTCCCAGGTTCATGCCATTCTCCTGCCTCAGCCTCCTGAGTAGCTGGGACTACAGGTGCCCGCCACCACACCCGGCTAATTTTTTGTATTTTTAGTAGAGATGGGGTTTCACCGTGTTAGGTAGGATGGTCTCGATCTCCTGACCTCATGATCTGCCCTCCTCGGCCTCCCAAAGTGCTGGGATTACAGGCTTGAGCCACTGTGCCTGGCCTGTTTTCTTCCTTTTCTTATTCTCTTCTTACGCAATATAAGATTCATTGACTTGATTTCATAGTATTAAAATGCTAACTTTACATCATAGTATTTGTTGTCAAGGAGATAAGAAAGGCTATCAAGGAGAAGAGTAAACATCACCCAAGGATTTTGCATCCTCTTCTGGGGAAGGGGTCAGTGCATTTTCAGTTGTACACAGTTGCATCATTTTAGGCGGAAGCATGACCTTGTTATTGTCTTTATTTGGAAAGTAAGTATGGTTTAAGGAGCTGCGTATGGGTGCCAAGTTGACACAGGATAAATTTGTGATGGGTTATTTTATGTGTCAATTTAGGTAGGTCAAGATAACCAGATATTTGATCAAACGTTATTCTAGATGTTTTGTGGAGGTATTTTTAAGATGAAACTAATATTTAAATCAGTTCACTGAGTAAATCTGATTATCATCCATAATGTGGGTGGGCCCCATCCAATCAGTTGGAAGCTTTAATAGTAAATTTAATAGTAAAAGACTGACCTCCCCAAGAAGAAGAAAGGCTGTCAGCAGACTTCTTTTGGACTCATACCAAAGAAACTCTTCCCTGCCGGCCTACACTGCGTACTTTGGTCTTCCCAAGCCTCCACAGTCTCATGAATCAATTCCATCTCAGTACTATATATATCCTGTTAGTTTCATTTCCCTGGGGAATCCATACCATTATAGAGATGTTTTCCATATTTTTATGATAAGAACTCTTGGGCACATTCTACCAAAACTGCAATGAACTAGGTTGTTTACTACCTTTTTTATTCTTGATCAAGTATATCAGTTATGACTATTTTATTAGGCTTTTATTAGGCTTTACAAAATGTTGTATTCTTTAATTGAATAAATATACTGATTTGTATTTGTTCTGTGTTCACTAAATTTTCTTTTATTCTTATTATCTCAAGGGTTGATATGTATTTTCTCATCCTTATTTATTCTTCAGCCATTAAAAATTCTCATCTTTTCCTCTTGTGCATATCTTCTTGCCTAATTATCTTTTTGTTATTAATAGCATTGAATTATAGTCTATTATGAGTCTGTAGGAAATTTATTTTTAGGAACTTACTGCAATTTTATGTGTGGCCTATTTCACTTTGTTTTTTAATGTTCTATGTGTCTGAAAAAAATATTTCTTATATATTGGTTTAAAATTCTATTTAGATCTAAAAGATAAATCTTGTTAATTGCGTTACTCAAGTTCTCTATAGTCTTATTTCATTTTTCCTTTCTTTATTTTGTCATTTCTTGAAACATGTCATAAGTTTCCCAACATAATTGTGGATGTGTCTATTTTTTATATTAATTTTTGCCTTATTTGTGTGTTGTTAGTTACATATTTATAGTGGATATATTCTTGACTGGCTTTCCCCCATTAAAGAAATCAATGTTTGTCCCATATAATATATTTTACGTTGAATGATGTCTGGTACAGGGTTATTATTGCTACTTTTGCCTTTCTGTTAGTGTTTATCTGATATATTGTATCCACCCCTTTTCATTGTATATTTTTGGTCACATTTTCTGGTGTGTCTCTTGAATGAAACCTATAGCTAGACTCTACTTACATATCGGAATACCTCTGTGTTTTATTAGCAAAGCTTATCAATCAATTAATGCTACTGTTATCACTGATACGTTTAGACATATTAATGTCATTTTATTGTATGTTTTCTTTTTCCATACTTTCTGGTTTCCTTTTTGTTTCCTTTTCTGCCTTTTGCTACATTGATGGATCATTGTTTGTTCTATTTATCTTTCCTCTGTTGGGAAGTTGTTCCTTCTAAATCCTTACCTTTGTGACCAAAAAAGATGTATGCTAAGATGAATCTTTAGTTTCCTAGCATACATACTTTTCTAACATATATTTTATCTTCAAAATTTACAGTATTATTGTGATCTCAACGTACAGGGCAAGAACATTTGCACACTTTTGCCTCCCTCCAGGTGTAGCTTGCTTAGGCTGCCTGTCTCTGCCCTATGTTGGTACCTTTCTAAGGCCCTACCTGTACTTGGAGCTCAGCCCCCACAGGTTGTGAGCAAATGGCTCTGTTGTCTGTGTTGAGTGCAAGATGAACTGCATTCATCTTGCAGTTCAAGATGCAATTGTCCAATAATTATCCTGAAGACTGCCATAACGCTCTCTCCTGTTCCTTGGGCTTTTTGTCTCTGGGGCTGGAGCTCCCTGGAACATATCCTGGCTGGACAGCATGTTTAACGAGCTAAGATTTCCCCCTTTTACTTTTCTCCATAGAGCTGCTCCTGATTGATTTTATACCAAGGATTCTTCAAAATTTCTGGTGCATTGATTAGACTTTTTTTTTCCCATACGATTACGGATTTTTTTTTTTTTTGCTTTGTTCTAACATTATCCCATAATTATCATGGGATAATTGTGGTGATGGAAGCATATGTACTTAGACTGTCATTTTGACCCATTCTTATTTCCCTCTATGTTCTTTTTTACTCTGTACCAGCCACATTCGTCTAATAATGACCCTATGGGCACATATGCTTTGCTTTTCTTCCTCCAAGCCTTGCTTATTCTAGTGAGACGCTTGCTACATATTTCTTGTATTATTCTTTGTTTATCTTAAGCGCTTTCTGTTCCTTGAAGGTTTAGCTTTTCCTCACATTTAAATGTTAATATTTTCCTCCACTCAATTCTTATGGTCCTAAATTTGAATCTCTGTTATGAGCAAGTTGTAGCATAAATAAGAATTTAATATTTGCGGGCCAGGCACAGGGGCTCACACCTGTAATCCCAACACTTTGGGAGGCCAAGGTGAGAGAATCACTTGAGCTCAGGAGTTCAAGACAAGCCCGGGAAACATGGCAAAACCCCATCTCTAACTAAAGTACAAAAAAAAAAAGCTGGCTGTGGTGGCGTGCACCTGTGTCTCAGCTACTCAGGAGGTTGAGGTTGGAGGATCGCTTGAGCCTGGGAGGTGGAGGTTGCAGTGAGCCGAGATCACAGCACTGGACTCCAGCCTGAGTGACAAAGTGAGACCCCATCTCAAAAAAAAAAAAAAAAAGAATTAAATATTTGTGAACTTATTACCTCTTGAGAACAGAGTATGTTATCTTTCCTCTCTTTGGATTCCCATTGCACATAACAATGCCATCCTTATAGCGGGCGAAACATTTGTGACTAAAATTGAATTAATTTGAATTTATGACCAGCTCCTATCAATAACAGAAAATTCTTCTATATAGTGTGCTTGGACTGAACAGTTCTATGATCATTGTTTATTTATTGTATTATGTAGTATTTTTTATAACATCAAATATTTGTTGAAAAGCATAGTGAAGCATAAGAAAATAAATTACGCTGGTGATTAACTTTTGTCCTTAAATTGAATTGACATCTTTGTCACCCCTCCCCCCGGCATTTTCATATGAAGAACCCCAAGAAGAATATTAAAATATTAGAATATTTCTTCTTTGCTCATTACTTATAGACATTAGCTGCTATCAAGTATTTTCTTAAACAATGCTATCTACGCAGCACACACACCCTTAATCTCGTGCAGGGAGTGCTACGCTGAGGCGAATCCTTATTTATGACAACACTGCCCCCTAATCATTCACGCTGCTCAACCTCATCACAGGTCTTTCCATCAGAGTGTGTCTCCATGGTAACACAAGCCAGATTTGGCCATTTGGTTATGGCTTGGAACACAAAGGTCACTTGAAGGTTTATGACATTTGGATTTTGGAGCACATTTACAAAACTACCAATTCTACTTGGTTTTGACATTTGGATGCAATCTTTATTAATAGTATCTTTCCCTTGGCATACATACATGTTTCCATTTGGATTATGTTTGTTTATTGGACAAAAGCAGCCAATGTAACCAAGTTTAATAAAATTCACCGTTTTTCTTCATTACATTTCTTTCCAGAAAATGATACTTTGTGCTTAAAAAGTGCTATGCAACAAAATCATTTGAAAATATAAATCACTGAGATTGCTAAAAATATCTCCAACTGTCAAAACTAAAAGGTTGATTACTGATTTATCGTGTTCTCTTTTACCTCAATATCTAATTATGTTTTAAACGTGTATTGAAGTGGGATAACATAATTATTCCATTTGTCAACATACATTGCTATCTTTTTATGTCCAGAAAGTATTTGATTTGTAGATAGAAAGAACAAATGTATTTTTATTGAAATATAATCATTTGCATTTAAATGGGAGAGTATCTAAAAAAAGGAAACCTTTAAGTCTTTAAGAAAGAAAATGTTTAAAATCTTCAGTCTTGTAAAAGAAAATTTAAATATTAGGAAAAGCACATTTGTTTGTGGATAATAAGGCTCAATATGAGAGTCAATACTTTTCAAATATATCTATTTAAAATAATAATAGCGTGAACCCTGGAGGTGGAGCTTGCCGTGAGCCAAGATCGTGCCACTGCACTCCAGTGTGGGCAACAGAGTGAGACTCCATCTCAAAATAATAATAATAGCTAACACTTCCTAATCACTTTCTATGTGCCTGGTTCTGTTTTCAATACTTTGTAGATATTAAATCATTTAATCCTCACAGTGACTCTATTTTACCAATTATCTCCATTTTACTAATGAGAAACTAATACACAGAGACATTCATACTTGCTAAAAGTTATATAACTAGTACTGGTATAATCAGGTTTCAAATCCAGGTAGTCTGGTTCCGAAGCCTAAATTAGCCTCTAAATTGAGGGGATTACAATGAAAATTTACATAAGATTATTTCTTCAGAATTAAAAAACACCTTGAGGCCAGGTGCAGTGTCTCACACCTGAAATCCCAGCACTTTGGGAGGCTGAGGCTGAAGGATCACTTGAGGCCAGGAGTGTGAGACTAGCTTTTCTCAACAATTTACTTAACAAGGAACCTAAAAGTAGGCAGTTAAGGACCAGTACAGTGGTTCTACAATACCTTCAAGAGACAATGATTTCCTCTTGAATTTCTTCTTAGTCATCCTCAGTGAGTGCCTTATCAAGCTTATTACTTCATGGTGACAAGAGGGCTGCACTTGATCCAACATCAATTTTGGATTCCAGTAAGCAAGAAGAAGAAGACAAATGAGAAAAAGATATAAGCCAGGTGAGTTGCTCCCCTTTAAAGAACTTTTTCAGAAAGCCCTCACAGTGATTTTAGACACTGCAGTTACCTAAAACTTTTGTATGAACAAACTGAGTAGCAAAGAAAGCTGATTAAAAAAAAAAAAAGGGCCAGGCGCAATGGCTCATGCCTGTAATCCCAGCACTTTGGGAAGCCGAGGCAGGTGGATCATGAGGTCAGGTGTTCGAGGCCAGCCTGGCCAACATGGTGAAACCCCGTCTCTACTAAAGATACAAAAAACTTTGCCAGGCATGGTGGCATGCACCTGTAATCCCAACTACTCAGGAGGCTGGGGCAGGAGAATCACTTGAACCCAGGAGATAGAGGTTGCAGTAAGACAAGATCGCACCACTGCACCCTAGTCTGGGTGACAGGGTGAGACTCATCTCCAAAAAAAGAAAGAAAGAAAGAAAAAAAGATAGGTCTGTGACTGAGTATATTGCCACTCTGATGAAAATCAGAATCTAAGAGTAAAGAAAGATTATTGAGGCAGGTCTAGAATAGCCTTTGCTCTAGAGCTAGTTTGTCCTCTTACTAAGGTATGGCCCTTTGTGTACTCTGTGTGTTCAACAATGAGCATTCTCACTTTGGCTAGTCAGGACTCAGCTGCTTGGAAATGTTCAGTTTACAACTCCCTGGAAATTTCATCCTAAAGGGCTTTTTTTTTTTCTTTTTTTCTGGGTAGCTCCCTCCACTCCAGGACCTTTTCTGGAAAATTCTAGCCTTTTCAACCTCCATGTACTCCAATCTCTGACAACTCAACTCAGGGACACTGTGACATTCTGCTTGGGTTTCCCCTTCTTATGATACAGTTCTGAAATCCTTCCTGTCAATCATCTGAAGCAACTGAGGCCTCATGCAACTCATTTCCCTTGTCCCAGGTGTCATACTGAGTTAGTAGAAAAATTCCTGAAGAATTCCAGATACCTCCTAAATGTGGTATATGATCTATAAGTCATTAATCCTCTGCTATAAAAGAGACCAGGCTTCCATAAACAAACTCCAATAGTTCACAGTCTTTGGAAAACGATTATTATTTATCACTTTAAAGTTACGATTATGTAAATATATCACATCTCATAATAAATGTGCTATTAAATATTTGCTTTTTAACATTAAGGAATAGGTTACTACTTTTGAGAGCTTTACAGATAATTTTATAATAGGCCTGAAGAGGAATGCCATGTGACTAGGATTCCCAAATCCTGCTGTAAGTAAAACTACTTCATGCCAGATAGACTGTGAAATGGGAGAATTCCCTGACCTCCATCACAGAACACGCAACAGGGTGTGGCTCATCTGTTTGGCCACCACACTCTCAAACCCCTTACAAGAGGGGGAGCAGGCAGACGGGCAGATGCAGGAGCTGAGGTGCACACTTTTGGGCTCTAGCACCATGGTAGCATCTAGGGATGGGTGTCTGTGACTCCCAAAGCCCCAGTGGATCTGTTACTGTGCTCCTTTAGCTCTGCCATCTGCAAACTTTAAGTGTTAACCAGTTCAGTGCCCTCTTGGTACTCGGGTCCTTGTCTGGCATCCAGGAAAAATCAGGTCACATATGGACTTGAAGGATGGTGAATGCAGGGATTTTACTGAGTGGTGGAGGTGGCTTTGGCAGGATGGATGGGGAGCTGGAAAGGGGATGGAGTGGGAAGATGCTCTTCCCCTGGAGTATGGCCATCCCACAGCCGAACTCCTCTCCAACCATCCCCAGCTGAACTCCTATCAACGTTCAGATGCTCTTCCCCTGGAGTTTGTCCATCCCACAGCTGAACTCCTCTATAACCATCCTCAGCTGAACTCCTCTCAATGTTCAGATGCTCCTTATCTTCTCTCCTCTACAACCATCCTCAGCTGAACTCCTCTCAATGTTCAGATGCTCCTTATCTTCTCTCCTCTACAACCATCCTCAGCTGAACTCCTCTCAATGTTCAGATGCTCCTTCTCTTCTCTCCTGCTCTGCCATGCCACTTTTCTGTTCCTCTGCTCTTTTGCTCATCTGCTTTTCTCCTCATCTGCTGGTGGAGCCTGTTGTTTGGGGTTTATGTGAGTACAGGATACAGGGGTATGGTGGGCCAAAAAGGCAAAATTTGGGTTCAAAAACAGGAATGCCTGTTCCCATTTAGGGCTGCAGGTTTCCAGGCTTGAGGATGGGTTATTTGCCAGGCAACCACCCTCTTCTACCCAGTATTTCCTTGCTTCCTGTCTGTATCAACTGCAGTAACTTTTATAATCATATTAAAGATATTTTAATAATAAATACAATTATGGTAATTTAGGGTAAATTATAATGTTTCATACAGAATTCTTTTGTGGTTGTGCTTTTGTTTTTGTTTTTGTTTGTGTTTTGTTGACCACTCAAAGTGCTTTTAACCAGCTCTCTAGTTTTGCCTAGCTCAAGGAATTGAAGATGTTAGCTCTCATGTAGAAGAAATAACTGTGCACAGAATGATTCGATCAGTAGCAAAAAGACTGGCTTGCACAACATCTCTTCTCCATCTCTCTTATCTTGGGATCACACCTAAGAGAGATCAGTTAATTCCACCAGGTGAAGAAGGCAGGCTGGAAGGTGCTGTTTTCTAGACATAATTTCCTGGATTGGACAAACGCTGCAGATACAGGTTCTAGGAGGGATGTCAGTCAAGCAGAGAGAGCTGGGAATCCAGAGCCTAGGAAAACAGACATAAGGCACCCTGTGGTGGGGAAGGGGGATTCTACACAGCTAACAGAAAAGAAGCACATGTAATTCCAAAGTGGATGCTATTTAGGATCAGGTAAGCAGAGAGAGCTTGCATGCAGGAAAATCTATCACAGCAAGAAACCGGCAAGGACTCTAGGATTCAGAGCAAGAGAGCCAGTCTCTTGAAACAAGACTAGAAAGAGGAATGCATTCCATATATCTAGAAGGACGATGGTACTACAACAGGGACAAGGCAGAAAACCTCAGATTTGAGTTGAATCAGCCACAGAAGGATCCATTCAGGGTCTCAGAGTGTCGGGCAAGAACTCGTCCTTCCATCCCCTGTAAAGGTTGATTTGACCTTTTAGGCTTTTGTGAAGCTGAGTCCAGTAGAAGGAGTCCAGAAGCAGAGCTATGGGAAGAAAAAGACGATACTGCATGAGAACCCTGGCAGGAGATGAAACCACCAGCCTTCCTGCCATGTGCTCAAATGTCTTATCTTTAGAATAACTTTTAGGGAGTCTTTTAGAGGATCTGTTAATGTGAAATATGCTACCAGAGAGGTGACATACTAAGCCCCTAAGAGATCAGTCATTAGCATGTATTAGTTTACCAGATTAGCCATTAGTTTCCAACAGAGAAAGTAAAGGCCTGAGGGAATAAAATTCAGACATTTAGATTTAAAGGAGATTTAAAGGGAATAGAGTTCCAGAGCAGGTAATCTAATACATGTTACAAATCAGGGAGAAAGTTGTCCTTTATGTTCCTCGTTGTGCATTTCCTTCTAAGCCAACATGCCTTGAGAATTTACTATGTGCTAGGCACGTCCAAAGCACTTTAAATAGATTAATTGATGTAACCTTCCAATCCTATTGGTACATTTTATCATTTTTACTTTAGAAATGGAAATATTGAGGCTCAAAAAATTTCCCAAGATTACATAGCTGGTAAGTGGCAGAACCAGGATTCAATCTGTGTCTGATGGCCCAAATATTCGTACAGTAAAAGGTCTTTCAAAGTCCAAGTGAGAGGCGTTGATGTTTTCACTAGGGAAGGTGTCATTGGCAACAGTGAGATAGAAGTGGAGCAAAAAGAAAGTATCACACAGAACAGATCAATAGTCAACCAGTATTTGTTGGGTGCCAGTCATTACCAGAGATTGTGCTAGGTACTAGGAATACTGTCACTGAGAAACCAGATGTGATCCAGACTTCATGGGGCTCATAGCCTTACAGGGAAAGAACATTCCTACACTACAACCATAGTGATTTAACAAACAAACAAACAAACCTACAAGTAAGTATAAACTTTACAAAGCGTTGAAAATAGAGGTACCAGGTGAGGCTACCATCAACAGAGGTAACACTTCTGTTTTGGTAACTGTCATATTTAAGCAAAAGGAAGGAATTGAAATAATTCTGAAGTACACCCATCTGTAATCTCAGCTACTCAGAGAGCTGAGGCAGGAAGTCTGCTTGAGGCCAGGAGTTCAAAACTAGCTTAGGCAATATAGCGACACCTCATCTCTCTAAAAAAATATAATAAAAGGTATTGTAAAGGTTAGAAGAATGAGGATAGGAAAATCAGGGAGTAGGGCAATTTGCAGGAAGGGGAAAAATGTGCTGAGATGGATTTATGATGGTAAATTCAAGGTGAATTTGAAACATCCAAGAATTATCCACTAAACAACCAAAGATACAGGCCAGGTACCAGAAGCAAGGGAAAGAGATGCTGTTGTGAGCCCTGGAGAACCACTTTGTACACAGCCAAGCTGCATACAATGCAAGAAGGGTCTCAGAGCTCCCCCAGATATGATCTTCAGTCTGTGTCCATGTCTAGGGCTGCCCATGTGGTAGTGGTGGGGAAGGAGAGGTCATGGAGGGTAAAAACCAAAGTTGGTAGCAGCATCTGGTATCTGAAACTAAGAATCACTCAAAAATTTCACAATTCTTCTCTTTAAATAACAACAATAGCTAAAATTACCTGTGTCTATTGTGCCTGGATACAATCTAGTTTAGTTCTCTTTACAACACCATAAAGAAATCACTGTTATTAGATCCCCAATGTAACACCAAGAAAATTTAAGTTCAGGAAAGGTAAGTAACTTCCCTAAGTCCCATCTCTATAAAGGCTGTATCCAGGATTAAAGATTCAAACTCGGGCCTGAGCTTTAAGGACTACAGATCAAGAGGAGGAGGAATAAAATGACTTTTCCTTTCTTAAATTCCTGGTGTGAAAGGGTAGAATGAAATTCCCAGCCAGGCACAGTGGCTCACACCTGTAATCCCAGCAGTTTGGGAGGCCAAGGTGGGAGGATCACCTGAGGCCAGAAGTTTGAAACCATCCTGGCCAACATGGTAAAATCCTGTTTCTATTAAAAATATAAAAATTAGCTAGGCATGGTGGTGCATACCTGTAATCCCAGCTACTCAGGAGGCTGAGGCACAAGAATCTCTTGAACCCAGGAGGCAGAGATTGCAGTGAGCTGAGATCGTGCCCCTACACTCCAGCCTGGGTGACAGAGCAGACTCTGTCACAATTAATTAATCAATTAATTGTTTAAAAGAATGAATTGTCTTATTTTACCTGGCAAAAGCAAGATGTATGACTTTACACCCCAATGCTACTAGAGGAGAACTTCATTAGTCTGCATCCCTCAGAATCTAAGGTACTTTAGATACTTTGTCAGACCCCGATAGTCTGAATTTTGTCTCATCTTCTCAACCTTTCAATTGATTGAGATAATGGGTACTCCCTCTGTGTGTTCAAACTAACCTTCCCTTTGTGGTTGCTTCCATAAGAGATTGGAAGATGGGGAGGAAAAATACAGAAGGAGACATAAAAGGATATCTAATACTGGAAAAATCAGCTTATCAAGAAACGCTCCCAAAATATCCTTGGAAATACTCAGATGTTGTACCAGGATAACCAAATGCAGAAGGAAGAGCTGTCTCTTTTCTTAGCACTCGCTAGAAGCGGAGAGTAACCATGGGGAAATTACCTAAGCTCTTTAACCTCTGTTCTTCCATCTATGTAAAAAGGCTACCCTGAAAGTCACCCTGTGGAGCTCTTGTAAGGATTTGATGAGATAATGCTTATGTGTTCTCCGTACGGTGTGTGGTGCTGAACAAGGCCTCATTAAATGTGTGTGTGTTTAAAAAAAACAGGTAATATATATGAAAACTTCTATAAGCCCTAAGTGCTATATAAATGTGACTATTTTTTAAACAAAAAGAAAAAATAGACTTAGTTGTGTAATGTGAATATGCAGACATCTAGGAAGATCTCTTTCTATCCGAAATATTGATGTCACTGTTTCTCTTTAAGGCCTTTTCTATTTGGTCATGCTTAAAGTAATAGTATCTAAAAGCTACTTAGTATTTTCTATGCAAACGTGCCATTGCAGAATTGAGTAATAAAAGTTGCACCTTTGAAAACAATATGAAACATTTAAGCACCAATGACCTAGTAGCCTCATCTAGCTTTGTGATTCGTTATCATGCAACATCAATGTTTCCATTGTCGATCTGCTGTTTCAGATAACAATGCCGTCTGGACACTTGCCTGCTGGCCATTTAAGAGATTAGGGGCTTTTTTTTTCCCTCCTTAGTCTACCACTGTGTTCATTCCCAGCTATACAGTTACCATTTGTAAATCAGTGAAGCAAGAAATTAAGGACACACTAGCAGCCCTGCCTGTGGAATACCAATAAAGACAAAGGTGTAGAGTTGCTTTGCTGCCTTATTGCTGCCTACCATACACCCAACTAAAACATCACTCCTCCAAATGAGCACAGTTATCTCAGTCACCAGGAGGAATAAATGAGGCACAGTGATAACCAGATTAGGATACAATGAAATAAATTTTCTGGATTTTATAGTATGAAAATGAAAACCTGTTTATTTTCTAATGCTTTGTTTTCATGTTTTTGTGGTTTGATTCTTAGGTTAATTTAGATTTTAATTCTATGCTGTCTGGGGTGGTTCCCTAGCTTTGCTTTGAAGTGCAAATTGTTCTGCACAAATGACACCTGATAATTAGGAAACAAGGGGGTAAGAAAGTTGTTGAAATACAACTGAGCGATTCTCTTTGTATGGAAGAATCAAAATCTACCTTCCTGGTTAGTTACACTCTCCTGCAGATGCTCTGATGAACTGTCTCATCAGTAAGAAGCCACCAGCATGTCTGTATCCTGCCAGTATATTGTGTACAACATATATTCTTCCCTCTTAAAAATCCAGGGCACGCAAAAGAAACAGATTCATACGTAACAACATTTGGGAAATGACACAAAATCCTCAAACTCCAAATAGTTTCCTAGGTCATTGGACCATTCTTCCAAGTGTTCTGGCAGCAGAAAATACTAGTCCATTGACATGTAAGATTTTTTGTGTTGGGAAATTACCCTAACAGACATTATGATGTAATAGAATGCTACAATAATGAAAACTGCATGGCTGTGGCAAAGTAATCAGCAGACAGAATGAACAGCCCTGAAATTTATTTGAAAATAGAATGTACATAGGGAAGGGATGCATTTATTTCATAAATTATATGGGAAATTGGCTAATTACTTGAAACAATAAACAAGAGCTTCAGCTTATAACATGCCCCAATTAAATTCCAAATGAGGAACTAAACATAATAAAGGAAGCCGGTAGAAAACTAGAAGAAAATGTGAAATAAATAATTAGTTTAGTGGGGCAAGGACTTTCTGATATAAACATAATGGAAGACACTATAAATGTTTAAATGATGACAGGTTTACATAAACCAGTATCCACTAAAAGAAACTAGGACTCTTTGGAAAAATGGCAGATTCGAGGGCTGGGGTAAGAAAGTACAAGATGGGTCTAGAACATCTCATTGTGCCAGAAAATAAGAGCTTAAAGAATATGAAGATACGTCCAAATGATATAGGAACTTCCACTGGCCAAGTCTGGGATTATTTGAACATAAATATAAATGATAATAATAGATTATACCCTATCGAATCAATTAGGTATCCATGAGTCTATATTGATATAAATTAATAATGAATAATTAAAATTTTGAGGGAAAGTAGGATAATGTAGTGATATAGGAGTTAAGAAGAAATTATTTAGGCAGATAGTGAGGGTAAGACAGCCCACAGTACTGCTTTCTTTTTAATAAAAAGCAGCCTCCAAATCATTTCTTTTCTATCAAAAAAAAGCAGCCTGCAAAATAGAGCTGCAAGCATAGATAAGCAAGCTCGAAGCTTGCACAGGTGAATGCTGGCAGCTGTGCGAACAGGGAAAGGCTACCTGGGGGCCAGGCATGTGTAACATGGCGGCTCCATCTTCCCTTTCTTTCGTCAACCACGTGTACAATAAGGAACAGACAACATGGCCCTGGACAGGTAGAGAACTGATCTGCAAAATAAAAGATTAGGGTGGGGTGGCCAGCTTCTTCACGTGCTATGTAAATGGCACATCTGGTCCAACCAATCTTTGGACCCTGTGTAAATCAGACACAGCCTCCTCAAGCTAGTCTATAAAACCTCCACCCTTCCCTCTCCCGCAAGCGATTCTGTTTTTCTTTCAGCTATTAAACCTCTACTCTTTTTCTTTTTCTTTTTTTTTTGAGACAGAATCTTGCTCTGTTGCCCAGGCTGGAGTGCAGTGGCTCCTCTCTTAAACTCACTTCTTGTGTGTCTGAGTCCTCGATTTCCCTGGCCTGAGATGACAAACCTGGGGTATTTACCCCAGATAAAGACGAATGATGCTGCTTCAGTAGGATAACACAGCTTCAAAATCCTTTCCTTCAAAACACCGTTACTGAACCAAACTTAGGTCTGCCCACCCAATGAAACAAAGCCAAACGCTAATATCAGGATTTGCAGCAAGAGAAAAGTGAGGCATTTATTGCAGGGCGCTCATGCTTAAGACCTGAACTCCCCAATGAGTTACATGTAAGGGTTTTTAAAGGCAGTGAGGCAGGGGTTCCAGGCAAACTCATAAATCTATACATGGAGGTTATATATTGATTCGACTTAAAAAAAAAGAAAAACGGACATTTTGAAGCGGGGGCCTACAGGTCCTGGGTGGATTCAAAGATTTTCTGACTTGTGATTGGTTAAGGACAAAAAGATTTGTCTAAAAATTTGAGGTCAGCAGAAAATAATGTTAGCTGTGGCCCGTGGGTTTTACCCCCTCCAGGCCCCTCAGGAAGAAATTTAGAAGAAAGAAAGGTGGTCACAGTTCAATCCTCGGTTCCCTCTATGTGCCAGTGGATGGCATTTTCCATCTCATGGGAAATGGGGTTTCTGAAAAACAACTCGGGGATATATGTTAAGCTGTTATCTTTTGTTTCTATAGGAAACCAAACATCTTGTGACTCTAACTTCCTTGTCTGTTGTTTTAAGCTACTATTACCTTCTTGCTTATCAAATTGCTCATTTACTTCTCCAGGCTAGCTAGGTGCCTGGAATTTCCTTTGAAATAACTCAAGATTTCCCTTTCTTTCCATGCTTGTGGGGGATGGGGCGTTGGGCTGGCGGGCCCCTGAGAGGCATCACTCCTCCATCTCAATACTATACTCACTAAAGACAAAAGGGAAAAGATAAACTTTACAGTGAAGGATCCTGACAGATATCACCTTAATCAAATGTTTAATGTGCCAATCACTAGTAATAGGACAAATCTAGGTAGTGTTCTGCCTGGTAAGAGATGATGAGAAGACTAGAGCCTGCCCTCTGTGATATCCCTGACAAAGGTGCATAACCTGAATTTAATCATGAGGAAACCTCAAAGAAACTCATGAAGGACATCCCAAAAAATAATTGATGTGTAATCTTCAAAAGTACCAAGGCTGTGAAAATCAAGGAAATACTGAGGAACTGCTCTAGATTTGTGGACACCAAAGAGACGTGACAATAATATGTAATGCGATTCTCAATTAATCATTTTACTAAAATACATTGTTGGGACTACTGGTGAAACTGGAATGGGGTCCAAAGATTAGATAACGATGATGTAGCATGTTAACTTCCACCAATTTTCCATGGTGGTATTGTAATTATGTAGAAGAATATCTTTGTTTATAGGAGATGCACTAAAGCATTCAGAGGTGGCGAGGCCTCCTGTAGGCAGCTTAGTCTCAAATGTTTCATGAATAAAAACATTCTTGCAATTCTTTATAAGTTTGAGATTGTTTCAAAATAATAATAACCTTAACCAAAGAACAAGTGTATCTGTTCCAAATTCTCTTTTCCCTTCTGCTAGTTAGGTACATCTAAATATTGTGTTTGTATCATAATATATTTTTGGTATATCTGTTACCACAGTTTAATCTTCCCTTGCACAAATTTAAATGTCAAGCAACAGGGAAATTATTATGCCATAGCCATATCCTAGAATATTATAAATATTTTTAAGTGTTTTTGTTTTGACAAATAGGTAACAACATGGGAAGATTCTCTTGGTGTTCTATTGTTTTAAAATGAGAGTAAAGTAAAATAGTATTTAAAAAATTAATGTGATTCTGAAAATACTTTTACAACCTAAAAGGAAATATGCACTTCAACCAAGGTTATATCTTGGTAGTGTGAATATAGGTGATTCATTTTCATTTTTGTTTTGGCATTATGTCTCAATTTCCTATAATGACCATTCATTTGTAAAAAAAACATTGAAATTGCAATAGCAATTAACATAAAGTGATATGAAGAGGAATAAGAAAAAACTGTTGATTAAAGAATGAAAGAGCACAGGGAACTTCACCTGAAAATATGGTATATGGTATACTGAGTGTTTTGAATTAAAGATCAGACAGACCCACCAAGAACAATGGAGAACAATCCATCTCAACCCCCACACCCCCAAATCCTCTCCCTATCCCAAAGCACAGATAAAGTTGTCTTATCTACCTAAAATCTAGACCTAACAGAGAAGAAAACAATAACCTCAGGTCCTTTCTCTTAAGTTTTCATTTGCTGAACCCATATCACAGGAAGGAAGACTAAAGTCTGACAACAAACCTGGATAAATTTTTGTCACAACCTTTATCCGCTCTGAGGGCCCAACAGACTTTGCCCTAAACCATTGTATGTTCTTCAAGCCCACTGAATTCCCCTAAAAATTATTTACTATCTCCATAAAATGATCCACACTTTTCCCTAAGAAGTAGGGTATGTAAGAGGCTGTATCCCACTGGGACATTAGGCAGTCACTCTGTGATTCTCCCTGTGTACATGGTAGTAATAAATCTGCATGCCTTTTCTCTTATTAATCTTCTTGTTAGTTGATTTTTCAGCAAACCTTCCAAGAGCAAAGGGGACACTTTCCCTTCACCCCTGCAGAAGACGTCTCCGAGGAAGTGAAACATTGGTGGATATATGATAGAAATCATCATGGTAAAGAAAGTATTACAGTAAGACTGAAAACCAACCATTTTGCCCAAGGGACAGACCCTCAGCTGTGACTCTGCACCTGATCTCTGTGGCTTTGCTGAAATGTAGCTTTAACCCTGGAGTACCCTAAAGGTGAGCACCAGCGCGATGGAGAGGTGAGAGCACAGACTTTGGCTGTTGGCCTCAGTTTCTTCCTCTGCAGTTTGGTGTGAAGCTCAGAGATGGTGCATGGAGCCCCCAGAGATAGTAGCTGGCACCTGGAGACCCATGCCCTGCTTGGGCCACACCTCTGCTGGTGCAGGGAAACCTGGGCAACCCGAGGTGGACAGACCAGTT
Source organism: Homo sapiens (assembly GCF_000001405.40). Classification (NCBI taxonomy): domain Eukaryota; kingdom Metazoa; phylum Chordata; class Mammalia; order Primates; family Hominidae; genus Homo; species Homo sapiens. The sequence continues at coordinate 25,901,715 of NC_000010.11, forward strand.
CTACTGGAAGCTGGTCCCCATCACCTGTACTTTTCCCACAAAAGACTCCCTTCCTTATCCCCTTCCTCACTCACCCACAAAAGAACCCTTTCCTTATCCATGACCTGTACTTTACCCACAAGAAACCCCCTTCCTTACCCACTCCCTTCCTTACTCAATCTGGCAGGGCTCAGATTGCAATAAAGAAGGGTCAGTAATCCACAAATCCAAATATTCAGTTTCCTGGCAGACGTAGAATCATTCATATTCTTGAATCAAAAGGATCTGTTCACGATTAGAAAAAAAAATTCATCTAACTGCGTTTTTCATTAATAGAAACTGCATATAGAAATCCTCTAGAACAACATCATACACCATGGAGTTGACAATTCATCATGCTCTATTCTAGGCTCGGCTTCAGCATATTTGAAATCAGCTAGGAGGCTTCTGTTGATACAAAATACAGTATTTGTAGACTGATCTAGTCCTGCAGCAGGTGGTAAAGAAGTATGAACTGAAACTGCCATATGGCGGTGTGAAGGAAATGTTTCTCTCCAGAGAAATACTTGAAAGTGTCATAAAAACAGTAAAAACATTTAACAGCTCAAAAGGCTTAAATTCAGTATGTACAGAAACTGTGTCAACTTTGGAGTCAGGCTGCTTTCATTAAAATCTCAGCAGATAGATGATAACTTTCACTCGCGTCCATGTGAAGAGACCACTAAACAGGCTTTGTGTGAGCAATAAAGCTTTTAATCACCTGGGTGTGGGTGGGGTGAGTCCGAAAAGAGAGTCAACGAAGGGAGATAGGGGTGGGTCCATTTTATAAGATTTGGGTAGGTAAAGGAAAATTATAGTCAAAGGGGGGGTTGTTCTCTGGCGGGCAGGAGTAGGGGTCACAAGATGCTCAGTAGGGGAGCTTTTGAGCCAGGATGAGCCAGGAGAAGGAATTTCACAAGATAATGTCATCAGTTAAGGCAGGAACAGGCCATTTTCACTTCGTTTGTGGTGGAATGTCATCAGTTAAGGCAGGAACCGGCCATCTGGATGTGTATGTGCAGGTCACAGGGGATATGATGGCTTAGCTTGGGCTCAGAGGCCTGACAATACCCAGGCAGATAAGTAATGTGACTTTGTGCAAGTGACTTAAACTCTGGAGCTTTGGTTTCCTCATAGAAAAGAGGGAATAGACCCTTGGGATTATAGTGAAAATGAAAAGAAATAGTGTATATACAGCAACTAGCCTAGTCTCTGGTCTATGTGGAAAACGCTTGATAAGATTATCATTGTCATGATTGTTTTTATATTATGAATACATTTGTTGTGTTACATATAATTCACGTCTACCTTCTGTGAAAGTATGTATAGGCATACAGATGGAGATGGTAAGAGAAAAGAGGAAGAGAAAGAATCAGAAAAATATACGCCTGATTCACCCTCCCAATCCTGCTACTCAAACCTTTTATTCTATGCCCAGTCTTCCCCATCTCCATAAATGGAATACCATCCACCCAGTTGCTCAAGCCAAATATTTCAGAGTCAATGTAAATATTTCCCTTTCCCTTACTGGCTGGCCACTGTCTATCTAATTTCAGTCATTATAATCTCATCATCATCTCTCCCTGGATTTTATATTTTTATTTAGCTTCGTCTTCCTAAATCTTCTCCCTGCTTTCATTCAGAGTCCCCTCTAACCACACAAAACCAGAACTTCCTTCTTAAAATAGAAATTAGATCACATCTCTCTTCCCAACTGGAAACCCTTCGGTGACTTCTCATTGTACTTCAAGTAAGATGCAAACACCTTTCCAGGGCCTCCAAACCCCTGCACAATTGGGTTCCCAATACTCCCTAACACCACCTCCTACACCCTCCCTGACTATATTTCAGTCCCTTGAACAAGCCAAGCTCCTTTCCACCTCACAGCCTGTGCACAAATTGTTCTCTCTGCCTGGAACACTCTTCCATTTTGGCATAAATGTCTGATTCCTTTCTGACCTTCAAGCCAGAATTTCAAGGTCAATTGCTCAGAGAGGCCTTCCCAGTACACCAACTGAAGCAGATGACCTCCTCACCTCAGTCATTCTCTAGATCCACATTGTGTCTTAACAGCACATAAAATAACTTGTATTTTATTAGTTTTTCATTTTTTTCGTGTGTCTGTCTCTCCCAAAGGTTGTAAATAACTTGAAGGCTGGGGCCATATCTGTCTTTTCCATTTTTTCACTTGCAGTGCTCAATACAATGCACTGTGCTGGGCATAGAGAAGATGTTCAGTAAATATTTGATGTAAGAAATTGGGTCATTGGATAAAACAATCTTGTAAATTTCCATCGTTAAAATGCCCTAGATATATAATAATTTATTTTCACTCATTACTGAAAAGTCAGAGATGAAAAAAGACAACACATTTTTGTATGTTTATATGTATGCTTAAAGGGTTAGAAGTATTTGATCTTTTATGGATCAATTGTTGAAGAATTATCTGTTGCCTAGAAAGAGGTCATGTGAAAGAGGCAAATGTAAATGCAGGAATTTTGCTCATTGCAGTTAATTGACACTTTCAGGGCCAATGGATCACATGAGTCACTTTTTAAAAATCTTTCTCCTATTTTAGAGGATACAGTGGTTTGAAACCAACATTACAGCAGCATGTTTCATAGGACTTGTTCTTTATTGATCATGGGCAAAGATTAATTTCAAGTATGTAATTGTCATCTGAGGGCCTGACTTCTCATGGGCCCCAGCTGCTTTTTTTCTGTATAATTTAGATTAGAAGTTGACTGCAGTGAATGCCATGCTGTATCTCTCAGATCCCCCTCTTTGGAACTGAGGCCCTCAACCCCCAGCAGCTAGAGCACTGTTGAAGAGAGCTAAGGTCTTGTCCCAGCTCAGGGGATGGTCCGTATTCAAGAGCTGCCCTGGGCATGTTGGGGGTGGAGGAAATCCAGCCTCTTGCATAAGGTGACAGCACAAATCCAAAGGGCCATTCCAGCTCCGGAGATCTGTTGGACAATTAAGGCCTATGTTGCATTTACATTGACTGCATTGGGTTCAGCTCCTGCCTCTATCCAATCCTACTTTCTTTACTTCCCTACAGATGTTGTTCCCAAGATCACTGCCAGTAATATTCCTGCAGCCAGATCTCCATCTTAAGGTGGAAAAGATAATGTCTCTAATATGGTCTGGCTGTGTCCCCATGTAAATCTCATCTTGAATTGTAGTTTCCATAATTCCTATGTATTAGTATTATGGGAGGGACCCAGTGGGAGATAATTGAATCATGGGGGTGGTTTTCCCCATACTGTTCTCATGGTAGTGAATACGTCTCACAAGATCTGATGGTTTTATAAGGGGTTTCCCCTTTCTGTTGGCTCTCATTTCTCTCTTTCCTGTTGCCATGTAAGATGTCCCTTGCTCTTGATTGTGAGGCCTCCCCAGCCATGGGGAACTGTGAGTCCATTAAACCTCTTTTTCTTTATAAATTATACAATCTCAGGTATGTCTTTATCAGCAGCATGAAAACAGACTAATACAGTCTCCTTCTTAAGACATTGATTAAAGTGATTTGGTGCCACTTTTTTTCTACCATTCCCCTTTTCCTTGGCTTGAAAGGAGTCCTTTGGGGAAAGGGTGAACAAGGGAGTCTACTGTCCAGCTCTCCCCTAACCATAGGTGGCAGTTTTGAAAATGTGGATGGCACAGTCTCCTGCTGACCCATCTTGAAACCGAAACTATCATCTATCTCCTTTCTACACTCCATGGCTTCTTCCCAGTACAGATAAAAAGGTAAGACGGACCACTTCATTCTAATTAATTAGGAAGAGACTAATCATAGATACATACTTTGATATAATTACAGTTGCCCTCCTGACTGTGGTTTTGCACTCCAAAGCTTCCCCATGGTCAACTTCAGTGCAAGAATACTACATATAGTAACATACGTTGAGAGCGAGACAGAGATCACATGCACTTGACTTTTGTTACAGTATGTTGCTATAATTGTTCTATTTTATTAGTAGTTATTGTTGTTTTTCTCTTACTGTGCCTAATTTATACATTAAACTTTATCATAGGTATGCATATATAGGAAAAATCACAGTATATATAGGGTTCAGTACTATCTGTGGTTTCAGGCATTCACTGGGGGGTCTTGGAATGTATCCTCCATGGATAAGGTGAGACAACTGTATTTTAAAAACATGTGTTATGAGCTGAATTGGGCCCCAATCCCCAAAATCAGATGTTGCCATCCTAACTTCAGAATGGGATTGTATTTGGAAATAGAATCTTTAAAGAGGTAAAGTTAAAAGGAGGTCATAGATGTGGGCCCTAATCTAATACAAATTGTGTGCTTATAAAAAGAGGAGATTGGGACACAGCCACACACAGAGGGAAGACCATGTGAAGACACGCAAGAGAAAAGACAGCCATCTAGAAGCCAAAGAGAGAGGCCTTAGAAGAAACCAACCTTGCCAAACACCCTGATCTCAGGCTTCAAACTTCCAGCACAGTGAGAAAATAAATTTCTGTTGTTTAAGCCACGCAGTCTGTGGCACTTTGTTATGGCAGCCCCCGGGAAGTAATGCAACATGGAATCATAAGAGTCATGGATTTTGTTTCATGTCCTTTAAATGCCCTGAGCACAGCTAAAAGCCCCCACAGAGGGGCTCCAGAAAGTCTCTAGGCTGTCTGACTTCTTTGCACCTTAACCTGGTTTCTCTGACCCATCCTTTATTTCTGCTTGGTGAGGGTATTGTGAATTGGTCATTTGGTTTTAGAGTGTTTCCTCCAGTCACACCTTGAATTCCTGTACACGCCTTCCTCTGCTTTTATGCTGTTGCTGTTGTATCCTGCACCCCAAGCTCCAGGAAGCGATCCTGACCAAGTTTCTACTAATCTAGCTCTTCCTGAAAGAGGAAATGGACTGGAAATTTCGAGAGCTGCACACAGCTTAGAAGACCCAAGTTACTAACTAGGGAATCATAATATTGATTTTATTCTGATCCCCTACCTAAAAATTTAGCAAATACATCTTATTGGACAGCCTGGTGCTTCCTAGATTTAAGGCATCTGACTATAATGTATTGACCAAATTTAATTAAGGGAAAGAAAAAAATTAGTAAATATATAGATTTGAAAGGTTTGAAATGATAATGGCACAATGTCCTGCTGACCCCTGACCCATCTTGAAACTGAAACTACCATCTGCTTCCTTTCTCTATTCCTTAGTGTCTTTCAATTCTGCACAAATGTCTTGTCCCTTCCTGACCCTCTGGAAGATAGATAGATAGATAGATAGATAGATAGATAGATAGATAGATAGATAGATATTATAAATAATATGTAAATAAATATATAAATATATATATTTCAGAAAAGAACATCATTGTAAGTGACAATTCCCATTGTCCCCCAGGAATCCTTTATGTGACTCTTTGGGGCCTACATTCTGTCTTCCCAGGCACACTGCCGATCAAATCATCCCTGATGATTGTCTCATGGCACCATCGTGCTTCTGCCGTCTTGTTCCTGCACCACCACAGACACTCAGGAGCTCTCAAGGGGCCTGGACTGTATAGTGTTCTGTGGCACAACAGGCACCTCAATCTCATGCAAGTACAGTTAAAGAGCATCAGATCTGCGCTGCCCTCATGGAAATGCTCAGCTTCTGGTACAACAGCTGTTTAATTGCTTCACATACAGCCCCCTCTCCTGTCCTTGGATTCAGTCAAGGTGCAGGGACACATTTGAGTGACAGGTTCTGCTCTGTGCTCCATAGTGATGACTAAGGCTTTGTTTCTGGGTCAAGCTTGTCACGACTCATTTTTCCCTTAGGAGAAGCTCTCTACTAGCATATTTCTCAGTGCCTCATGCAAAGAGGCTTCTGGTAAGCTGTCCTGCTGGCTTTCCAATATGCCCGGGAGAGCTGAATAGTCACTTCTAGGACACGCCAGGGACTTCCTGCCTCTAGTAACTCTCTCCAAGACTTCCCTTAAATATGTTTATAGGGTGGGAGTTATAGACAAAAAGTAGAGAAGATACCATTGCTTCTTGAGGGAGAAGTTCAAATGCTGGCTTTATTTTCTCTGGATATTCTACTTTGCTCTTGTCCCTATTGTCTGGTCTGAGTTAGGATATTCAACCTTTGACTTATTATCACAGATGGTTCTAGTGCCCTTACTTGTGTAAACCAAAAAGTATCTGAGACAGGTCTAAATCAATTTAGAGGTCTCTTTTCCCAAGGTTAAGGGCCATGGCCCATGGCACAGCCTGAGGAGGTCCTGAGAGCATGTGTCTAAGGTGGTTAAGTTACAGCATGGTTTCATACATTTTAGGGAGACAGAAGTTACAGGCAAAGACATAAATCAATACACGGAAGTTATACATTGGTTCAGCCCAGAAGGGCAGGACATCTTGAAGGGAGGTAGGGGACATCTTTCAGGTCATAGGTAGATTCAAAGATTTCCTAATTGGCAATTGGTCAAAAGAGTTAAGCTCTGCCTAAAGAGTTGAATTTGGGAAAAAAAAAAAAAAAAGGCTTGAGTAATTTAGATAAGGGTGACTGTGGAAGACTCTAGGTAGCAGGCTTCAGGGAAAATAGATGGGAAATATCTCTTATCAGACTCTAAAAAATTTCAGACTCCCCAGAAAAGACCTAGTAAGGGAAGGATATTCTCTACAGAACAGACATTTCCCCCATAAGAGATGTTTTTGCAGAGCCCTTTCAAAGTATGTCAAAGAAATACATTTTGAGGGTAAATATTTTGCCTGCTATCTGTCATATGATGCTATACCAGAGTCAGATTGGAATTTGGTGTCCTATTGTTACAAAAAGTCTGTTTTGTTAGTCTTAAGATCTCTGTTTTGATTCTAATGTTGGTCAGTTGTTCCTGAACTCCAAAGGGCAGAGGCCAGAATGAGGCATGTTTTGCTCCTCCTTCCTGTCATGGCCTGAACCAGTTTTTCAGGTTTCTTTGGGGTCCTCTTGGTCAAGAGGGGGCCCATTTATTCTGTTGAGGAGGCCTAGAATTTTATTTTAGTTTCACGCTTGTTTACTAGAGAGTGATGACGATACATCCAAAATCTGTCACCGAAGATCTTTGTCTTTGTAGATTTCCTGTCAGCCTAGTCTTTGTTGGAAGATCAGCACTCTGTTCTGGCTGGCTCCTGAATTTACTCAGTGCACCTCCTCCCTTGATCATGGGAGGAGTTTGAGAGCTTTTTCAGTAAAAATAATAGTTTCTTTCTGTGTGGAGTCCAGATGAAAGATAAACACTCATGGATGTTTTAGTTTAAAAAATCCCATGTCTAATTTGATGTGGAAATGGATTTTTTAAAATGATGTATATGATGACATTATATTTTGGACTGGAGAGACAGTGATATGGTTTGGCTGTGTTCCCACCCAAATCTCATCTTGAATTATAGCTCCCATAATCCCCATGTGTCATGGGAGGGACCCCGTGGGAGGTAATTGAATCATGGGAGCGAGTTTTTCCTGTGCTGTTCTCATGATATTGAGTAAGTCTCATGAGATCTGATAGTTTTAGAAAGGGCAGTTTCGCTACATATACTCTCTTGTTTGCTCCCATGTAAGATGTACCTTTGCTCCTCCTTCACCTTCTGCCATGATTGGGAGGCCTCCCCAGCCATGTAGAACTAACTGTGAGTCCATTAAATCTCTTTTTCTTTATAAACTACCTAGTCTCAGCTATGTCTTTATTAGCAGCGTGAGAATGGACTAATGCAGTAAATTGGTACTGGTAGAATGGTGTGCTGGTATAAGGATACCCAAAAACATGGAAGCAGCTTTGGAACTGTGTAAGGGCAAAGATTGGAACAGTCTGGAGGGCTCAGAAGAAGACAGGAAGATGTGGGAAAGTTTGGAACTTCCTAGAGACTTGGAGAGTTCAGAAGACAGGAAGATGTAGGAAAGTTTGGAATTCCTGGAGACTTGTTGAATGGCTTTGACCAAAATGCTGATAGTGATATGGACAATAAAGTCCAGGTTGAGGAAGTCTCAGATGGAGATGAGGAACCTGTTGGAAACAGCAGTAAAGGTTACTCTTGCTATGCAAAGAGACTAGTGGCATTTTGCCTTTGCCCCAGAGATCTGTGGAACTTTGAACTTGAGAGAGATGATTTAGGGTAGCCAACAGAAGAGATTTCTAAGCAGCAAAGCATTGAAGAGAAAGCAGAGCACAAAAGTTTGGAAAATTGGCAGCCTGATGATGTGATAGAAAAGAAAACCCCATTTTCTGGGAAAAATTCAAGCAGGCTGCAGAAATTTGCATAAGTAACAAGCTGCAGAATGTTAATCACCAAGACAATCACAGAAATGTCTTCAGGGCATGTCACAGACCTTCACAGCATCTCCTTTCATCACAGGTTCATAGGCCTAGGAGGAAAAAATGGTTACTTGGGCCAGGGCCTCGCTGCTGTATGCAGCCTTAGGACTTGGTGCCCTGTGTCCCAGCCACTGCAGCCATGGCTAAAAGGGGCCAACATGCAGCTCAGGCCATTGCTTCAGAGGGTGCGAGCCCTAAGCCTTTGCGGCTTACACATGGTGCTGGGCCTGTAGGTGCACAGAAGTCAAGAATTGAGGTTTGGGAACCTCTGCCTAGATTTCAGATGATGTATGGAAATGCCTGGATGTCCAGGCAGAAGTGTGCTGCGGGGCAAAGTCCTCACAGAGAACCTCTGCTAGGGAAGTGCAGAAAGGAAACGTGGGGTGGGAGCCCCCACACAGAGTCATCACTGGGGCACTGCCTAGTGGAGCTGTGAGAAAAGAGCCACCATCCTCCAGACCCCAGAATGGTAGATCCACTGACAGCTTGCACTATGCACATGGAAAAGCAACAGACACTCAACACCAGCCCATGAAAGCAGCCAGGAGTGGGGGCTGTACCCTGCAAGGCCACAGGGGCAGGGCTGCCCAAGACCATGGGAACCCACCTCTTACATCAGCATGACCTGGATGTGAGACATGAAGTCAAAGGATATTATTTTGGGGCTTCACGATTTGACTGCCCTGCCAGATTTAGGACTTGCTTGGGGCTTGTAGCTCCCTCATTTTGGTCAGATTCTCCCATTTGGAACAGATATATTCCTGTATCCTCATTGTATCTAGGAAGTAACTAACTTGGTTTTCATTTTACAGGCCCATAGATGGAAAGGTCTTGCCTTGTCTCAGACGTGACTTAGGACTGTGGACTTTTGAGTTAATGCTGAAATGAGTTAAGACTTTGAGGGACTGTTGGGAAGGCATGATTGGTTTTGAAATGTGAAGATATGAGGTTTGGGAGGGGCCAGGGTTGGAATGATATGATTTGGCTGTGTCCCCACCCAAATATCATCTTGAAATTTTAGCTCCTATAATCCCCACATATCGTGGAAGGGACCTGATGGGAGGTAATTGAATCATGGATTTTTCCCATGCTATTTTTGTGATAGCAAATAAGTCTCATGAGATCTGATGGTTTTATAAATGGGAGTTACCCTGCACACAGTTTCTTGCCTGCTGCCATGTAAGATGTACCTTTGCTCCTCCTTCACCTTCTGCCATGGCTGTGAAGCCTCCCCAGCCATGTGGAACTGTGAATCCATTAAACCTCTTTTTCCTTATAAATTTCCCAGTCTTGGGTATGTCTTTATCAGCAGTGTGAGAACAGACTAACACAGACAGTAATGTTGTACAGGATTGTTCAAGTGTTTGTCATCACTGAATCCTTCAAATATGTAACTTGGGATCATCTGCTGACCAGAAATGACTTTGTTCAATACAATATTCCTTGAGATAATGATGTTTTCTATTTTTTACTGGTATGTAAATGTGAAATGCTGCTGCTATTAAAACAATAGTTTAGAGCTAATGTGTAATGAAGTTTTTGTTTGTTTGTTGGCTAATTTTTCCATATGGAAAATCATATGTAAATATAGCTTTCTAAAAGATTTAGCAAAAGTGGAAAGCAAGAGAGGTAGAAAAGAGTTGATTCCATGAATGTGAAACAATGGCCCTTGATTTTTCACTGTGCTGTCATCCCATCCAGATGTGCATGTGACGTGGTGTTGGAGAATGCTCAGGGGACAGACCCAGGAGCTGCTGCCCAAGGATTCTTTGACAGAATCCCAATCCGGGATTCTTTGGAGGCTTTTTCTCTGCAGTATACAAATAACCCTGAGTATTGAGCCCTTCCTGAGATCAAAGTTAAACATGAGAGCTAAAGGTAGAGCTAGAGGACATAGGGAAATGCAAACCCAGTAAAGCTCTGGGGAAAGAGGCTCGCCTATGCACTCTGCAGAACCTCTACCTCCAGCTTCAATGTCTGCACCCAAGAAATACCGTGTACAAGTCTTCACACATGAGTGCAAATAACATACTGATGGCTGAAAACAATAAAATGAACAAGAAAAAAATTCTCACTAATTCAAACTGTCTGCATTCTATCTCTGTGGTTATTCTAAGCTCACCTCCATAACTTTATGTATTTATGTATTTAAGAGATGGAGTTTCACTCTGTCACCAAGGCTGGAGTGCAGTCGTGCAATCACAGCTCACTGCAGCCTTGAACTCTGGGCTCAAGGGATTCTTCTTCCTCAGCCTCTTGAGCTGGGACTACAGGCAAGCCACAATGCCCAGCCACCTACCTCAGTTTTAAATTCTCATTCTTCCATTTGCAATTCTTTTTTTTTTTTTTCAGACAGAGTCTCACTCTATCATCCAGGCTGGAGTGCAGTGGTACAATCTTGGCTCACTGCAACCTTCCCGTCCCATGTTCAAGCGATTCTCCTGCCTCAGCTTCCTGAGTAGCTGGGACTGCAGGAGTGTGTCACCACGCTCGGCTAATTTTTGTATTTTTAGTAGAGACAGGGTTTTGCCATGTTGGCCAGGCTGGTCTTGAACTCCTAACCTCAAGTGATCCAACCACCTCGGCTTCCCAAAGTGCTGGGATTATAGGCATAAGCCACCATGCCCAGCCTCCGTTTGCAATTATTGTCGCTAGAGCACTTTGAAAAGAAATCGCTGCATGAGAGTGTGTGTGTGTGCAATTTTTACAGATTCCTCCAAAAATAAATTGTGCAAGTACATTATATTTTTCAGTAGCCTATGTCAATTATGGTTTCATTTAAACTGAATATGTTCTAAATTCTTGTCCACATAATCTGCCCTCCCATTTTATATGGGACAAGGATCACATCATTTCCAACTACCATGTCTTTCTATCACAGGCTGCTGTGCTATGGCTGATGCTGCAGTTCCAGAGCAGGCTCCCTGCTGTGATTCTACTCATGAGATGTTTCCCAGCAGAGGAACTAGCGACAGTGCAAGAGGGGACCCCCATTTCGTGTTTCTGTGAAGGCTGCAGAACCAGGCTTTGTAGTGGATGCCAGCTCATTTCCAAGCTAGATGTCCAATCTACTAGCTAGATGTCAAAGGTCATGATGAATCTTTGATGCATGACAGAGTCTGATAGTGGAAGCTTTGTAAAAGCAAATCTTCCTGGGTGTCAAAGGAATTTAAGTCTGGCAATGTGGCAAAGTTTCCCAACATTCCAAACAGTGGCAGCATGTTTCCAAAAACAGGTAGCACAATCTTCTTTTTACAACAAAAATGAAAGTTATAGTAGGATGTAAATGTATTTAAACAGCAGAGGCTGTAGAAGACAGCATATAAGGGAGCAGTGGTCTATTACCCTTAACATTGAGAGGTGGCCTCGTACAATGGTTAAACAAGTCCTAGGTTTGAATCTTCGCTCAACTCTGCAAATTGCATAATCTCTCTGAGCTTTAAATGTTATTTCAAGATGTCTATTCATGTAAAATTCCTAGGATGCTGCTTGGCACATGGTAATAAAAGACCCTAATGGAGGGTAACTGGTATATAACAGACTTTCAGGTTTATTTCTCTTAAAATTAGGAGCAAAACTTTATGGTAAATGACAAAAACAAGCTGCTAACTGATAAATAAAACTGTAATTGGGACTTTATATTAAAAGAAAATTCAGACACAGTGGCTCACACCTGTAATCCCAGCACTTTGGGAAGTTGAGGTGGAAGGATTGCTTTAGCCTAGGAGTTTGAGACCAGCCTGGGCTATAAATATACATACACATATATGTATAAATACATGTACACACATACATTTACATATTTATATGTAAATATATACATTTGCATATTTGCATATGTATGTTATTTAACTTTATATGTACATATATGTAAATATATGTGTAAATATGTAATATATGTATATATAAAGTAAAATGATATACATATATAAATAAAATGAAGTAAAATAATACAAATAAATGTAGTTTATAGCTAATTGGACTTAGATTATAATTGCTTACAAATTCCTGCTCCAGTCCTCTCTGTAGGTGGCTGAACCCTGGGCACAGGGAGCAGACATAAGCAGCAAACTGTCAGTGTTGTTTTGTCTCAGAAAATAAGGAAACCCAATGAGAAGGAGAAAGATGGGGGAACAGCTGGTTGGTAGAGCAGTCAGAACACACACAACATTTATTGATTAAGTTTGCTGTCTTATGTGGGCAAACCCCAAAACAACTGCGACAGTAACATCAAAGGAAACTGATTATACATGACCATAAGAGGCATAATAATAATGAAAAAGCTTGAAATATCTTGAGAATTACCAAAATGTGACACAGAGACAAGATGTGAGCACATGCTGTTGAAAATATGGTGCCAATAGACTTGCTTGACACTGGGTTGCCACAAACCTTCAATTTGTAATAAATGCAACCTCTGCAAAGTACAGAAAAGCAAAGCACAATAAACTGATGCATTCCTGTACTTATGGGTAATTGTATTTTCAGAAAATCGGCCTTTTGAAAAGAAAATGTTTTAAATGAAATATTTTGCAAGAATTATAGAGCCCAACAGTGGCTTCAGAATATCTTACTACTGTAGTTTAAAAATAACTCCCTTTCCTTTCAATTTGGTAAGCGTGTGACTTACAAACCTGTCACTCAAAAAAACTAAGAATTGAGCTAAAACTCTATTCTTCACTCAATAATGAGAATGCAGCACTTACATGTATTTTCTTCCTGAATATTCCTTGACACTGTATGTCTGGGATGTGCACGTATGTGTTATGCAATGTCTTTTGCCCTAATGGCATATTAGCAGGAAGCAACCATACCTGCCACCAAGCAAGTCTCCTATTTCTGGTATAAGTATGAGGTCTTGGAGAAGAAAATGTTGTGCCCTTCTATTCCAGAAGCAAAAAACAAGGAAATGATGCAGAAGTCTCTTGGGGAGAGTATCTGCCAAGTTTCCATTTTATTTCTTGGTATGTAAACAAACATTCGGTGTTCCCTCTATATAAAATAAGAAAACCATGGTATATAATGATGTTTCCTGTTTATATTGTGACTGTCAGAATGGTTTTATAAATGCTCTTTTATTGGGTCTTCACAATAAAAGAAAAAAGCAAAAAAAAATGTTAGGACTGGATTTATTCTTTTCATTTTTCAAACAAAGAAACAGAATTTGTGTACCCATGATCAACAATAAGTGCTAAACCCAGAGTGAAACCTGAGTCTGGAAATTGCATGATTTTTTCCCAATTTATCTGTGGTATACTAAAAAGATTAAAGGATTTAGAATCCAAACAACTGCATTTGAAACTTGGTTCCATCAAGAGCTCCCCATAAGACTGTTAGAAGGAAAAAAAAAATGTACAAGAAAGCACTTAACTATAAATCACTGAAATGGCAGTTATTAAGTTCTTCTATCACGCTCTTCAAAATATAACAGATAAATATTAACTACTTGAAGGCAAGAGCCGTTTCATCTACTTCGTTTCTGTTCATCACAGAAACTAACACAGTGCTGAAGACACGAGTCATATTAATAAGAGATAAATAAATATATGCTGTTTGAGAACAATTATGGGGTTACTAAGGTGCCAAAACATTTTAAAGAAAAATATGAATAAAACCTAAAGAAAAGGGAAAAGAAAATGAGACATTGAGAGTTGTGCAAGGTGAATTGCTAACGGAAAATGGCCTCTGATCAGATGCATTTTGCTTTGCTCAGTTGCTCATGCATTGCTAGCAGTGGTATCAAATGTATTTGAGTCAGGCAACTGTCAGCACAAAAATGGTTTTGCATGCACCTGTAGTCCCAGCTACTAGGGAGGTTGAGGTGGGAGGATCGCTTGAGCCTCGGAGGTTGAGCCTGCAGTGAGCTATGATCCTGCTACTGCCCTCCAGCCTAGGCAACAGAGCCAGACCCTGTCTTGAAAAAAAAAAAGAGAAAAGAAAGAAAAGAAAAACGGTTTAGAAAAAAGTAAGCTATAGTATCCTGGATCAAGGTGCCAAGTGCAGTAATTTCTTATATTTACTTCCAGAAAGACTCAGATGTCAGATATTAAATGTGCAAAGTGTTTAAGAACCTGGAAGACAGTTTTCAATCGCAGAAGTGGAAGAAATAATATGTCACCTCAGACATAACAGAACAGGAGCATCACCACCTTGGACAAGCACGGCCATTTTAAAGTTACCCTTGATCAAAAACCGCCTAAATCCAAAGGGCATCAGCCTAATGGTTAAGGCCAGCATGACCATAAACCACAAATGACATCTCCAACCAGAAACATTCCAACCCTAAAATAAACCCCTCCCCGACCAGAGACATACCCACCCTGAGATAACCTCCCTTCTGGCCAGAGAGATGTCAGCCTCAAGATAACCTCCCCTCCAAACAGAGACATTCCAACCCCGCAATAAATTTCTCCCCCACACAGAAACATTCCAAGCCTGTGATGAGCTCTCTCACCCTAAAACCCTTAACTACTCTTGTCTGTAAGAGACAGCACACCTAACTGAAACTGGCCAGAAGCCCCTCTCAGGTTTATTCTCCAAAATAAACCTGTCTTTGACTGTTGAGCTGTTTTTTGTGTTTCCCTCTTTTTTCTTTAACTCTTACAAGACAAATATATATTGCATATTAATGTCAATATATGTGAGCCACTCATGCTGGCTGGTCACGATTTGCAGTGCCTTCTCTGTGGATGTATTAGTATTGTAAGTGGACGGTTCACAGTCTCTAGTGGGAACTATAATAGTTTTCACTGAGTGGATTTAGTTGAACTTTATATTTGTTATGTTTTTCTGTGTACTTCACTCCAGAAGGGAGACCAGAAATCTCCTCGCTGTTGGTTTTTCCTATTGCTAAGGAAACCTGGGGACCACAGATCAATCTTGAGAGCCAGATGGTGGTGATTTGATGAAGGGATAGTGCTTGGCCACACACACATCCTGGGAGTCAGCCTCCCTCCTGCTGCTAGATTTGTTCTGCCTCTGCATAGCCTGTGGTTTGGGTTAAGGATAGCAGTTTCTGCAATGAATGTTGACTCCTTAGGATAAAACACCATCTGGAAATTAATCAGCTAGGTTATGAAAGCGGATCTGGCTGCTTTTAGGAAAGAGCACACACCTGAGAGTTTCTAGCACTGGCCAATCACACAGGCACACAAAAGAACCAAATTAGAAAGGATGGAAGGAAATCTGGGTTAGCGTTGGTTGATGTTTTGGCCCCCCATCTCCCCAGACTGGTCTCCACAGCCTGCCATTCCCCAGTACACTCGTCTCCAACCTCCACTTGGTCCCTTCCTTGGTGTCTGCACTTTTCACTTTGCCAATTTCTAATCACGTGTAATATCCTCTTTATGGCATTTCTATTCCAATTCTTGAATTGCCAATTATAGTGGGAGAAAAGATTTGAGCCCCAGTGATTGAGATTACTCCGGTTACTGCCCATCACACTTTCTTCACGGGCAGCCACATTGTCTTCACTCTTCCCTTGTTACTAACTCCTCTTTGCCAGGAGACCCTGGCCCTGCCCACATCTGTGCATATATACACACTCTCTCAGTGTGTACCCACTTACTGTACTGAATGGCACTGTGCTGCACTGGCCTGCCTTCGCTTTATGTTCATCTCCCCATTTCAAAGTTTTCCCATATATTTACTCTCTAGGTCTTACATCTGTGTCACTGAAGATGAATACTACCTTTCCAGGCTATCAGCGCCTATGTGTTCATGAGCTTGCTCTGTTTGCCTTCCCCTGGATTCGCTTCATTGCTTCTTCCTCTTCTCCCTTTCTCTTTATCCAGTCACTTATTCATTCACCAATCAGAACTTCTATCCTGTATTAAAGTACCAAGGACACAAAAATGAATAAATGATGAGATCTGCCTTTGAGGAGACACACAAATAAAAGTAAAATTCTAATTCAATGGGACTAGAGCTGTTTGAAAGGTACCAGTGAAGGAAGTAAGAAAGTTCATGTGCCTCATGTGTTGTTCTAAAAAAACATGAAAAACTAGTAGCACAGGGCATAATATGCGTGCTTAATAGACACTATTTTTTTCAAAGATAGATCAGTGCTTGATCTGCAGTTGCTTCTCTTCTAGATGCCTTTCTCTTGCTCTGATATCTACAAGCCCCACAAAAAAAGCCTTTCTGATGTTGCTACCTCTCACTTTGTTGCTACCTCTCACTTTTTTTTTTTTTTTCTTTTTGGAGGCAGAGTCTCCCTCTGTTGCCCAGGCTGGAGTGCAGTGGCGCAATCTTGGCTCACTGCAACCTCCACATCCCAGGTTCAAACCATTCTTCCTGCCTCAGCCTCTCGAGTAGCTGGGATTACAGGTGTGTGCCACCACACACGGCTAATTTTTGTATTTTTTAGTAGATATGGGGTTTCACCATCTTGGGCAGGCTTGTATTGAACTCCTGGCCTCAGGTGACCCACCCACCTAGGCCTCCCAAAGTGCTGAGATTACAAGCATGAGCCACCACACCTGGCCTCACTTATTTCCTTTATCATCAGACTGTTTGAAAGTCTTCCTTGGCTAATCTTTCTCCTTGATCATTCATTTATTCTAAAAATATCTGTGACATTGAGTGAAATAGGAATCATCTCAGTATGTATATATAGGTATATAGAGGTACACATACCTATATATACATATATATACACCTATATATACCTCTCTCTATATGTGTATATACACACAATGAAATTCATTTTATAAATAAAATCTTCTGGATTGCCTATATTTCTGTGTATGTATGTATGTATGTATGTGTAATTTTGGAGATATTTCGTGAGAACAGCAAGAAAACATTCCTGTTCTTGTATTCTGAGGCTTTTCAAGACCTGCATTTCAGAAGCACTTTAATCAAATTTGATCCTTTTAGGATCTGTGTGATCAAGGATCACTTTTAGAGTTGTCAGACTCTCCAGGGTCACCATTAACCAGAGTCAATCCCTTGGTGGGGGTGAGCAGAGTTTGTATCTGAATTTCCAGGACTGTCCTGGAATTGGGTTTCCCTCTATGAGCCAGAGAGTCAGGTAACATTTGCTTAGGTAGTTCTCCAGGTGAGTATAATGAACCATGGAAATAATCTTCCATATCACACTCATCAAAAGCAATACTATCTCTTTTTAATTTGAAGACATTTATTTATTTATTTATTTATTTATTTATTTTGAGACGGAGTCTCGCTGTCGCCCAGGCTGGAGTGCAGTGGTGTGATCTCGGCTCACTGCAGCCTTTGTGCTAATTTTCTTTTTTTTTTTTTTTTTTTTGTATTTTTAGTAGAGATGGGGTTTCACCATGTTAGCCAGGCTGGTCTCAAACTCCTGACCTCAGATGATCCACAAGCCTCGGCCGCCCAAAGTGCTAGGATTACAGGCGTGAGCTACTGTGCCTCGCCCTAATTTGAAGACTTTTAAATTAGGTTCCATTCTTGATATTGTGTAATACCTAATTCGCAATATTTTTTATAACAAACTATAACGGCTAATGTGCTATCCCTACAGATAGAGCATGATCTTGGTAGTTTATTTGGTTTTAAACTTTTATTTAGAAGTCATGTTGAATGTATGAATTACAGTCACCACTTGCACTTCTACCACGTCAACTAAGAAATGTTTTGAAATGGGTAAGGTACATGAAGAAAATTTTATTAGAGATGTCTGGTTGTGTTAGATCATTCTAAAGCTTATTTCCATACTCTTTTTTATATTTTTCTATTTATTCATGTTCCTAGTTTAGTCTCATGTCTGAATTATTTAACGTGTGACTATTCTATTCTTCCAAATTATTTTATTAACAGAATTGTTGGGTTACTAAATGGTTGTCAATATTTAAGTTCTCTTACTGTCAATTGATCAGATAAGAAGCAAATGACGGGGGTGATAATTTCTGGTCATTTCATTTCTTCCTGGCTAGCGAATCTCAGAATACTAGCTTTGAAGGTATTTTTTTAAATCACATTACTAGAATGTCAAACATTACTAAAGGCTTCACTTTTTTGTCTTTTTTTCAATCTTTATAGAGACTGACAACAATTACCAACGTGATTGTATTGCAAGTCATCAGGGCAAGGTATTTGGAAAAGTTTTCAATTAGCAATAATCATGCCTCCCATTCCCTCAGGGTCTGCGCTCTTCTATCAATCCAATAAATTTATGTTTTATTTTTAGAGACAGGGTCTCACTCTTTCACCCAGGCTGGAGTGCAGTGGCACTACCATAGCTACCACAGCTCACTGTAACCTCAAACCCCAACTACCTACAATCCAATAATTTTTACCAGTGACAATAGCTTCTTCTTGTAACATGCTTCCCAACTACCTTCATCCCCTAGGTGTGGAACAATCCAGAATTTAGAGCCAGGGATCTAGGTTTGAATCTTCTAGTTCATGAATAAGACAGGCATCAGTTTCCTTATGTCTAACATGGGGATAATAATATTGACCTCAAAGAGACGTTGTAAGGATTAAACATATATGAAAAGAATTATACAAATGCTATGAATAATTAATAATTAATCTGCATTCTCTTGAGGGCCTTTAATGACTCATACATTGCAGAGAATTTCAGGTTCAGTGATAAGTAAATGGGAAGATATTTTTGGATATCTACAAAGTCTCCTACCTTTTTATGCAGAAGCAAACCTGTGCATTAAAAGACAACCGGCTGGGCGCAGTGGCTCACACCTGTAATCCCAGCACTTTGGGAGGCTGAGATGGGCGGATCACGAGGTCAGGAGATCAAGGCCATCCTGGCTAACACGGTGAAACCCCTTCTCTACTAAAAACACAAAAAATTAGCCAGGCATGGTGGCATGCACCCGTAGTCCCAGCTACTCGGGAGGCTGAGGCAGGAGAATTGCTTGAACCCAGGAGGCAGATGTTTCAGTGAGCCAAGATCACGCCACTGCACGCCAACCTGCACGACGGAGCAAGACTCAGTCAAAAAAAAAAAAAAAAAAAAGACAACCAACCCCACATCCTTAGGATGGCTACTATAAAAAAAAGCAAACAAAATATAAATAAAAAAATAACAAGTGTTGGTGAAAATGTAGAGCAATTGGAACTCTTGTGCATTATTGGTGGGAATGTGAAGTGATACAGCCACTATGGAAAATATTGTGGTGGTTCCCCAAAATATTACAAATAGAATTACCATTTGCTCCAGCAATTCTACTCCTGGGAATATATCAAAAAGGACCGAAAGCAGGGACTTGAAGAGATATTGGTACACCCAGGCTCACAGCAGCATTGATCGCAATAGCCAAATGGTAAAAAAAGCAACCCATGTGTCCACTGACAAATGAATACATACACAAAATGTGAGTTTGTGTTTGAATGCATACCTACAATGGAATATTACTCAGCCTTGAAAAGGAGGGAAGTTCTGATAAATGCTACAACATTGATGAACCTTGAGGACATTATGCTAAATGAAATAAACCAGTCAAAAAACGACAAATACAGTGTGATTCCACTAATATAAGGTTAGAGCAGTAAAATTCATACAGACAGAAAGTAGAATGGGGTTGCTAGGGGCTCAAGAGTAGAATGGAATGGGAGTTAGTGTTTAATGAGTACAGAGTTTCAGTTTTGCAAAAATGAAAAGAGTTCTGTGGATGTATGGCGGTGATGGTAGCACAATATGAATGTACTTAATAACACTAAACTGTAAACTTACAAATAGTTGAGATGGTAAATTTTATGTCATACATATTTTACCACATCTTTAAAAGACAATCAACCAAGCTGGCATATCAATGTACTCCATTTCTTACCTGTCTGTAAACAAAGTATCTAAACACCAAAGTTATGTGATTAGAATGTATTATTTTAGGCAGCTTTTATGATAAGGCAAGTCTTCTACACATGCCATGCTCTATAAAGTATAACTGCATAAAAATTGCTTCTCACTGCTTGGGTCCACCTCTTATAAACAGTGCTACCTTGAGTTAGTTACTTAAGCCCTCTTAGCCTTACTTTAGTCATCTGTAAAATGGAAATGCCAATTTTTTTCTACCCTTTATCGTTTTTGTTTTTTTTAAGACCAGGTCTCGGCCGGGTGTGGTGGCTCTCGCCTGTAATCCCAGCACTTTGGGAGGCCGAGGCGGGCAGATCACGATGTCAGGAGATGGAGACCATCCTGGCTAACAAAGTGAAACCCCGTCTCTACTAAAAAAATACAAATATTAGCCGGGCGTGGTGGCGGGTGCCTGTAGTCCCAGCTACTCGGGAGGCTGAGGCAGGAGAATGGTGTGAACCTGGGAGGCGGAGCTTGCAGTGAGTCAAGATTGCCCCCCTGCACTCCAGCCTGGGCAACAGAGCAAGACGCCATCTCAAAAAACAAACAAACAAACCGGGTCTCACTCTGTTGTCCAGGTTGTAGTGTAGTGACACAATCCTTAGCTTACTGCAGCCTCAAATTCCTGGGCTCAAGTGATCCTCCTGCCTCAGCCTCCTAAGGAGCTGGGACTAAGGTGTGTGCCACCACACCCTACTAAGTTTTGTTTGTTTGTTTTTTTGTTTTTGTAAAGATAGGATCTCTCTATGTTCTTTATGTTGCCGAGGCTGGTCTCAAACTCCTGACCTCAAATGATTCTCCTACCTCAGCCTCCCAAAGTGCTGGGATTACAGGTATGAACCACTGCACCCAGCCTCCAGTAGGGTTCTTGTGAGGATTAAGTTAAATGACGTATGCAAAGGGCCTAGCAGACATATGGTACAGGGTTAGTGTTCATTATGCTTGTTTCTTTTTTCAGATAAACTCATTGAAATGACAATTAATTGTATCTTGACTGTCACAGTAAAAAAATTTCAGAAGGACAAATGTATATGGAAGGGACTAGGGTAGTTCCACTCTTTTTCTTGAAGATGATGAGGACATGGCAACCTTGCAGCATGCAGATGTACATTTCAGCTTCAACTTCTCTTTGGCACCACTGGAAGCAATCATTCTCAATATTTATCCTCCCACCTATCACCCATCCAATCTGGACTCTGCCTAGTACCAACAATGGCAAAAGCCCCTACAACAAGGCGCTAAAATTATTTACTATGATTTGCTTTGCCTGAAAGATGCCCCTGTATTTGTTTATAAGCATCATAGACCAAATGCTGAAAGATGTAAATTCCTGGTGGGTTTGGGTGAAAAAGAAATGAGTCAGTGACTCTGAAAACATTTTCTAACTTCTTTACAAAGATGTATTTTGTTCTTTTTGTTTTGTTCTGTTTTTACATTTACTTAACTGGTTTTCCTGCTTTTCAAACAAAGCTATCTTGTACAGAATCTAGTGCCCCCATTACACTAATTGGCAATGTAAATATTTTAGCAAACTCTGTGGGATCACTTTACCCCAGCTTTGGGTGAATGTATAATTTAATGCTACCGAGACAACTCGCACCATCCCATCACTGGATGCTTCAGAATCCAGTGAATTCATTACATGGCAAAGACTTTTGCAAAATTTTGAAACCAGAAGTTAGTTTGCAATGGGGAGGACAAAGCTATGCTTTCTTTTCAGCCCCATGAACGCTCAAAAAGAATGCAGATTGGTAGTTTTATTGCTATTTGCTTAAATCAAAGGGAACAAAATTCTTCCACAAATGCACATGTTCAGAACTCTTGGCCGATTAATTAACTATTGTAACCATAGGGAAGGCTAATTATATTGCGAATCACAAGTTTACCCTGAGTCATGTTGCTCTAAAAATTCTATTTCATGGTCATTAAATGACCTTTATGTAATTCCTTGATATCCTTCCTTTGGTGTTGAAGGAAGTTTGATTTGGAGTGAGATATGCAATAATTATTTTCTGTGTTGATTTTTCCCTCCTTTTTTCCTCTTCTTCCTCCTCCTGCCCCCAATGTGCAGTATTACGGAAGTTGCTGTCAAAGAAGGAAGTTTTAGCAGTAATGAATTGCCAAGGGAAAATGCAATTATTTTCTCAAATAGATTTTTTTCATTTATTATATGATCCACCTTTAGTTGTTCCTATGATTCCTCATTAGAAGCGATGGATCAGGTTTGAAATCTGGAGCTGTTCAGGGGCACCAGCCTGCCTTTCAGGGTTGATGAGATCGATCATAGGAAATGTGATAGAGCTGGCTCAGCCCAAGTTCCTGAGTGACAACACTGCGTCCTGCTCTGGTAGAACTTGAGTCTGTGGCACTCCCCAGTGACAGAACCAGACCCCTAGGTGTGTTAGTGTCAAAAAGGAGCCAGGCAGTTGCTGTGCGTAGCTATTTTGCTACATTTAATCATCTACGTCAGGAAGACAGGATTCATTTATATAATTCAGAATCTTCATTCAAGCAAAGAATATGGTTAGCAAAAAACTGTAGTTTCTCAAAGCCATACAAGCAATTTTATTTGTATTCCTGCAGAAAACTTAATACCAGGCAATTAAAGTAAAAAATACATATTTTTAAGTGGTATTGCTGGGGGAAATTTCTCCATCAGTCTTAATTTTGGCTGTCTCTGTTGGAAGAAGCACATAGTTTTAGTAGGAGGATTTTCATGAAAGGGAATAATAGCTCAAAGTAGTAGCTACTATTTATCGAGTCAACGAAGTGCCAAGCCCTTAAATATGATATCGTTTACCGTCCTTAACATTTCTGAACTTTGTTCTTCACATCTCTTTGAAGGGATTAATAATATCTACCTGGTTGAACAAATGAGAAACATCAAGGTTCTGAGAAATTAAAAGAATTATGCAAAATTCATGCACCTAGTGATTTTATGCTGGTGCAAAAGTAATTGGGGTTTTTGCCATTACTTTTAATACATTTAATAGAATCAATCGTAGTGATGACAAAGGCCACTGTCTTTCCATAGGCTATTAATTTTCTTGATTGAAATAGTTGGCATATTGGAAACACAAGGGAAAGAGTTTTGTAATAACAGCCCTGAAATGCTTCTGTGAGAAAATGATGGTAATTATAATAATGATGACACAACAGTAATAATTATAGCTAATATGTAATAATTATGTATTATATGCCATGTAATGTCCTCAGCCCTTATAATTTTAATTTTATTTAATCCTCAAAATAATTCTGTGATGTAGACAATAGTAGTACTCACCATTTTCTAGAGAACTAAATCAAGGTGCAGAAACCCTAAATGTTGTACTCATTGTAACACAGCTAGTAAGTAGTACAACTGAGAGGTAAACTGAAAATAAATTTAATTAAATGTGTATAGTAAATTTTTTTAAAGCTGCTATCTTAAAATAAGAGTTGAGTTTTGTGATGGTTAGTTTCATGTGTCAATTTGACTGGGCTAAACAGATAGCCAGGTAGCTGGTAAAACATTATTCCTGGGTGTGTTTGTGAGAATGTCTGCAGAAGAAATTAACATTCGAATCAGTAGACTGAATAAAGAGACTGCCCTCAGCAATGTAGGTGGGCACTAGCCAATCTATTGAAGGCCTACAGAGAACAAAGAGGAAAGGTGAATTATCTCTCTCATGTTGATCTGGGACATGCATGTTCTCCTGCCCTGGGACATTGGACATCATAGCTCCTGGTTCTTGGGTCTCAGAAGTCAGGACTTACACCACGGGTTCTCCTGGTTCTCAGGCCTTTGGGCTTAGACTGAAACTATACCACCAGTTTTCCACGGCAGATGGTGGGACTTTTCAGCCTCCAAAATTGCACAATCTAATTCCTTATAACAAATCCCTTTTTATATATCTACATATATTCTATTGGTTCTGTTTCTCTGGAGAATCCTGACTAATACACATTTCATAGGTGAAACAGAAACAAAACTAAATAAACTCTATTGAAATGTAATGACACAAAAGGAACTGCATAACTAAACTTATTGGCTTTTGTAGCATAGAGAGTAGTTTTGAAGTACTCTCATACATTCGCAGCACTTTTATAACCAAAATAGCTTCATTCGATTTACCCTCTTTCTCAGACTGATTCCCTGCCATACTTACCTCCTAGGGGTTTTCCACACTGGTAACATCCTGAATGTTTGTTTGCCTGGTTTAGCCTGAATATGTTCAGGATCTCCTAGAGGTTATCTGTAATATCACACTGTCAATAGGAGACAATAACCCAGTGCATTTTGGCCTGAAAATTCCTCACACCCTAGCATCTGATCATTCGAAGTTAATGGATGCTTCATTTGTTCTGTAAATACAAAGGTCATGCATAAGGTTTACAAAATACCTGGTAACTAAATGGAAAACAAGAACTTTGCTCTGTATTTTCAGACCACTTCCCTCCAAAATTGTTTTTATCTCCATCATTTTTTCAACTCTACCATATTGTGAGTATATCTACCTAGGAACACCCAAATCACTACTTAATTGAATTCACAATTCAACTCCTGAATGGTGACATTCTGCATGATGCTGATAAATGAAGAATATCCTCAAGGGGAACAATGTTAACTGTGTTATACAAGCTCAGAATCCCCACCAGGGAGCTTCCAGCTCTTAATTCCTTCCTTCTATTCCTCTTCTACTTATTACAAGCACTTGCAACATTCTTGCAACAAGAATTCCTAAATTCTTGAGACAGTTCTGGTCAGAAGGTAAACTCTCACACCAGCCATACTTCCACTGGCTGGAGCAAAGAGGGAGTAAGGAAGGAATCTCTGGAGATCGGCGTGCTTCAGAGGATACACTCCTCCTCCACGACACGCTGCACCTCCATGGTTTCAAAGTAGCCTCTGTGCTCCACAGGTTCCGTCCCCCAGCCTCACCTCACATTCTAATTCCTCTAGGGCCCAACTGTCACTTTTGCCGTGGACCCTGCCCTCCCTGTCCTGCTGAAAATTGCAGCCTCCACCGCTTCACCCACTATTTATCCCCTTTCCCTGTTCTATTTATTTTCACATTTATCAACAACTAAAATACAGTACATTTGCCGGGTGTGGTGGCTCATGTCTGTAATCCCAGCACCTTGAGAGGCTGAGGCGGGCGGATCACTTGAGGTCAGGAGTTAGGGACCAGCCTGGCCAATATGGTGAAACCCTGTCTCTACTAAAAATACAAAAAAAAAAATTAGCCAGGTGTGGTGGTGTGCACCTGTAGTCCCAGCTACTCGGGAGGCTGAGGCAGGAGAATTGCTTGAACCCAGGAGGCAGAGGTTGTAGTGAGCCGAGATCTTGCCACTGCACTCCAGCCTGGGCGACAGAGCAAGACTCTGTCACAAAAAATAAATTAATTAAATAAAAATAAAATGCAGTATATTTTACTTATTTGCTGATTTATTTTGTCTCCACAACTAGAACACAATTTGCTTAAAGGCAGAGATTGTTGACAATTTTTTGGGTTATCATATTCCCTACACTTAGAACACCTGGCGTACAAGAAGCTCTTGAGCCATATTTTCGAATGAACAAAATAAGAAATGACTTATTTTCTTAATTCTTTTTCTAGGTACTGATCCTTTACAAGCAGGATTCTACACCATTGGTATAAGGGTATCTGTCTTTGTTCCCTGCAGAAACTGAGTTGTGGTCCATGAGTATAAGCTTAACAATAGACACTGTAGCAAATTGAATCTATTTGTAGGACCATCACAGTTACCTTCCCAACTTGAGTTTCCAGTAGCCCAAGCCCTACTACCCTAATATTAATCAGAACATGAGTGGAATATCTGGGCAAGAACACGTGCACAAAGAAAAGCCAGGGCTCTCTTTGAGACCTTGGCTGTGCCACTACCTTGACATATGACCTTAGGCAGATGAATTAACCCCAAATGTCCTACTCCATAAAACAGGGAGTTGGAGTAAATGATGTTCAAATAACCTTTCATTCTCATCATGCCTTCTAGCCTCCAACCCAATATACTCCACAAAGGAAAATACAGGAGTATAAAGATAGACTGCTAGTATTGCTGCAATACAAAGAGGGCTGAAAAACAAAAATAAGAAAAACTCACAGTAAAGATCAGATTTTTAAAAAGCCATGTTAGCTGTAAATATTTTGAAGAAAAGATGTCAAATACCTACCTTTACTTCTTTTTATCTTTATTTTTAAAATTTTTTATTGTAGAGATGAGGTCTCGCTATATTGCCCAGGCTGGTCTCAAACTCCTGGCCTCAAGGGATCTTCCTGCTCTGGCCTCCCAAAGGTGGTCCTGCAGGCTGGCTAGCCTGAGCCACTGCACATATCCACCTTACTTTTTTTTTTTTTTCTGAGACGAAGTCTCGCTCTGTCACCCAGGCTGGAGTGCAATGGCACAATCTTGGCTCACTGCAACCTCTGCCTCCTGGGTTCAAGCGATTCTCCTGCCCCAGCCTCCCGAGTAGCTGGGATTACAGGTGTGTGCCACCACACCTGGCTAATTTTTGTATTTTTAGTAGAGATGGGGTTTCACCATGTTGGTCAGGCTGATCTCGAACTCCTGACCTCGTGATCCACCCGCCTCAGCTTCCCAAAGTGCTGGGATTACAGGCGTGAGCCACCGCACCCGGCCCACATCCACTTTACTTTTTAAAGAGGTTTTTTTTTTTTTTTTTTTTTTTAGATAAGAGTCTCACTCTGTCACCAAGACTGGAGTGTAGTGGCATGATCTTGGCTCACTGCAACTAGCAGGCTCAAGTTATCCTGCCACCTCAGCCTCTGAGTAGCTGGGACTACAGGCATGCACCACCATGCCTGGCTAATTTTTTGTATTTTTTGCTGGAGATGGGGTTTCGCCATGTTGCCCAGGCTGGTCTCAAACTTCTGAGCTCAAACAATCCGCTTGTCTCAGCCTCCCAAAGTGCTGGGATTACTGGCGTGAGACACTGCTCCCAGCCTTAAAGAGGTTTTACACCCTACTGTGTTTTCTCAATGCTTGTCCCTTCTCTCTATCCCCAAAATGTGTGGATTATAAACTTGTCTTATTTATGGTCTTCATTAAGTTTTCTTGGAAAACACACCTTTTAGAATGAAACTACTTTTAATCTGCAGCTTTATTTCCAGTTAAGAATCCAAACCAAATATTTACATTCTAATAACAATTATTTGAAATGTTATTGTGTCAATCATGAGATTCAATGGAAGTATCTGATAATAAATGAATTTAGGTCAAGGTAAGAAATAAATAGCAAAAACACAAATTCACTCTACAGCAAATGAGACCTATTCTTCCATTCTATTCATTGTAGCACTGCCCGAAATGTACAGATCAGTAGGAAAATAAAGCCTATGCAGTAGGTGCTATATGAAACAGTTTGCATACACTTGACAAAAGTGCACATTTCAGTTAAATTATATAGTGAAATTATACAATTCCTCCCTCCCACACAGTAACATAACAGCAAAACAATGACAAAAGTTCAAAATTAATAGAGAAACATCAAGTAGAGGCCACCAATAAGATCTTAAAATGTGGAATATTTTACTAACAACTATGTAAGTCAAATCTTGGACTCCTGCCTGAATAGATGTAAGATGATCATTTTGATGTATTTGAATGAGTAGTATGTATATGTAAATGTTTTGAGGTCCTGATAGCCGCAAAACTGACAATAAAGGCACAACCAGCTAAAAGTGCCCAAAATAATAATCAAGAAAACACCTGAGCCACGTGTTCTAAAAAGTTAATAATGCAAATGATCAGATGATTTAGATAAGGTTAGTAGTGAAAGAATGTGTAGGTTTTAACTGAATATCACTTATATTGGTAATCTTCCATCTTGGAGTATCAGCACATATAGAAGGCAATTTTCCAAACATTTTATAGTTATATGTGGCAAAGACGGGTTTCAAATTCAATGCCTAGAACAGTTGCAGCACCTAGAAGTACCCAGTAAATATTAATTGAGTAATGAATAAGAAATGGAGGGATGGATTCCTTAAAAGTGGTCTACTATATCCATCATACTAACTCCGGCAAATGCATTTTCCTAGGAAAAGAACAGTCAAGCATATCACAACTAAGATTATAATGGTTCAGTAAGTATAAAAGGGAGTGGGAATTCAATGTGGATACAGAAAAGAGAGAAAGTCCTAAGAAAGTCCTTAGGACACAGGAAGGCCGAAGCCCATTCTTGGCCCATCACTGGGAAGCTAGTTCAGTGGGGTTTAGATCATTTGAAGCATCATGTTTTCATCCTTGATAGCTCTGTGAGAATCAAACTCTAATTTGAGCATTTACAGAGGTGGTAACTTTTGGAATTTAGTGTGATAAAGAGGTGATTACTAAGATGGTGGCCTTTGAGAAATCATTGATTCCTCCCTTCAGTTTCCTTATTAGTAAATAGAGACACCTACCTTACAGGTATTTCCATTAAAGAGGGACATTATGCATATAAAATGAAATAATGCACTAAAAGAAAGTTTGCACTTTTAAAAGAGAGAACTTTTAGACCTAAAGGCGATTTACTCTGTTTTCTTGCCTGAGAGGGTCACCACCCAGGCATAATCATAAATGCATGGAGTCTTCCTACAAGGGGCTTGAGTAATATATTTGATTTGACTTATTATAAAGTGGAGAGGGCAAGGCAGTAGAAAAATTAGGAAACATCTGGAATACTCTAGGATGGCGAAGGCCTAAATAAGGCAATATCAGCAGAATAGAGAGATAAGGCTAAATTTGAGAACTAATTTGATTGGGCTGCAGTTCATGTACAAATATCACAAGGTAGGGTTTATGAAGCTCAGAAAGCAGGAATGAGCAATCTTTCTTCCCTTAATTGATCTCCCAGATCACTGGGTCACTTGTGCTGGGCTAACTGATGAGACGCCATTAGTCTACAAGGTGGAAGTTTGCTCCTGGCAAGTGCACTCATTTTTTTTTCTCTCTCTCTCTCTTTTTTTTTTTTTTTTTTGAGATGGAGTCTCGCTTTGTCATCCAGTGCAGAAGCGCGATCTTCGCTCACTGAGATTGCTCCACCTCCCCAGCCTCCTGAGTAGCTGGGATTACAGGCATGAGCCACCTTGCTCGGCCCAGTTCTGCTTTCTCTGAGTCTTTTTGCCAAGAAGTAGATGAGTCGGTTAAAACTGGAATGAGGCTGGACTGTGGCACGCACCCGTAGTCCCAGATACTCAGAAGGTTGAGATGAGAGGATCTCTTGCACCCAGGAGTTTGAGACCAGCCTGAGCAACATAAGGAAAAACAAAAACTTAAAAAAAAAAAAAAAGTTGATATTGCCAGGTGTAAGATGAACAGGACACCATGCTTCTTCCAAGGGCAGGCTGTGCTGTGAAATGTCAACAACAGTCCCCTTTTTTGAGTGACTACTTCTTTCTAACTCATTGGAAAATCTTGCTTCCTATGCTCATAGACTATCAGAAAATTTGATTTTTGAAATTATGTCAGTAAAAATGAAACCTCCCATAATTGCTTGTAGGATCTAACTCACTTTGACAACAGAGACATGGCCCCGATTTACAACTCAAGTACAGAGCTTCAGATAAGGAGTTTCCCAAGACAGCATTCCACATTTATCCAAGGAAACAGAACCCTTGGTCACAGCCCAAACCTCATGTTGACTCCCAGCTCTGCTTTGCTTTGAGCCTATCAAAACTCCACTTCATGGTTCCTCTAGTTTGCAGTATCTCTACTGTAACATTGAGTCAATGAACCTGACTTTGTGGGACTGCAGGTTTTGTCCTTGATGGTCTTAGGCTGGTTGGATTGGACACACTATTCTATTCCGTGTTAATGCCATTCTTTTCATTATTATAGCTTAATTACATGTTTCTTTTTTCATTGCCTTATCAAAAGGTTCTCAGGGCTGGAGGCAGTGGCTCACACCAGTAATCCCAGCACTTTGGGAGGCTGAGGTGGGTGGATCACAAGGTCAGGAGATCGAGACCATCCTGCCCAACATGGTGAAACCCTGTCTCTACTAAAAATACAAAAATTAGCTGGGCATGGTGGCGGTGCCTGTAGTCTCAGCTACTCGGGAGGCTGAGACAGGAGAATCACTTGAACCTGGGAGGCGGAGGTTGCAGTGAGCCGAGATCGTGTTACTGCACTCCAGACTGGCAACAGAGTGAGACTGACTCCGTCTCAAAGAAAAAAAAAAAAAAAAGTTCTCAATTTTTTTTGTCTTAGAACCTTCCTTTATTTACACTCTTAAAAAGTTTTGAGGACTCCAAAGAACTTTTATGTTATAGCAATTAAAACTGAGAAATTTTAAAAATATATTTCACTACTAAGCTCATTACATGTTAACATGAATAGCATATTTTTAAGTGAAAAATACCTGTATTTTCCAAAACCAAAAAAGTTTAATGGTAAGAATGGCATTATTTTATATTCTTGCACATTTCTTTAATGTCTGGCATAACAGAAGACGTTACCTGTTTCTGCATTCAATCTGTTGTGATATCACATATTATGGAGCCACTGGAAAACTTCATCATAAATTCATTTAAAAAATGGGAGAGAAAAAGGAGTGGAAAAAAGTCTTATTATTAAAGTAATTTTGGTCCTGTGAACCTCCCGAAATGGTTTCAGAGACCGCCCCCTGACCCCCAACAAATTTCCCCTAGACCACACTCTGAGAACCACTGGACTTAGCTCTTCTAGCTTCTGTAGTTTTCATATGAATTCTAGAATATATTTGTCTCTTAATTTGGGAGGTAGTAATTATGTGTTTAACATCTTGTCTTCTAACTTAGGATTCCAGTGTCTTTCCAATTATAAATAGTCTGTCAACAATCCTGCATTTTTAAATTTTTTCCCACTTTTCTCCTATATTTCTCATTTTTTATCATTCTTAGTTATTTCATGTTCTTTCATGCTTCTATTGTGAATGGGATCTATTTTTCTATTGTATTTTAATTGGGTGTTGTTTGTCTCTATTGAGATTGTGACTTTATTTTGCATGTGAGCACTCAGTTGCTCTAATTCTTAAAATCTCCCAGGTATGTCCAAATGGCCATAATTATGTTGAATAATATATTTGCTGTGATCTGTTTTTGATGAGATAACTTCTTGATTTGAAGCTGTTCATATATGTTAGGCTTTTGATTCAATATAATCCCTATTACAAGTCCACTATTCAATTTCTAATTTTTTTTTTTTTTTTTTTCGAGACGGAGTCTCGCTCTATCGCCCAGGCTGGAGTGCAGTGACGTGATCTCGGCTCCGTCACTGCAAACTCTGCCTTCTGGGTTCACGCCATTCACCTGCCTCAGCCTCCCAAGTAGCTGGGACTACAGGGGCCTGCCACCATGCCCGGCTAATTTTTTTGTATTTTTTAGTAGAGACGGGGTTTCACTGTGTTAGCCAGGATGGTCTCGATCTCCTGACCTTGTGATCCGGCCGCCTCGGCCTCCCAAAGTGCTGGGATTACAGGCGTGAGCCACCGCGCCCGGCCCAATTTCTAAATTTTAAAGCTACTTTAAGAGGAAGGGTCTTGAATATACTGAATGACCTTTTGAAACAGATTTTTAACATCACATTTTTTCCTTAAGATATGCATTGATTAGGATTAGATGACCTCTCTTTGGTCTCTTCTATAATTCTCATTTAGATAACATGAACGACAGACCCATTGAGATAATTAACAGAATCAAAGGATGTTTTGGTTGTAGTTCTCACCTGTTCAATGGATGAAGGTATAGCAATACCCAATATGTCCCTAGAGACTGTTCAAGAGAATCTGGCCATCAGGGTCCCCCCAGGTGAGCCCTGTGTGACAGGAGACCACAGAAGGTCTGGAAAGGATTGCAAAGGACCAAGTAGAGGGTTGGTGACTAACGGGCTGCCTCCCGAGGGTAGAAGTTCTTGCCTTTAACTTCAGCCCCAGCCCCAAACTCCTTAGCAGTCTGCAAAAGGGAACTGGACCCTGGGAGCGATCTCATTAGCCACTCACTATCCCTCTTGGACCTGAAACCCATTACATTTTCCGGGTCCGAGACCCTCGTAGTGTGGGGAATTTCCTGGGAGGAAGATACTACGCGGGGCCGGGAGCAGAATTTGCTCCAGGCACTGGGCCAGTCCATGAGGGCTCCAGGATCCAGGGGCCCCACTCCCTTCTCGCCGGGCTCCGGGCCAAGGAAGCGCGGCCGGAGTCCCGGGAAGCCCCTCGGCAGCCAGCCAAGGGCCCTGCGAGGATGTGGATGGCGCGGATGGCGCGGCCTCCACCTGCGGGCAGTGGAGAGAGCGGCGAGAGGAAGAATATTCCCCGCGAGCCGGGATAAGGGGCCCCTTCGGCTCGGTTGACCCAGGTCAGATCCTCCCGCCGACCTTCGGCCCGCCCTCTACAGGCGGCCCAGTTCTTCCCCTGCTCGGCTGCCCCTGCCCGCCCCTCGAGGGAGCGCCCGTAGCCAGCGCCCCCGTAAAGAAATAAGGAGGCGCCCGGCTTCCCGCCCAGGTACGTGTCGGGACAGCGCAGGGGACTGGCTTGGGGCGGCGGTGGGTAGCGGCGCCCGCGCGGCGCTGGAAACGGCCCCGCTTCCTTGGACCCCGGGGCTTGCAGGGCGGGCCCGGGGCTCTCTGAGCGCGAGGCTGCCGCGACCGCCCGCCCGCCCAGGTCAGATCCGGAGGACCTGTGTGTTTGTCGGGGCCTGGGGTGAGAGAGGGGACTCGAGGGGAGAAGTAGAGCGGGAAACCAAGAGGGGGAATGTGAGGCTTGAACGAGCTGGATGGGAGAGCTCGAGGGGAGGAGAGGGATGAACTTGAGGGGGAAACGGGGGCGGGGGTGAACTCGAGGGGGAGCCAGGAGGAGGGAACGGGAAGGGTGAACCTGAGGGGTGGACTTGAGGGAAGATCTTGTGGGTGAACCCGAGGAGGGAACGCGAGGGGATAGTGAGGGGGGATCTCGAGGAGGGAACGTGAGGAATGAACTTGAGGAGGGAACGGGAGGGGTGAACGTGAAGTGGAAACAGGAGGAGGGAACGGGAAGGGTGGCGTAAGGGGTGAAGGAAGATCTTTAGGGGTGAACTTGGGAAGGAAACGTAAGGGGAGGACCTCGAAGAGTAACGAGGGGCGAGAACTGAGGGGGCCCTGCAGGGAGACTGGAGGGAGGAGGCGCCGAGTCTGGCGGGTGTCGCCTCGGAGACCTGTGGCGCGCGCGGGCTTTGCGGCGCCGCCCACAGGTGGCGCTGGGTCGGCCCGTCCCTGAGGGAACTGCGTTCCGGGTGATTTCTCAGAACAAGCAGGTCGGTGGAGCTGGGCTCCCTGCAACCCCAAATGCATCCGTAAAGGAGTTTTAATTTTAAGGAGAAAGAGCAGACAAGAAAAGTATGATCATTATTGAGAAATAGAGAAACCTACCAGGAAAGGATGTCCTTTCAAGTCTGCTCACCAACAGCTCTGTTCTGTTCTCCAAGTAGTTGCTAACTCGCACCTTGCTACTATCCCCCTTCCAGAAAAAAAATTTTATTATTGTTAGAATGGAAATTGGCCATAAGCCTTGAAATGACTGTTGTAATGCCACTGAACCCTACACACTAAGCGTTTTTGAAAACTCAAAAGAATCTTCATTTCTGGTTGTTTCTAGTTTTCTTGGTGAATTAACTAATTGTACAGGTGCACTTAAACCTTCTTAAGCATTTTTATAATTCAGACGGATCTGGTAGCTTGAGAGTTGTTTAATGCCAGCATATGAAATGAGGGGCTTTAAGTTCCTTGTTCATTGTGTAAAAGTGCGAAAACTTAGTTACTGAGGAATAAACTATTTGTCTTGCCCTTCTACCTAGAAGTTTCTAAGTTCAACTTCTGATTATTTTCCCCAGATCCTGAATGTTTACTCCCATAAAGCCATGATCTTTTTGTTTTGGGTTACAGGCCCAGGGCCCCAGTGCAGCCTGGACACAGTATTCAAAGTTTTGGCGTCTGAGCATTGTTATGCGTTATTTTCAAGCTTTGCTAACGGTAGGTGATAAAATTGACAAGTGTTCTGGGTTTGCCAGAACCTAAGTGCCAAGTTTTGACAGATAAATTGGGTGCATGTTATTCGTGCCATATTGATTTTTATTACATTATAAAAGATAATTATTTTAAAATGGGAAAATTTACAGATGCATAAGCTTTCAAAGATAACATGGGCTTTATGAATATATTGATGAGATGTCTAGCATGTGAAAAATTACATTCATTTGTCTTAGTCCTTTAAAATTATTATTTGGGGACGAAAATGCAAACTAAAAGATTCAATTTTGTAATCTTTAATATCAACTTAATATATATGTGTATATATACATATATTAAAATTTGGTCATGTCACATAATTTGATAGCATCATCTTGTCCTTTTTCGACTGCATCTTTATAGCCTAATTTTTTTTTTGCATATATTCTTTGAAAAATAACTTTCTCTGTCAAATCCAAAATATTTGAAGGTCCATTATTTGCTACAAGTGGTTTTGATAAATAAATATTTGGAGGCTGAAATACCCTTTAGAATGTATAGTTCTTTTATATAAATCATATAAAGTTTGTAAAATGTTTATTATGTAAATAATTTTTGCAGTGTTATTTCCAGCTGCGTTTTCTTTTTCTTTTTATAAACAAGGATCCTTTCATTAGTTTTGTCCGGGAATTGATAATTTGAATGATTGTACCTAACAAACAAACTCCCTCCCCCTAGTAATAGGAAACAAATTCAGTTATTCATTAGAGGGTAAATAGAAGATTTCTGATAAGCTTTCAAATTGATACACAGACGATCCCTTACTACTTTGGCGACACATTGGGAGTTAGGAACCTCAAGTTGGGAAGCATTACTCTTTTGAACTAAAATCATCTATCATTGGACACGTAATTTCTACCATGAACTTAAACATTATGACCTTAAAAACTTTCTAATCTTCAGTTTTCTTTTATGAAAATATGGGTTACAGTAATGCTTTTCTAAAGGGCTTCTCCTGATAATTAAGTGACATACTGCATGTAAAACTTTAAGCACAGTAGGTACCTGGAATATGGTAAGCAGTTAAAAAAAATAGCCACTGTTAATATCCATTTTTCCTGATATCTGAGGGTGATTAGACAATGTCGATATGTTTATAGTTATAGATCATGTCTTGATAAAAAATGCAGAACCTCATATAGAAGTCGTATGCGATAGTTTCAAGCCTGAAATTGGCCTTTAGAAATGTTTCTTTGGGTCAGCTCAGTACTTTAAAATAATTGATTTACTTACCGGTATTTTCAAATTAGTAAATTTTGTGTAAGTTCCTGGAGTCCTGGCTTCTCCTGAAAAAAATGGAGGACCAGGCAAGACAGCTCTTGCAACTGCTCATGGCAGAAGCCAGGATGAGTTGCCCACTTTGGGTGGGGTATACATTCTCCACTTTGCCACATTGCTGCCATCCTCTGCCTTTATTTCATCAAGTCCTGCTTCACTCATATATTTTACCTCCCTCACTCCTGCAGACATTTGAGTTTGTGATTTCAGACTCTGGAAATATCCCTTACTAACTTGAACGGTTAATTATATGGCTCACACAATAGCTTAACTGTCATCCTTTGAAAAGGAGAATAATCCTGTATTGCAATTTACGAAACAGTTCCTCATAAAACTCAGGTGATGCTTATATCAACTCTGAGAATTTGTTCAGACATGCATTATTATCCCATTTTACAGCTGTGGACATTGACTTTTAGGTTTATACTAAAACTTAAAGTAATGATCTGGTGACTTAAAGTTTTTTGGAGGCTCACTAACACCACCTTTTAAAGATGGAGATTTTTTTTAAAGGAAATTATAGTCTTTCTTTTGGTTCTAGCATTTATTTTAAGAAGTACTTTTATCCTCATAAAGGGAGAAAATGAATGGTGGAGAACGGAATACAAATACAAAAGTATTTAAGTAGATTTTGTATTTCCTCTTTGCAAAACATTTTTAAGCAAATTGAAGGGAATAAAACATTGGTTATGGCTCATTCAAAACAGAGCATACATGTAACTGGACAAGGTCTGTTTTAAACTATACTGTTATTGGAAAGCTGGAAAGAATGTGTGTCCAGTTCATGTGGTCTGTAATTAAGCTAGACCAGATTTCTGTGACCAGTTAAGCTAGACCCATTCCTCTGTTTTAATGTTCTGTAAGAAAGGAGACACCCGAAACTTGTTTGGCGATTCAGACTAGTGTTTTACAGGGCAAATTTAATTTTTTGTAGGTTTCTTTGAACCAGGAGGGCTTTGTTTTATTATTTTCATAGTCATTCCAGGAGAATAATCTATAGAATAAATTAAAATCAGGCATATTGCATTTACGGGTGTAGTAACTGTGTATGGTCCTGCTGATATGTGACTGTGTATGAGAGACGTTCAAACCAGTCTGATAGAGGCTTGGGGAAAGCATCTAGGCAAAGACAACAGGTCCTGGGGCAGAAAAGGGTTTAACAATGTTGTAAGTCCCGTCGGAAGGCAATTGAGGCTGAAGTCACTGAGAGTGGTGAGAACACAGGAAAGTCAGAAATGGCCAGATCATTCAGGGTCTGGAGAACTTGGTAAAGAATGTGGATTTTGTGGGGTTTTTAGCAGGAAAATAAGATGATCTGATTTCTATGCTGAGATCATCCTGGCTACTCTGTGGAGAGAGACAAAATTCTATAGCTGACCAGCTGAAACTCCAGTGTGTTTCTTCCATCATAGGCAGCAACTTCTTTTGAATCTGATGTAATCCTTATGTGATGCAGTGTAAGCAGCTTGACAGAAGTGGGTCCATAAAGGGAAGGATCTGTGAATAGTATTCTACAGAATATACATGATGAATGTGTATAAAAGTGAGACTCATGATATTAAAATATTGCTTGGTTTTGAGTAAAGCCATCTGCTGTCTTCTTAGCATGTTCTATATCAATGAGGCAATTTATATTTTCATTAAAAAGTCCTGCTTTCTGCATGTATTTTGGAAAGTTAATGATTAAATTTATTGATATTTGCATTATATTAGAAAAGAAAACATGCCCGTGTTCACTTATGAAGCAGTTATTACTAAGGTGGGTTTCTAGCCTCTTTCACCAATAGATTTGGTCATTACATATGAAGTATTATGAGATACAGAACTTGGAGAGAATGATTTTTTTGTTTAACTTATGTACTCTCCTTAGAGGTTATATGAGTAAAGAATTAAGTGTTTGGAGTTAAAATATGAAGGCACATGAATGCAGTCATTTCAAGAAAAATAGCTTTTTTCTTTCTATTTTTCCTTCTGTAATATTTCTAGGAAATTGTCCATCTAATCTGGTTTTAGATTTATTAATATAAAATTATCTTTTTAGTCTCTGCTCTAATTTGTTAGTCTTTTCATCCTTAATGTTGCACATCTCTACCTTCTTTCTTGCTAGTTTTTTCTTGATCAATCTTGACAAGGATCTCCCTATTTAAAAAAAATTATCTTTAAAGAACTATTACATTTATGAATCCCCTAATCTTTTTTTCCTGTAATGTTTTTCTTTAATTTATACCCTTCTCTTTTTCTACTGTCATTGGTTTTATATAATTTTAGCTTTTCTTCCTTTCTAATGTAAAATTTGAGGCTATATATTTTCCTCTGTGCACTACTTTAGTTGCTGGTCATACATTTTGTTGAGTAAATTTTTCATTATTATTCAGTTCTAAGTCTATTTTAAAATGTTCATTATGTTTACTCTTTGACTTTTAAATTGTTTAGTGCCTTTTTAAGGTATGCAATTGTATAGTTGTTTTTTTTTAACAATGTAGCTTGCAGTAGTTAATTTCTTACTTAATTGCATTGCAATCATACGTGCTCAGAGAGTGTATCTATTCTTTTTTGTATGTAGGATTTCATATGTATTCTGGCATATCCATTAAATTCTCCTTGTTAATTATGTTGTTCAAATTTTATTTATCCTTACAAACATTTTTTTGTTTAGTTAATCAAAAAATTACTGAGAAGGTATGTTAAAATCTCCCATTAAAATTGTGAATTTATTTCTTTATTTCTTTCAGCCTTTATTTGACATGTTTTGGGGTTCTGTTTTGAGTTTTTGTATTTTCTTGATGAATTAAGTTTTTGATTACTATGTAGTGGCCATCATGCCTCTAATAAATATTTTTGCTTTAAAATATATTTTGCCTGATATTGAGCTAGCCACATCACTTTCTTTTATTGAGGATTACATGGTACCATTATTGTACTTCCATTCTTTTCTCTCTGTTTAGGTTTTAGGTGGATGTCTTTCAAACAGCCTGTAGTTACCAATTTCTGTCTTTTCACTGGTGAGTGTAGTCCAGTTATAATTATTGTGGTTACTGGTATATTATAATGATTTCCACTTGTTATTTCATGCTGTCTATTTCTACTGCTTTTTCTATGTTTCCTTTATTCTCCTTTCTTGAATTTTTTAATTGAATGACTTTTGTAAAGTCAGGTTTTTTTTTTCTGCTAATATTTTGGAGACTATACATGGTAATCTGAGATTCTGCTGTTACAAGTATTTGACATGTATATTTTTCTTTTAAAGTCTAAAGTTATTTCTAACTGCTTCCTGAACTATATGAGGAACGTAGAACATTTTAAATCCTATCACATTTCCACTTTTGATTATTACTGTTCAATCTTGTCCAACAGAGCCCATTATTGTATCCTACAATTATATAACATACAGTTTCTTTGCTGTTTTTGGTAATTTAGACCTTTCTTGCGGGATCATTGTCATTCTTGAAACATATCCTTTAGAAGTGCTCTTTCTCAGGGGTCAGTGGTGTTAAACTTTTTTTCTGAAAAATACCTTCATTTTGCCTTTCATCTTGAAAGATACTTTTATGGGTACTTTTGTTAATTTCAGATTAACAATTATTTTCTTTCAGTGTTTTGAATATATTATGCTACTGTCTTCTTTTGAAAAACCAGCAATCATTCCAATTATTTTCCTCTGTATGTAATAACTCTTTTCTATCTGGTTGACTTTAAGAACTTCTTACTGTCTTTGATGATGCTGTATAGTTTCATTGTGGTATATATAAGTGTGGATTTCTTTTTATTTATCTTATTTGAATTTTCCTGAATTGGAGTGTTCTACCTTTCAACTATTTTGGAAACTTCTCAGTCATTATTGATTGCCTTTTCTCCATTCTCTTATTTTCTTCTCAAATTCTGATTAGATTTGTATTAGGCTGAATCAGTCAAGAAAACAGTTAATGCCATATAGTTCAACAGAAGGAATTTAATATGGAGAATTAGTGACAAATGTTTGTCATATCTGAAAGCCAAATAGGGGATAGTGAGGCAATTTAAAAGTTAACAGTAGCAAAAGACTGTTGTCACTTCTCAGGCTGCAGGAGGTAGTCTTAGCAGAACCCAGAATCCGAGGCTATCTAGAACCCTGACAGTTTCTGTCCTACAGGGACAGGGACCATAGAGAGCCACAGCAACTGATGGAGACATCACCATAGAAAGCAAAGAAAGCAGAGGAAAAATATTTTGATTTCTCCTTTCTCTCTACTTGGGACTCACTGGCAGAATTTCTCAGGGCAGGAAGCCAGCTGGACAAGGAGTGTAGGAAATACGGTTTTGAGATGTCGGTCCCCGAGATTCAGGAGATGGATGATCATGCATGGATCTGAGAGCATCCTGGTCATCCCATTCTCCTCTCCCTATCTTTTAACTTGTTTTTCACATTTTTCTATTATTTTGACCCCCTGTATTACATTCTGGGTAATTATATTGCTGTGGTAAAACATAAATTACATAAAATTTACCCTTTAAACTATTTTTAAATGTGCAGTTGAGTGGTATTAAGTACAGTCACATTGTTGCCCAACCTTTAACACCATCCATCTCCAGAAATTTTTTATTTTCCCAAACTGAAACTCTGGATTCAACAAAATTCCTGTTCTCTCTTACCCCAGCTGCTAGCAACCACAATTCTACTTTTTGTCTTTGAATTTGACTATTTTAAACATCTCATATGAGTGGAATCATATAATGTTTCCCTTTGCGACTGGCTTATTTTTCTC
The DNA here is from genome assembly GCF_000001405.40 of Homo sapiens. NCBI lineage: Eukaryota > Metazoa > Chordata > Mammalia > Primates > Hominidae > Homo > Homo sapiens. Next base: position 25,941,887 of record NC_000010.11, read on the forward strand.
AACATAACGTCTTCTCGGCTCATCCCTCTCATACATGTTGTAGTATGTGTCAAGTTTCCTTTCTTTTTAAGGCTGAATAATATTTCTTTTCTTTTCTTTTCTTTCTTACTTTCTTTTTTCTTTTTTTTTTTTTTAGATGGAGTCTCTCTCTGTCGCACAGGCTGTAATGCAGTGGCATGAGTTCAGATCACTGCAATCTCTGCCTCCTGGGTTCAAGTGATGCCTCTGCCTCAGCCTCCCAAGTACCTGGGACTACAGGCATATGCCATCACACCTGGCTGATTTTTATATTTTTGTTAGAGATGGGGTTTCACCATGTTGGCCAGGCCGGTCTTGAACTCCCGACCTCAAGTGATCTGCCTGCCTCAGCCTCCAAAAGTGCTGGGATTACAGGCATGAACCACCGCGTCCAGCCAATTAATAATCTGTAGGTGTATACAGCATTTTGTTATCCATCTGTCAGTGGACATGTAGGTTGTTTCTGTCTTTGGCTATTGTGAATAATACTGCCATTAATGTGGGTGTACAAATATCTCTTTGAGCCTTTGATTGAATTCTTTGGCTTATATTCAAGAGATGAAATTTTTATCCTATGGTAAGTCTATATTTACTTTTGTGAAGAACTGCTGTACTATTTTCCTCAGCAGCTGCAATATATTCCTGCTAGCAATGCGCAAGAGTTCCAATTTCTCTACAACATTAACAACACTGAAATCGCTTTCTGGGTTTCTTCTTTCTAAATAATAACTTCTAATGAGCATGAAGTGGTATTGCATTGTGACTTTTTGATTTGCATTTTCCTAATTATTAGGATGTTGTACATCATTTCATATGCTCATTGACCATTTGTATATATTATTTGGAGAAACTTCTAGTCAAATCCTTTGCTCATTTTTTAATTGGGTTTTTTTTTTTTTAGTTGTAGAGTTATTTATATATTCTGTATGTTAACCCTTTATCAGATATATGATTTGCAAGTGTTTTTTCTCATTGTGAAGATTGTCTTTTCACTCTGTTGTTAATGTTTTGTACATTCCTTGATATCCAAAAGTTTTGGTTCTTACCAAGTCCAATTTATGTATTTTTTCTCTTCTGCTTGTGCTTTTGGTGTCATATCCGAGAAATCATTGCCAAATCCATTTTCATGAAGCTTTTCCCTTATGTTTTCTTCTAAGTGTTTTATTATTTTAGCTCATATGTTTAAGTCTTTGATCTATTTTGAGTTAATTTTTATATATGATCTAACAGTAATGTTCTTTTGCATGTGGATATCCAGTTTTTCCACCACCACTTGTTAACAAGACTGTTTTTTCCCTATTGTTGGAAATCATTTGACTATATTTCTGGGCTATTTCACTCTATTTGTCTATGTGTACCAGTACCACAATGATTTGATTACTGTAGCATTGTAGTAAGTTTTGAAATCAGGAAGTATAAAACCTCCAACTTTGTTCTTCTTTACAAGATTACTGGAGATCCTTTGAGATTCCATATGAGTTTTAGGATGTATTTATTTCTATTTCTGCAAAAAACATTGGGATTTTGCTAACAATTGCATTGAATTTATAGATCACTTTGGGAAATATTGACATTTAACCAATATTAAATCTTCTAATCCATGAACACAGATATCTTTCCATTTATTTGTGTGTTCTTTAATTTCTTTCAGCAATGTTTGTACTTTTCAATACACAAGTCTTTCATCTCCTTGGTTAAGTTTATTTCTAAGTATTTTATTCTTTTTGATTCTATTGTAGATTAAATTGTTTTCCTAATTTCTTCTTCTGGTTGTTCATTGTTAGTGTACAGAAAAACAACAGATTTTTGCATGTTGATTTTGTATCCTGCAGCTTTGCTGAATTCATTAATTAGTTCTAACATTTGTGTGTGTGTGTGTGTGTGTGTGTGTGTGTGTGTGATTCTTTAGGATTTGGTACATATAAGATCAAATAGTCTGTGAACAGAGATAATTTCAATTCTTTCTTTCCAGTCTGAATGCTTTTATTTATGTTTCTTGCCTGATTGCTCTGACTGGGATTTCCAGTACTATGTTGAATAGAAATGGTAAAAGTGGACATTTTTGTCTTGTTCCTGATCTTAGGAAAGAAGCTTTTAGTCTTGCACCATTGAATATAATGTTAGCTACAGGCTTTTTATAAATGGTTATTATGTCAAGGTCGTTTTTTTCTATTCTTAGTTTGTTGAGTGTTTTTATTTTGAAAGGGTGTTGAATTTTGTCAAATGCTTTTGCTGCATCAACTTAAATGATCATGTGTTTTTTCCCCTTTCTTCTGTTAATATGGCATATTACATTGATTGATTTTCATATGTTGAATCATTTTTGTATTCCAGAAATAAATCACCATTGGTCATGGTGTATGATCCTTTTAATATGCTGTTGAAGTTAGTTTGCCTGTATTTTGTTGAGGATTTTTGCATGAATCTTCACAGAGATATTCATCTCCAGTTTTATTCTCTTGTAGTGCCATTGTCTGGTTTTGGTGTCAGGATAATGCTGGCCTCATAGTATGAGTTAGGAAGTGTGCCCTCTTTTTAATATTTTTGGAAGAGTTTGAGAAGGATTGTCGTTAATTATTCTTTAAATGTTTGGTAGAATTCACCAGTGAAGTGATCTGGTCCTGAGATTTTGTTGTTATTGTGGTAGAGAAGTTTTTGATTACTAATTCAATCTCTTTTGTAAGTGATACCTCTTCAGATTTTCTACTTCATCATGATTCAGTCTTGGTGAATTGTGTGTTTCTAGGAATTTGTCCACTTCATCTAGTTTATCCAATTTGTTGGCATACAAATGTTAACAGTACTCTCTTATAATCATTTTTAATTCTCTGTAATTGGTAATAATTTTCCCTCTTTGATTTCTTGCTTTAGTTATTTATGTCCTCTCTCCTAGTAAATCTGCTTAAAGGTTTTAAAGGTTTCGAAGAATCAACTCATGGTTTTGTTGATTTTCTCTACATTTTTATTCTCTATTTTATTTATCTCTGCTGCATCTTCATTATTTCCTACTTTTTTTGTCACCTTTAGGTTCAGTTTGCTCCTCTTATTCTTGTTCCTTAAAGTGTAAAGTTACGTCATTGATTTCATATTTTTCTTCCTTTTTAAATTTAAGCTTTTAGAGCAACAAATTTATCTCTTAGCAGTACTTTTGCTGGATTCTGTAAGTTTTGCTATGTTGTATTTTTATTTTCATTTGATTCAAGATATTTTCAGTTTTCTCTTGTAATTTCTTCTATTGGTTGTTTAATAGTGTACTGCTTAATTTCTACATATTTGTGGATTTTCCAGTCTTCTAGTTTCATTACATTTTGATCATAAAGGATATTTAGCATAGCATGTTTTCAGTCCCTTTAAATTCATTAAGGCTTGTAATGCAGTCAAACACATAGTCTATCCTGAAGAATATTCCTGTGCACTTGAGAAAAATGTGTATTCTGTCACTGTTGGGTGCAGCATTCTGTATATGTCTGTTAGATCCAATTGGTCTATAGTGTTGATCGTGTCCTTTATTTCTGATTTTCTGTCTCATTGTTCTATCCATTACTGTGGATATTGAAATCTACTATTATTGTAGAGCTGTCTGTTTTCCCCTTTAGTTCTGTCAGTGTTTGTTCATATATTTTGGAGCTCTAAATTTTGGTACATATATGTGTATAATTGTTATGTCTACTTGGCAAATTGACCATTTTATCATTTTCCCATTTTCTTCTTTGTCTCTTGTAAAAGTTTATGACTTGAAGTCTTTTGTAGATAGTATATAGTTGCATCAGATGTGTTCCTTTATAAAATTCATTCTGCCAATCTGTTTTTTGATTGGAGAGTTTAATCCATTTACATTTAAAAGACCAATAGAGAAGAACTTACCATTATCATTTTTTGGTTGTTTTTCGATGTTATAACGTTTTTGTTACTCATTTCCTCTAATACTATCTCCCTTGTATTTAGTGTATATTTTGTAATGACATGTTTTGATTCTTATTTTCTTTGTGGTTACCATGGGGATTATACATAACATCCTGAAATTATAGCAACTTATTTTAAACTGATACCAACTTAACTTGATTGCTTATAAAAATTCTACTGCTTTACAGCCCTGCCCCCACACTTTATGTTATTGATGTCACAAATTACGTTTTATATATTGTATCCCCACTTAACATAGATTTATAAGTATTTTTATGTATTTGTGTTTGAAATTCAAGATAAAAAAAGTGGCATTAACTAAAATTACAATACTACTGGGTTTGATAATTTTCCATGTAATTACTTTTACTGGAGAACTTTACATTTTCATGAGACTTCAAGATATTGTCTAGCATCCATTCATTTCAACCTAAAGGGCTTCATTTAGCATTTCTTGTAGGGCAGATGGAGTGGTAATGAACTCCATCCATTTTTGTTTATCTGGGAACAAAAATTAATTTTTTTTCTCATTTTTGAAGGATAGTTTTCCAGATATAGAATTCTCAGTTGACAGGTTTTTATCTTTCAGCACTTTAAATATATTATCCCTCTGCCTTCTAGCTTGCAAGATTTCTGCTGGGAAATTCACTGATAATCTTGAGAGTCCCTTGTATGTGATAAATTGCTTTTCTCTTGCTGCTTTTAAGTTTCCCTTTTTTTTTTTTTGTCTTTGTCTTTTCACAGCTTGATTATAATGTCTTGGCATGGGTTTCTTTAGATTTGCCTTGCAGGCCAGTTGTGGTGGCTCACACCGGTAATCCCAGCACTGTGGGAGGCCGAGGCGGGTGGATCACGAGGTCAGGAGATCAAGACCATCCTGGCTAACACGGTGAAACCCCATCTCTACTAAAAATACAAAAAATTAGCCGGGCATGGTAGCGGGCACCTGTAATCCCGCTACACGGGAGGCTGAGGCAGGAGAATGGCGTGAACCTGGGAGGTGGAGCTTGCAGTGAGCCAAGATCACACGACTGCACTCTGGCCTGGGTGACAGAGTGAGACTCCGTCTCAAAAAAAAAAAAAAAAAAAAAAAAAAAAAAGATTTGCCTTGCAATTCAGTGAGCCTCTTGGATTTCTAGATGCATGTCTTTCCTTAAATTTGTGAGGTTTTTGGCCATTATTTCTTCAAATAAGCTCTCTTCCCCTTTCTGTTTCTCTTTTCTATCTTGAACTCTCATAATGTATATATTGGTCTTGTTGGTGGCGTTCTATATATCCCTTAGGCTCTGTTTATATTCCTTCGTTCTTTTTTCTTTTTGCCCTTCAGATGATAATTACAAGAAATTTGTCTTCAAGTTCACTGACATTTTCTTCTGCCTATTCAAGTCTGCTCTTGAACTCCTTTAGTAAGATTTTCAATTCAGTTATTTTATTTTTTATATCCAGAATTTCCATTTGGTTCTGTTTAATAAATTTATCTGATTTTGTACAGTCTGTCTTATTATAGATACTTTCACATGTTCCGTCTATCTCTATTCTCTGAAAAAAAATGCATAAGATGGTATTATTTCTTTTCTTTTTCTTTTTTTTTTTTTTTTTTTTTGAGACAGAGTTTTGCTCTTGATACCCAGGCTGGAGTGCAATGGCATGACCTTGGCTCACTGCAACCTCCGCCTCCCGGGTTCAAGCGATTCTCCTGCCTCAGCCTGCTGAGTAGCTGGGATTACAGGGATGCACCACCATGCCCGGCTAATTTTGTATTTTTAGTAGAGACAGGGTTTCTCCATGTTGGTCAGGCTGGTCTCGAACTCCCGACCTCAGGTGATCCACCCACCTCTACCTCCCAAAGTGTTGGGATTACAGGCGTGAGCCACTGCGCCTGGCAAAGATGGTATTATTTCTTTGGAAAATATTTGATAAAATGGGTTGTTGAAATCATTTGAAATTTTTCTATGGACTCTTTTATATTCATTTCTATTTAATATTCACCAAATATTTATGGACTATCTACTATGTGTCAGGCATGGTTTTAAAGTCTTTGAAGTACATCAGTGAAAAAACAGGACAAACATTTCAGGCCTCAAGGGGCTTACATTCTGGTAGTGGAGAAAACAAAACATAATTACAGGAAATTATGTAGAGTGTTAGGAAGTGATAAGTGTTATCAAAATAGAGCAGGGTAAGTGAGACAAGGAGTTGGGAGGCAAGATGGGATGCAGGAAGTAAGACTGGGATTGTAAGTAAGATGATCAGGGTGGGACTTATTGGGGAGGTGATGGCTGATGTAAGACTTGAAGGAAGTGAGGGTGTGAACCATGTCAATATCTGGAGAAAGAGCATTCTAGGCAGAGGGAACACAGATAACCCAATGGGAAACCAGCCCTGCTATGTTTTAGAATGAGCATGAAGCCAGTTTGGTTATTTTATTAAAGAAGAATTAGGTGCATGTTTACAAAAACAAGCAGAATAATTGTTGAGATGAATCTGAAGATCCTGAAGATACGTTTTTCATTGTATTATGATCAACTTTTCTATCTTAAAAAAATCCAAAAGCTCAATATATAATAAATCTATTCAAAAAGATGAGTATTCATTTCAAAAATGTAGCTTTGCTAGTACCTTTTCAGAATTATGGTAAATGCACATATCAAATTATGTTAAATATATATGTTGAAAATAATTATTTGGCTTACATGATCATATAACTAAGAACTTATTTATATGTTTTAATTTTATAGGCTAGAGAATTACTTTTCATTCTTTGCATGCTAAAGTATTAGGGAAAATATATGAACATTCATTTTTATGTCAAATGCAATTTACCATAGTTATTAAGTAATTAGTTGTTTACTAGCTGTGACATTCTATTTCATTCTTAAAGAATAAACAGCTTTGTATGGAAAAAGTGTAGTTTAGCAGTCAAGAGACTTGATTCTAGCCTAATTCTTGAAATTATTTAATGTATTATTTTGAAGCAGTCATTTTAAATGGCTTCATTTTACCTATGTGTTGGGAGTTTTGTTCATTTGCTTTATATGGAACATGACTAGGTGTATTCTGTTTCCAAAATGCCTCTTTTTTGTCATTTTGTGACTTTTTTAAATAATGTTTTACACTATATTGATACACTGCTTTAAATATTTGTCTGATTGAGAACTGTTAAAGAAAAAATTGCATTTTAAACAAATTCCTGCTTATTTTTAGTGTCAGCTCAAATCTTTTCCTGACCACTTCAGAATTTTTTCTGAATCTTTTCCTGGTCAGTTCAGAATAAACTGCTTTTCACCTGGGCTATTACAGCACTTTATGCATATTCTTATTATTTATCACTTTTTATAATATGTTATAGTTACATGTTTATTAATCTATCCATGAGTTTTCTATCTTTGTATTTCCAAAACTCATAAAAATACTTTGCACATATTTGTTGTTCAGTCAATTTTTCATTGAATTCTTATGTCTGTGTATTGAAAAACTAACAGTTAACTCCTGAGAGTTAATATATCAGAAATGAAGACTGTGTTCAGTAACATTACTGCTTGAAAGGCAGTATTCCATGTAATGAATGTTTCTGTTGGTTGACAACTCCTATTTCAGACCTTTAACAAGATTTAATTTGGTTTTTTGGTCTAACGTTTATGTTATAGAGATGGCATAAATGCTTATTTGCATGACTCAAGTAGATGTAAGAAGTAGTGATTTTGTCACTGATTATGAAATTGTTAAAGAGGATGATTATTACTGATTACCTCTTTGCATTTTGGATCAAAGACATGAATTTCATAAGGATTAAGTGTTCTAAGAACTATTCAGAAGTGTGTTTTTATATAGTAATACAATTTTTAGCATGTATTCATAGCCATTTACTCGATAATGTGCCCGTAAGTATAATGAATCAGAATATGCTCTTTATTGTGTTTTGGATTTTCACGTTCTTTTCAGTTCTCCCTAAACCTTATTTCGCTTCCTAACTTAAAAAAAGTATTTTTCGAAGAACCCTATTCATTTATTTATTCAACAGCTATATATTTAACATTTACCGTATTTTCTAGGTACAGAGTAAGGCCAAATCTATTATTAGATTTGGAAGTGAACAAAATAGATTAGGTCTCTGCTGTCAGAATTAACAATGAACAAATAAACATTTGCCCATTTAGTCAATATTTATTGATTGCCTACCATGTACTAGGCATTGTTTTCGGAATTGTGGATACAGTCATAAAATAACAAAGCCCATACCCTCATGTAGCTTACATTCTAATGAAAGAATAACAGGATAAGTGGAGAAGGCTAACTTCATAAAGGTTGGTCAGGGAGGGCCTTTCTAAGAAATTGACATTTGAACTGAGATCTACAGGACAAGAAGGAACCAAAGGAAAAGGCTATTTGAGGACAAACAGCAGTTACCCCGGCTAGCAATGAACTTACTATGTTTGATGCACATTGGTTTGTAGCTTTTGAGGTCAGAATATTAAGGATTTATTATTCCTTCCATTTTTTTCAATAAATTATGAAGTACAGGCATCACTTGTAAAATTTGGTAGGAGAAGGTAAACAGCAAAGAGGGAACAATTTGTAGAGAGACAAATTTGAGGAAAGATATCACTTTGAAATAGTAATTCCAGAGAACAGGGAATATACAAACAACAGAAGTGCAGTAGGGTTGCTGGGCAGAGTTGAGAGTTTACTTGTCAATGTGTTATCCTGAATTTTAAGTGAAACTAGTCAACATGGTTGTATGGTTTTCTCAGTTATGGGCACAGATGTGAAGAAGATGTAGTATTTAACCAGAGTTGTTTTCACCCTCCAGGAGAATATGATGGAAAAAGGGAGGAACAAGAGTGTTTAGGGCCTTTGTAAAGACGTCACAATAATACAAGGCTTAGAGTCTATCCTGAGGAAGGAGAAATGAGTAGGGAGTGAAAAATTAAGAGGGCTGATGGGCTTAAAGAAAGTTAAAGATCAGTGGATTGGTGATGTGAATAAAGGTGAAAGTTGTGAGTGTGGCCAGACAAGTGAATTTCATGGGCTAATATGGAATATTAATTTATATTGAAAAGAGTGTGGTTTGTATAGATAATTGAAATAATGTGAGGGCTACCAGAAGTGCTAAGAACACTTTCCTTTCTTTTATTATTCTCACCCTTTTTTGTAGTTTTATAGAAATGATATAATATAGGGAGAATATAGAAAAGAGCATTACTTGGAAGAAAACATAAAATGTCCTTTATAAAGTCACTTGATCTCACTGACCTATTCTTTTAATTAATTGACAAATCAATTAATTATTTCAGCAGTGTGCCAGGTATTGGACATACAGTAATGATATCAGATACATAAATGCTATCTGATTTATAATCACAATAACGGTACCAGTGGTGATATAGGATAGTGATATTATTGATAATATTGATAATGATATCAATAAATGGTCTCATTGGCCATATTCTTTAATTAATTAATCAGTCAATCATTTCAGCCCTGTGCAGTTGCTGCACATACAGTAATGATGTCAGATAACAGCAGCGTAGAGTGCTGCTGGAGTACCGAGGTGGTGCATGCAACCCAGATGGGGTGGAGAGTAGTCACACTTGTATGAAGTGGTCTCTAAGCTGAGGTCTGAAAGATTAGTAGGTTTTGCAATTTAGCAAAGAAGCCACAGGCAGAGGGGGTCAGGAATAGTGTATATTAAAGTCCTCAAGAAAGAAATGCCTTGAGGTATAAATAGCTGAATCATAGTATATGAGAGAAGAGGCTGGAACATTAAGCAAAGGCCATATTTTAAAGAATTTGGTAGGTTATGTTAAGGAAATTCCATCCTAAAAGCCATGTTAGAGGACCCATTATTGAGTTTTGCATAGAGAAGTGACATAAAACGTGATCACTTATAAAATGCAAGATCTGCTTAAATGAGGAAGTTGAATTTTATCTTCTCTAAGGTTCATTCTAAAATTATTTGATTTGTTGTGATACATGAGTATAAAGAAGAAAATCAAAATTATATAAATATGCCTCTTATTTTAATCTAAAAAGAATTAACAGCAATTAATAAGAGACTAGATTGGACATAGAAATAAAGCCCTGCTTACAAAGCATTATTAAATTCATATTAATGTTTGCAAATGAGAATTGAAATTCAAATTTCCTGTGACTCTGAAATATGTTTGGTTGCTGTTGAATATTTTCTATCATATCAGTGAAAATATTCGCTAATTTCCCATGGGTTTGTGTGTGCCATTTGATATCCTCAATCAACTGTAGATGAAACTGTACTTCTTATCTCCAGGTTTTTAAACCTTTGAGATGTTTCCATTAATTGGAAAAACAATCATCTTTGATAACTTTCCTGATCCTTCTGATACATGGGAAATCACTGAGACAATTGGCAAAGGAACTTATGGGAAAGTTTTTAAAGTATTGAATAAGAAAAATGGCCAAAAAGCAGCAGTCAAAATTCTTGATCCAATTCACGTAAGTCATATTTTTTCCTTCTAATTAGCTTTATTTTTATCTGTATGAAACACTTAAAAAGACTGTATTTTATCTTGATTTATTCATCACAATAGCAGTCTAAAACAGGTTACAATTTGAAGATAAATGTAAAAGAGAAGTCTACTTATTTGCTTTTCCAAATTTCTGTGCTTAGTATATGTAATAAGGCACAATAAGTACTTGATGAATAAATGCATAAGCACGCAAAAATGCAGCTCTCAACCGACGATATTATTAAAGTTGACTGAATGTTATTTTAGACATGAAAAATTGTAAAGATACAAACTCAGGGGTCTAGAAGTAATCCTGAAATGGCATCTTAACCATATCTTCTTTTCGTCCTGTGTTTATTTAGGCTTCAGGAGGTATTTCTCTTAGGCCAAACTAAAGAAGACTTTTTAAAATGAAATTTATTTCAGAGAAAGAAAATTAATTTTCAGGTTTGCTTAAATGTTTCCAAAGCAGACATGGTGTGGATTTATAATCAGGGCAAAGTTCCTTATTGTGAAGAATTAAATTTCATGTTCAGCTCTGCTAGTCTCTGCTTACAGGAGGCCACAATGGGGGCCCCATTTGCTTTTTTTTTTTTTTTTAAGTAGCAGTTGTGATAAGCGAAACTGCCAAACCTTTTCTCTGTTGTTAAGAGCATGAGACTACTGAGATTCTATCTTCTGGTAATGAGAGCTGGCAGTTTCAGAATATCTTCAGGTTGCTGGGAGACACCTTTCTCTCCCATAGCACATGGGAGAGCCAGAATGAGCTCAGTAATCAGATGCTCCCCAAACATCTATTGAAAGCAACTGCTCCAATTAACAGACTCTTGCACACATGATGGGAGCATGGCATGATGAAAATGATGTAATGTGTATAGAGAGGACATCAGAGTGCTAGGTCCTTGTTACACTCATCTACTAACTGTGAGATGCTGCAAAAGGTCTCTGAGTCTCCATTTGTTCGTCTTAGGGTTGCTGTTTCTTTTTTTATTTTTATTTTTTGATAGTTTATTTCTGCTAAACCCATTATAACTACACTCTTCCATATTATTTTGAGCAGAGGAGAAAGGTAGGGGAGGTTTATTTTAAAGCAATAAATTAAATAAATACACTGGAGGAAAAAAAATGAGACTCAGTATGCCCAGGCTTAACTGTTGCTGAATGTCTTCACATTCTCTTGGAAACTTCTAAGCATTTAAACTGAAGGAACAGAGGTACAAGTTAAGTTCTACCAAAGTGACTATACCTCTCTTTCCTGTAGCCTTTGCATTAGGGATTCAGGTGTGTGGCAGCAAGAGAAAGAAATTCAGCCCAATCCCATTGTCTGGCCCCATAGTGTATCTCTTTCTCTTCCTTCTTAATGGAGAACAAATGGCTTATAATCCATGTAACGACTATTCTTTCATAATTTACTCACATATGGTATACCTACAAGCCTTATAAGTCCCCCCTATTTAGTATAATTTAATGAAATATTGATTTCATGACTATTAAGCTTAATTTATCCTTTTGCTTTCATTCTTGTCACAGTACATATACATTTTTCTAAGAATTATTTATTTACTCTTCATCATGTCACAAGTCAAATAAAAAAGATTTATAACCAAGAGATTATAATCTTAAATAAATTTAAATGCATCCAAACATCTTGCAAAGATTTGCTTATTTTAAATTAAAGGAGTCTTACTCTTACATATTTTTAATCAGTCATTTTCTTTTCAAGAGAGGAGTTGAATGAGTAAGATGAGAAGGTAGCAGGCTCGGAGTCTATATCTGGATTTTACAGTAACCAGCTCTGACTTCAACTTCTCAGGGCTTAACTTTATGCCTTTAAAATTAGAGCTCAGATTTAAATTTCTACCTCTATGATTCCATGATTCTATAATAAAACAACATAGGCATTAAATGTCACTGTAAAAGCAGTATTAATAAGGCTTTCTCTTATTTATTGCTGTATGAATTGTTTCATATATATGCGATTTTCTAGAAATATGTCTAAGTGGCTGTCTTTCATTCTGATTGATAAGATAGCAACCTGTTCTTCTTTTGGTGAATGGACCTTTAGATCACTAAAGGTTTTGTGCAATCTTTTATAACTTAACTCTATTTGAGTTTTTTGGAAAAGTGGGAATTTATTGTTTGTATGACTGATTTTTGGATAGCTTCTAAATATCCTATTTTCCAAAGAAACAAAATGAACCAGATTTCCAGTCCTAAAATTTATTATTTCAGGTCAATGGCTTTGCCCTTGTAACAAAGTTAATAATACAAAAAAGCAAAATCATCTGGAGTAGCTCTCCATAGATGTTTACTTATAATTGCAAATAAAAATAACATTTTATTTATCCATTTTAAAATTTGATGAAATTAATATAACTTGAGATTCACTTGATTAGCATGAAAATCACAATCTCTCCCCTTAAATTATGTAATGAGAAATTACAATACATAATACTAAGCACAGTAAAAACTATTATGACCTTGACATAATGAAATTCTGTATTTGGTATTCTATAATCTGTTTCTTTGACATTACTCATGGTTTTCTCACAGTTCTATTCTTATGACTTTTTGAAACTAGGATATTGACGAAGAGATTGAAGCAGAATATAACATCTTAAAAGCACTTTCTGACCACCCTAATGTGGTCAGATTCTATGGGATATACTTTAAGAAGGATAAAGTAAATGGAGACAAGCTGTGGTTGGTTCTTGAGGTAAGTGTGTCAGCATCATTTGTATGGGTGGAAACTTAGAGTGTGGTTCTGAAATGACTTGTTATACTATTTATGTAACATTGATATCATAAAAACAGTTCTGATAAGTTCCTGACCAGCCATGAATGTTGTGCCTAGTTTTGGCCTTGCCTTCTTAAGAAACATCAAAAAATTGAAGGAAAGCCACAAAGACTAGTAAATATTAAAAAGAAATGACTCCACAATAAAAGACCAAATAAACTGAGATTATTTTTCCCACAGAAAAATTAAAAGGGATTTCATTATATTTATTTATTCATCTGTATTTTGTTTCATTAACATGTGATAAGCCTCTGTGCCAGGTGCTAGGATATAAGAAAAAATTAATGTTAAGTTGAGGCTTCATTAGACAAAAATAGTGAGCTATGATTTTCTTTTTCTGTCTTTATTGAATGCTAATGACTTGAGCTACAGAACCAGATATTTATATTTACAGGGAAGAAAACTTACTTAAAATGGTGTCGATACTGAGTAAGTTGCTAAAGGAAAGCTGTAGTGTCTGCCCTTTCCAATCCTGAGAGTAGTTTTTCTTACACTTAAGCAATCCTCTCTAAGGCAGGAGTACTAGCAGCTCCTGCACTAAGGTGACTGTCAGTCCCAGAATAATTCCATTTTTCTGATTTTCATTGAACATTATTCAAGTGTGGTAAACATTATTTCTAATAAAATCTATTAGAATTTTTTAAATTGCTTTTATCAAATTCAGAGACAGTAGATACCTTTATTTGACAGCTATAACAGCATATATTTATTGTGTTCATCATTGTTTTATTAGCATTTGAGTATTTTATTTCTTTTTGAATGTTTCATTGCTTTTCCTGAAGTGGCATTGTCTTAGTCTGTTTGTGCTGCTATAACAAAAATCCACACACTAGGTAATTCATACAGAATAGAAACTTATTCCTCACAGTTTTGGAGGCTGGAAGTCCAAGATCCAGGAACCAGCAGGTTCACTTGTCTGGTGAGGCCTGTTCACTTCCAAGATGGCACCTTGTTGCTACATGCTCTGGAGAGAAGAAACGCTGTGTTCTCACATGGCAGAAGGCAGAAGGCAAGAGAGCCCAACACTGTGTGGAGCGTCTTTTTAATAAGGATCTTAAAACCGCATTCATGAGGAAGATGCCTTCATGGCCTAATTACCTCTTAAAGGTCCCACCTCTTAACAATATCACTTTCACCATTAAGTTTCAACACATGAATTTTGGAGGGGACACAGCCAAAGTGTAATAGGCACAATAATCATATATAAATTATATTAAGACTTTATATTCATATTTTTCTATTATGGTTTTTTTTTTTTTGAAATGGAGTCTTGCTTTGTTGCCCAGGCTGGAGTGCAGTGGCACAATCTCAGCTCACTGCAACAGCCTCCTGAGTTCAAGTGATTCTCGAGCCTCAGCCTCACAAGTAGCTGGGATTACAGTCACATGCCACCATGCCCAGCTAAATTTTTTTTTTTTTTTTTTTTGTATTTTTAGTAGAGACAGTGTTTCACTGTGTTGGCCAGTCTGGTCTCAAACTCCTGATCTCAAGTGATCCACCTATCTCGACCTCCTAAAGTGCCTGGTCTCCATTATGGTTTTTAAATGATTCTACAAATAATAGATGATCATTGTAGAAAATATTTGATCCTATTAAAAAATTCTTAATATTTAACATATTTGCTTCATTTTTGTATGTTTTTTTCTTTTTTTCCTTTTAAAAAATTTTAAGTACAGGAGTACATTTGCAGGTTTGTTATATAGGTAAACTTGTGTCACAGGGTTTGTTGTACAGATTATTTCATCACCAAGGTGTTAAGCCTAGTTCCCATTAGTTATTTTTCCTGATCCTCACCATCTTCCCACCCTCTACCATCAGGTATCTGTTGTCCCTCTCTATGTGTCCATGTGTTCTCATAATTTAGCTCCACTTATAGGTGAGAACATGTGACATTTGATTTTCTCTTCCTGCATTAGTTTGCTAAGGATAATAGCCTCTGGCTCCAATCATGTTCCTGCAAAGGACATGATCTCAGTCTTTTTTATGGCTGCATAGTATTTCACAATGTATATGTACCACATTTTCTTTATTCAGTCTGCCATTGATGTGCATTGATAAGGTTTGGCTGTGTCCCCACCCAAACCTCATCTTGAATTCCCATGTGTTGTGGAAGGGACCCAGTGGGAAGTAACTGAATCGTGGGGGCAGGTCTTTCCTATGGTATTCTCATGATAGTGAATAAGTCTGATGAGATCTGATGGTTTTATAAGGGGAAAATTTCCCTGCATAAGCTCTCTCCTTGCCTGCTGACATCCATGTAAGATGTGACTTGCTCCCCATTGCCTTCCACCATGATTGTGAGGCCTCCCCAGCCGTGTGGAACCATAAGTCCTTTAAACCTTTCTTTTGTAAATTGTCCAGTCTCGTGTATGTCTTTATCAGCAGTGTGAAAATGGACTAATACAGGCATGTAGGTTGATTTCATGTTTTTGCTATTGTGAATAGTGTTGCAATGAACATACATGTGTCTGTGTCTTTGTGGTAGAACAATTTCTATTCCTTTGGGTATATACCCAGTAATGCAATAGATAGCTGGGTTTCATGGTAGTTCTGTTTTTAGTTCTTTGAGGAATCATCACACTGTTTTCCACAATGGCTAAACTAATTTACAATCTCACCAGCAGCATATAAGCATTCTCTTTTCTCTGAAACCTCACCAATATCTGTTATTTTTTGACTTTTTAAAAATAGCTATTCTGACTGGTGTGAGACGGTATCTCATTGTGTTTTGATTTTCATATCTCTAATGATCAGTGATGTTGAGCTTTTTTCATATGCTATTGGCTACATGTATATCTTCTTTTGAAAAGTATCTGTTCATTTTCTTTGCCCACTTTTAATGAGGTTGTTTGTTTTTTCCTTCTAAATATAAGTTCCTTACAGATGCTGGATATTAGACCTTTGTCAGATGCATCGTTTGTAAACATTTTCTCCTATTCTGTAGGCTGTCTCTTTACTCTGTTGATGGTTTCTTTTGCTATACAGAAGCTCTTTAGTTTAATAAGATTTCATTGGTCAAGTTTTGCTTTTGTTGGTATTGCTTTTGGAGTCTTCATCATGAAATCTTTGCTGGTTCCTATGTCCAGAATGGATGGTATTGCCTAGATTGTCTTGCAAGGTTTTTATAGTTTTGGGTTTTACAGTTAAGTCTTTAATCTATCTTGAGTTGATATTTGTATATAGTGTAAGGAAGGGATTCAGTTTCAATCTTCTGCATATGGTTAGCCAGTTATCCCAGCACCATTTATTGAATAGGGAATCCTTTCCCCATTGGTTGTTTTTGTCAGCTTTGTCAAAGTTCAGATAGTTTTAAGTGTGTAGACTTATTTCTGGGCTCTCTGTTCTGTTCCATTGGTCCATGTATCTGTTTTTGAAACAGTACCATGCTGTTTTGTTTACTGTAGCCCTGTAGTATAGTTTGAAGTTGGGTAGTGTAATGCCTCCAGCTTTGTTTTTTTGCTTAGGATTGCCTTGGCTATTCAGGTTCCTTTTTGGTTCCACATGAATTTTAAAATAGTTTTTTTCTAGTTCTGTGAAGAATGTCATTGGTAGTTTGATAAGAATAGCATTGAATCTATAAATTGCTTTGGGGAAGTATGGCCATTTAAATGACATTGATTCTTCCTATCCATGAGCATGGAATGTTTTTCCATTTGTTTGTCATATGATTTCTTTGAGCAATGTTTTGCAGTTTTCATTGTGGAGATCTTTCACCTCCCTGGTTAGCTGTATTCCTAGGTATTTTATTCATTTTGTGGCAATTTTAAATGGGATTGTTTTTATCTGGCTTTCACCTCCCTGGTTAGCTGTATTCCTAGGTATTTTATTCATTTTGTGGCAATTTTAAGTGGGATTGTTTTTTATCTGGCTCTCAGTTTGACTGTTTTTGGTGTATAGGAATGCTAGTGATTTTTGTACGTAGATTTTGTATCTTGAGATCTTGCTGAAGTTGTTTATCAGCTTAAGGAGTTTTGGGGCCAAGACCATGGAATTTTCTAGATATAGAATCATGTCGTCTGCAAACAGGGATTGTTTGCCTTCCTGTCTTCCTATTTGGATGCCCTTTATTTCTTTCTCTTGCCTGATTACTCTGGCTAGGACTTCCAATACTATGTTGAATAGGAGTGTATGTTTTTTGTATGTTTAAATTTGTTGACAACATTACTTATGAAATTATCCTATATTCTTACTTAATGTAACTTCAGATAGTTTTAATCATTGTTATGTTTTTCAAAGTAAATACATTCACTTGAGTAATAAAAAACATAGTTTCAAAGGGTTGATGAGATAAAGCAATAAAAACATAGACCCAGTTTAGTGGTGCCACCTTCTCCTGAGCAGTCCACACTTTTGATTTGTTGTGATTGCTATACCTAGAAGAATGGCTGAGCTTCTACACTGCCTCATTTAGTAATCCATGTTCTTAATTTTGGCAATATTGTTCATTACACTTTTGGAGCGCTTCATCTGCCCAGTCTTGTTTGGAGACCTACCATGTGTCTGACCTCTTTGATATCTCTCTGCTGCCCACCTTGATGGAACCACTGGTTCCTGGATCCCTTGGCCTCCTCTTTTCAAGTTTCTTTCTCTGTTTGGCTCATCATGTAGTAATTTGTGCCTCTCCCAGATTACCCATTTTGCTGATGTCACCAAATCTTGAATCCCTCCAGTTCAGTGTCAGCAGGGAACAAAATTTCCAGTCTCTTAACCTGGGTGTGTGTGTGTGTGTGTGTGTGTGTCTGTGTGTGTACTGCTCAGGCAGGCTTCTGAATGTTGATATTTTGCATATGTGATAAGAGGGTTTCGAGTCTTTTGATTAAAGACTTCCAAATGACCCCTTGCTTTTTGCCCTGCTCCCCTCAACTGCTTCTCCACCTCTACTATTCCCTAGCACTATCTGGGTTAATCTGTTCAGGTGACCGCAAAAGAACCACACAAAGGATCTTAGTTTGTGGCTTCCTCTGCACTGCTAAATCAGTTACTGCTTGCTTATCTGCTTTCCATATTGCAAAATTTATTGAATTTTTTTGCTCAGTGTTCTCCTTTTTTCTGTCCTCTTTTTCTTTGTGGTTATAATTGTTTATTCCTTTACTAGTGTTTTAATGGAGATTCATGAGTAAGAGGAAATAAATTTATATATTTCATTTGCCAACTTTATGCTCTGGAGCCTTTCAAAATGTATAATAGTATTTTCAAAAATCTTTCATCATCTGATGCTGTATATTATTTTACAAAATTAAATAGCCATGTATGTTCTTTAAAAATAGACAATTTATCTATGATTTCAATATTACAGTTGACCCTAACTTTTAATTGTTAGGGATGACAATCTCCCATGCACTGAAAAATCGAAGTGTAAATTTTGACTCCCCTAAAACTTAACTACTAATAGTCTACTGTTGACCAGAAGCCTTACTGATAACATAAACAGTCAATTAATGCATATTTTTATGTCATATGTATTATATACTGTATTCTTACAATAAAATAAGCTATAGAAAAGAAAATGTTATTAAGAAAATCATGAGGAAGAGCAAATATTTTTACTGTTCATTAAGTGGAAGTGGATCATCATAAAGGTCTTTGTCCTCATCATCTTCACATTGAATAGTCTGAGGAGGAGGAAGAAAAGGAGAGGATGATCTTGCTGTCTCAGGAGTGGCACAGGTTGAAGAAAATTAGAGGATGGTCTTGCTGTCTCAGGGTTGGCACAGGTGGAAGAAAATTAACATGTAAGTGGACCCACAGAGTTCAAACCCTTGTTGTTTAAGGGTCAACTGCATTTTTTATTTCTCTAGTTTGAGATAGGTTTGTATTTTTAGCAAAATCACATATAAAAGCAAAGCTAAACTTTTACTCATCTAAGCTTAGTTACCAAATAATAGAATATAAATTATGAACCTAAACCATTTTGCCTTACATTAATGGATAATTTTAGAGTTTAATTCTTGTTTGTGTTTGCATATTTGAGAAGTACTGCTGTACATAATCCTTGATGTAATCTTGAATATAATTTTTGTTTATATCCTTCAAAACATTTTCGATAATGAATTTTTAATTTTTCTTCCATGTATAGAATCATTGGCAGATGTGCATTTAAGTGGAGATTCAGGTATTCTGTCTAATATTGGCCTAAATGGCCAACAAAATAAGGTGTAAATCTTTTCCCAGGGCTTAAAAATATTGAATGAGATCATTCATTGTTATTATGCCTATTAAATCCCTATTCTAATATCTTGGCATTTCTCACCTGGAATTAGGAGACAGTTGGAAACTCCTGATATTAGTTAAATGTTTTTTGAGAGAGCAGATTGATTAAAATGAGTTGGATTGATTAAAATGTTTTGGGAATATCTTATAAGTAAAGCAACATCCAGATATAATGAATCAGTAGAGTCGCTACAATTTATTTGAATTTTGTCCTTATAATTTATTATCAGATGGAGATATTGGAAATATCTCTAAATGACTTTGGAAAAAAAGAATAAATTTAGTTTAATAAAATGGTATTTCCAAAATCTGATCTACTTGAATTTACAAAGTGGAGGGAAAAAAAAGGCTAAGGAAAGCAAGAAGTTGGCAAACTGTATATAAGATAATTGATTTGCATATGTAAATTAGACTAATCACATATACACATAAGTGGCTAGATGTACAATTACCTGATTTATAAACATGAATGGTGCAGGTGCTGCTTTAGAGGCACTTTCAGAAAATTGGCTTGTGGCATCAATGCTTTGTAGTACAACATGACTGCTAATTATACCTTTCATTGTAATAAAGTCCATTTAAATTATTTTGCATGAGGGTACCAAAAGAGGGGCAGTGGCTGTAATGTTACCCAGAGAATCATGTTAACAGTGCTAGGCTTTTAATGTGAATCTACATACAGAAGGTGAGTACTGGAGGGGATGTATCAGAGCAATGAGTTACTGTCCTCATTCTAAGCCTGGTGTGTGTGGATGGCCATACTAGCCTAGAGAAACTCCTGTGAGATGCTTTTCACAACGAAAAATCACTTTACTTATATTTCAATCCAGAGTTGAAATCCTAAGAATAATGATGTGCCAGATCTTGCTGGGCAGTCTGTTTTCTCTAGTTACAATTTTAAAATTATTTCTTTTGCTTTCTGATATGATTTTTCTCTTTTATTTATTTTACCCTCATTTGTTATTTTATAAGTTTTTGAGCATGAATGATATACAAGGACTCTGTTTAGGAGTTATTTTCATCTTAATTCTCTGCATGTTTATTTTGAGAATCTAAATGGTACCTAGGTTTAGTAAAAGGGCACTAGTTGCTGGCCCTCTGAAATTCCAGTTATACACTTGAATGAAGTTTTATGCTGTGGAAACTAATTTAGTTTTTTATAGAACATCTACGGGGAGTTTTGTTGTCATTCAATATTTTAGGTTTTCCTAATGATGTAGACATAAAGGGAGAACCAATGTTTTCTGTTTGTTTCTACCTATGCCTCATTTTGAAATACCTTATGTATATTCCTTTCTGCCTGTTGCTATCACATCTCTTGACTGACTTGTTTAGTGAGATGTAAATACTTCTTTTGACTTTGCACTGCCTTTTACCCCTGATATCTACTGTTGGGGATCAGTATCAAGCGTGGAGGGGAGCTGGGAAGATGAGGACTCGGGTAGGATTCTTCAAATGCTTCCTACCTGAACCGGGAGACCGTAAAACAGAATCAAAATTGAGTTAAATCAGTCTCATATAAGGCATTTGCTATTGATGGACACAAAGGGGAGAACTGAGATTTAATTGTAATTTTCCCCTTCTTGGTTGGATGAACAACCACATTTTAAGTAGGTAAGGAAATCTGGGCTTCTCTCTCAGGAGCTGTTTGCTTAGTGTGCCTTCAGCCATAATGAATCCAAAATTCAGAGTTAGGACATCTTTCTGTTAAAAGACCCTTTCCCTCATAATCCAATCTTAGCTATAATTGCTCCTTTCACAGTGGTGCTACAGACTACATTCTATTATTCATTTGAATTGGTCCTGATTTGTTCATTCATAATAGTGACATTGCTTTTTCTCATTGCTCCCCAATTATAGCAATTTTTCTCTTTGAAATTATATCCTTTTCAGGAGACTAAAGACTGCCAATTACAGGTGGTATTTCAAAGCACGAAAATTCAGTAAATAGTCATAAAGCCTCTCAAATGCACATTTTCGGTCATCAAAGTGGTTTTTATAGACATAAATACTACTTTCATGTGTCATGCATTATTGGTTGTTCTGTTTTTATACTTACATCTAGTTAGTAATATCAGGCCTGCCTTGAGGAAAGGAAACATGGAATGATAGAAAGAAGATAAGTTAGAATGAATGTGAGCTTTCTGTTTGTTCAGCTATTAACCCTTTAATGCTACTGCCCTGGAGGATAACATGTACACAGAAGGGAATATAAAGCCTTTGCGGACTTGTATATTTGTGAGGGGTCAGGAGAAACAGGGCAGGAGTGAGGAACTGGGCTGCTGAGTTACTTAGATGGCACAGAATTGTTCCTTCTTCCCTTTGGCAGTTCACAATTGCAGTGGAGTAGCAGACTCACAGTGTGATTCCTTTCATGTTCTTAAGGCTGGAACCACCATTCCCACCTCTCATGTAAAAGGCTATTATTTGGTGTACTTGCAGTAGAACAGACAGCCAATTACCTAGAGTTGTTTCATTTTTTGTTTGTTTAAAGGGCAGGATAGAAACATGGCCTAAATGTACTTCTTTATACTCTTCTAACTTAGGAAATTTATACATAATATATATAACTCTTATATATCTTTCTTTCCTAATTGTACTTCAGTGCCGGAAAAAGCATCTTCTTTGAATAGGCATGCACATTTATAGTGTTACTTCAGAGGTAAGAAAATATGAGGTGACCAGTGATGTCTTGCTATTTAATAAATTAATAGATTTTTATTGTACACATTAAAATATTTCTTCTGGTAAGTTATTTTCTCTGTTATCATAGATTTATTGTTGATTACATTACTAGTGTGCTATAGTGTTCCCCCTAGATTTTTAAAGCATTTTAGGGTGAAGTAAGTGTTCTATATTTTGATTTAGTGGTTACATGATTGTATATGATTACTAAAATACATCCAACTGTATACCTAAAAGAGCCAATTATATTATACAACAATAATACCTTTAAAATACTTCTAGTTTACACATTGGAAAAGGAATGTGAAAATTTTACACACTACAAAAGCACACATTAGAAAATGTCTATTAGGTGGTAGTCCCAGTTTTTATTAATATTTTATTAGTATTTTATTGGAATCCAGAATTTGGTACATTAATATATTTCATAGGAATTAAGATGAACATATCACACTTTGCATATACAAACAAACAAGCAAAAATAAAACTAATAAAAACTCACCTTAGCTTAGCTTTGTCCCCTGATTTTTAACTTTTTGTTGTTTCTATTTATATCTTATTGTACTATGTCTTGAAAAGTTGTTGCAGTTATTATTTTTGATTGGTTCATCATTTGGTCTTTCTACATAGGATAAGAGTAGTTTATACACCACAGTCACAGTGTTATAATATTCTGTGTTTCTCTGTGTACTACTATTACCAGTAAGTTTTGTACCATCAGATGATTATTTATTCCTTATTAATTTTGTTTTCTTTCTGACTGAAGAACTCCCTTTAGCATTTCTTGTAGGATGGGTTTGGTATTGATGAAATCCTTCAACTTTTGTTTGTCTGGCAAAGTCTCTATTTCTTCTTCATGTTTGAAGGGTATTTCACTGGATATACTATTCCAGGGTAAAAGTTGTTTTCTTTTTCCTTCAGCACTTTAAATATGTCATGCCACTCTCTCCTGGCCCATAAGGTTTCCACTGAAAAGTTGCTGCCAGAAGTATTGAACCTCATTGTATGCTATTTATTTCTTTTCTCTTGCTGCTTTTAGGATCCTTTATGTATCCCTGACCTTTGGAAGTTTGATTATTAAATGCCTTGAGGTAGTCTTCTTTGGGTTAAATCTGCTTGGTGTTCTACAACCTTCTTGCACGTGGATATTGATATCTTTCTCTAGGTTTAGGAAATTCTCTGTTACTATTCCTTTGAATAAACATTCTACACCTGTCTCTCTCTACCTCCTCTTTAAGGCCAATAACTCTTAGATTTGCCCTTTGGAGGATATTTTCTTTTGCACTGGGTCTTTTACTTCATGGCGGCAGATTCCCTTATGGCCCAGAGTGTGTTTAGAAATGTCATCTGGGAGCTAGGGCCTGGAATGGGGGCCTCATGATTCTGATTGGTACCCTGTCCTGCTGTGGCTGAGCTGGTATCCAAGATTCAAGACAAAGTCCTTGCCACTCTTCCTTCTCCTCTCCTCAGGGGGAAGGGAGGGGTTTCTTTTGGAGCCTTGAGCTGTGCAGCCTGGGGCTAAGGGACGTGATGCCAGCACTCCCTTGGCTGCCCCAGTTGGTGTCTCAGTTCGTTGCGTGATCCCCGAGTCCACTGTCTCTGGGCCCTAGTGCAGCACTAGGACTTGCTTATGATTTGTAGTCCTCATGGCCTAGATTGCTTTTCAAGTTTACTTGAATATATAGAGTGCAAACCTGCAAACCTCTGTAGCGAGGTTTGCAGGCACTCAAGTTCAGACTGCTGGAATTGGTAGTTCCCCTCTGCCTAGGCTGAGTTTAAATGCTCCCTCTGTGGGTGGGCGTCAGTTGAGCTTGCCCTACTTTTCCTTTCTGCTCTAACAGGACAGTACTGAGTTCAATGCCTCACAATTGCTGTGTTCGCCCTCCTGCAGCACCCAGAGAAACTCTGGGCACCACCCATTGGCTACCGGGGTAGGGAAGGGGTGGTATAGGTGATTCAGAACTGTTTTTTTTTTTCTCTCTCTCTCTCTCTCTCTTCAGTGCCTCCTTCAGCAATATGAAGTTAAAACCAGATACTATGGGTGCTCACCAGATTTTCGGTTCTTAAGAAGGTGTTTTTTTCTGTGTACATAGTTATTAACTTGGTGTCCTTGCGAGGGGGTGGGACTGGGATAATGGGTGGAACTTTCTATTCTGCCATCTTGCCCCCGCTCCCTGGTTTCTAAACCCTGAAGCCACGATATACTTTGAAGAGGTATCTTCCATAGCATGTGAAAAGATGACCTCTGTCATTTTATTACGTGTGTGCGTAAGTTTACAGAACTGAAGTTTATTCATCTAATAATTTATTTATTCTATAAATAGTAATCTGTTACTCTGCACCAGCCATTTTGGTAGGTTCTCAATATTGAATAGAGAACAAGACACTCTGCCATCATGGAACTTGCTGTATAGTGGTGGAGGAAGACAATTTAAAGCTAAATTTAAAAGTGGTTATTTGTGTTTATTAGTGCTATGAAGAATATAAAAGGGGACATTGATAGGATAGGAAAGAGAAAACCTTTTGTGAAAAGAGTAGTCAAAGAAGTTCTATGTGAGGAGGCAGCATTTTAATCTGCTACCTGAAAACAAACAAAAAAAAACTGAACAGTTTTAGTACCTTTATTCTTTGAAATAGCCCCCAAACTACTTTTATGAAAGGAATCTCAATATCTTGAACCCCATGCAGCAAAAACTGCAAGAATGGTGTCTTGGAAACTGTGGTTTTCTAAACAAGCACAAAGGTGATTCTTATGAAAGGAAAGTCCAAGAAACTCTATCAGAGGTTCTCAAATTATAGTATACGTAAAAACATTCTGGGGCTTCTGCTTCTGGTCATGACAGACCAGGTATTGACATGCTGTTGTACCATAAACAACGAGAAAGCTAGACAAAACATATTTTTAAAAACACAACACTTTTTAAATATTGGAAAAGAGACTTAGGACTGTGACATTGATAAAAGGAAATAAATGAGGCGAACACTACAATTACCTCATCATTATTCATAGAGGCAGTTTCCAGAGCACAGGCAGAAGGAAGCTGTTCCCAAGGAGATCAAAGCAACTGTTGCTGCACTGAAGAAATTGGAAAGGCAGAGTGACTGGACTGTGCAGAGAAGAGGAAGTTATGCAGAAAAAAGCTCTGAAAATCTACATAAAGATTATCTACACAATCTAAATAAGTACATAAAAATATTTAACTGAAAACCCACATAGATATATGTAGAGTGTGACTTCAGGCAGTTTGGCAAAGAATAATTACCAGAGAAAGAATCAATGTAGGGCTGTAATCCACACAACTACTGGAGTTTGTGCAGGATTGAGAGATGCTCGAGTTACTACCAGCCAAAATGGGGAAACTTCACTGAACGCCTGAGACATTTAATAGAGACCCTCCAGAAAGGTTATACATTGGAGGAAGGACTAAACTAGCCCTAGAATAAGAGCTACCTGAAAAGTTCAAGTTGATCCACAAGTAATTAACTGCCTGCCAGAGCAAAATTCAACATTTATTATTAGAAGACAGCAAAATCTACAATTCAATAATGTAACACTAAGAATATCCAGCTCCAATATTAGATCACTAGATATGTGAAGATTCAGGAATATGCAGCCCATTATCAGAAGAAAAATCAGTCAATAGAGTCAGACCCAGAAGTAACAGAGATGTTGAAATTAGCTGGTTCGTACTTTAAAATAGTTATAAATATGTTCAACAATTTAAAGAAAAACATGAACATAATGTTGAAAGAAATGGAATATAGAAAAAAGAACTGAATAGAACTTCTAAAACTTAAAAATATAATATATATGATGACAAATTCATAAGAATCAGGTTTAACAGCACAATAGGCATATGGGAGAAAAGATCAGTAAACTTGAAGGCAGGAAAATTTAAGCTGTTCAAACTGAAGCATAGTTATCAAAATAAGGCTGGAGAGAAAAGTCTCTGTGACCTATGAGACATTACCTAGTAGTCTCACCTATGTGTCATTGCAGCCTGAGAATGGCGGGTGTAGGGGGTGGAGGATATCATTTAAATAATGGCTGAAATTTTTCTAAATTTGCTGAGCACTAAGAAGCTGAAGAAGGTCAAAAATCACTCAAGTATGAGAAAGAAAGCCACACTAAGGTATGTCATAATCCAAATGCTGAAAACTAATGAGAAGGATTATAAAAGCAGCAAGAGAAAAAAGACACATTACATTTAGGGGTCATAGATAAGAATGGCCACTGGTTTGTCATCAAATGCAATGGAATGACATCTTTGAAGGACTGAAAGAAAAGTCCCTTCAATTTTGAATTCTGTATTCAGTGAAAATGTTATTCATAAATAAAGACAAAATTAAAACAGACATTTATGTCAAATGAAAAAATGAAGAATTTACTGGCAGAGACCTGCACTATAAAAAATGTCAAAGAACATTTTTTAGGCTGAAGGAAAATGATTCCAGGTGAAAAGTCATACCTACAGAAAGGAATAAAAATCACCATCAGTGGTAAATATAGGGCAGATATGAAACATTTGATTTTATACTTGTTGTATCTTTGAAAGAAAAAACGCTTTTTAGAACTACAATTATAACTCTATATTGTGAAGTTATAACCAGTGTAAATAGCAAAGGGACAGAGGAGGAAAATTGGAAGTACAAGCAGTTTACCCTTATCCAAGGTTTTGCTTTTCACAATTTCAGTCACCTGTGGTCAACCACTGTTTGAAAATATTAAATGGGAAATTCCAGAAATAAACAATTCACATTTTCAGTTGTGTGCCTTTCTGATTAGCATGATGAAATATCATGTGGTCCTGCTCCATCCCACCCAGAATGTGAATTATCTTCTTGTGCAGCATATCTATGTTGTATATGCTACCTGCCTATTAGTGACTTAGTATCCATCTGGGTTATCAGATTGTCATAGTATTGCAGTGCTCATGTTCAAGTAACCCTTATTTTACTTAATAATGGCCACAGGCCAGGCATGGTGGCTCACGCCTGTAATCCCAGCACTTTGGGAGGCCAAGGTGGGCGGATGACAAGGTCAGGAGATCAAGACCATCCTGGCTAATACGGTGAAACCCCATCTCTACTAAAAATACAAAAAATTAGCCGGGTGAGGTGGCGTGCACCTGTAGTCCCAGCTACTCGGGAGGCAGGAGAATGGCTTGAACCCGGGAGGCGGAACTTGCAGTGAGCCGAGATTGCACCAGTACACTCCAGCCAGCCTGGGCAACAGAGCAAGACTCCATCTCTAAAAAAGGCCCCAGAATGCAGGAGTAGTGTTGCTGGAATGTTGTTATAATTGTTCCATTTTACTAGTAGTTATCATCTCTTACTGTACCTAGTTTATAAGTTAAACTTGATCATAGGATATATGTATAGCAAAAAGCATAGTATATATACGGTGCAGTACTATCTGTGGTTTTGGGTATCCACTGAAGGTCTTGGAACATATAATCCGTGGATAATGGGGGACTAGTGTATACAATTAAAGTGTCTTATATGTGAAGTGGTATGTTATTTTAATGTAGATAGTGATAAGTTAAAGATGCATATTGTAAACCCTAAAGCAACTGGTAAAAAATAAAATGAAGTATAGCTAATAAGCTAGTGGAGTACAAAATGGAATACTAGAAATATTCAACCCAAAGAAAGTAGGAAAATAGGAAAAGAGAACAAAGAAGAGACGAATAGAAACAAATACAGCAATGTGGTAAACTTAAACCCAGTTATATTTATAATTACATTAAGTGTATATGATTTAGACTATACAATTTAAAGGCAGAAATTATGAGACTGGATTGTAATACCCAACTACAAACACACTTTAAATAGAAACATGCAGATAGATAGATTGAAAGTAAAGAGATGGAGAAGCTGTACAATGAAAACATTCATTTTATTCATTTCAATAGTTGGAATGGCTATTTTAATATAAGGCAAGGTAACTTCCAGACAAGCAGTATAATCAGAGACAGATGACATTTCATAATGACAAAAAGTTCAATTCATCAAGAGGAGAAAACACTTTTTAGTTTGTGTGTGCTTAATAACAAAGCTTTAAAATTATATGTGTCAAAAACTAAGAGAAATGAAAAAAGAAATAGTCATATCCTCAATATTAAATGGAAATTTCAAAATCATTTCCTCAGTAATTTAAAAAACAAGTAGAAAATTATTTGAGGATACATAAAATTTAAATATTCTGGACCATAAGACAAATATCAACAAGTTTAAAAGAGTCAAAATCATAAAAGAATATTATCTGACCATAATGGAATTAAATTAAAATCTATAAAATAAAAATATAAGAAAAACTAACAAATACCTGGGAATTAGATCACACACCTCAAAAACAAACTTTAGGTCAGAGAGGAAATCAAAAGAAAAGTGTGAAAATATTTTGAATGGAATAATGGAAATGCAACATATCAAATGTGTAGAATGCATTTAAGCAGTGCCTAGAAGGGCATTTGCACCTCCCTGTAATGTATATTAGAAAAAAAAGATTTAATATCGGTTATATAGATTTTTGCCTTAAGAAGTTAATAAAATTGAAGCAAATTAAATCCAATATAACCTAAATGAAAGAAGTAATAAAGATAATAGTAGAAATCACTTTAGTAAAAAATAAACAAAAATAATAGAATGAAAGGAAGAGTTGTCTCTTAATAAAGTAAATAAACTTGATCTCTTTAGACAGATCCAGAGAAAAGTAAGAAAATACATATTATTTATATTAAGTATCAAATGGGGAAAATTATTATTGAATTTATAGACATTCAAATGATATTAATGAAATATTATGAACAACTTTATATTGATAAGTTTGGTAATTTAGTGTCTTGGGTCTTTCTGGAAAGACATGAGTTGTATAACTGATATGAGAAGAAATAGAAAATGCAAATAGTTTATATTAATAAAAGAAACTTAATAATTAAAACCCTTTCCACAAAGAAAATACCAAGCCCAATGACTTCACTGGTGAATTCTGTCAAATATTTATACTAACTTAATTCTGGAGAGATATAGAAATATTATTGCTCTAGCTCTATTCCCTTTTCATTTTCATTCTGTATTGTTATACACATTGTATCAGTAAATAGTAGAACCGTGCATTTTTTTTATATTTTAAAGAAAAGCAGAAGAAAGAAGAACAAGTATTTAATTATAGTTTGTTATCTGTCTTATTTAATGTTTCCAGTTCTTTTAGTTTGTTCCTGTGAATTTGAGTTCCTGCCTGGTGTGATTATTTCAGTACAGCTTTGCTCCAACCCACCTCTCTTATGCAATTGTTAAATATGTCACATTTCTATATATTGTAGGCCCAACAATACAATTATATGCCTAATGTTTTATACAATTGCTTTTTAAATAAGTTAAGAGAAAAAGGAAGAAATATGCATTTACAGTATATCTTCATTTTTCTCTAATAAAATAATTATCATTACTAGTGCTCTTTGTTTTCTTGTGTAGATCCAGATCACTATGTGAGATCACTTACTTTCATTCTAAAAAATTTCCTTTAGTATTTCTAATAAGTTGGTTCTGCTAACAGTGAGTTCTGTCAATTTTGTTTACCTGGCAATGTCTTCATTTCCCCTTTATTTTTGAGAGAGTTTTGCTGAGTATGATAGTCTTAGTAAGGTATTTTTTCCTTTAGCACCTTGAATATGTCATCTCTCTGCCTTCTGGCCTACATAGTTCTAATGAGAAGTCAGTTGTTAACATTGTTAGTTCCCTAATATGTGACAATTCATTTTTCTTCTGTTAATTTCAAGATTTTCCTTTTATTATAGGCTTTCAACCTTTTTACTATTGTGTGACTAGCTTGGACCTCTTTGCATTTATCTTTTTTTGTTTGTGTGTTTGTTTGGAGACAGAGTCTCACTCTGTCACCCAGGCTGGAGTGCAGTGGCACAGTCTCAGCTGATTGTAACCTCCGCCTCCCGGGTTCAAGCAATTCTCCTGCCTCAGCCTCCCAAGTAGCTGGGACTACATGCATTTATCTTATTTGAGTTCATTGAGCTACCTGAATGCTTCTCATTAAATTTGAAAATTATCAGTCATTACTTCTTCAAAGATTTTTCTTCTGCTGCTTGTTCTCTCTCTTGTTTTCTCATACTGTCATTACATGTATGCTTATATTTCTCTGAAACTGTTCATTTACCTTCATTCCTTCTTCTTTTTTTCATATTTTATAATCCCAATTCAAATCTGTTGAGTCCCTGTAGTGAAATTTTCATTTCCATAACTGTAGTTTTTAAATCTATAATTTTCACTTTGTTCTTTTTTTATGAATGATGAGTGTTCTCTTTATTGATATTCCATATTTGATGAGACATTACCATCAAACCTTTCTTTGCTACTGTAAGGATGATTTCCTCTAGTTCTTTAAACATATTTATATCTTTGCTTTGGAATATTTGTCCACTAAGTCCAATGACTGGGCCCGCTCACAAGCCCTTCTTTTTTTCATGTGTATGGATGATATTTTCCTGTTTCTTTGCATGTCTTATTTTTTTGTTGTTGTTGAAAACTGTACATTTCAGAAAATTTGCTTAAATTATTATAAGAAGTCTTCGTACTAAGTTCCCTGGGTGGGGAACTTGTTGTTTGCCTGTTTGTTTAGTGACTTGGCTGGACTATTTTAGTAAAATCTATTTTCCCCATCTATGAAGCCTTTGATGTCACTCTTCAGCAAGCACAGCTTAGGGCATATGTACAATCACCCTGGAATGACAGTGATTTTAACAGGGCTTTTCTATGACTGTTTCATTCCCTGGTCTTTTTATTAATCTGTCTGCCTCTGTTGGTGCCACCCCCAGTTATTAGGCTCCACTAATTGTCAGCTGATTCCTCTGTTGTTTCCAGCAGTGTCCTGGGGCATGAATTGTTTCACAATCTGATTCAATTAAGTTGCAGACTCCTTACAGGAGTACTTTTTGTGGCTAGCTTTGAGGTTCATTTTGATTCCAGGACAGTTCTTCTTAGCTGTTTCTTTTTAAAAATTCTATTTGCTAATTCTGTGAAGAATGTCAATGGTAGTTTAATGGGAATAGCATTGAATATATAAATTATTTTGGGCAGTATGGTCATTTTCATGACATTGATTCTTTCCATCCATGTGGACGGAATAGTTTTCCATTTGTTTAGGTCCTCTCTTATTTCCTTGAGCAGTGGTTTATAGTTCTCCTTGAAGAGGTCCTTCACATCCTTGTTAGCTCTATTGCTAGGCATTTTATTCTCTTTGTAGCAATCGTGAATGGGAATTCATTCATGATTTGCCACTCTGCTTGTCTATTGTTGGCGTATAGGAATGCTTGTGATTTTTGCACATTGATTTTGTATCCTAAAACTTTGCTGAAGTTATTTATCAGCTTAAGGAGTTTTTGGGCCAAGACGATGGGGTTTTCTAAATATAGAATCATGACATCTGCAAACAGACAATTTGACTTTCTCTCTTCCTATTCAAATACCCTTTATTTCTTTCTCTTGCCTGATTGCCCTGGCCAGAACTTCCAATACTATGTTGAAAAGGAGTGGTGAGAGAGGGCATCCTCATCATGTGCTGGTTTTCATAGGGAATGCTTCCAGTTTTTGCTCATTCAGTATTTTATTGGATATGGGTTGTCATAAATGGCTCTTATTATTTTGATATGTGTTCCATCAATATCTAGTTTATAGAGAGTTTTTAACATGAGGGGATGTTGAATTTACAGTAACCAAAACAGCATGGTATGGGTACCAAAACAGACATATAGATCAATGGAACAGAACAGACACCTAAGAAATAACACCACACATGTACAACCATCTGATATTTGACAAACCAGACAAAAACAAGCAATGGAGAAAGGATTCCCTATTTAATAAATGGTGCTGGGACAACTGGCTAGCCATATGCAGAAAACTGAAACTGGACCCCTTCCTTACACCTTATACAGAAATTAATGCAAGATGGATTAAAGACTTAAATGTAAAACCAAAAACCGTAAAAACCCTCGAAGAAAACCTAGGCAATACCATTCAGGACATAGTCATGGGCACAGATTTCATGATGAAAACACCAAAAGCAATTGCAACAAAAGCCCAAATCGACAAATGGGATCTAATTCAACTAAAGAGCTTCTGTACAGCAAAAGAAACTATCATCAGAGCGAACAGGCAGCCTACAGAATGGGAAAAAATTTTTGCAATCTACGCATCCAACAAAGGACTAATATCCAGAATCTACAAGAAACTTAAGCAAATTTACATATGTAACAAACCTGCACATTCTGCACATGTATCCCGGAACTTAAATAATTTTTTAAAAGGTATAAATTCAAAAAATAATTCTATTTGCTAAGCTGTCCAGTCTGTGGTTAGCTTGTTGCTCTCATGGAGTTACCAGCCTCAGTGTAATTATCAAAATCTCACTCTTTTCAAGAGTACTCTTAGGCTTTAATTTTCCCACACTGTCTCCCAAATACAGTCAGAACCACTGCGGAGAGCTTTGGAGTTCTTTGTTCTTATGACCTGCCTCTCCCTCTGGGCCAACTCTCTGAGCCACTGTTCAGGAGCTGGCAGCAGAGACAGGGGCCCACATCTCTTAGAGTGACACCTTGTTTCACATTGAACTGGCTGGGGATGTTTGAGGGAGAGGATGGCTCAAATGCCACAGACTCCTACTGTTCTAACTGAGATTGTGTTATGATCTTGAATGTTTCTTCGCTGACTGTATGCCCTTATGACAATTTCCAAAAACTTAAAATGGCTCTTTATTTTTCCAATTTTTAGTAGTTATGGTTGCTTCACTGGAGAATGAATTGATGAGTTCATCACACCACCATTCTGGAAACAAGAGTCCTAGAAAATATTTAAGAAAGAAATAATCAGTCTTATTGCCTCATTTTATGAGGCCAGCATTATACTGTCAACTGAAGAATTGGAAGATTCATACATTTGGAAAAGAAAGCTTTATTTCTTATAAAGTGTTGCAGTCTGCAAGCTAGCCATCTGTAGGCTGGGAAGTGTGGCCTCTGGTAGAAGCCAAAAGCAGGCACTTTGAGGGAGGGAAGGATAAGACAGGAATTTATGCTGAATGAGTTGGCTAAGTATACATATTCATGAAGGGGAGGCATGTGCACGCACAGTAGGTTATCTTGTATGTAATATGCATTCTGTGTTTGCTTTGGGATGGAGATGTAGCATTTAAATGTACTACAATTAGGTCCTATACATGAAAAGGTGAAGCAGAGGACAGGAAGGCCCTCAGTGCATGCAGCCTCAGAAGACTGGCCAGAACCACTCCAGGATCAGGCAGTCTCTTATCAGAAAGGAATGCTAGTTAGTTGCTGTGTTGAAACCACAAAAGTGAGGGGTAGCATTAAGCAGTTGGTTGAATTAAATAATGGAGCAAGTATCTCAAAAGGGCTGCTTTCTGTTTAATCTTTAGGAAAGAAAGCGTAACGGCAGTTATCAAAGAAGAGGGTGTAACAACACGTGTCCAACTTATCCCATCATGGCTGGGACTGTTTTTAAGGTTTCTCTAGGGTCTACTTGGCCAAGAGAGGGTCTATTGAGTTGTCTGAGATGCTTAGGATTTAACTTTTATTTCTCAACAATGTTGAAAGAAGACAAAGACATCATAAGAAAATTGAGTCTGACATTCCACATGAACCCAGATGTAAAGTACTTCACAGAGTATTAACAAATAAAATCTAGCAATATATAAAAATATTAATACATCATGACTGAATGGAGTTTATTTCAGGAGTGAGTGCAAGTTCGTTAAAACATTAAAATGCATTTGTTAAAACATTAAAAATTCTCTGCACCACAATTGCATTAACAGAATCAAAGTGGAAAAAAATCATGAAAGACATGCCGAAATTCAATACCCATATGTGATAAACACAGTCAGCACACTAGGAATAGTGGGAATTTTATCTAATAAAGTGTACCCACCCAATTTAAAGGTAGTAAGCTAGAACTTTGGACATTGTACAAAACCATATAAATGAAATATGTTCAAAATCTTTAGTCTTTGGGGAAATTTAAATTAAAACCACAATGAAATGCAATTAGACATTTGCTAAAATGGCTAAAATTAAAACACTGATAGTACTGAGTATTGGTGAGGTGGCAGAGCCAATTGTACTCTTATACACTGCTTATGGCAGTGTAAAACAGTTCAGTTACTTTGGAAACATACAGCAGTGTCTTATAATGTGACATATACGCCTACCACATGATCCAGAAGTTTCACTTGTAGGCATTTGCTAAAGATTAGTGTTTCCAAAAGACTCAAGCATGAATATTGATAGCACTTTTATAATGAGCAAAGTGAAAACGGGAATGAATATTAGAAAATCACAGTTTCTGCTTTTGTAGCCTCACACAGAATATAGTCAGACTAAGCTAATGGCCTTAAAACATTATTAGAATAAACAAAAAACAATTGAAAAACAACAAAGCCAGTAATGCCAACTATAGAAATTAGCAATCATTTTTCAGAAATTTGAGTAAAAATCTCATGTCCCCTCCTAAAGACAGAATACATTCAGAGAACTTAACAAAGGCTGTCTTTGGAAGTTAGCTGCAATGATCTGTTTATATAATATTATACCTTTTGATTTAGTTTTGTTTTGTAATGTTTGACTACAGCTAGGGTAGAGAATTCATTTTCAGTGCTGCTCTGTTATTTAATTAGTGTAGCTCTAGCTTAGGAAAATTATACTTCAATTTTGTTTGATTAAAGAACACTAAGGTCTATTTTAGCATTGTGTTGCAAAACTATACATAATTATTTTTCAGTCTACTATTATAAAATCCCCCTTTTAGTCTATCTTGGTGATTTAAAAATTGCATAGGCTAAATACGACATAATTCATTCACCTGGATGCAATTATTTTTAAAGGGAAACAATATCATTTTTATTTTTTATTATCTGTTGCCTAATTATACGGTATTTACTTTTCATTTAAGATATTTTAATTCTTCATATTTATTTTTAAAAACTCATATTTCAGTTTGAATATTATCTTGTTACTTTTCTTTATGTAAGAAGGACATTTTATGCTGGTTGAAGAAAAGTATATTTTGCAAAAGACCATATTTGAAATTTCACTAATTCTAAATGAAGAATTAGAGAGTTCATGGTATGTTCATATCTGGAGGTTCTTTAGGAAGATTTTCAGACACAAAGTCATTTGTGGTGTATTGATATTTAGTTATCAACAGTCTGCTTAATAATTTCCATGTTTGTCTATTCACTTCCTCCTCCAATTTCTTTTCCATTTTAATCAAACTCTTGAAGTTTCATTCAGAAAACTTTTTCTGTTCTGAAAACTAAACCACTGATCCTACTTTGGTAACAGAGAAATAAATTCCTTGTATGAAACAGGTACAGGAGGGGTTGGGCAGCATTCAAGGGGAGGGGATTATAAAGAACTTCAGTTTCTCCTGGTCAGGTTCATGTGAGCCTCACCTAGTGGTTTCCCTAACAGCAGATACAGCCATAGTCAAGCAGATAAACCAATATACATTCAAAGCAAAATGACTGAGAAAATATTTGATTTTAAAAATTTTGTCATTTGTGATTTTCTGTCCCTAATCTCTTAAAAATTAAAATAAGTGGGGTGTATTTTTTCTCAGTGTAACTTAAATAAAATGAATGAATGAATAAAACTTGTGTTTCATATTATATAAAATGAGAATTTTGTGACTTTGAAGAGCAAGAGTTTAGGTTTACATTGACTAACTTACTAAGCCCTAAATACTAGATGTTAACAAACCTTAGGTATGTGTTCTTTACAAAATAGATGCACAAAAGAGAAAGGCATTTCTCCTTTCTCTTTGTCCACCATCTCACTTCCACTTCCAGATAGAAATATCCAAAAGTATCACATACAAGAGTCTCAGTATTTTGGGGAGACAGGAGTGGGGAGGTTCTGTTTCTGATATCAATGTTGCTATCTCTTTGCAATTTTATATAGTTTTTTTGTTATTTACTCCCAAATCTCTGGCTTCTAATGTGAATTTTTTTTTAATAACATGTATAGCAAACGATGTAGTAGAAGACATAAAGGATATAAGGCTTTTTATATTTTCAAATATACTGTGTGATTTATAAGTAAAATTTGAATATCTTGTTTTAATAATTTATTCTATTCCTTTCATATGTTAAACTTAGAGAATGATTTTGAGTTTGTTTTTATTGAAGTGTCTTTTGTCTTGAAAAATTAAGTGGCTATGTTTATTTGGAATAGGAATGATGTATTAATCTGTTTTCACACTGTCAGTAAAGACATACCCAAGACTGGGCAATTTATGAAAGAAAAAGGTTTAATTGTACTTACACATGGCTGGGGAAGCCTCACAAACATGGCAGAAGGCAAGGAAGAGCAAGTCACATCTCACGTGGATGGCAGTAGGCAAAGAGAGGAGCGCTTGTGCAGGGAAACACCCCTTTCTATAACCATCAAATATCATGAGACTTCTTCATTATCAGGAGAACAGCACAGGAAAGACCTGCCCTCATGATTCAATTACCTCCCACCAGGTCTCTTCCACAACACATGGAAATTGAAGATGAGATTTGAGTGGGGAAATAGCCAAACCATATCAAATGAAGTCATATACCACCTAAAATTGTACTTTATTATTTCTATAAAATACTTAGCTAATATAAATAAGAATATAAGAATATTACAGAATATAGAATTATAGATCCTATGTAGGAAATTACTATCTTAGTTGAATTGCTCAGATAACTAATAACATTTTAAGGGAATTTATCAGGTGACATTCAAGCCACAAAACAAATTTCATGGGGAGAATTTGTTTATATGCTTTAGATTTCTATATTTATATTTTCAGAAAGATTTGCATATTTTATCCCTTTGATATGGTACTATTGTTGCTAGTGGTAATTGTGGGTCATATGTTTGGTATGTGCAGACTATTATTATTGCCTCTCGTCTGCTACTTCATTGTCTGGAAATGTTTGATTGTAATTTTTTTCCACATTGTTTGCTTAGATCTGTAAAATAGAGGATTATGAAATCATTTTGGAGTTCTTAGAGAATTGGTATTCATGTCTTTCACCTCACATTCTAGTGTGACTTTAACTGGTCTTTCTTTCTGAAGAGAGCAACTCACTGCATTTTAGTATACAATCAATTGTGAGGGTATATCTCCTGCACTACAAGCCAACTCAGTGGCTTCTACAGAATTAGAGTACAGTGTTTGCAGTTATTAGAGTGAATAGCATTGTTTCTTTTTTAACTATTAAAAATTTCCTGCTTTGGTTTTTGTATACATACTTGTTTTTAAAAATCTAGTAAGCTTAAGTAGTTGTAGTAAGAAAATGATTTAATCACCATCTTACCAGGGTCACAAAATATTATCTTAGTTTGGAGAAAAGCTTTTCTTCTATTACCAAAAAAAAAAAAAGAAAACAGTGACCATACAGAAAAAAGTTGATAAATTTGAATCACCCAACCCACCCTCCCAAGTGTACTTCTGTGTTCCAGAAGACATCATAACCAAAGGAAACATACCAAAACAATCTGTAGAAAACTATTGTCAACATATATGACAGCAGATTTAATATTCTCTTTAAAACCTTTTATTTTTTCCATTCTAACTCAATGTTACCAGTCTCTGTGAAATTCTATAGTACTTTGCACATAATTCTTTTACCACATAACTATAATTCAAGACCTACATACAGTCTAGGTAATTGTGTGTTTTCCCTCTAATGAGGGGCTTTTTCAACCTTGGCACTGTTGACATTGTGGCTTGGATAATTGTTGTGGGGGCCTTTCCTGTGCACTGTTGTATGTTTAGCAGCATTCCTGGCCTCTAGATGCCAATAGCAGTTTCACAGCCTTGACAGTAAAACATATTTTCAAACATTGTGAAGTGTCCGCTGGTTATAAAATCTCCCCCAGGCAAAACAAACAAACAAAAAACAAGGAAAGGCCGGGCGCAATGGCTCACGCCTGTAATCCCAGCACTTTGGGAGGCCAAGGCGGGTGGATCATGAGGTCAGGAGATTGAGACCATCCTGGATAACACGGTGAAACCCCTTCTGTACTAAAAAATACAAAAAATTAGCCAGGCGTGGTGGCAGGCGCCTGTAGTCCCAGCTACTCGGGAGGCTGAGGCAGGAGAATGTGGTGAACCTGGGAGGTGGAGCTTGCAGTGAGCCGAGATCGCACCACTGCACTCCAGCCTGGGCAACGGAGCGAGACTCCGTCTCAAAAAAAAAAAAAAAGCAAAAAACCCCACATAATGCTTATAAAATCTCTTCCAGGCAAAACAAACAAACAACAATAAGAACAACAAAAAACCCTCACTATTTTGATTGTATTTTAAGCCTCTTGAGAAAAAGCGGTCCTAGTCATCTTTGATGCACTTGAGCACCTACTCAGTGTTTTGCATATAGTAACAATTCAATAAATACTTGTTGATTTTAAAGGAATAAATTATGATTCTTCTAAATTCCACTTTCTTAATCAAAAGTATTACATTATGAACACATTTATATATAAATGTGTCAATACCTCACTTGTCTAAAAATGTATTGGATATAAAATTCAGTCATG
The DNA here is from genome assembly GCF_000001405.40 of Homo sapiens. NCBI lineage: Eukaryota > Metazoa > Chordata > Mammalia > Primates > Hominidae > Homo > Homo sapiens. The sequence goes on from NC_000010.11 coordinate 25,980,583, forward strand.
AGTAGAATGATTTCATTCTGGAGAAGACATTCTAGGGGCACTTCATTTATATTGAACTTGGATTAATTTTGTGTGCTTCATATTATTTCAGGTCCTTTTTGTATATTCTTGGTGTTAGCAACTGTGTTTTTAAAACAAATTGGTAGACTTTATTTTTTGAGCAGTTTAATTTTGCAGAAAAATTAAGCAGAAAGTAAAGAGCTATATAAGCTTCATCTTGTACTAGTGTGGTACATTTGTTACAACTAAGCCAAGGATGATACATTATTATTAACCAAAATCCATAGTTTACATTAGGGTTCCCTACTGTTATACATTTTATGGATTTTGACAACTGTATGATGATCTGTATCAATCATTACAGTATCGCATAGAGTAGATTCACTGCCCTAAAAATTGTCTGTGTTGTACCTATTCATCCCTCCCTCTCCCCTGAATCCCTAGCAATTACTGATCTTTTCATTATCTCCACTTTTGCCTTTTCCAGAGTGTTATATAATTGGAATCACACAGTATGTAGCCTTTTCAGATTGCCTTCTTTCATTCAGCAATATGCATTTAACGTTTCCCCATTCTTGGTGTTTGCAACTAGATTTTAAACACAATTCAGGGTTGTATCTCCTGTTTCTTGGACACTTACCACTAGTAGAAAAGTGTACTGTTATAATTTGACATCCATATACCAACCATACCATACATCACACTATATACAAAAATTAAGTCAAAACGGATCACAGACCTACCTGTATGTAAAACTGAAAACTATAACGTTCCTAAGGAAATTACAGGAGAAAAAAATTGTGACTTTGAATTAGGAAAAAAAAAATTTAGACACAAAAAGGCACATTTTATGAATTTGTTTTAAATGATCAATTTAGAGCTTCTGCTCTTCAAAAGACACTTAAAATAAAAGGGCAAGCCACAGGGTTGGAGGAAATACTTCCAAAACATCTATTATGATAAAGGACTTATATCCAGAATATATAAAGAGCTCTCAAAACTCAACAATAAGCAAATAAGCAGTGAAAAAATGAACAAAAAATTGGATGTTTCACCAGAGAAATTATATGGATGGCAAATAAGTACATGAAAAGATGGTCAATGTTATTAGTCATCAGGAAAATCTACTCTAAAATCACAATGAGATACTAGTACTATTTAGAATGGCTTTAACAGGATTAAAATGGTGGATAGAAGGCAAGATTAACTTGCAGCTCCTACTCAAGACAGACAGAGCAGCATGTGAAGACTCACATCATGAAGTTTTACTCCAAGAACTACCTACCACAGGAATATACCAGGAAATCTGAGACATTTTGAAGGAACTGGATCACCTCTTCAGGTTCCCTGAGATGCCAAAAAACTGTGAGTCTGCTTGCTTTCTCAATGGGGAGGCTCGTAGTCTGGGGCAAGCTCTCAGCCCTGGTTACCAGCTGCCTGGAAATAGACTGGGTGCTGTTGATGGGGCACGGTGGGAGTGAGACTGGCCTTTAGGACTGCAGGCTGTGTGGGAGCTGGGTGAGGCTTGTGCATGCCAGCTTACCCCCACTTTGCTGGTGACCTGTGTGACTCAGCAGAGGCAGACATAATCTCCCTGGGAATATAACTCCACTGGACTGGGAACTACACCGTCATGCCCCACAGCAGCCACAGCGAGCCCCACCCAAGGAGAGGCTGAGCTCAGACACACCTATCCCTGCCGCCACCTGGTGGTCTTTCTCTACCCACTCTGGTAGCCAAAGAGGAAGGTCTTGGAAGACAAAAACTCTTGGAAGCTCTATGGCCCTGCTCACCACCTGAGAAACCTGAATACCTATCCAGGTGTCCCTAGGGCAAGTTTGCATGCTCTCTATAGGACTGCAGCTGATATGCTATTGAAAGCACCACCTCCTGGCTGGAGGCCAACCAACACAAAACCAGTGCACTAAACAAAAACACAACCAAAGACCTTCACTAAGCCCACTTTACTCCCCTGCTACCTCCACCAGTGCAGGTATCCACAGCTGCAAGACCTGAAGATGGATCACATTACAGAACTCTTTGCAGACGCTCCTCAGTACTAACCCAGAGCCTGGTAGCTCTGCTGGGTGGCTGGAAACAGAAGAGCAAAACCAATAACTACAATTTGGGTATTAAAAAACCCCATTCCTAGTGAAATGGAGAGAACACCATATCAAGGGAGCACCCTGTGGGACAAAAAAATCTGAACAGCAGCCCCTAAATCCCTGATCTTCCCTCTGACATAGTCTACCCAAATGAGAAGGAACCAGAAAAACAATTCTAGTAATACGACAAAACAAGATTCTTTAACACCGCCAAAAGATCATACCAGCACACGAGCAATGAACCCAAACCAAGATGAAATCTCTGAATTGCCAGAAAAAGAATTCAGAAGGTCAAATTTTAAGCTAATCAAGGAGGCACCAGAGATAGGTGGAGTCCAACTTAAAGAAATTAAAAACATGATACAGGATATGAAAGGAAAATTCTTCAGTGAAATATTAAATAGATAGCATAAATAAAAAACAATCACAACTTCTGGAAATCAAGGACACAATTAGAGAAATGCAAAATTCACTTGAAAGTCTCAGCAACAGAATTGCACAAGCAGAAGAAAGAACTTCAGAGCTTGAAAACAAGGCTTTTTAATTAATCAAAGACAAAGAAAAATGATTTTTGTTTTTTTTTTTTGAGACAAATTCCCACTCTGTCACCCAGGCTGGAGTGCAGTGGTGCGATCTCGGCTCACTGCAAGCTCCGCCTCCCGGGTTCATGCCATTCTCCTGTCTCAGCCTCCCTAGTAGCTGGGACTACAGGCGCCCGCCACCACGCCCAGCTAATTTTTTTTGTATTTTTAATAGAGACGGGGTTTCACCGTGTTATCCAGGATGGTCTCGATCTCCTGACCTTGTGATCCACCCGCCTCGGCCTCCCAAAGTGCTGGGATTACAGGTGTGAGCCACTGCACCCAGCCAGAAAAATGAATTTTGAAAAGTGAATAAAGCCTCCAAGAAATTTGGGACTATGTTAAATATCCAAACCTAAGAATAATTGGTGCTCCTGAGGAAGAAGAGAAATCTAAAAGTTTGGAAAACATATTTGAGGGAATAATTGAGGAAAACTTCCCCAGCCTTGCTAGAGATCTAGCAAATACATCCAAATACAAGAAGCTCAGAGAACACCTGGGAAAATCATCACAAAAGATCATTGCCTAGGCATATAGTCATCAGGTTATCTAAAGTCAAGACAAAGGAAAGAATCTTAAGAGCTGTGAGGCAAAAGCATCAGGTAACCTATAAAAGAAAACCTATCAGATTAACAGCAGATTTCTCAGCAGAAACCCTACAAACTCGAAGGGATTGAGGTCCAATTTTTAACTTCCTTAAACAAAACAGTTATCAGCCCAGAATTTTGTATCCAGAGAAACTAAGCTTCATAAATGAAGGAAAGAAGGTCTTTTCCAGACAAACAAATACTGAGAGAGTTCACCACTACCAAGCCAGCACTACAAGAACTGGTAAAAGGAGCTCTAAATCTTGAAACAAATCCTCCAAATACAACAAAATAAAATCTCCTTAAAACATAAATCTCACAGAACCTATATAACAATAACACAATGAAAAACAATCAAGGTATTCAGGCAACAAATAGCATGATCAATAGAATAGTACCTCACATCTCAATACTAGCATTGAATATAAATGGCCTAAATACTCCACTTAAATGATACAGAGTGACAGAATGGATAAGAATTTACCAACCAAGTTTCTGTTGTCTTCAGAAGACTCACCTAACACATAAGAACTCGCAAAAACTTAAGGTAAAGGGGCCAGGTTTTTCGCAGGCTACATAAATAACACACCTGGTCAAACCAATCCCCTGGGCCCTATGCAAACCAGAAACCACCTCCTCCAGCCTCCCGATACAATAAACTACCTTTCTGCCACACATGGTGTTTCTTTTTGTTCCAAGCCCCCCTCCCTTGTCTCTGTACAGGGAAGCTGTTCTCTTCTTCTTTCTTGCCCATTAAACTTTTCGCTCTTTGAAACCACTCCACGTGTGTCTGTGTCCTGTCAGCACAAAACCAAAAACCCTGGTGTTCCTACAGTCATCAAAGCCATATCAAGACCACAGTGGAATAAAATTGGAAATGAACTCCAAAAGGAACCCTCAAAATCATGCAAATACATGGAAATTAAATAACCTGCTCCTAAATGATCATTGGTCAACAATGAAATCAAGATGGAAATGAAAAAATTATTTGAACTGAACAATAATAGTGACACAACCTATCAAAAACTCTGGGATACAGCAAAAGCAGTTCTAAGAGAAAAGTTCATAGCATTAAATCCCTACTACATCAAAAAGTCTGAGGCCGGGCTTGCTGGCTCATTCCTGTAATCCCGGCACTTTGGGAGGCTGAGGCAGGCAGATTGCCTGAGCTCAGGAGTTTGCAGCCAGCCTGGGCAACACAGTGAAACCACGTTTCTACTAAAATTCAAAAAATTAGCCAGGCATGGCGGTGTGTGCCTGTCGTCCCAGCTACTTGGGAGGCTGAGGCAGGAGAATTACTTGAACCGCGGAGGCAGAGGTTGCAGTGAGCTGAGATCATGCCACTGCACTCCAGCGTGGGTGACAAAGCAAGACTCTGTCTCAAAAAAAAAAAAAAAAAAAAATTCTGAAAGAGCACAAATATATACAATCTAAAGTCACACCTCACAGAACTGGAGAAGCAAAAACAATCCAAACCCAAACTCAGCAGAAGAAAAGAAATAATGAAGATCAGAATAGAACTAAATGGAATTGAAACAAACAAACAAACAAACAAAAACAACAGATAAATGAAATAAAAAGCTGGTTAGACAAAGATTAACCAAGAAAAGGAGACAGAAGATCCAAATAAGCTTAATTGAAAACGAAATGGGAGATATTTCAACTGATACCAGAGAAATACAAAAGATTATTCAAGGATACTATGAACACCTTTGAGCACATAAACCAGAAAATCTAGAGGAGACAGATAAATTCCTGGAAATATGTAACCCTCCTAGATAAAACCAGGAAGATATAGAATCTCTGAACAGACCAATAACAAGCAGCAAGTTTGAAATGGTAATAAAAAAATTGCCCACCAAAAAAAGTCCAGGATCAGACAGATTCACAGCTGAATTCTATCAGACATTCAAAGAAGAATTGGTACCAATCCTATTGATACTATTCCAAAAGATAGAGAAAGAGGGAATTCTCCCTAAAGCATTCTGTGAAGCCAGTATCACCCTAATACCAAAACCAGGGTAGGACATAACAAAAAAAGGAAACTGCAGACCAGAAGAAAACTGCATATCCCTGATGCACATAGATGCAAAAATCCTCAACAAAATACTAGCAAACTGAATCCAACAGCATATCAAAACAGTAATTCACCATGATCAAGTGGGTTTTATACCAGGGATCCAGGGATAGATTAACATATGTAAGTCATAAATGTGACACACTACATAAACAGAATTAAAAATAATAATTACATGATCATCTCAATAGATGCAGAAAAAGCATTTGACAAAATCCAGCATCCCTTTATGATTAAAGCCCTCAGGAAAATTGGCATAGAAAGGAAATACCTTAAGGTAATAAAAACCATCTACAACAAACCCACAGCCAACATTATACTGAACAGGGAAAAGTTGAAAGCATTCCCCCTGAGAACTGAAACAAGACAGGGATGCCCACTTTCACCACTTCTATTCAACATAGTACTCGAATTCCTTGCCAGAGCAATCAGTCAAGAGAAAGAAATAAAGAACATCCAAATCAGTAAAGAAGAAGTCAAACTGTCACTCTTTGCTGATGATATGATCTTATACTTAGAAAACCCTAAAGACTCATCCGAAAAGCTCCTAGAACTGGTAAATGAGTTCAGCAAAGTTTCAGGAAACAAAATTGATGTACACAAATCAGTGGCTCTGCTATATGCCAACAGCAGCTAAGTGGAGAATCAAATCAAGAACTCAAACTCTTTCACAACAGCTGCAAAAATAAATAAATAAACTATTTAGGAATATATCCAACCAAGGATGTGAAAGACCTCTTACAAGGAAAACTACAAAACCGTGCTGAAAGAAATCACAGATGACACAAAAAAATGGAAACACAACCGATGCTCATGGATATGTAGAATCAATATTGTGAAAATGACCATACTGCCAAAAGCAATCTACAAATTCAATGCAATTTCCATCAAAATACCACAATCATTCTTCACAGAACTAGAAAAAAAATCATGAAATTCATATGGAACCAAAAAAGAGCCCAAATAGCCAAAGCAAGACTAAGCAAAAAGAATAAATCTGGAGGCATCACATTACCCAACTTCAAACCACACTATAGGCCATAGTCACCAAAACAGCATGGTACTGATACGAAAACAGGCACATAGACCAACGGAACAGAAGAGAGAACCTAGAAATAAAGCCAAATACTTACAGCCAATTGACCTTCAACAAAGCAAACAAAAACATAAAGTGGGGAAAGGATACTCTATTCAACAAATGGTGCTGGGATAATTGGCAAGCCACATATGGAAGAATGAAACTGGATTCTCATCTCTTACCTTCCACAAAAATCAACTCAAGATGGATCAAAGACTTAAATGTAAAACCTGAATCCATAAAGATTCTAGAAAATAATATGGGAAAAACCCTTTTAGACATTGGCGTAGGCAAAGACTTCATGACCAAGAACCCAAAAGCAAATGCAACAAAAACAAAGATAAATAGATGGAACTTAATTAAACTAAAAAGCTTCTGCGCAGCAAAAGAAATAATCAGTAGAGTTAGCAGACAATCCACAGAGTGAGAGAACATCTTCAAAATCTATATATCTGACGAAGAACTAATATCCAGGATCTACAAAGAACTCAAACAAATCAGCAAGAAAAAAAATCCCATCAAAAAGTGGGCTAAAGACATGAGTAAACAATTCTCAAAAGAAGATATACAAATGGGCAACAAGCATATGAAAAAATTCTCAACATCACTAATTATCAGAGAAATGCAAATCAAAACCACAATGTGAAACCACCTCACTCCTTCAAGAATGGCCATAATCAAAAAATCAAAAAATAATAGATGTTCGCATGGAAGCATTGAAAAGGGAATATTTTTACACTCCCATCAACACCACTATGGAACCACTATGGAAAACAGTGTGGGGATTCCTTAAAGAACTAAAAGTAAATCTACCATTTGATCCAGCAATCCCACTACTAGGTATCTACACAGAGAAAAAGAAATCACTATATGAAAAAGATATTTGTACACACATGTTCATAGCAGCACAATTTGCAATTGCAAAAACATGGAACCAGCCCAAATGCCCATCAATTAACAGGTGGATAAAGAAAATGTGATATATATATATGATCGAATACTACTCAGCCATAAAAGGGAATGAAATAATGGCATTCACAGCCACCTGGATGGAATTGGAGACCATTATTCTACATTATTCTAAGTGAAGTAACTCAGGAATGGAAAACCAAACATCATATATTCTCACTCATATGTGAGAGCTAAGCTATGAGGACACAAAGGCGTAAGAATGATACACTGGACATTGGGGACTCGGGGGAAAGTGTGGGTGGGTGGTGAGGGATAAAAGACAGCACACTGGGCACAGTGTACACAGCTCGGGTGATGGGTGCACCAAAATCTCAGAAATCACCACTAAAGAACTTATTCTTGTGACCAAACACTACCTGTTCCCTAAAAACCTATTGAAATTTAAAAAAAATTTAAATAAAAATAAAATAAAAAAATAGAATGGCTTTAATGAAACACCTCACAATGTCAAGTGCTGATGAAGATATGGAACAACTAGAACTCTCATACACTGCTAGAGGGGCTGCAGATGGTATAGCCATAGCCACCGTGGGAAACAGTCTGGCTGATGCAGAGACAGTTAAATATATAACCCATAGGATTCAGCAGTTTCCTCTCTTTGTACTTACCCAAGAGAAATGAAAACTTATATTCACATCAAAATCTGTACGTGAATGTTCATAGCAGTTCTACTTATAATTGCCAAAAACAATTAAAATGCCTTTCAGTTTTATAAATGAATAAACAGTGGTTCATCCATTCAGTAGAATACTCAGCATTAAAAAAAAGGAATTAAAAAACCCATTAAAACAGCATTTAGAAAAAGAATGTGCAAAGAAGCCAAATATTTACTCTTGTGTTAACATAATAGTCAATTGCAGAAAGTACAGCCAAATAGAGGCCACACTGGAGAAATAGGAAGATAAATTTAGTCTCCCTACAGTGCTTTTAGAAGTTTAAAACACAGCCCTAAAACTCTTTTTTTTTTTTTTTTTTTTTACTTTTTTTTTAGAGACAGCGTCTCGCTCTGTCGCCTAGGCTGGGGTGCAGTAGCTCACTGCAGCCTCGAACTCATGGGCTCATGCAATCCTGCCTCAGCCTACCAAGTAGCTGAACCTCAGCTATGTGCCACTATGCCTGGCTAATTTTTATAAAAAAATTTTTTTAGAGGCAGGGGTCTTACTGTGTTACCCAGGCTGGTCTCTAACTCCTAGCCTTAAGTGATCCTTTCACCTTGGCCTGCTAAAGGGCTGGATTACAGATGTGAGCCACTGCACCCAGCCAAACTTAGTTTTTTGGCTTTTTTTTTTTTTTAAAGCAGCTTGCAATTTAAAAGATACAATTTCTTTTCAATCAATTGTGAGTACTTTTGTGAGCCAGCAGCACTAGGCCACAGTGGAGCCAGTCTGACCTTTTATTCGGCTTCCAGGGCAGCAACACTCTTGTTTATGCAGCTAAAAGGGTATTACCCTTCCTGATACAGAAGAAAAATGCAAGTCTTGGAATGCTAGGCTGCACATACTCCTGTATAACCTGAAAGAAGTTTTCTCTGAATGAAGAAAAACACCAAATATAAATGTGCCTCAGTTTTTTCATGTTTAACATGAAGATGATACTACCTACTTCAGACAGTGGTGAGGTTTAGAGATAATCATGTAAACTGATTAGAAATGTGCCTGGCACAAAGTAAGTATGCAATTCATCTTAACTATTATTATTAATCCAAAATGTACTATAAGTGTTCAGGCATCCAGTAAAATCTAATCACCACATTAGAAAAATTGCATGAGAAAATTCATTCAGTTTTTCAATTTGCTTTCACCTTCTGACTTGGGTTAGAAGAGAGTCAGGGAAATGATGGTTTCTTTAGTTCCCAAGCAGGTGGGAAAGGAGGAGGCCCCGTATGTCAGGGTGATGGGCAGGGAAACCACAGAAAGGAGCCGTGGGATGTGTGACAAGGCTGATGGCAAAGGCTGAAGTATTAAGGATTGGAGGATCAAGGATTTGTGGGGTCAGTGCTTCACTGGGACGTTCTCTTGTTCCAGGGCCATTTATCCAGTTATCTTCCATTTTTAATTAATATTTGCTGCTAATATCAGTGTTTCTCTGTTCTGCAAACATACAGCTCTTTTGAAAGTTTTCTGTGATATTTAATATTACGTAACTTTGGAGAACCCAGATGTGGAAAACTCCCCTACCATGTTCCTTCCTCTTGTTTTTGTATGTATATTCTCCCTGTTTTGGGTGTGGGGAGGGGAAGGAGGATGCCAAAGTATGTACGGGTACATGATATTCTGGGTAATTTTCTAAGATATTATTTGTAATACTTACTGTAATAATAATGTATCCTGAAATTTTTTCAAATTTTTAAATTAATGTACATACAAAATGGTATATAACTGTTTTGAGGTGACATAATCTATTGCACTATTGATTAAACTATCATAAATCAATAATGCTTTTAAGCCCTAGATCCTAAAATTTGAGAATAATTTGTAGAATCATAATTCTTTTTTTTAAGGTAAAAGAGTTGTATTTCTTTTTTTAATATATATATTTTTTATTATACTTTTAAGTTCTAGGGTACATGTGCACAACATGCAGGTTTGTTACATATGTATACATGTGCCATGTTGGTGTGTTGCACCCATTAACTCGTCATTTACATTAGGTATATCTCCTAAGGCTACCCCTCCCCCCTCCCCCCACCCCACAACAGGCCCTGGTGTGTGATGTTCCCCTTCCTGTGTCCAAGTGTTCTCATTGTTCAATTCTTACCTGTGAGTGAGAAGATGCGATGTTTGGTTTTTTGTCCTTGCCATAGTTTGCTGAGAATGATGGTTTCCATCTTCATCCATGTCCCTACAAAGGACATGAACTCATCATTTTTTTATGGCTGCATAGTATTCCATGCTGTATATGTGCCACATTTTCTTAATCCAGTCTATCATTGTTGGACATTTGGGTTGGTTCCAAGTCTTTGCTATTGTGAGTAGTGCCGCAATAAACATATGTGTGCATGTGTCTTTATAGCAGCATGATTTACAATCCTTTGTGTATATACCCAGTAATGGGATGGCTGGGTCAAATGGTATTTCTAGTTCTAGATCCCTGAGGAATCACCACACTATCTTCCACAATGGTTGAACTAGTTTACAGTCCCACCAACAGTGTAAAAGTGTTCCTATTTCTCCACATCCTCTCCAGCACCTGTTGTTTCCTGACTTTTTAATGATCGCCATTCTAACTGGCATGAGATGATATCTCATTGTGGTTTTGGTTTGCATTTCTCTAATGGCCAGTGATGATGAGCATTTTTTCATGTGTCTGTTGGCTGCATAAACGTCTTCTTTTGAGAAATGTCTGTTCATATCCTTCGCCCACTTGTTGATGGGGTTGTTTGTTTTTTTCTTGTAAATTTGTTTGAGTTCTTTGTAGATTCTGGATATTAGCCCTTTGTCAGATGAGTAGATTGCAAAAATTTTCTCCCATTCTGTAGGATGCCTGTTCACTCTGATGGTAGTTTCTTTTGCTGTGCAGAAGCTCTTTAGTTTAATTAGATCCCATTTGTCAATTTTGGCTTTTGTTGCCATTGCTTTTGGTGTTTTAGACATGAAGTCCTTGCCCATGCCTATGTCCTGAATGGTAATGCCTAGGTTTTCTCCTAGGGTTTTTATAGTTTTAGGTCTAACATTTAAGTCTTTAATCCATCTTGAATTAAGTTTTGTATAAGGTGTAAGGAAGGGATCCAGTTTCAGCTTTCTACATATGACTAGCCAGTTTTCCCAGCACCATTTGTTAAATAGGGAATCCTTTCCCCATTGCTTGTTTTTGTCGGGTTTGTCAAAGATCAGATAGTTGTAGATGTGTGGTATTATTTCTGAGGGCTCTGTTCTGTTCCATTGGTCTATATCTCTGTTTTGGTACCAGTACCATGCTGTTTTGGTTGCTGTACCCTTGTAGTATAGTTTGAAGTCAGGTAGCGTGTTGCCTCCAGCTTTGTTCTTTTGGCTTAGGATTGACTTGGCAATGTGGGCTCTTTTTTGGTTCCATATGAACTTTAAAATAGTTTTTTCCAATTCTGTGAAGAAAGGCATTGGTAGCTTGATGGGGATGGCACTGAATCTGTAAATTACCTTGGGCAGTATGGCCATTTTCACAATATTGATTCTTCCTACCCATGAGCATGGAATGGTCTTCCATTTGTTTGCGTCCTCTTTTGTTTCACTGAGCAGTGGTTTGTAGTTCTCCTTGAAGAGGTCCTTCACATCCCTTGTAAGTTGGATTCCTAGATATTTTATTCTCTTTGAAGCAATTGTGAATGGGAGTTCACTCATGATTTGGCTCTCTGTCTGTGATTGGTGTATAAGAATGCTTGTGATTTTTGCACACTGATTTTGTATCCTGAGCCTTTGCTGAAGTTGCTTATCAACTTAAGGAGATTTTGGGCTGAGACAATGGGGTTTTCTAAATATACAATCATGTCATCTGCAAACAGGGACAATTTGACTTCTTCTTTCCTAATTGAATACCCTTTATTTCTTTCTCTTGCCTGATTGCCCTGGCCAGAACTTCCAACACTATGTTGAATAGGAGTGGTGAGAGAGGGCATCCCTGTCTTGTGCCGGTTTTCAAAGGGAATGCTTCCAGTTTTTGCCCATTCAGTATGATATTGGCTGTGGGTTTGTCATAAATAGCTCATTATTTTGAGATATGTCCCATCAATACCTAATTTATTGAGAGTTTTTAGCATGAAGGGCTGTTGAATTTTGTTGAAGGCCTTTTCTGCATCTATTGAGATAATCATGTGGTTTTTATCTTTGGTTCTGTTTATATGCTGGATTACGTTTATTGGTTTGCATATGTTGAACCAGCCTTGCATCCCAGGGATGAAGCCCACTTGATCATAGTGGATAAGCTTTTTGATGTGCTGCTGGATTCGGTTTGCCAGTATTTTATTGAGGATATTTGCATTGATGTTCATCAGGGATATTGGTCTAAAATTCTCTTTTTTTGTTGCATCTCTGCCAGGCTTTGGTATCAGGATGATGCTGGCCTCATACAATAAGTTAGGGAGGATTCCCTCTTTTTCTATTGATTGGAATAATTTCAGAAGGAATGGTACCAGTTCCTCCTTGTACCTCTGGTAGAATTCGGCTGTGAATCCATTTGGTCCTGGATTTTTTTTTGGTTGGTAAGCTGTTAATTATTGCCTCAATTTCAGAGCCTGTTATTGGTCTATTCAGAGATTCAACTTCTTCCTGGTTTAGACTTGGGAGGGTGTATGTGTCCAGGAATTTATCCATTTAATCTAGATTTTCTAATTTATTTGCGTAGAGGTGTTTATAGTATTCTCTGATGGTAGTTTGTATTTCTGTGGGATTGATGGTGATATCCCCTTCATGATTTTTTATTGCATCTGTTTGATTCTTCTCTCTTTTCTTCTTTAATAGTCTTGCTAGTGGTCTATTGATGATTTTGTTGATTTTTTCAAAAAACCAGCTCCTGGATTCATTGACTTTTTGAAGGGTTTTTTGTGTCTCTATCTCCTTCAGTTCTGCTCTGATCTTAGTTATTTCTTGCCTTCTGCTAGCTTTTGAATGTGTTTGCTCTTGCTTCTCTAGTTCTGTTAATTGTGATGTTAGGGTGTCAATTTTAGATCTTTCCTGCTTTCTCTTGTGGGCATTTAGTGCTATAAATTTCCCTCTACACACTGCTTTAAATGTGTCCCAGAGATTCTGGTATGTTGTGTCTTCATTCTCATTGCTTTCAAAGAACTTCTTTATTTCTGCCTTCATTTCATTATGTACCCAGTTGTCATTCAGGAGCATATTGTTCAGTTTCCATGTAGTTGAGCAGTTTTGAATGAGTTTCTTAATCCTGAGTTCTAGTATGGTTGCACTGTGGTCTGAGAGACAGTTTGTTATTATTTCTGTTCTTTTACATTTGCTGAGGAGTGCTTTACTTCCAACTATGTGGTCAGTTTTGGCATAGGTGCGGTGTGGTTCTGAGAAGAACGTATATTCTGTTGATTTGGGGTAGAGAGTTCTGTAGATGTCTATTAGGTCCTCTTGGTGCAGAGCTGAATTCAATTCCTGGATATCCTTGTTAACTTTCTGTCTCGTTGATCTGTCTAATGTTGACAGTGGGGTGTTAAAGTCTCCCATTATTATTGTGTGGGAGTCTAAGTCTCTTTGTAGGTCTCTAAGGACTTGCTTTATGAATCTGGGTGCTCCTGTATTGGGTGCGTATATATTTAGGATAGTTAGCTCTTCTTGTTGAATTGATCCCTTTACCATTATGTAATGGCCTTCTTTGTCTCTTTTGATCTTTGTTGGTTTAAAGTCTGTTTTATCAGAGACTAGGATTGCAACCCCTGCATTTTTTTGTTTTCCATTTGCTTGGTAGATCTTCCTCTATCCCTTTATTTTGAGCCTACGTGCGTCTCTGCACATGAGATGGGTCTCCTGAATACAGCACACTGATGGGTCTTGACTCTTTATCCAATTTGCCAGTCTGTGTCTTTTAATTGGAGCATTTAGTCCATTTACATTTAAGGTTAATATTGTTATGTGTGAATTTGATCCTGTCATGATGTTAGCTGGTTGTTTGCTCATTAGTTGATGCAGTTTCTTCCTAGCATCGATGGTCTTTACAACTTGGCATGTTTTTGCAGTGGCTGGTACTGGTTGTTCCTTTCCATGTTTAGTGCTTCCTTCAGGAGCTCTTTTAGGGAAGGCCTGGTGGTGACAAAATCTCTCGGCATTTGCTTGTCCGTAAAGGATTTTATTTCTCCTTCACTTATGAAGCTTAATTTGGCTGGATATGAAATTCTGGGTTGAAAATTCTTTTCTTTAAGAATGTTGAATATTGGCCCCCACTCTTTTCTGGCTTGTAGAGTTTCTGCCAGGAGATCCACTGTTAGTCTGATGGGCTTCCCTTTGTGGGTAACCCGATCTTTCTCTCTGGCTGCCCTTAATATTTTTTCCTTCATTTCAACCTTGGTGAATCTGACAATTATGTGTCTTGGAGTTGCTCTTCTCGAGGAGTATCTTTGTGGCGTTCTCTGTATTTCCTGAATTTGAATGTTGTCCTGCCTTGCTTGGTTGGGGAAGTTCTCCTGGATAATATCCTAAAGAGTGTTTTCCAACTTGGTTCCATTGTCCCTGCCACTTTCAGGTACACCAATCAGACGTAGATTTGGTCTTTTCACATAGTCCCATGTTTCTTGGAAGCTTTGTTCATTTCTTTTTATTCTTTTTTCTCTAAACTTTTCGCTTCATTTCATTCATTTGATCTTCAATCGCTGATACCCTTTCTTCCAGTTGATCGAATCAGTTGCTGAAGCTTGTGCATTCATCATGTAGTTCTCGTGCCGTGGTTTTCAGCTCCATCAGGTCCTTTAAGGACTTCTCTGCATTGGTTATTCTAGTTAGCCATTTGTCTAATCTTTTTTCAAGGTTTTTAACTTCTTTGCGATGGATTCGAACTTCCTCCTTTAGCTTGGAGAAGTTTGATCCTCTGTAGCCTTCTTCTCTCAAATCATCAGTCATTCTCCATCCAGCTTTGTTCCATTGCTGGTGAGGAGCTGCGTTCCTTTGGAGGAGGAGAGGTGCTGTGATTTTTAGAATTTTCAGTTTTTCTGTTCTGGTTTTTCCCCATCTTTGTGGTTTTATCTACCTTTGGTCTTTAATGATGGTGACATACAGATGGGGTTTTGGTGTGGATGTCCTTTCTGTTTGTTAGTTTTCCTTTTAACAGTCAGGACCCTCAGCTGCAGGTCTGTTGGAGTTTGCTGGAGGTCCACTCCAGACCCTGTTTGCCTGGGTATCAGCAGCGGAGGCTGCAGAACAGCGAATATTGCTGAACAGCAAATGTTGCTGTCTGATCGTTCCTCTGGAGGTTTTGTCTCAGAGGGGTACCCGGCCCTGTGAGGTGTCAGTCTGCCCCTACTGGGGAGTGCCTCCCAGAAAGGCAACTCGGGGGTCAGGGACCCACTTGAGGAGGCAGTCTGTCCGTTCTCAGATCTTAAACTCCATGCTGGGAGGACCACTACTCTCTTCAAAGCTGTCAGACAGGGACATTTAAGTCTGCAGAAGATTCTGCTACCTTTTGTTTGGCTATGCCCTGCCCCCACAGGTGGAGTCTACAGAGGCAGGCAGGCCTCCTTGAGCTGTGGTGGTCTCCACGCAGTTCCAGCTTCCTGGCCGCTTTGTTCACCTACTCAAGCCTCAGCAATGGCGGGTGCCCCTCCCCATAATTCTTATCCTTGCATTTGAAAATCAAGCTCATGCTTCTCCAAATTATCTTCTAAAAATTAATTCATGTGAAAATTGTGTTCTAGGAATTAATTTTACACAAGTCTAAGTTTATATATTCATTTTATTTATGAAAGCATAAAGATAATGGCATTAATCATTTGAAAGAGAACATTGGAACACTTTTAAAAATGTCTTGGAAGAACTTTTCTAGAAAGAACATAAAATGTCACATGTTTTTAATAGCCATCTTAAAATATTCTTGTTTAGCTCTGCAGTGGAGGATCAGTGACTGACCTTGTGAAAGGATTTCTGAAGAGGGGTGAAAGAATGAGTGAGCCTCTAATTGCCTATATTTTACATGAAGCACTAATGGTAAGGCAATTTAAATTGTATGTGCATTAATTATGAAGCAGTTCCAGTTAAAAAATGTAGATCCTATTTTTAGAAAAATGTCACTAGTGATACTACATTAGTATTTATTGATGGAAGAATATATGCAAAATCTGACATGTTCAGCATAGCTAATTCTTTTTTTCCACTACAAATTTACTTTCATTGGACCAACAGGATCCTGAATTCTGACCTCTTAAGTGTATTTCTGAGACTGTGATAGTGATGAAGGTAGAAAACTAATAATAGGGTTTTTTGGCCATTATCTTAGATAGGTATATGAAATATTTTCTTCCATTGAAACTCACACATTTGTAATACGATATTTGCTAAGAATTAAGGAGCATGCTTTGATTCTGTGAATTTTTATATAATTCAAAGTGGAAATGATGTTCTTTGATGTGACTAACTCAATGTGAAACATTTGAGTGTCTGAATGTTAATTTTATTATGTGTTTCCTATTGATTTTGTACAGGTACATCATCTGAAAATTTTTATTGTTTGATGCTTTTGTTAAGAGTCATTATATATTTCTTATCTTCTAGGGACTTCAACATTTGCATAACAACAAAACTATCCACAGAGATGTGAAAGGCAATAACATTCTATTGACCACGGAAGGTGGAGTGAAACTAGTAGATTTTGGTAAGTTTTGTTTAAAATGCATGAGTTTTAACTCCATAATGAACTAGTATGATATGATTTGATCTTTTTCGAATGGCCTTCCTTTCTAGGTATTGGAAATAGAGGAAAAATCAGTAGTATCTTATTGAGGTAAGAAGTGCAGAGATAATTTGGCAAATGAGAGATTCCCAGAAGAAAGGGTAACTTCTTTCAAGTCAGCTAGTTTGTGCTCATATAACACCAGTGTAGTAACATGCGTAGTTGATCCTCTAAAACAGACAGCATCTCAAATGATTACTGTAAGCCTATAATGACAATCTCATGGTTCCTACTAGTGATTGCTTTGCAAATGGACATATATCCAAATCCAGGATTTTGAGATGTGAGGGGAAATTTTCATTATCATCTGGGAGTATTTCCTCCCTCCTAAGGAGAAACAGGAAAAGATGGTCTCTTTCTTCCTCAGGACCCTTGCATGTCATACAGTGATGCCGGAAACTGCTACAGTTACCTGTGACTAAGATGCTCTGTCCTGAGCAGAAAGCCAGCTCTGAGAAAGGCAGAGCTGAGAGAGGGGAAGAATGGGGGTGTTTGATAACATAATTGAGGCACTAAGTCAATCAACTTTGGAGCCTACCTTATCTCTGGACCTTTTGTTATGTGAAATAATAAATTTCCATATTTACTAAACTTTCTTGTGAGAATGGATGACAGTAATCCTGAAGATGTCTCAGTATCCTTCAGTCGTTATTCTCCTTCCCTTTTGCACTGTAGGTGGGTAAGGTATCCCTCCTTGTGTTTCTGTAACCTGTGTATACTTCCTTGTTTGCATTTATCGTATAGAATTATAATTATACATTTGGTCTTTATAGATAAAGATACTTAGAAATATAGGTGGACAGACAGAGTCTTTGAGAAGTGGGACTGTGTCTTAGTCTATTTCGTAGACCTAATGCTTTGAGTATAGAAGTCCACTGAGTGTTAGTTGAATGAATGAGTCTTCCTTCATTTTGCATTTTGGAAACTAAAGCTCAGCAAGTTAATGGGTTAATTTTTAAAATTTCTTTAATATCTAAGTATTTTGGCTTAGCCCAGGAATGAATTTCAGAGCATCTAGAGAGGAATGGATGAATAGTGTATCCTCAAACATGCATGTGCCTATGCTTTGTTTTTCTCACCTGTGCATTTGAAAACTTCTGAGCAGCAGTGAATTTGTGAATTCCTGATTAATAACTGGGGTGCAGCTAGTCTATGTTTCTGGTTGAATTCAGAGCCTTGAGCAATCTGTCTGGGTTAGTGTACTAATAAGGGCTTCTGCTTGAAATTACAACAAATCATTCTTCACTGCTTCATAGGAGGGGCCATTATTCTCTCCAGAAAATAATTTTGTCTACCCTGTAAGACAGACTCAAATGGAGAACTTGCTATTTAACTTGGGATCTCACAATTCCCTTCCTCTAAAAAATAGATACAGTAAGTATAGCATAGATTGAAAATTGTTAAAACAAGTATCAATAAACAACTTTTTAGCTATTAAAGAAAAATTTGGTAAACCAGAAGCTTTGAGAAATGTAAATTCCTATGATTTCCTCCAAAATAAACTAGATTGAAAACATATACTTAGATAACAAATAAGGCAACCTTTTATATATTTTTGTTTTGTTTTGTTTTGTTTTTTGAGATGGAGTCTCACTCTGTCGCCCAGGCTGGAGTGCAGTGGCACGATCTCGGCTCACTGCAAGCTCTGCCTCCTGGGTTCACACCATTCTCCTGCCTGAGCCTACCTAGTAGCTGGGACTACAGGCGCCCACCACCATGCCTGGCTAATTTTTTGTATTTTTTAATAGAGACGGGGTTTCACCATATTAGCCAGGATGGTCTCGATCTCCTGACCTCATGATCCACCCGTCTCGGCCTCCCAAAGGGCTGGGATTACAGGCGTGAGCCACCGTGCCTGGCCTTTATATGATATCTTTTTAAAACATCATAAATTGGAGTAGTTAACAAAATGAGAGCTTTGGTCTTATATTATTTGATTTATAGATTTTTGGCAATAATTAGAAAAGAGGGCCAGTTGCTTATGAAATGCATTCCTAGTATCTGACACCAAAATATTATTAATTACATATAAGATAGTACTTATAATATTTCTATTCTCCACAGTAAGAGGACATGGATTCAGTTTGCCTATGGTGATTAGTAGGTTGTTGTATGAATTAAAACCTGAGGATGGTAGGGGTGTACATTTATACTGAAAATTCTTGAGGGCAGAAAGAACAAGATGTGGTAAACCACAACCTGCAGAATCAAACTGAAAATCAATGTCCTCATTTTATTTTTAAATCAAATTTTCAGAGAAAGCTACAGCTGGGAGTAAAGGGTTATAGAATCAATTTTATTTGAATCTGTCACTTCATAATTATACTATCAGCTCATTATTGGGTACTGAAGATCTTAGATAGCTGTCAGGCACCTCATACTCAGAATGTCCAAAATGGAGCTGCACCACCTCATCTGTCTAGAAATCTGCTACATATAAAGAGTTTCTTGTCTTAGAAAGTCGCCCACATCTACTCATTGCTCAAAACGAAAATCTTAAGCTCATCCTCGAGTCTTCCCTTGTTTTCACCTCCCACTTATACAACTTAGACACAAAACTTGTCTCTCTGTTAGATATCGCCAAATTCCATCTTTACTGCTCCTGCCCTAGTTCTAGCCCTCATCTCTTGCCTGGGCTCCTGCAGTTATACTTTACTGAACTCCCTGCATCCTAATCTCCTTCCTTTCCTTCCAATCCTTTCTCCACACTGCAGCCAGGGGGATCCTTTCAAAAAACACATCTGATCCTGCGACTACCTTGTTCAGTATCTCCATCCCTTGGGGAAGGCTTTTCCTTATGATCCTCCGTGCTGGAACAGAGTAAGCAACTAATGAGTAATAACTTCTTTATATCTCTTGGTGCTAATCAGGTACCCTCTCTTCCTATTACCTATTAGCCAGGTCCACATCTTTCACTACCTTAAATGTGCCATAATCTTTCCCAGTCAGAGCTCTTACACTTGTAACTTGGAAAATACTTCGAAATTTATTGACGTGCTTTTTCTTTTTTTCCTGCCTGATAACATGATCTTCACCCCAGTGTGCCTGAGGCATCACTCTGTTTGGCAGTGGGAAAATAATGAACATTTATTCTAGAAGAAATGCAAATTGCAAAAAAAATGATTGAGGTAACATTCAGTTTTTAGCATTCAAAAATAGGAATTTATAGCAAGGCTATCTCCTGAGGAAAGCCTATCTCCTGAGGAAAATCTGTCTAAATTGCTTACCTTCTCTTTAGCATATGGAGAGAAGTTTTCAGGGATACACCACAGGGTTTTTTTTTATAAGACGGGGTCATTGTGGAAAGATCAAACAGGGTGAAGCAGGGCAGTGAGATGAGCTTTTTTTTTTTTGAAACAGAGTTTCCCTCTGTCACCCAGGCTGGAGTGTAGGAGATGAGCTTTTAAAAAGATAATGAGGGCAGGAAGGAGCTCTTACCTTCTGTATTAGCCCATTCTCACACTGCTATAAAGAACTACCTGAGACTGGGTAACTTATAAAGAAAAGAGATTTGATTGACTCACAGTTCCACAGGCTGTGCATGAGGCATGGCTGGGGAGGCTTCAGGAAACTTACAATCATGGCAGGAGGGCAAAGGCAAAGCTGGCACATCTTACTATGGTGGCTGGAGAGAGAGAGTGATGGGGGAAGGGCTACACACTTTTAAACAAGCACATCTCGTGAGAACTCACTATCACGAGAACAGCAAGGGGAAATCTGCCCCCATGAACCAATCACCTCCCACCAGGTCCCTCCCCCAAATTACAATTTGATATGACATTTGGGTGGGGACACAGAACCAAATGATGTCACCCTCACACTTCCTACCACTCTCACTCGCCATTCCTGAGGAAGCCACTCAGAATCTGCGGCATTCCTGTCTGCGGTGAGCCACATCATTGCTAACCTGGAGGGGCAGAATGATCAGATAGTGGAAAGACTCAAGTTAGCTTTTCCAAACCCTTAGCTTTAGTTTTCCAGAAACCTGAAAGTAATTGATAATCTGGCTGGAAAGTTTCTAGAAGGGGTTTTTCAGAAGATAAGGGGGGTGGGTGTACAGTGAGGCACTGGGCAGATCCCCTGGGCCAGCTCTGCTGTGTCTAAATGGGAGTCAGCCAGAACTCAGAGTGTTCTCAGCTCTAACTGGAGCAAACAGACTTAATCTGCAGGAGGAGCCACAGGAAGTGCTCTCTGCATGAGAGGAACAGACCACAAGCTCCCTGGAGGCAGACTACGGCCTGGGAGCCCAGTAGGGCACCTAGCGGCTAGGCAGACAAAAGCATATGGCCCCTTAAACTAGAAAGCCACCATGCCCAAGGACCCTCTCTTTTCTCCTGACACAAGGTCTTAAAAGAAGGAGGAGGGGCAGGCATGGTGGTTCATGCCTATAATCCCAGCACTTTGAAAGGATGAGGCAGGAGGATTACTTGAGCCCAGGAGTTAGAGGCCAGACTGGGCAATATAGCAAGACCCTGTCTCTACAAAAACTTATTTTAAAAAATTAGTCAAGCTTGGTCACATGTACCTGTAACCCCAGCTATTCAGGAGGCTGAGGTGGGAGGATTGCCTGGGCCCAGGAGTTCGAGGCTGCAGTGAGCTGTGATTGCACCACTGCATTCTAGCCTGGGTGGCAGAGTGAGACCCTTTCTGAGGAGGGATGCCATCTGAGAAATGGAGAAAACACTTTTATCCAAGAGAGACTGAACCCTATCTAAAAGGACTTATGGATTTATTGAATTTAACTGAGCTTTATTTTTCTTCCAGCCAGTGGGCATGAGCTTGGGGAAAAGCCATAATAGTTATAGTAAAAACGAAGAAATTGCAATTTCTCTGTGTATCTAAGAGTAGATTCTGAATTTTGACCAGTTACACACATGATACTTTCCCTGCATAGAAACCTTCCCTCTCCTCTGCACTGTTATATATAAAGTTTCAGTACCACAAAAGAAATAGCACTCGAATATAATTCAAATATAAAATTTTCTTTTTAATTCTCAGCAAGGCAAGTTACTTCTATAGAAGGATGCACCCCTAGAGATGGAGCAATGGTGAGCGCACACCTGCACAAGGGAGGGGAAGGGGTTCTTATCACTGATGCACGTGGCCCCTGCTGCTGTGTCGTTCCCCTATTGGCTAGGGTTAGACCGCACAGGCTAAACTAATTCTGATTGGCTAAATTAAAGAGAGTGATGGGGTAAGTGGTTTGGCAGGAAAAATGGTTATGACCGAGCAGGTAATCGGAATAAGTCAGGGTGGACCAGGTAATCGGAATGAGTCAGGGTGGACCAGGTAATCGGAATGAGTCAGGGTGGACCAGGTAATCGGAATGAGTCAGGGTGGAGCAGGTGATTGAAATGAGTCAGGGTGGAGGAGGTAATTGAAAAAGGTTGCTTTATGAGGAAGTTAAGTTTAAAAGTAGAAGGCAAAGAATTGAACATACTGACATATTGATTCTTTGAAAAGAAATTTAGAATTCATATCTAACAGCACCCAGCTAACTTCTGCTTGCCCAAGTTTTCCCCAACGCCCTGTACTTCATTTAGCCAACCAGTTGTCAGACTTCACTGTAATCATATTTTATTTGAGTACTTTCTCTGCTAAGCTGTAGATTTCTCTGGTCTATCACTTTGTCACTTTGTCCCTAGAACCAGGTACAGTGCTAACATTTTGAAAGTACTTAATGAATGAATGAAGGAGGGGGAAGACTTGCCATATAATTATGTGACAATGAGAAAGTCACACAGAATCTGCAAGGGCATCAACCTGCACATCTACAAGTGTGAAAAAGTCTCTGCCTCCTAAGATTGGTTGCTGTGAAGAATAAATGGGATGCCAGAGGCAAACTACTTAGTATAATTGCTGATACTTCATAATTCAGAAAATCTAAACTGTTACCATTATTATGAGATAATATTCCTACTTAGCCTATAGCTCAGTGCTATACACATAGTAGGTGCTTAATAAATAGTTGCTAAATAATGAAAATCTGAGTTTCCAAAAGAGGTGCCTCTTTATGTTTCCAAAAAAGAAAACAGTAACCCTCTGCTAGAATAAATTCAGTATTACTTTAAATATGAAGCTACCTAATTACACTAAAAGTAAGATTCAGTTTGCTAATGCTCATTATGAATACGGCCTTTAAGAAAAACTTTTAGTTTTTTATTAAGTGGGGTATACTTTTACAAAAAATCACCAGATACCTCAGAGAGCAAAATGACAAGTGAGGTTATAAATATTATTAATGAAATGTATTAGCCATTACTGGTATATGATCAGTCAATCAATAATATGACTTCCCAGGAGATAGATCCCTTCAGGCAAGTGAACTAATGTCTGAAAAAAAACAATCTTTATCTTGAATAGAAAATGAAAGAGACTAAATTTAAAGGACAGCCCTTAGTTCTTATTTCTGCGGATTTCTCTCTGGGGAACTTCATTTCTAATAGGATACTTAACATTTCAATACAAAAGTACAGAATGTACTTTTTGTGATTTATTTAGACCTCATTCTTATGACAGAATATTTTATGGTTTTAAATCTCTTATTACCCACATGCCCCATTTTAGACCAAATCCCCAATGCATAATGTAGGTCAAAGAGAAGCTGTGATTTGTTTATTAATAACCCACTTTTTAGCACCAAGTGAGGCAGTACACCCGAACTTAAAAATTATGGAGTGCCCTTCAATCCTTCCTTTCTTTATGAATAATTTAGAACAAAAGCCATTGGGTGGGACAAGCAAGCATGGGAGTCCAGGTGCAGCTCAGTAGGCAGTTTGGAGTCTGAGAGGGGTAAGGAAGGTATCTGCTGGCAGGGAGTGTTGGGTCCCCAAGTGGGATGAGAAGCACATCCATGTAGGGTGATGGGGATGATCCTGTATGGGGACGAACTTCCTGTAGATGAGAAAGGTATCTGCATAGGGATCAGGGTGGAGAGAAGAGACTGGTTACCTAAAGGAGGCCTGATACAGTCAGGAGATATACTGAGGACAACGGGCGGCAGGTTTCTTACTGTTACAGAAAAGAATTATAGTGATGTTGGGTTGGAATTGGAGGTATCAATGTGAACTCACCATTTTATATATATTTAATATCTGTTTATATTAATATATATAAACATATAAAAATAAATATAATGTGAATGCATGTGAGTGTGTGTGTACATATTACCTAGCTAATTCCACTAACAGGGTATTAAGAGAGCACATCTAGCACCTAGCTTTTGGTTTTTAAATGTAATTCTCAACTAAAAGGAATCAAGGATTCTTGGAGAAAGGCTGATTTTAGGGCTCCATGAGATGACCCTGGAACTTACTGTGCCCTCCAAATAAGGAAATACTCAAATAATGATGGAGACATGTCAGAAGCACACAGAAACCAACTTGAAGCAATTCTTACTCTCTAGATCTGGGACAGTTTGAGCACCAAAATACTAATATTGCTGGTAATGATAGTAATTCACTGAATGCAATAAAAACTCCATTAATCCATACTGTCATAAATACATACATAATTAAATGAATGGGGAGAAGCAAAAGCTTTTCCTTACAGAAGAATGCTGATGAGTAAAGATAGAAGAAATCGTGTAATTTTAAAATTCATCATTTGGTAACCATCTATGTAATAATTAATTCATCCAAAAATTTCAATGGCTGCTAAAACTAGTGAGTTAAGTTTTGATTAGAAATAGGGTAGCTTAATTGTTTCGAAATATCTCTCCACAAAATACTAATTAATTACAAAAGAAAGAGGGAAAGATTACAGGGGAGAAGACTGGCAGACACAACCATTAATCAAGTGCTCAAAGCAAACATAACTAGTAATGAGATGAATGCAAACCACACAGCACCTGAGAGGATGCAATGAGAAGACCTCAGCATCACTTCTGTGATGTTCCTGCCAAAAATAAAATCGTGAGGGAATATACAACAAACCCAAATTCAGGAACAGTCTATAGAACAACTGGCCTGAAATCTTAAAAAAAAATGTTAAGTTCATGAAATTCAAGAAAAGATTGAGGAACTCCTCCAGATTGAAGGAGATTAGAAACTTGACAACTAAAAGCACCACATAATCCCGGATTAGATCATTTTGTTTTAAAGGACATATTTAGGACAGTTGATGAAATTTGAATGGGCTCTGTAGAGTAGATGATAGAAGTGTATCAGCATTAAAATTCCTGATTTTGAAGGTTGTGTAAGGGGAATATCCTTGTTTGTGGCAATTACAAACAAATATATAGGAGTGAAGGGGCATTATGTAGCCCACCTTACTCTCAGATGGTTCAGGAATAAAAGTACTTTGTAGTTTTCTTGCCAACTTTTCTCTAAGGTTGAAATTATGTGTATATGTGTATATATATGTATATATGTAATACATATTAGTTGAATGTTATGAATCTTGAAAATTTGAGAGCTAGTGCTTTATAGAGTGAAATAATACACTGAAAAAGAAACTAGGGGGAAACCATTTTAAAAGCTGGCAGAGTTTTCAAATGCTCATAACTATATAAAACATTAATATATTACTCATCCAGAATACATTTTTGTACTTTGAGGAGGCGACTTTTACCTTATTTGAAAGGCAAGGTCTTTATAATTATTATGTAAAGTTGAACCATGAATAAGTGGACTCTTTATTTTAGAGCTTTATGATTCAAGCAGAACCTGTGGGCTCAGGAGTTCCAAAACTGACTATTTTTCAAAGTCGAATTAAGCTATTTAACATTATAGAAACTGCTGTAGGTTTCAGTCAACGATCTTTTAGTTGTAAGGACTAGATGCCCCAACTAGCTACTGGGTACATAACGAAATGAAGGCAGAAATAAAGATGTTCTTTGAAACCAACGAGAACAAAGACACAACATACCAGAATCTCTGGGACACATTCAAAGCAGTGTGTAGAGGGAAATTTATAGCACTAAATGCCCACAAGAGAAAGCAGAAAGATCCAAAATTGACACCCTAACATCACAATTAAAAGAACTAGAAAAGCAAGAGCCAACACATTCAAAAGCTAGCAGAAGGCAAGAAATAACTAAAATCAGAGCAGAACTGAAGAAAATAGAGACACAAAAAACCCTTCAAAAAACTAATGAATCCAGGAGCTGGTTTTTTGAAAGGATCAACAAAATTGATAGACTGCTAGCAAGACTAATAAAGAAGAAAAGACAGAAGAATCAAATAGATGCAATAAAAAATGATAAAGGGGATATCACCACCAATCCCACAGAAATACAAACTACCATCAGAGAATAGTACAAACACCTCTACGCAAATAAACTAGAAAATCTAGAAGAAATGGATAAATTCCTGGACACATACACCCTCCCGAGACTAAACCAGGAAGAAGTTGAATCTCTGAATAGACCAATAACAGGCTCTGAAATTGTGGCAATAATCAATAGCTTACCAACCAAAAAGAGTCCAGGACCAGATGGATTCACAGCCGAATTCTACCAGAGGTACAAGGAGGAACTGGTACCATTCCTTCTGAAACTATTCCAATGAATAGAAAAAGAGGGAATCCTCCCTAACTCATTTTATGAGGCCAGCATCATCCTGATACCAAAGCCAGGCAGAGACACAACCAAAAAAGAGAATTTTAGACCAATATCCTTGATGAACATTGATGCAAAAATCCTCAATAAAATACTGGCAAACCGAATCCAGCAGCACATCAAAAAGCTTATCCACCATGATCAAGTGGGCTTCATCCCTGGGATGCAAGGCTGGTTCAATATACGCAAATCAATAAACGTAATCCAGCATATCAACAGAACCGAAGACAAAAACCACATGATTATCTCAACAGATGCAGAAAAGGCCTTTGACAAAATTCAACAGCCCTTCATGCTAAAAACTCTCAATAAATTAGGGATTGATTGGACGTGTCTCAAAATAATAAGAGCTATCTATGACAAACCCACAGCCAATATCATACTGAATGGGCAAAAACTGGAAGCATTCCCTTTGAAAACCGGCACAAGACAGGGATGCCCTCTCTCACCACTCCTATTCAACATAGTGTTGGAAGTTCTGGCCAGGGCAATCAGGGAGGAGAAGGAAATAAAGGGTATTCAGTTAGGAAAAGAGGAAGTCAAATTGTCCCTGTTTGCAGATGACATGATTGTATATCTAGAAAACCCCATCGTCTCAGCTGAAAATCTGCTTAAGCTGATAAGCAACTTCAGCAAAGTCTCAGGATACAAAATCAATGTGCCAAAATCACAAGCATTCTTATACACCAATCACAGACAAACAGAGAGCCAAATCATGAGTGAACTCCCATTCACAGTTGCTTCAAAGAGAATAAAATACCTAGGAATCCAACTTACAAGGGATGTAAAGGACCTCTTCAAGGAGAACTACAAACCACTGCTCAAGGAAATAAAAGAGGATACAAACAAATGGAAGAACATTCCATGCTCATGGGTAGGAAGAATCAATATCGTGAAAATGGCCATACTACCCAAGGTAATTTATAGATTCATTGCCATCCCCATCAAGCTACCAATGACTTTCTTCACAGAATTGGAAAAAACTACTTTACAGTTCATATGGCACCAAAAAAGAGCCTGCATCGCTAAGTCAATCCTAAGCCAAAAGAACAAAGCTAAAGGCATCACACTACCTGACTTCAAACTATACTACAAGGCTACAGTAACGAAAACAGCGTGGTACTGGTACCAAAACACAGATATAGATCAATGGAACAGAACAGAGCCCTCAGAAATAACGCCGCATATCTACAACTATCTGATCTTTGACAAACCTGAGAAAAACAAGCAATGGGGAAAGGATTCCCTATTTAATAAATGGTGTTGGGAAAACTGGCTAGTCATATGTAGAAAGCTGAAACTGGATCCCTTCCTTACACCTTATACAAAAATTAATTCAAGATGGATTAAAGACTTAACCATTAGACCTAAAACCATAAAAACCCTAGAAGAAAACCTAGGCATTACCATTCAGGACATAGGCATGGGCAAGGACTTCATATCTAAAACACCAAAAGCAATGGCAACAAAAGCCAAAATTGACAAATGGGATCTAATTAAACTAAAGAGCTTCTGCACAGCAAAAGAAACTACCATCAGAGTGAACAGGCAACCTACAAAATGGGAGAAAATTTTCGCAACCTACTCGTCTGACAAAGGGCTAATATCCAGAATCTACAATGAACAAATTTACAAGAAAAAAACAAACAACCCCCTCAAAAAGTGGGCGAAGGATATGAACAGACACTTCTCAACAGAAGACATTTATGCAGCCAAAAAACACATGAAAAAATGCTCACCATCACTGGCTATCAGAGAAATGCAAATCAAAACCACAATCAGATACCATCTCACACCAGTTAGAATGGCAATTGTTAAAAAGTCAGGAAACAACAGGTGCTGGAGAGGATGTGGAGAAATAGGAACACTTTCACACTGTTGGTGGGACTGTAGACTAGTTCAACCATTGTGGAAGTCAGTGTGGCGATTCCTCAGGGATCTAGAACTAGAAATACCATTTGACCCAGCCATCCCATTACTGGGTATATACCCAAAGGACTCTAAATCATGCTGCTATAAAGACACATGCACACGTATGTTTATTGCGGCACTATTCACAATAGCAAAGACTTGGAACCAACCCAAATGTCCAACAATGATAGACTGGATTAAGAAAATGTGACACATATACACCATGGAATACTATGCAGCCATAAAAAGGATGAGTTCATGTCCTTTTTAGGGACGTGGATGAAATTGGAAATCATCATTCTCAGTAAACTATTGCAAGAACAAAAAACCAAACACCACATATTCTCACTCATAGGTGGGAATTGAACAGTGAGAACACATGGACACAGGAAGGGGAACATCACACTCTGGGGACTGTTGTGGGGTTGGGGGAGGGAGGAGGGATAGCTTTAGGAGATATACCTAATGCTAAATGATGAGTTAATGGGTGCAGCACACCAGCACCAGCATGGCACATGTATACATATGTAACTAACCTGCACATTGTGCACATGTACCCTAAAACTTAAAGTATAATAATAATAAAATAAATTTTTTAAAAAAGGCCAAATACAAAAAGCAGTCTCACAAATGAGAGAGCAGGCCCAAGGGGACTGGAACTGGGACAGGTAAGTGAAAGGCAAGAGCTGAGACTGCTTGCTGCCTCCTACTCTCTCATTGGAGAAACAGTCTCTTCTCCCTACTCCTCAGGTGCGGGTGTGCAGAGCAACCTCTGGAGTTTTTATGTTGCTATCAAGTTCACTCAAAAACAGAAGCCTTAACCTCCCTTGTCTGACCTCAACACAGCTGTAGAAATTTTATTAAGAGCTACCAAGTGTGCTTCTCTATGATGTGATAACTTCAGGTAAACCAAGAGGACTTTACTTATATTTTTAAGAATGACTTCTTTGCTTCTCAGTCCTTCTCATTGTAAAACAAGTATTTTGGACTAGAACTAAAATATCTTAGTCTGCAGCTCTAAAATTTTAATCTCTGAAGAACTTTAAGTTAATAGAAATTGTGGTGGGCAGGAGAGAGGACAATGGAGCAGGTAAATGGGGCAAAAAGGAAATGGAAAAATAAGACAAGGTATCAGTGATGATAGTGTACCATGAATGAGAAGTATGCTGTATACTCTCTACAGCTAAGGTCCAGTACTGGACATATGTACACATGTACATAGTCATCCAGGATTGAATGATGCAGACAGAGCTAGGTGCATAGTTCATATGTCCAAAGCCAAGAAGAATGCAGCAAACAGTGTGATGTTGAGATCTTTAAAGAAAGCCATATAATTATCTTTATTATCAGATATGAACTAAGTTTTAAAGAAAGGAAAAGATCTAGATCCAGGAAGACTGGAGAGGATGGACTTCCAAGAGAAATCACATGAATATTGATTGGAAAGGTGGTTGGAGTGAGCCAGTTACCTTGAGTTGCTGTAGAGACTCATTGAATCTTAAAGCTAGAAAGAAGCTTAAATATCATTTGGTATAAAGTACAGGAACCTCAAAAGATTTTTTAACCTTGTTATATGCAAAATGTCTGAATATGAATTTCTTGATGTGAAAGTATATAGCATCCATGAGATAGACTAAGTAGTTGTTTTTTTTTTTTTTTTTTTTTGTTTTGTTTTTTTATGGAGTCTTGCTCTGTTGCCCAGGCTGGAGCGCAGAGGCGCAATTTCGGCTCACTGCAACCTCCGCCTCCTGGATTCAAGCGATTCTTCTGCCTCAGCCTCCCAAATAGTTGGGACTACAGGCACACACCACCACACTCGGCTGATTTTTGTATTTTTAGTAGAGACGAGGTTTCACCATATTGGCCAGGCTGGTCTCGAACTCCTGACCTCGCGATCCACCTGCCTCAGCCTCCCAAAGTGCTGGGATTACAGGCATGAGCCACCGCACCCCGCCAAGATTCACTAAGTAGTTTTTAATCCAAAAGTAATAAAGATCACTTATTTATTCCAATCCCCTAAATTAAACAATGAGAAAACAAGAGCCTACAGAAGCAAAATGACTTGCTGAAGGGCACACTTTAATATTCCATTTGCTAGAGATTTACAATGGTTTTGAAATATACTAACTGAAGAGTTTTGCATATATTTGTTAAATACTATTTAATTAAATAAGATTGTCAAATATAGCATTCTGTTTACTTTGTGGATTGTTTTTGTTTTTGAGACAGCATCTCACTCTGTCACCCAAGTTGGAGAGCAGTGGTGCAATCTTTCGGCTCACTGCGACCTCTGCCTCCCTGGCTCACAGGTCTATTTACATATTAAAGATGATTATTCCTGGCCCAGGGTAGTGGCTCACACTTGTAATGCCAGCACTTTGGGAGGCAGATGTGTGTGAATCGCTTGAGCCAACGAGTTCAAGACCAGCCTGGGCAACATGATGAAACCCTGTCTCTACTAAAAATACAAAATAAAAGTCAGCCGGGTGTGGTAGTGTGCGCCTGTAGTGCCAACTACTTGGGAGACTGAGATGGAAGAATCACCTGAACCCAGGAAATTGAGGATGCAGTGAGCTGTGATTGCACCACTGCATTCTAGCCTGGGCGATGGAAGTGAGACCATGTCTAAAAAAGTTTAAAAAAAAAGAAAATTATGATTTATATACTTAGTTTACATTATTTAAAAATCATTTCAACAAACTAGAAAACATAGAGGAAATGGACACATTCCTGTAAGCATACAACCCTCCTAGATTGAATCAGGAAGTAATGGAAACCTTAAACCAATAACAAACAGCAAGATTGAACTAGTAATTTAAAAACTGTCAACAAAAAAAGTCCAGGACCAGACCTATTCACTGAATTCTATCAGACATTCAAAGAAGAATGGATGCCAATCCCACTGAAACTATTCCAAAAGACTGAGAAAGAAGGATTCCTCCCTAAATCATTCTATGAAGCTAGTATCACCCTGATACCAAAAGCTGGAAAGGACACAACTACAGACCAATTTCCCTGATGAACATTGATGCAAAAATCCTCAACCAAATACTAGCTAACTGAATCCAACAGCACGTCAAGAAGATAATTCATCATAAGCAAGTGGTTTTCATCCCAGGGATGCAGGGATAGTTTAACATATACAAGTCAATAACTGTAATGAATCACATAAATAGAATTAAAACCCAAAACCATATGATCATCTCAATAGATGCAGAAAAAGCATTTAACAGAATCCATCATCCCTTTATGATAAAAACTCTCAACAAACTAGGCATGGAAGGCACCTATCTCAAAATAATAAAAACCGTCTATGACAAACACACAGCCACCATCATACTGAATGGGGAAAAGTTGAAAGCTTTCCCCCTGAACAGGAACAAGACAAGTAGGCCCACTTTCACCACCCCTATTCAACATAGTTCTGGAAGTACAGAGCAATTAAGCAAGAGAAGAAATAAAGGACATCCAAATTGGAAAAGGGGAAGTCAAACCTGGCTGTTTGCAAATGATATGATTGTATACCTAGAAAATCCTAAAGACTCCTCCAAAAAACTCTTAGATTTGATAAACTAATTCAGTCAAGTCTTAGGTTACAAAATCAATATACACAAATCAGTAGCCCTGCTATACCCCAAAACGACCAAGCTGAGAATCAAATCGAGGACTCAATCCTTTTACAATAGCTGCAAACAAAATAAAAATACTCAGGAATATACTTAACTGAACAGGTGAAAGATCTCTACAAGGAGAACTACAAAACACTGCCAAAAGAAATCATAGGTGACACAAACAAATGGAAATGTATCCCATCCTCATGGATTGGAAGAATCAATATTGTGAGAATGACCATACTGCCTGAAGCAATCTACACATTCAATGCCATTCCCATCAAAATACCAATATTATTTTTCACAGAATTAGAAAAAAATGATTCTAAAATTAATATGGAACCCAAAAGAGCCCAAATAGCCAAAGCAATCCTAAGCAAAAAACAAAACAATACAAAAAAACTGAACAAAAACAAAAAACAAATCAGGAGGCATCACATTACTGGACTTCAAATTATACTACAAGGCTGTAATTACCAAAACAGCATGGTACAGGTATAAAAGTAGGCACATAGACCAATGGAACAGAATAGAGAACCCAGAAATAAAGCCAAATACGTACAGCCAACTGATCTTTGACAAAGCATACAAAAACATAAATTAGGAAATAGATACCCTATTTAATAAATGATGCTGGCAAAACTGGCAAGCCACATGTAGAAGAATGAAACTGGAACTCTATCTCTCACCTTATACAAAAAGCAACTCACGATGGATCAAAGACTTAAATATAACACCTGAACCTATTAAAAATTCTAGGAGACAACATTGGAGAAACTTTTCTAGACATCAGCCTAGGCAAAGAATTCATGACTAAGACCCCAAAAGCAAATGCAACAAAAACAAAGATAAATAAATGGGACCTAATTAACTAAAAATCTTCTGCACAGCAGAATAAATAATCAACGGAATAAACAGACAAACCAAAGAATGGGAGACAATATTTGGAATCTATGCATCCAACAAAGGATTAATATCCTGAATCTACAAGGAACTCAAATTACCAATAAAAAAAAAGTCCATTAAAAAGTGGGCAAAGGACATGAATAGACATTTCTCAAAAGAAAATATATGAAGACCAACAAACATGAAAAACTGTTCAACATCATTAATCATCAGGGAAATGCAAATTAAAACCACAATGAGATATACTACCATAATCCTGCAAGAATGGCCATTACTAAAAAGTGTGAATACAATAGATGTTGGCAGGGATATGGGGAAAAGGGAATACTTACACGCTGCTGGTGAAAATGTAAATTAGTACAACCTCTATGGAAAATAGTATGGAGACTCCTTAAAGAGCTATTAATAAAAGTAGATCTACCATTTGATCCAGCAATTCCACTGCTGGATATCTACCCAAAGGAAAAGAAGTCATTATATGAAAAAGACACTTGTACTTGTTTGTTTATAGCAGCACTATTCACAATTTCAAAGATGTGGGACCAACCTAAGTGCCCATCAACTAATGAATGTATAAAGAAAATGTTGCATGTATACACCATGGAATACTACTCAGCCATTAAAAGGGATAAAATAATGTCTTTTGTAACAACTTGGATGGAGCTGGAGGCCATTATGCTAAGTGAAATATCACAGGAGTAGAGAACCAAAAACCATATATTATCACTTATAAGTGGGAGCTAAGCTGTGAGTATGTATTACATACATGTGTGATGTAATGGACTTTAGAGACTCAGAAGAGAGTGAGCGGGAGTGGGGCTAGGGATAAAAAAACTACCTCTTAGGTACAGCATACGCCACTAGGGTAATGGGTGCACTAAAGTCTCAGAATCTACCACTGTATAATTCATTCATGTAACAAATAAACACATGTACATCAAAAGTTATTGAAATAAAAAAATAAATAAAAACTATTTTAAGCGAAGAGTTGTCTAACCAATGTGGAAGTCTTAGGCCTTTTAAAAATGTCAACTGTAGAACTAGGTTTTAAACTTCATATAACTTTCAGAAATGGGAGAGCAAAACTTTTGCTTGTTACTGCATGCCAATATAAAAGTCTTATTTAACTTTAAAAAAATCCACCAATTTAAATATTAATCTGATTTCAAAATATTAATCTGATTTCAAAAATACCTTCACAGAAATATCCAGAATATAGTCTTACCAAATACTGTTTGACTTATGCAATAGGAAATGGGGTGGCTGTACAGTCATGGAACAGTCTAGGAAGCATTGTTGGATGACCTAAAATAGCCATGGCCCTCCCAAGTTGACACATAAAATTAACTATCACAGTGTCTTAACCTCATCAACAAAATAATAATGTTAGATGGTATAATACAATTTATGACCCCTTTATGTTGACAAAATTCTATATTTTTATAGTTTCAGTTCTCATTCCTACAGTATTTTGTTATTAACAATGACAAAAACTATGCTTTTCTCTCTGCTCTATTGAGATGTCAAGGGTTATAGCAAATTGAGTTCCCAGAAGTTGTCTGGTCTATTTGAGCCACAATAGAAAACACATATTTGATGTTTCTGCTGTCTTTCTAAGATCCTAAGAGTTTTCTTGACTACAAGAATAAAGCCTGCATGTTTCTATCCCTAGAAATAGCACTTATGCGATAGGGAATGGAGTTGCTGTACAGCCATGGAATAGCCCAGGAAGCCTTGTTGGACAGAACTAAAATAGCCTGAAAATTCCCTAGCAAAGCAAACGACTGAAGAAGCATTAACATAAACCTAAACCTCTATAATGTTCCTGTGGCTTTGACTTTTAATAGATTATTGCTCTTTCTATTAGCCTGTTTTCTGTTCAGCCTTGGTCCTTTTTGACCTCTTTTTCCTTTCTGTATCTTCTCATTATACCAACATTCTGCCTGGAATTTTCCACCCATCAGCAGCTTCTCTCTTGAGATGATTATGTAACTGTTTATCTTGGTGACTTATTCCTTTAGTTACTCTCTAGACAAGATGATTTTCCTAATCTTCTTTACTTCCTAGGGCTCCTGAACCCATATTTTGGATCCCTGTTGCCTTTAAAAGTGATTTATGTCAATCATTTTAATAGAATTTTGCATTTTTCTATCTTAGCTATTTTTCTTGTGGGAATTTACACTAAGTAAAAATATCATTTGTCCTCAGAAGAGTGACTTTTCTTTCCAGCTTAAGTTTACTAACCTGAAAATGAGCAAGTTAGAATTCATGACCATTAAGTTATCTTCTAGCTGTGAAGCTAGTTTTGTGTTAGTTTAATGATCTTGATGTTTAACAGGCATTGCATAGCACTCAAAAAACATGAAATTTAGTAAATTCCTTCCTCTGTCACTTGTTCATAGTTGGGCATGTGTCCTGTTTTTAATGTTACACTCCTCACTCTTCTGTCTAAGTATATTTCCAATACTGAAACACCCATTTGGTTGCATATGGCCGTTGAATTTCATGGTAAAAGTCAAATGCCATCTTGGAGAAATAAAATATATTTCCATTTTAAATCTCCTTTAGTACCTTTCCTCTACTTGGCTTTTAAGATAAGCAACCAAAGCCTAAAATTAATGTGACTTTGGGGAGGCACTTTTCAAAGCAGGGAAATCAGGTAGTAAAAGCCCATGATTTGGGTTTAACCCATCAAGTCCAGAGCAAGGTGAAGGGTAGGAGCTCTGTACAGTCAGATAACCAGGACCCCTTGTGTGAGGAGCAGGAGTGTGAAAATGGAGAAAAGAAACTGTACTCCTAATTCTCTTGAAGGTCAGTTATGAGTGTATCTAACAAGGTGCAATTAATGGAATGACATGACTGAAATATTTGATTATACCTCTTTACTGTAGCTCTTCAGTCTGTAATCTCTCTAAAGGAAGAGAA
This sequence comes from Homo sapiens, assembly GCF_000001405.40. Classification (NCBI taxonomy): domain Eukaryota; kingdom Metazoa; phylum Chordata; class Mammalia; order Primates; family Hominidae; genus Homo; species Homo sapiens. Next base: position 26,016,249 of record NC_000010.11, read on the forward strand.
CTCGTTCTGTTAATGATGTTGGTTTAAATAGATATAGTTAATTTGAAACTTCCAGTCAGATAAGGTGTGATTTGCCCAGGGTTGGTAGATGGAAAATAATTTTATGAAGATTCACAAGTCACCTACTATGTGCATAACACCATATAGGACATTCTCAAACTCACTGGAATTTGTTAGTGGGCAGGGACAGGAAGAGGGCAGGGAGGAAGCACGCCATTCAAATAACAATTACATGACAAAATATGTAAAATCGTTTACAATGTAGAAGATAGAAAGAAATAGGGATCAGTATAATTGGAGCAGATTAAAAGCCAGCATGGGGGAATTAAGACTTGAAATGGGGCTTTAGGAAGGAGCAGGATTTGGAGTTGAGAAAGAGAAAGTAGGAGCACCATTCTGGTTTTTGGCTCTGCAGAAATCCTGATTTAGGATCCTTTAATGTGACACTAGGTCCACTGGCAGGTTTGAGGAAATGGAATTTTAATATTAGTTTGCAAAAAAGATTATAGCAATTGAAAGCTCTTTATATGAGTAATTAATGCAAAAAAGTACATCTTGTCTCTTCCTCTAGGTGTGTCTGCACAGCTCACCAGTACCCGGCACCGTCGGAACACATCCGTAGGAACACCGTTTTGGATGGCTCCTGAGGTCAGATAGAGTTTTGAGGCAGACAAACGTAATAGCTGATCCTGTTTGACTTTCCTTTTTATGTGTACTCTATCTCTGTAAGCATTTTGGAATATAACAGAAGAAACTCTCAGTTGTGTTATTTTCATGTGAGAATTTTGCATGTGTGAGGAGGCACCTGGGAGGTGGTCAATAAATGGGCTGTGAATGAACACGAGTCAATGAAAGAGGGAATGAGTAAACCAGATGATGTAAAGAGAAACTACTTCCAGGTTTGATTTTTCATTAAATTTAGGTGTTTAGCATGTATCTGTACTAATGATATTTACATTATCTTTTAAAATTATAGTAGAAATATAATATTATCGGAACCCCTAGCCTTTGTGGGATCAGATTCAGGTCCATTAACCCATATGGCAGGTTCCTGTGTTGAGTCACTCTGCCTGGGGGCTATGCTCAGCTTTAATAAATTCTTTACATCATTACCTTTGGGAGGTTGCAGATAAACTGCTAAAATAGTTGAGGGAAAAAGTTTTCAAGAGTCATCTTCTCCCCCCATCACTATTAATGATTTTAATCTTTTAAATTATGTTTATCACTTATGAAGGACCCTTATTTTTGAAGACTCTCTCTACAACTGTTGGGGAAAGCGCTGCTATTTATCTCCAGTTTTCTAGGGAGTGAAGGGAGGAGAAGTAATTAATATACTATATTAATATTTTCAAATCTTATAATTAAATTTGAGGATTAAAAGCTGGTATGCTGTTTTTATTTGAATACTTGTTTAATTATTACTTGCAAAACAAGTTAAAATGTAAACTTAATACAAAATATGGACAGAGAATGAAGTATTTTAAGAAACTTAAAAAAATCCACAATGGATTAAAAAAATTTTTTTACCATGGAGCATATCTTAGAGTAAAAATATAAAGTATAGTCATAGAAGCAAAAACAAAAATTGAATAGGAGAATCTCAAAGGAGAGTTTCTTTAGAGTTTGTTCTGATATATTACTAGTGTTTTTAAAACTTACCAAAAAATTACAAAAATGAGAAGTTAATAAGAACCTAGTTATAATACCAAATATTGCATTTTGTTTGCATATATTAATATAATAATAAATAATATTACATATAATATCATTATATAATTAATATCCTAGCTTTATGGGTTTTGTATGTTTATTTATTATAACAAGCCATTATTCAATATTTAAATTTCCATTTAGTAAAAACACTTATTAATATGCAGTTACTAGACAGTAATTTTTCTGATGTCAGTTTTATTATTAATAAACCTATAGTAGCACAGTAGGGCTTGAAAGTTCTTTCTGGCTTAGCAAACTAATGGATATAATAAACATGAAAAAAGGTTCACTACAGTTTTTTTCAAGCTGTCATGGAAATACATGTTTGAGATTTTGTTCATATTATATTCATCTCTCTGTAATAAGTATTTTCTAAACTTGAAGAACATATTTTAAATAATCAGCTTTCTAGTTAATCAAGATATTCCATATCTACCACTCTATGGTATTAATAGCAGATTTCTAAGAATTAGAAAGCAATAAGGTGAACAAATATAAATATATTCACCATAATGGCATAGAAGTATTTCAGTGTTTTTAGAGCCCAGGAGGCAAGGTTGTTCAAATCAATTATCACTTGAAAAGTGAAATTCTTGATTGGCATGTTTAAATTAAATTCTATATCAAAAGTAGCATTTGCTGGTTACATAAAGACATCCTCTGCCAGGATGAAGGTAACAAGGGAATTAGCGACTGTAGTAGGTGACTGTACAACTTATCATACAAACCAGGACACCCTGGAGAGCGAAAGGGGGTGATATTTATTATGATTCTAGGACTACAAGCATTAAACAAGAATGTCTAAGGCAAACTGGGACATAGATTCACCTGAGCCTATATGGGTAGATATCCTCTGACCACACATGTAAATTCATGAAATAATGTATTATCCTGAAAAATAATTTTCCTTAGGAAAAAAATGATGGGGCAAAAGACATTATTTTTACACTCTAGCAAACAAAGTTATATTAGACAACAGAATGAGAAATTCGTATGAATGCATTTTTGAATTTTTAACAGCTTTATAAAGGTATAACTATAGAATTAGGTCATTTAACACATACAATATTCTGATTTTTAATGTATATTCACAGGGCTGTGCAATCATCATCACAATCATCACAAACGTTTTTGCTCCCCCTCAAAGAAACCTAGTACTCATTAACATTCACTCCTCATCTTTGCCTAAACTCTCCTACTCTAAGCAACCATTAATCTATTTTCTGTCTCTGTGGACTGGCCTTTTCTGGTTATTCTATTTATTTATTTATTTATTTATTTATTTATTTATTTATTTATTTATTTATTTTTTCCTGAGACGGAGTCTCGCTCTGTCCCCCAGGCTGGAGTGCAGTGGCGCAATCTCGGCTCACTGCAAGCTCCGCTTCCTGGGTTCACGCCATTCTCCTGCCTCAGCCTCCCGAGTAGCTGGGACTACAGGCGCCTGCCAACACGCCTGGCTAATTTTTTATATTTTTAGTAGAGACTGGAACTACAGGCAACTGCCACCACGCCTGGCTAATTTTTTATATTTTTAGTAGAGATGGAGTTTCACCATGTTAGCCAGGATGGTCTCGATCTACTGACCTTGTGATCCGCCTGTCTTGGCCTCCCAAAGTGCTGGGATTACAGGCGTGAGCCACTGTACCTGGCCTGGGTATTTTAAATAAATTGAGTCATACAATATATGGCCCTGTGTCTGGCTTCTTTTACCTAGTGTAATGTTTTCAGGGTTCATCCATGTAGAAGCATGTATTAATGCATCACTTATTTTTAGAGTTGAATAATATTCCATTGTATGTATAGACCACATTATGTTTATCCATTTGTCAGTTGATGAACATTTGGGTGTTTATCACTTTTTGTTATTATGAGCAATATTCCTATGAATATTTGCCACATGAATTTTTAATGTAAAACTTAGGACTTTACTGTTTCCCTCAGTACTTCAGGCTGTGCTCTCTGATTTCAGCAGTTCACTCTCATGTGATATTAAAAATACTTTCATAGAAAAGGTTAACAAGCACTGTGTATGATGATGTCCCATCAAACTAACTCTTAAGTTGAGAAACTATTCTGTCTTTATATATAGACATATATATATGCACATATATGCACATGCATAATTTATTATTGTCCTTCAGGTACTTAGAAATGAATTGGTTAATGGTCTTCTTATTTGCCCATAAACTCGCCATCCACGCCAGAGCCAGAATATTACCAATAGCATGCATTGGCCTCTATCCCTTCCTCTATCCCAACTCCTTGCCTCCTCTCAAGAGTGTCTGTTGCCCGATATGTTGTGTTTATCATTGCCTTCTTTTTACTTTTTAATCACACTGATATGCTTATAACTAAACTGTTTCCTGTCATTGCCATTAGTGTCAGGTATTAATAAAGATTTATTTATGAAGTAGTCACCTTTCCTGGATGACATGGGTGTAAATCTTACCAACTGAATTCTAGTGTGCCCACACATGGATTTTTTAAATGTGTTAAGCCTGATGTTAAGTGAAGTCAGAAGGTGAGATATCATTCCTAAAAGGGCCTTAGATTTTTCACTTTATATATCATTTTACAGTACTGTATTTAAATGACACAATTCTACATCTGCCATCATTCTAAAAATATCTTTTATTTTTTCTTGTGGGTTGGCATGTACAAAACATAAAATTTTAAAAATGCAAAAAATGGTTCTTAAAATGTAAAGTTGAATTTCCTTTTTGTGTTTATTGATGTTAATAATTACCATTCACAATCAATCTGCATTTGTACTTACACATTTAGAACTAAATTGGGAAGTAATCAATGCAATAATTTCTCTATCTAATACAATCTTATAAAATTACAAAAACAAATTCCTCTTTTTTCCTTGACTCTCAATTACATCTTTCGATTACTGACATGTTTTAAAACTGGTTGCAGTTTTACAATTTAGGGTGGCCCCAGATAGGCTGTTGGTAAAACCACATCAAGGTTTATTTTTATTTAGTTTTCTTTTATTAGTGGCTTAAACCTTTTGCATTCCTCCAAACTTGTCTTATTCCTCCCTTAGGTAGCCTTGCCTTCTAGTTGCCAGTAGAGACCAAGGCCATCTAACTAGACAGCCCTCAAGCATATTTACCTTTATTTCCTCCACTTTTAATTCTTCAAAAACATAGCCTTCATCTTTGCCCATTCCCTCAATAGACATTTATTGAGTGACTACCACTGCCCAATCTTTAGCTGTGCATTTGATCCCATCCCTTTCCATTTGGGACACGATTTCTTTCCTCTTTTTGTTCCATATTTTCAAAAATATTTTTCATAGGCTTCTTCCCTTATATTTTAAACCTCCTAAGGTATTATCTGTTCCCAGAACAAAAATACTACTACCAATAATAATTTGATCTTTTATTCTCCTCCTAAGTTACTGCCTTCGTCTTTACTTATAGCTATCAAACTTCACCAGTTTAAATACTTAATGCTTTGTTCTAAGTATTTTATTACATGCTTGTTAAAGTCACAAATTTCACCTTTTGATGGTGTGGTTTTCTACTAGGTGATTGCATGTGAACAGCAATTGGATACCACTTATGACGCCAGATGTGACACTTGGTCCCTGGGTATCACGGCCATTGAGCTGGGTGATGGAGATCCTCCACTAGCTGACCTTCATCCCATGAGAGCACTCTTCAAAATACCAAGGTCAGATGACTAACATTGGGTCCAGTATCTGCAGCCCGATTTACTTCCTCCAGCCACCAAGTGTTCATCATGCTCTTCATGGAGACGTTCAGATATATTCCAACAAGTTGGGAGCAGAAGATCCTGGAATATTATTCTGCTTCTTCTGAGACATTGTATTTGTTCAGTAGTTGCATTTCCCTGGTCTAAGTAAAAGAGCTTTCTCTTGATAATCAGTGTGTCTTTCTCTCTTTTGCTAGGATTTGATTTCAGAAAATAGCAGTTCCTCCCACCCTTTATCCATTCCCCAATGAGTCAGTGAGGCATCAGAGTCCATAGCCTGTGCAAGTGTTTTGCTTTGCTTTACCTACCAATCTAGTAATTTTTTACTACTTGCTAAGATTTCCCTTTGTTCAGAACTTTAAAATAATATTATTAAGAAAATTATATATAAAATTTATCCAGAAAATAATGGTTTTAAACATGTTAGTATTTTGAATATGTTAATATAAAACAATAAATTTAGAAGAATAACCTCTTTTGGTGCCATGAAAGCACTTGACTATTTATGTGGCCCCCCACTCCTTCATGTGTGTTTCAACAGATTTTCCCCTACTATCCTATAAACTAATTTCTTTAAACACTATTTTCTATGAGTGGTGGTTAGTCCCTTGATGTTTCAGATAACTAATGTGAAAAGACTGCCTATATTTATTAAAGGTGTTATTTTTAAATATCTTTTTAAGGATTTTGCCTTAATTATAATGCAGTGCACAGCCAGAGCCTGTGGTGACAGGGTTCCAAAACATTAGAATATTTGGCATCTAACTAAATTATTATAAGACTAAAACATTTGAATTCATTTTTAATTTTGCCTTTGAATTTCTTGTCCTATCTAGATGTTCCAAATTATAATACCTTGGCTATATATCATCCTTTACATACTGCTTATTTTGTTAAGTGGAGAAACAACATTATGGAAAAGAATGGAAAACCTCTATACTAAATCCAAGACATTTCATTAATTTTGAAGAAAGCAGGAAAAAAATCTGTAGTTTCTAATTCCTATTGTCATTCAGTATGTAAGGTGAAGTTCTGTACTGCCTTAGCTGTTTTAACTGTGGATTAAACCATCATATTTAGTCTGATGTTATTACTCTTGATGATAATGCCACATGAAGGAAGGATGACACTGTTGATAGATATTGTACCTAGGTAACAGGCAATGTGCAAAGTAATTCTAGAAACTGCATCATCTTAGTTATTTCTTAATTATGTCTACCAGCAGTGGAATTCCAAGAATACTGACTATGGTAATATGGAGAAAAAGGGAATCTGAAAAGCTACCCAGTTCTGAGTGTTCTGAAATAATCCAAACTTTGTTATTCAAAGCAAGCCAATAAATCTCATAAAAGGAAATTTTCAGGAGGACAAGAAACAAAACAACATTTCTGGAGAAAAGAATTACTTCTTTTAATGTGCAAATTAGCAATCTTCAAATTGTCCTAAGGATTGTGAAATGAGCTTAGTCCTGATCTGGGGTAGATGAGTAGCTGCACTTTTCTTTAATGAGCCTGTACAAACTGTACATTAATTTCATTATAAGCTATTTAAGGAGTAATGCAGAACTGAAGACAAAGTATTTCCATTTCACTAATGAAAACAAAGAGCTGTTAGAATTAACATAAAGCAGCACTTCAGCAAATTCAACTATCATGGTTGATCAATGTTGCTTGATTACAGAGTTAGATCAGCCTCATTTTCAAATGATGTTCCTTTGTATTCAACGAATGTGCCAAAAAATATATTTGTTCAGCTTAAACTGAAAGGAATTAATAAAATTGTTAAAGTTGTATTCACAGCTTTATCGCTAATAGTATTTTTCAGTTCCTTGACACTTTGTAACATGTTTCCTGCCGTGTGTCCAGTAACAACAGAACAACAACTCATAAGGGCATTCTACTGTGCGACTCCCTGGCACACCTTCCTCCATATTCCAAACAGGCCACTTCTGTGTTCCCTGGATGTTCCTCAGAGACTTCATTGGGACTCATAGGAAAAAAATACCTTTCCCCAGTATCTATTGTTTCTATTCTGTTAAGTATTGATGTTTCCCCCTAGAGCTAAGTAAAAGCAAGAAGACTCTTTAAAAGAAAAAATAATAACAGTTGGAAAAATCAGGTCATATGTTAAGTGCTTACAGAGAAACAAAGACCGTGTCATTTTGTATAAAGAAAGATGAGTAATGATTTATCTGTCTTGGAATTGGGAAAAGATGGAATCCTTGATTACAACTGGCAGAACCTAGGATTGCATTAGTCTATCTGGCTCTGCCTCTCATTTTACACTGACTGACCAATATACAGAATCCAACATTGATTCTTATTTTTCTAGGAATCCACCCCCAAAACTAAGGCAGCCTGAGCTATGGTCAGCAGAATTCAATGACTTCATAAGCAAGTGAGTAAAAACAGTCTTTTAAAAAACCAAAGATATTCCCTCCTGCTATAACTAAATCTCCTCCTATTTCTTCTTATCTGTTAAACAGCCCCAGAGATTTCTATTATTTTCTTCAAAGGAAGCATCTATAGTGTCTTTTAAATGTTGGGTGAATTTATCATTGCTCAGATAATGGCCTTAGGGTCATGTTTATTCACTGATCAATAGCTATGCTTCTGTGGACCCTTTATAATCAATGGTCATGTTCTTCTGTTCGCCTGTGTTTTGCCTATGGGTGTCATTTCATATGAGATGGGTCTCTTAGCATACCATTAGGTTTCGCTTCTTTATCCATCTTTATCCTCTGTGCCTTTTAATTGGGGCATTTAGCCTGTTTACATTCAATGTTAGTATTGGCATGTGTGGATTTGATCCTGTCATCATGTTGTTAGCTGGTTGTTATACAGACTTGTTTGTGTGGCTGCTTATGGTGTCACTGGTCTGTGTACCTAAGTGTGTTTTTGTAGTGGCCAGTAATGGTCTTTCCTTTCCATATTTAGCACTCCCTTCAGGACCTGTTATAAGGCAGGCCTGGTTGTAGTAAATTCCCTTAGCATTTGCTTGTCTGAAAAGGATCATATTTCTCCTTTGCTTATGGAGTTGTAGATGCTTCCACACAGATCCTCAATGGAACTTAGTGTCTGACGTATTTCTTGCAGTTTCCCCTCTGAGAAACATTTCCTGGTTTCTGCCAAGCAGTTAGTATTCTGTCCTGGTTGCTATTGATTTGGTTTGTCTTCCTCTAGTAACATTGCCAGTTGTATTTAGCTTACCTGTTTTGACATCTTTCTCTATAACTAGACAGTAAGCAACTCTAGGGCACTGAATGTGCCTTACTTGTCACTGTAACTCCAGTGTCTAGCAGAGTAACTCCAGTGTCTAGCAGAGTGCCTAGTACACATTAAAGATTTGATAAAGTTTTGCGTGAATAAAATAATTTCATATGTGCCTCTTCTGAATACATAGATACAATTACTACAGATGTCAGAAATTAATGCATTCTGTTAAATTAATGGAAAACTAAGAGCACTTGTTCTTATTTTTTAGACACTGGCATTCTTATTCCTTAGCATATTTTAGCATTCCGGGGAAATATATTTTTGGTTAAGCTCAATGAAATAAATTGCCTAATTATCATAATACCGATTAGAAATGGCGCTACTCAAGCCAAGGCATGAGTTTCATCTTTTTATGCTTTTTTTCTTTTTTTTTTAATATCCCCAAATGACAGCCCAGTTTTCTCATAATCGTAGACTCTGTGAATTGCAGGGTTAAAGGGGTCTTGGAAAGTTGTACAGCCCAAGTTTATATCCAGAGGTTAAATCCTTCTCAAACATGTGCACTCAGTGGCTGTCCAATCTATACTTAAATATCTCCAATCAAAATAGTATTTCCTAATGCAGCTTATTCTACTTTGATAAGCCTCACTCTTGAAAAGTTCTTCCTTAGACTGATCTGAAAGCTGTTTCTCTCTTGATTCCACCAACCAATTCTAGTTCTCTTACCCCTTGTGACCACTGAAAACTACTTGAATCCTTCTTTTACATATTCAAAGTCAGCTGTCACAGCTGGTTAAACTTTCTACATTTGTTCAAATGCTCCTCCTGTGCTGTTGTTTCAGGTGCTCTCACTAGTCCTATCCTTTCTCATGAATATGCTCTGGTTGAACCTATCAAGAGGTACAACAGGCATTAGTACATCTGCTGTATGACCTCAAAAAATACATATTGACATGGAATTTAAACATCCTTAGCTGAGTGGCCTTCTCAAATGGGTTAGCAGTTTTATCACATAGAAAGAAACAGATCAATTGAGAAGCCTTTAAAAGCATTTGTGAAGGGAAACTGCATTGTTTGTTTTAATTTTAGATAAGCATTAGAACTATAATGACTTCATTGTCATTTATCTGCAGCTACTGACTTGTAAAGGAGACTTTGCAGTGGAGACATTTTAATTATCACTATGCAATAATCCTTACTGGGAGACGACAGAAGTGGTATTTAGTTGAAAGTTGGTATCACTGCAGCTTAATCACTCACAGATGTGTGCACTTTCACAAACATTTGTTTCATCATATTGCAGTTAGCTATTTTTGAGAGATTAAAAATTGCAATTAATATATTTTAAGCTTGGGCTGAGCATTTATGAGGAGCATCACTCTCGTGTGTTAGATTAATTTTTAGGAATATGAATAATAGTTTCAAAACTCTAACTTATCTAATAATTGCATGTTCTTTTTTGCCAGTGCAGGTGCTTGACTAAAGATTATGAAAAGCGTCCAACAGTGTCAGAACTTTTACAGCATAAATTCATTACTCAAATTGAGGGCAAAGATGTGATGCTACAAAAACAACTAACGGAATTCATTGGCATCCATCAATGCATGGGAGGCACAGAAAAGGCCAGGTAATCAAATAATATCTTGATTCCAAAATCCAGAGATTATTGAAAGATTTTGAACAGTTTAACAATGTATTAGTTTTTAAGGTGAATAAAATTTGGAGGTAATGGGGACTTACATGAAAAGTGAATGTCACCTGTTGAAATGCCTCTCAATATTGGTAAAATTACAGGCAACACTTTCTTTTTTTTTGAAACAGAGTCTTGCTCTGTTGCCCAGGCTGGAGTGCAGAGGCACGATCTCGGCTCACTGCAACCTCCACCTCCCGGGTTCAAGCGATTCTCCTGCCTCAGCCTCCCTAGTAGCTGGGATTACAGGCCCATGCCACCATGCCTGGCTAATTTTTTGTATTTTTAGTAGAGACAGGGTTTCACTGTGTAGCCAGGATGGTCTCGATCTCCTGACCTTGTGATCCGCCCACCTCGGCTTCCCAAAGTGCTGGCATTACAGGCGTGACAGGCTGCACTTTTTAAACAACTTTGTAAGAACAAAGAATGTAAACTTCAAAAGATCATTTTTGTATTGGTATATGTTTTCTTGTATTTTCTGCTTTTCTATAAAGTAAGATATCTTAGATTTGGGATTTAAAAAAACCATAAAACTTGAAAGACCTTTTGACACTATTATTTGTTCATTTTCCCTGGTTAAATTATATTTAAAGATCATTTTAAATATCTTCGTACATCCTATTGGGATTTTAAATAGTATATAAGTTTATTTTAGGAAATTTAAAAGTCACAGAGAAATATACAATGGAAAAATAATCAAGTATAACATTTTAATCTGTAACCTTTTAATATCTTCTTCTTGTTGGATATACTTTTTTGTTTTTTTTGAGACAGGGTCTCACTTTGTCTCCTAGGCTGGAGTGCAGTGGTGCCATCTCTGATCACTGTAGCCTCAACCTCCTGGGTTCAAGTGATCTTCCTTCTTCAGACCCCCAAGTAGCTGGGACTATAGGCATGTACCACCGTGCCTGGCTGATTTTTGTATTTTTAGTATAGACGAGGTTCTGCCATGTTGCCCAAGCTGGTCTTGAACTCCTGAACTCAAGTGATCCACCTGCCTCAGCCTCCCAAAAGACTAGGATTGCAGGCATGAGCCACTGCGCCCAGCCAAACATTTTAAAACATTTTTAAAACAAAATTGGAATAGTATTATATGTGTCCCAGAGACTGTCTTCTTTCACTGAATAGTGAATATCCATATAATTAAACATTCTTCTAACACAACATTTTAATGGCTAGATAGCATTCCCTTGCCTGACAATTTAATGATTAATTTAAATAATCCCATACATTTTGGTAGTTACTAATTGTTTTTACTCTCTCAAGTAACTGTGTAATGAACAGTTGTACATTAATCTCTTACTGTTTTCTTAAGATAAATTTCTATAGATAGTACTATTAAGTCAAAAAATTATTAAAGTTAAATTTATAATTTCACTTTATTCTTGAAAATCCTATTTGTTTCATCCCAGAAACATATCACTATTTAGGGAGTTGGAAGAAGTGAATAAGACATTACTTATTTGAATTCCTGTTGTGAATATACACATTTAATTCCCATTTGTTTAATGCCTACTATGTGCCAGATTTTGTATTAGGACTTCATTATGTTATCTCATGTGATTTTACAACAAGTCTGAGGAAAATATTTTATGATAACCCATTTTCATAGCTGAAAAGAACTGAAGTTTGCAGAGGTTAATTAACTTGCACAAGGCTGCACAGGAAATAAATGACTTAGCAAGGATTCAAATTCTGATCTTAAAGCCCAAGCTTTAATTCACAGGAGTAAATGGACTAATGATTGTGGATGATCTTGGGAGATAATAATCCTTGCCTGTTTGAGTTTACAGCCTTGCTGCAGAGACAGACCTGATATACCTTTAATGAGGAAGAATTAAGTGACAAAAGAAAGAAGCAGATATGTAGTTTATAATGAGGAGATAATCATGGGTCATCCATGCCCATCTTTTTATCTTTGTGTAAATGTAGTTTCATAATCTGCTGCAACCTCATTCTTCCCGAAACAGACAACCAATAATCAAAATAAACAGAAATTGAAGTGTATTCACATTGTGTAGGATGTTCAATGTCAAGAACTGTGAAGGATATGAGATATTACCCTACCTGCAAGCTCACAATTTGGCTTGCCACAGTTTCATGAATGCTGGTAGAAGACACAAGATTCATGGATGAGAGACAAAGGACTTTACTACTCATTGCCGAGCTGACAGCATGAGTTTATGTTCACATTGGTTCTCCTTGCCCCCTAGAGTCCTAGGGGAAATGTGGAATAGGTGGATGTTGTGTCCACACTTGGCTTGCCTCATAACTGGGAAATCCTGAACTTGGGAAACTCCAATCTTTTAAATAGGGGCTGCTTGCATGCTTGCCCAAATTTTGCCTTGGAGGAAACATTAGCTTTACCATCCTGGACACCAGATAAGATTTCCATCTGTCCTAGTATTTTTAATTTCCAAGGCTGTTTGCTATACAAACATTATTGAAAATATAGTCTGGAACAAAAGCTAATATAAGACATGCAGAAATTTGAGAGACCCATAAATAATTGTCTCTCAATGTTCAAACATCGTGAGAATGGTTGCACTACACAGTATTTAGATTCTCATGCTTGTGCTGTAAGTTTCAGTGATTATTGGGCACAGTGTTATGCTCAACACTTTCTGATTCTGAGACACAAGATGTAGTCTTGTTTATCCTGTTAAAAATTCAGAATATGCTTTCAGTATGAGAATTCATGATGTACTCAGTTATGGAAATTTTTCAGTTGTTCTTTTAAATATTGATCCTCTCTCATTCTTTTCACTTTTTATTTCTGAGACATAAATGTTGGAACCTCGTATTTTACCTCACATGTCTTGCAATTTCTCTGTCATGTTTGTCACCCATTTATCAATCTCTGCTATATTCTGAATGAATTCTTCAAAATTGTTTCCCAATTCACTAATTTTCTCATAGAACTGGGCCTAGTCTAGATATCTTATATACCAATATTTTTTTCGTGCTGATATCTATTATACATCAACATCTATAGTTTTCATTTATATAATTTCTTACTTGGTGAGTGGTTTTTTGTTAATCACTCTTTTCATATCTGACTTTTTATGTCTGGCTATTCATTTTTTCTTTTGGGGGAATGTAATTCCGCTTTTTTTCTCTTTGATCTTAAACATACTTTTTAACAGTAACTCTCAGATTTGCATTTCAACACAGGTGAATTGTCCTGATTATTGAGTTCATTTGTTTATTTAATATTTGGTTTCCTTAGTCTAGGGTTCAGAATTTTAGTTTGCCTTCTCATCTTGAGTGGGAGGTTTTTTATTTTGGTTTTTCTTTCCTTCTGCATTCTATTTGGAGGGTTTTGCCTTTGCCATTATCTGGTTTCAAGATTCCCCAGGGCCCATTGTGATTTGAAGGAAATTGCAGATCCAGTTGCTGAGCCAGTGGGAAGTAGATCTTATGTCTCTCCATCCTGCCATCTCAAGCACCTGGCTCCATATAAAAGGAAGAAGCGGCAGTTTTTTCAATCTTTTTCCCAGGCAAGGGACCCCACACTCAGCCCCATTCTTCCCACCACACCTCGGTCAAGGCCTTCATTGTGAATGTGTGTTTCAGTTCCTTTACTCTCCAGGCCTCTTTTTCCCGTTTTTGGTGCCAGACTTTGAATCAGCCTATAGTTTCTGCCCTCTTACCTGGTGCTTTTGTTTGCCCTGTTAGGTCGTCTCTAATGCTCATCTTGTTTTAGAAAATATCTTTGTCTTTTTTACTTTATTTTTTTAATGTGTAAGAAATATTTTATTTTTTATAAACGTATGTTTGGAAGAGGTGGGAGTTGAACTTGAATCTTTACCCACAACACTCTCTTGACCATGGATCTTAGTTCAAAGGAGGAGGGAAGATTATCCTGCCCTCAGCATTCATATTCACACTAGTCCCAAAGTGTGAGACATACTCAGGCAAAAGAAAACAGGCTTGGTTATGCCACTGGCAACACATTAAACAAAAGCTGTCTTCTTGAAGATCACGAAAAATAACTTGATTTGTCACAGTTTCTGATGTTGGTAAAATGGATCAAAAAATCTGATTGTATTAAATCAACATAGCTAACTCAAAGCTGACATTTTTCTTTTTGTACATGATGTCATCCTTTAGAACTGAAGGTATGTGCTTGGCAGTATAATTTTTTAAAAATTAAAGATTCAGCTTTAAAGAAAATGGTCCTAATATAAATTGAATACAAACTGAATATAAACTTCCTTGTTGAGGAAAAGTGGAGTGTTGGGAGATACTATGGAATGGATATGAGAACTTTCTATTTTAAGTCAAGACCTGAATATAAAACACATCACTTTTCTAACTTATTCAACTATTCTGAAGAATTAAGACCATGTTATAATACACTCCTCAAAAAACGGGAAAGCATTTTTCACACGAGTTAAAATTGACAATGTTAGAAGGCAGACTAAATTGGGAGAAACTCTAGTTATAAAATATTTTGAAAGAAAATTTTTCTTATGAATCCAGTATTTTTAAACAGTTGACTATCTGATTTAATGGGAATAGATAAAAGTCATTTGTAACTGAAATGTGCTAATTCAGAATTCTTGAGTAAAACAATACAAGCCCACTTAAAAAGTAAAGCAGTTTAGCGGACAACATTGGATGGCTCAGAGAATGGAGAGGATGGGAGAGAGCCAGGTTTAGTCATGAAAGCCGGTGGCTTCAACTGTCCTTCCTCAAGAATCACCAGCTAAAAGGCTGCCACTGAAAACCACCCACCTTTCTCTAACATTGCCTGCAGTGACACTAGTTTCTTGAATGCTACAACCCACTCAAAATATTCGTAAACTGACTTTGAGCTTTATGTTGCTTCCTTGAGGTTCTAAGTTCCATACTGGACCATCTGATCGCCCACGTGTAGGTCACAGGCCCACACTGTAGGTGAAAGTAGGTGGTGAAAGACACTTGGTCTCAGCTCACTTCCAGTTTCTATGTGAGAGGCAGAGTCCTACCTGCTAACCATTTTGAAATTTCTTCCCCACAGCAGAAGGGTATTTTTGAGCTGCTGAAGCAACAGGTGGATAGCCATTATATGGAATATTTTTTATTCTATTTCATTTTATTTTAGAGACAGGGTCTCACTGTTGCTCAGGCTGGCCTCAAAATTCTGGGCTCAAGTGATCCTCCTGCATCAGCCTCCTGAGTAGCTGAGCTTACTTGCACAAGCCACCACATCTACCTCCTGTATGGAATATTTAACACTTCCTACAGTTCTTTATTTTATATATCTTGAACATTTGCCTAAAAAATTATTTAAGCTATGATTGTCATTCCTCATAAATAAAGAAAATATCTAATCCAGCATCTACTTAAATAACAAATTCCAAATTAAAACTTCCTTTTTTTGAAAGTCATATTATTAACATGTTAACATCTTAAATTTCTTTTGTGTTTTATATACAATGCAAAATAACTTTAATATTTTACTTGATGCTCTCAATATGCCAGTGGCAATTACCTTTGATATTTATAGATTGTTATATTTTGCATATAATTTCATAGAAATAAAAAGGATTCAGTAACTCCTTTTTCTTACTAATTTTGGTTTCTTAGACCAAACATACTGGCTGTATTTGTGGTGCTGTTGCAACTAGTCCACTTGTCCCAGCATCTATGGTTTTCAGGCCAGAATATAAGGCATATTTGAGACATATGTGGAAGGATTAACAAAAGAAAGACAAACTAAAAATTGACCATCCAATCAGTGTTAAAAGTACCGGCCAGGTGCCGTGGCTCACGCCTGTAATCCCAGCACTTTGGGAGGCCGAGGCGGGTGGATCACGAGGTCAGGAATTCGAGACCAGCCTGGCCAACATAGTGAAACCCCGTCTCTACTAAAAATACAAAAAATTAGCCAGGTGTGGTGGCAGGCACCTCTAATCCCAGCTACTCAGGAGGCTGAGGCAGGAGAATCGCTTGAACCAGGGAGGCGGAGGTTGCAGTGAGCCCAGATCATGCCATTGCACTCCAGCCCGGGCGACAGTGTGAGACTCCATCTCAAAAAACAAAAAAACAAAAAAAAAACCAACAAAAAAAACACACAGCCCAAGCTGTCAATTCCTTATTAGGCGTGGGACTTTATGTAATGTAAATTCGCTCAAATAGGATTTTGATTTTACAAAACAGAACAATGAAAAGAGAAAACAAAAAAATAGGAAGTAATAATAGGGTTCCTTCCATGTGGCACAATGCATGACTCCATTTTATGTTCTATTTTCTGGGCAAGATAATTTTTCTTTAATGGCTGTGACTATGTCATGTTGAGAATTATTCACCCTTTGGAACATATACGCTTTTCCTTGACACATGAGACTTTAAAAATGCTATCCCCACTGCTTTTCTGATAACTATGTTTTCAATTCCTATCTCCACATGACTGAAAGATACTTCAAACTCAACATGTCCAAAATTAAACTTATGGTATTCCATCTGTGTTCTTTGTTCCCTTATTTTATTTTATTTTATTTATTTTTTTGAGACAGGGTCTTGTTCTGTCACCCAGGCTGGAGTGCAGTGGCACGATCTCAGCTCACTGCAACCCCCACCTCCTGGGTTCCAGCGATTCTCCTGCTTCAGCCTCCCGAGTAGCTGTGATTGCAGGAGCCCGCCACTGTGCCCGGCTAATTTTTGTATTTTGTTTTTTTAGTAGAGATGGGGTTTCACCATCTTTGCCAGGCTGGTCTCAAACTCCTGACCTCGTGGTCCACCCGCTTCGGCCTCCCAAAGTGCTGGGATTACAGGCATGAGCCACTACACCCAGCTGTTCCCTTTCTTATTAATGGCACCACCACTTATCTCATTATGCCAACCAGAAATCCAGGGATTATCTTAACCTATTCCTCTCTCCTACTTTTCATTTTTAGTCCAAACCAGGACTAAATGTCTTACGATCCCACTCAACACCAATTGTGCTATAATCTTTGCTACCCTAGAAATCGCGGATTGAGATGACATCCATGTTGTCTCAACATTTGTTGAGGCCATTGTATAAAGGTCTAGATAAAGGTTCTACACAGAGGTCTGACAGCTGAATCCTTTATAGAGCCTGTGCTCTGGGGCTAACTTTTTAGTAAACAGGATAAGACAAGAACATAAATAACCATTATACAAAGTTTCAATCCCATTTCCACTAGCAGGGGCAGGAGGGCTTATCCAGGAGGTCGCCTTTGAATCAGCACCATGAGGGATAAACTGGACTGAATCATGTGAAGATAGAGTTATCACAAGATGAACGTTATAGCAGGAGAAACAGCCTGAGCAAAATCATAAAATCAAGGAGATAAGCTGACAGAAAGGCAAGCATTTAATCAAGCTGTAAGGGGAAAACCCAGAAATAGGTTTGGAGAGGTATACAGAGACCAGACCACTGAGAGCACTGAAAGTCAGACTGAGAGGTTTGACCTGTGTCCATGACAGCCCACAGTGGGGAGTACCCCATCGCCAGCTCTTAAGCCACCTGTGTCCCTTTTGTTGGTTCTAAAAGGTAAATTATGGATACACCAAGGCAGACTACAGCAATAATTTTGGATTCATTTTGCTTGTTCCCAGTATGACCATTTTCTCATATGTTTCTTTTTAACTTTAAAATATGGTATTTTTTTGAAGGTAGAGGGAGTTGGTCCCAACTTTGTTTAATGATCATCTATCTCTAAATGTGCTTAATTGGGTCTTGTCCTTTTGCCATCTTCCATTACACAAGAGTGGGTGCCCAGACCTTATTATGGACACTTGAATCCCAACCCCTGCCTTGGACTGCCAGGATGGCAACGCCACTGTCTACAGCAGCCCACTCAAGCTAGGGACCCAGACAGGAGTATTTTTCTTCACCTAGTTCAGTGTAAGTCGATTCTAATGGCCCCATAGATGAAGTAAAGACTGTATCTCAAATTAAAATTAGAAACAGGAGAGCACCGTTCTGAAAACAAGATAACCTAGAGTTTGCTTTTATTTAGATAGGAATCTATCATGAATCAAGAAACTGGATAATGATAGCTCCATCATTAAAATACATGGCCATTTGCTATGACCAGATCTAGTCGCTAGTCTAGAAAAAAATAGAAAAGGAGCTACAGTTCACATAAAGATAATTATATTAATAATACTAACAAAGGCTGATGTTGAATCTTCAGTGTTGAAAGGATGAT
Organism: Homo sapiens; assembly: GCF_000001405.40. Taxonomy (NCBI): domain Eukaryota; kingdom Metazoa; phylum Chordata; class Mammalia; order Primates; family Hominidae; genus Homo; species Homo sapiens. The sequence goes on from NC_000010.11 coordinate 26,034,761, forward strand.
GGATTTGCTTCAAAATTATGTATTTAATAAGCTGTAATAGGCAAGACGGGCTAGTGTCTGGATATTTATATATTTAATATATTGATATATATTTAATATTGGTGTATATTTAATATATGTGGACATTTATTTGTTTCTATGTTTTTGTGTTTTTTTTACATGAAGCGTGTGTGTGTGTGTGTGTGCGCACACATCATTTGTGCTTATATTCTAAGTAAGATTTTATTTTAGAAAATTCCCATCTTATCTTGGCTAAAATAAAAAGTAAAGGAAATGTCCCTGTCAGTGCTAGAAGGAAAGGTCTCGTAAAGGAATATACTGGTAGCTGTGTCCATCCAAGATGGACAACTCAGGAAGAAACAGATAAAGCTGGGGAATATAGCAAGGATCCCTCTAGGACCAGGAAATTTGGAAAAGAAATAATAACTTACCCTTTCCTGTCTTAAATATTTCCTTATGTCAGTCTTCAGTACTTCCTCTTCCAGAAAAGCTCCCAGAATAAAAACTAAATGGCTTTTTAACGTGGTCTCCAGGAATTTTAAAAGGAATAGGCAATTGAATAATTATTCCCTGGAGAAGGCCATTGTAAGTACCTCTGCTCCTAAGTAGCACTAAATAAAGGAATTCAAGTAAAGAAGAAGAAGCAGTTGCTGATACTACAAAAAAGTTGTAAATAATTCTGAGAATAAGTTACATTGTTGCTTCAAAATGAAACAGTGTAAAGAACCATCATGCAATCTGCCCACTTGTGCTAAATACCTAGTTCAGTTCCTGTCTTTATCATACCACTTTCCCCCCTGCCAAGTAATTATACAATCATAGATTATTTTTGCTGGAAAGGAACTTTGAATGTGGATCCTTATTTTAGAGATCAGGAAACTAAATCCCAGAGAAATTGAATCCTGCCTTCTGAGACAATAGCCAACAAAGCTGTAACTCAAGTATAATGATTTTTCAGACTAGCTCTTTTACTAATTTCTCTTTTCCTCACTGGTGTCAGAAGTTGGCGGTCACAAAACTGATGGACAGATTTTGTTTGAGCCACTTTGTATGGTTTACTCACAATGGGCATTTACACTTAAATTTTATTTTATTTCTTTGGTATACTGCAGTTAGAGTTTGCATTACTAAGTAGAATATTCAATGGTCAAGGAATCTTTGTTCATGTTTTGCCTAAGACTTTTTTTTTTTGAGATGGAGTCTCCGGCTGTCGCCCAGGCTGGAGTGCAGTGGCGCCATCTTGGCTCACTGCAAGTTCTGCCTCCCGGGTTCACACCATTCTCCTGCCTCAGCCTCCCAAGTAGCTGGGACTACAGGCGCCCACCACCACGCCTGGCTAATTTTTTTTGTATTTTTTTTTAGTAGAGATGGGGTTTCACTGTGTTAGCCAGAATGGTCTCAATTTCCAGACCTCGTGATCTGCCCGCCTCGACCTCCCAAAGTGCTAGGATTACAGGCGTGAGCCACTGCGCCCAGCCCCCTAAGACTATTTTTTTAATTAAATTAAGGATACAGAGTGTGGAAAAACTAAGTTTAAGATGGGTATCTAACTTATCCTTGAAATGTTTGGGAAATGATAATTTAGGAACTAGGTTTAATGACATATTGATATGGGTGTTGAAATCATCAACATAGTGATGTTTTCATTTCTTTTGGAAAGAGTCTCTCATGCCTATGACGAGTTTTGGAGTTTGCCTATGTTATTAGTAGCCAAGCTCTCAGCAGGGGCCAACAAAACTGCATTCAGTGAAAAAAAGGCCTGGACCATTTTCTCTAGTAATTAATACTGTAAGTTGTACTGCACTCTCAGACTTTTTTTAGCCTGTTATTTTGTGTGCTCTATGTGATCTACTTTTCAGTCTTTAGTTTCATTTAGGCTTAAAATGACAAGTCGCCAGTGGCTCCCATCACAAGTTGCCGATGACAGTAAGTGTTCCTAAAAGGACCAACTTGCTCATCTCTCCCTGTGGATCCACCCATACTGTAGCCCCTGGGGCCACTTGCTGGTTGCTGAACCTGCTATGCATCTTGATTCCTCTCCATTTTGGCTCAGGGAGTGTTCTCTCCTTGAAATCTCACCCACCTTCATTCTGTTCTTGGGAATATACTTAAAACCAGTCTCCAACTGTTGGCACCTTTGAGAAACCTTTCCCAGAAGTTACAAGTATGTGTTTACACTTCCTTTCCTCTGTGGTCATACATCACTTTGTTCTTCAGTTAGACACACCTGGGATAGAGTCCCAATCCTGCCGTCTATTAGTCTTGCCATGAACTAATTTTGTGACTCTGTACAAGTTACTGAACCTCTCTTAGACACAGTTACAACCTGTTTATAAAATGAGGACACCAATAACACCTATCTGGTAAAGGTGAGAGGATAAATGAAATGAAATAAAAAGCATGAAGCACCTGTACAATGTTAGCAGTCACCAGCATTTTGTGGATAGTTACATGCATCTGTATTTTACAAATCTTAATCATCTATGTCTCCAGTGCTGAGTCTAGTACTTTGCATGTAGTAAGTGCTCAATAAATTTATATTATTTTGAATTGAAGAGTTTGGGTTGAGATCTGAAATAGAATGCCTTGATATGGCTTTATATGTTCAACAGACACAATAGTGCGTTTAGCTATTTATTACTTACTGTGAGAAAAAAATTGGAGAACCAATTAACATGGAAGATTTTTTGAGATAAAGGTTTTGAAATTTTGTTCTAAATTTTTTAATAGATACTTCCAAATCTATTTTAATATATGGTGAGAGATAGGGATCTAGTTTCATTCCTTTGCATATGTATACCCAGTTTTCCCAACACCATTTATTGAAGAGATTGTCTTTTCCCCACTGTATGGTCTTGGCACCTGTATTAGACCATTCTCACACTGCTCTAAAGAACTACCTGAGACTGGGTAATTTATGAAGTAAAGAGGTTTAATTGACTCACTGTTCCTCAGGCTGTCCAGGAAGCATGACTGGGGAGACCTCAGGAGACTTACCATCATGGTGGAAGGGCGAAAGGGAAGCAAGCACATCTTCACATGGCGTCAGGAGTGAGAGAGTCAAGGGGGAAATTCTACACACTTTCAAACAACCAGATCTCATGACAACAGCAAGGAGGAAGTCCACCCCCATGATTCAGTCACCTCCCACAGGGTCCCTCCCCCCAACATTAGGAATTATAATTCAACATGAGATTTGGGTCGGGGCACAGAGCCATATCAGCACCTTTGTGAAAAAAGAGCTCACTGTGGATTTATGGACTTATCGCTGGGTTCTCTATTCTGTCCCATTGGTCCATGTGTCTGTTTTTATGCTAGTACCCTGCTGTTTGGGTTACTATGCCTCTGTAGTATAATTTGAAGTCAAGTAATGTGATTCCACCAGTTTTGTTATTTTTTGCTTATGATGGCTTTGGCTATTCTGGGTCTTTTGTGGTTCCATATAAATTTTAGCAGTGTTTTTACTATTTCTGTGAAGAATGTCATTGATATTTTGACAGGGATTGCAATTAAATCTGTAGATTGCTTTGGGTAGTGTGGGTATTTTAACAATATTGATTCTTCTAATCCATAAACATGGAATATCTTTCCATTTTTTGGTGTCCCCTTCAATTTCTTGGATCAGTTATGTAGTTTTCATTGTAGAGATCTGTCACTTCTTTGGTTAATTCCTAGGCATTTTATTTTATTTGTAGCTATTGTAAATGGTGTTACTTTCTTGATTCCTTTTTCACATTGTTTGTTGTTGGCATATAGAAATGCTACTGATTTTTGTACGCTGATTTTGCACTCTTTACTGATTTATCAGTTCTAATAGTTTTCTTGTGGAGTTGTTTAGGTTTTTTCAAGTATACCGTCATATCCTCTGCAAACAAGGATAATATGACTTCCTCCTTTTCAATGTGGACTCCCTTTATTTCTTTCTCTTGTCTGATGGCCCTACCTAGGACTTTCACTACTTATGTTGAATAACAGTAGGCATCTTTTTCATATTCCCAATCTTAGAGGAAAGGCTTTAAATTTTTCCCCATTCCGTATGATAGTAGTTATGGATCTGACATATGTTCGTTTTATTTTGTTAAGGTATGTTTCTTCAAAATCCAGTTTTTGAGGGTTTTTGTCATTTAAATTGATGCTTAATTTTTCACATGGTTTTTGTCCTTCATTCTGTTGATATAATGTATCACATTGATTGATTTGCATATGTTGAACCATCTTTACATCCCTGGGATAAATCCCACTTGGTCATAATGAATGAGTTTTTGTTTGTTTGTTTGTTTGTTTGTTTGTTTGTTTTGAGACGGAGTTTCGCTCTTGTTGCCCAGGCTGGAGTGCAATGGCGTGATCTCGGCTCACCACAACCTCCGCCTCCTGGGTTCAAGCGATTCTCCTGCCTCAGCCTCCTGAACAGCTGGGATTACAGGCAGGCACCACCAGGCTCGGCTAATTTTTTTTTTTTTTTTTTTTTTTTGTATTTTTAGTAGAGACAGGGTTTCTCCATGTTGGTCAGGCTAGTATCGAATTCCCAACCTCAGGTCATCCGCCTGTCTCGGCCTCCCAAAGTGCTGGGATTACAAAATGTGTAGTTGAATTTGGTTTGGTAGTATTTTGTTGAGAATTTTTGCGTCAAGATGCATTTGTGATATTGCCCTATAGGCTTTTCTTTCTCCTGTACTTTTCAGAATAGTTTGAGGAGGATTGGCATTAGTTCTTTAAATGTTTGGTAGGAGTCAGCAGTGAAGCCATTGGGTCCCAGGCTTTTCTTTGCTGGGAGACTTTTTATGACGGCTTTGATCTCATTACTTCATATTGGTCTGTTCAGGTTTTGGATCTCTTTATGGTTCAATCTTGGTAGGTTGTATGTGTCTGGGAATTTATTTATTCTAAATTTTTCAATTTATTGATGTATATTTGCTCATATTAGCTACCAAAGATCCTTTGAATTTCTGTGGTATCAGTTGTAATGTATCCTTTTTCAATTCTGATTTTACTTAATTGGGTCTTCTCTCATTTTTCTTAGTCTGGCTAAAGGTTTGTCAATTTTCTTTATCTTTAAAAAATCAACTTTTTGTTTCATTGATCTTTTGTATTGTTTTCTTCTTTCCAATTCATTTATTTCTGCTCTGATCTTTATTATTTCTTTTCTTTTACTAATCTTGAGTTTAGATTGCTCTTTCTTTTCTAGCTCTTGCATACATCATTAGGTTGTTTATTTGAAGTTTTTTTTTAATTTTTGATGTAAGCACTGATAGCTATAAATTTCCCTCCCATTACTGCTGTCACTGTATTCCATAGGTTATGGTATGTTGTGCGAAAATTATAATTTTTATTTCAAGAATTTTTTCAATTTCCTTCTTAATGTCTTCATTGACCCATTGGTTGTTTAGTATCATATTGGTTAACCCTTTTCCTGTTTTTTTTTTTAAGTACAGCTTGCTGCTATTGCTCATTTAATTTTACATAAACATGTTTTTTGAGACTGTAGCAAATCTGACTGATTTTCAATGTGAAAATAAAATATATAAAAACTCTTCTTGGAGTTATTTCAAAACAGAACTAACATTAGAATAGTCTGAATCATCAGAATTGTCTATTTTGGAAAAATCAGATGCATCAAATGAATCTTCAGCCAACAATTGTTCAAGAACGATGTTAACATCACTTGGAGGGATGCTGTGTTTTCTAGGATTTGACATTTTCAGCAATTGAGAATTACTATATTTTGTAAATGAAAGTACCACTACCAAAACCAGAATGCTATAAATAGAATGTTATCTTTTGTTTCCGAAGTTAATATACCAGAGAGATGCAAAAATAATAAGAAATGCAAAATACTTCATGACAAAGTTATCTTAGGGTAAACACTGCAGCCACAAGCACCACTAGCAAGTATTCTTGGGGTAAATGGGAAAAGCGTTCATTTCTATGTGTTTGTGTAGTTTCCAAAATTGCTATTGTTACTGATTTCTAGTTTTGTTTCATTGTGGTCAGAGAAGATGCTTGATATTATTTCCATTTAAAAAATATTTTAAGACTTGTTTTGTGACCTAACATATCATATATCTTTGAGAATTACCCATGTGCTGAGGAGAAAAATGTGTATTCTATAGCCATTGGATGAATGTTCTATAAATATGTATTAGGTCTATTTCATCTATAATGCAGATTAAGTCTGATGTTTCTTTGCTGATTTTCTTTCTGGAAGATTTATTCAATGCTGAAGGTGAAGTATTTAAGTCTCCAGCTGTTATTTTATTGGGGTTTATCTCTCTATTTAGCTCTAATATTTGCTTTATATATCTGGGTGCTCCAGTGTCAGGTGCATATATATTTACAATTGTTATATCCTCCTGCTGAATTCACCTCTTTATCATTACATAGTGACCTTTTTTGTCTCTTCTTATAGTTTTTGTCTTGAAATCTATTTTGTCTGGTATAAGTATAGTGACTCCTGCTTTTTTTGGTTCCGGTTGGCATAGAATACCTCTTTCCATTCCTTTATTTTCAGTCTATGTGTGTCTTTTTAGATGAAGTGTGTTTCTTGTAAGCAACAGATCATTTGGTTTTAGTTTGGGTTTTTGTTGTTGTTGCTGTTGTTGTTGTTTTTATCCATTCAGCCACTGTATGTCTTTTGATTGGAGAGTTTAGTCCACTTACTTTCAATATTATTATTGATAAGTAAGGAAGTACTCCTGCCATTTTGTTATTTGTTTTCTAGTTGTTTTGTGGTCTTCTCTTCCTTCTTTTCTTCCTTCTTCTCTTCCTTTTAGTGAAGGTAATTTTCTCTGGTGGTATGATTTAATTTCTTTCTTATTTTTTGTATAACTGCTATATGTTTTCTGATTTGAGGCCACCACAAGGCTTGCACATACTATCTTATAACCCATTATTGTAAGCTGATAACAACTTAACAATGTTTGCATAAACAAACAAACAAACAAAATGAAAACTAATTAAACTCTACCGCTTTGCTTCATTATTCTGCTTTTTAACTTTTTGTTGTTTCTGTCCATATCTTCTTGTACTGTCTATGTCTTGAAACATGATTGTAGTTATTGTTTTTGATTGGTTCATCTTTTAGTCTTCCATAATTTACCATAGTTACAGTATTATAATATTCTGTGTTTTTCCTTGTACTTACTATTACTAGCAAATTTTGTACCTTAAAATGATTTCTTATTGCTCATTAAAATACTTTTCTACCTAATTGAAGTATTCCCATTAGCATTTCTTGTAGGACAGGTTTATTCTTGATAAAATCCCTAATTTTGTTTGTGTGGGAAAGTCTTTATTTCTCCTTCATGTTTAAAGGGTATTTTTGCCAGATATACTATTCTAGGGTAAAATATTTTCTCCATCAGCACTTTACATATGTCATGCCACTCTCTACTGGCCTGTAAGGTTTCCACTAAAAATTCAGCTGCCAAATGTATTGGAGCTCCCTTTTATGTAATTTACTTCTTTTGTCTCACTACTTTTAGGATCCTTTCTTTATCTTTAACCTTTGGGAGTTTGATTATTAAATACCTTGAGGTGGTGTTCTTCAGATTAAATCTGCTTGGCATTCTATAACCTTCTTCTTCTTGGACATTGATATCTTTTTCTAGATTTGAGAAATTATCCCTTTCAATAAACTTTCTACCCCTCTTTCTCTACTTCCTCTTTTTAGCCAGTAAGTTTTACATTTTTCCCTTTTGGGGGTATTTTTAGATCCTGTAGTTGTGCTTTATTGTTTTTTATTCTTTTTTCCTTTGTCTCTTCTGATTGCATTTTCAAATAGCCTGTCCTCAAGCTCACTAATTCTTTCTTCTGCTTAGTCAAATCTACTGTTAAATCTGATGCATTCTTCTATATGTCAATTGCATTTTTCAACCCCAGAATTTCTGTTTGATTATGTTTAATTATTTCAATCTCTTAGTTAAATTTATCTGATAGAATTCTGAATTTCTTCTCTGTGTTATCTTGAATTTCTTTGAGTTTCCTCAAAACAACTATTTTGAATTCTTTGTCTAAAAAAGTCACATACCTCTCTTTCTCCAGGATTGGTCCCTGGTGACTTACTTAGTTTATTTGGTGAGGTCATGTTTCCCTGGATAGTTTTGATGCTTGTGGACATTCATCTATATTTGGGCATTGAAGAGTTAGCTATTTCTGGTAGTGTTTGCAGTCTGGACTTGTTTGTGCCTATCTTTCTTGGGAAGGCTTTCCAGGCATTTGAAAGGACTGGGCTGTTGTGATCTAAGCCATATATGTATTAGGGGACATCCTCAGCCCAGTGATTCTGTGCTTCTTGCAGACTCATAGAAGTACTTGGATAAGATCTTGAATAATTTCCTGGATTGCCAAGCAGAGACTTTTGTTCTCTTCCTGTACTTTCTGCCAAACAGAGTCTCTCTCTCTCTCTCTCTCTCTCTCTCTCTCTCTCTGTTCTGAGCTAGATCTAGGGATGAGATGACACAAGCACCCTGGTGGCTACTGGGACTGCACTGAGTCAGACCTGAAGGCAGCATAGCACTGTGTCTTGCCCCATGCCCACTGTAACCACTACCTGGCTACTGCCTATGTTTGCTCAAGGCATTGGAGTTCTACAATCAGCAGGTGGCACAGCCAGCCAGGATTATGTCCTTACTTCAGTTCAGGACAGTGAGTTCCCTCAGGCCCTGGGTAGGTCCAGAGATGTCATCAAGGATCCAGGGACTGGAGTCAAGAACCTTGGAAACTTACCTGGTGTTCTATTGTAGTGTGGGTGAGCTGGCCCTCAAGCCATGAGACACAGTCTTTCCCACTCTTACCTCCCCTTTCCACAGGCAGAGGAGCTTCACCCCATGGTCACCACCACCACAGGCCCTTAGGGAGTACTGCCACGCTACCAGCAATGTTCACTTAAGGCACAAGTGCTCTTCATTCAGCTCATGGTGAATGCTGCCTGGCCTGTGACTTAGCCTTCAGGGCAGCGGGCTCCTTTCCAGCCCAGGGCAGGTTCATAAATACTGTCCCAGACTCAAGACCTGGAATGGGGACCCCAAGAGCCCACTTAATGCTGTATGCCCCTGTGGCAAAGCTGGTACCTAAGATGCAAGACACAGTCCCCTTTACTTTTCCCTCTGCTTTTCTCAAGAAGGAGTCTTCTGCCCATAGCCATCACAGCTGGTAATGTGCTGATTCTTACTTGAAGCCAACAAGTCTGAGTCTCACCCAAGGCCCATGGTGTACTATCTGGGTATCACTGCTGGTCATTCAGGGCCCAAGAGCTCTTTAGTCAGCAGGTGATGGGTCGTGCCAGGTCTTGGTTCTTCCCTTTAAGTCAGCAGCATATCTTCTGGCCCAGGTTGAGTCTAGACATGTCATTTGGGAACTAGGGCCTTGAAAGGGGACCTCATGACTCTGATTGCTGCCCTATCTTACTATGGCTGAGCTGGTATTCAAGATGCAAAACAAAGTCCTCTTTACTCTTAACTCTCCTCTTCTCAAGTGGAAAGAAAGATTCTGTTTTGGAGCTGTGAGCTGTGCAGCCTGTCATTGGAGAAGGGGTGGAGCAAACACTCCCTTAGCCCACTGGCTCTGAGCCCAGTTCAGCAGTAGGACTTACTTATGAGTTGCAGTCTTTGTGGCCTAGGCTGCCTTTCAAGTTTATTTAGCACCCTAGAGCACTGTAGCCCATGCTGGCAAGGCTTGCCAAATCTCAAATTCTGACCACGGGGATGGGCGATTCCCCCTGGCTAGGGCTGGTTTAAATACTCCTTCTTTGGGTGAGTGTCAGCTGAGTTCAGCCTAGTTTTGCTTTCTGCAGTGATAAGATGGGTTGGCCTTGCGGGAGTCATTTTGCCAAGGATAACATGGTCTCTGTATATAACTAATGCTAGGGAGAAGAGCACTAATTTGACCCAGTAGCAAAGCCTTAATGATTGGAGGGAGTCAGAGCTCTGAATATACACATTGGCTCTTAACAAAAGCCATCTCAAGCCTAGCCCAACCAATGGGGTACATATCTGTGTCCTAAGGAAGGGTGGGGCTACAAGTAAAAACTGAAAGAACTGAAAGCTGTTTCACTCAACCTGTAAAAGGAGGGTACAAGCAGCTGTGCTTTTCCATGTCAATTAGCACATAACATATAGAATATAACACATAACAAACAGATCCATCTATTTGACTCCTGGGTGAATGGAGCTGCAGAAGGGCATGGCATGCCTGGTGTGCAGGCTGTCCAGCACAGCAGCAGTGTATCCACCCAGAGCCTCAGCAGCAGAGGAGCAAAATCCCTGGCAGAGCAAATGGAGACACTGCTTCTCTGGCTGAGCAATGCTGAGCCTGGCCAGCAAGGACTCCATATGCTCAGGAGCAGCAAGAACACCCAGAGTGACTAACAGGGTGCCAGCCACCATCTGCCCAGCAAAGTGGGAAGGAGACCAATGTCCAGCTAAGTGAGGACTGAGTACCAGTGGTGTCTGGCTGAAGCAGACTTGTCCATGAGCACTTGTGAGACATACTTAGGGGGACTTTGTAAAGTGACAGAAGTCCCACATTAGCATGTGATAACAATCAGCCTGCAAAATTTGATTACTAGTGTTATGACACTTATTGTACCCCTAACTTGTATGGGTGGCATTAGATAGATAGATAGATAGATAGATAGATAGATAGATAGATAGATAGATAATGTTCATTATGTATGTATGAAAACATGCACACATAACACAGTTCCTGGTCCATAACTTCCATAGTCCTTGTATTTCCTGAGTGACTAAAACAATAAGCATATCTTTTGTTGAAGTATGTGGCTTTTTGTCCTTGGTTCATGTAGCAGCTTTGGAACAGCTTCAGAGTGATAAAGGTGACAGACAGACTTTTGTTATAGTGTTGGGGTGCTTTAGGTCTCAGAAGCAGTCCTCAGGAAACAGAATCTCATTTTCTGACCTTCCCCGGTCCTCCTTTCATCTGCTCCTTTTGCTCCCCAAGCAGGCCACAGAGACCAAAAATAAAATCTTTACCCACCTTTCTGTCTTGGGGCTGCCCGTAAAGAAATTATCTGACCTACCTTCTCTGATTGCAGATCATAAGACCCACTCTTTATCCAATCTCGTTTCTACAAGGTTGTCCATGCTTCATTTGTGCCTATCCAGTGAAGTCTCCATAAAAGGCCCAAGAGGACAGGGTATGGAGAACTTCTGGCTAGCTGAGCTCTTGCAGGAAGGTGAATAAGAACTCATTCATGTGGAGGGTGGCACATGATCATGGAAGCTCCTTCCCACATGCCTTGCCCTACACATCTCTTTATCTGTATCCTTTGTAATATTCTTTATAATAAACCAGTAAGTGTAAGCAAGCGAGGCACTCTAGCAACTTAATCAAACCCAAGGAGACGGTCATGGGAACCCTGATTTATAGCGTTGGTCAGAAGCACAGGTAAAACAACCTGTGGCTTGCTATTAATGTTGGAACTGGGGAACAGTCTAGTAGAACTGAGCCGTCAACCTGTGTAATCTGATACTATCTCCAGGTAGATAGTGACAGAATTGAAATGGGTTGGAGGACACCTATTGGTCTATTGGTGTCTGTTGCAAAACTGATTGCTTGCTTGATGCATTGAGAAAAAACTACACACATCTGGCCACAGAAGTCTTCTGTGTTAATTGTGGTGTGAGAGCAGAGGAAAAACTGTATTTTCAACACTGGTGGCCCATGTTGTACAACTCCAGGAGGCTCTATTCATATCATATTCCACATCAGTGCCCTCACCCTGGAGCACATAAACGGAACATTAATGGTGCCTCCCTGGAGTTGTGCAACGTGGACACGTGGATCAGGAGCCTGAGAAAATTCTGAATACATTTGCTTTACAACCCAAAATAGATTACCATCTGTGATATTAGCTATGTACACAAATAGAGAACCCAGTAGAGTTAAAAGCTATCCCTGGTTCATTGTTTGTAATCTGGATCCTGATTTAGCCTGAAAAATTTTGTAACCCAAAGTACTTTCATATAAGATTGCATTCACATATAAATACATTCAGTAAATATATACAAGGATGAGATCGTAACATGATTCTCTGAAGTTCACGTGGAATCATTTATTAGTTGTTTCTTTGGTACCTTTAGCATCATTCAATGAAATATTATTTTTCATTAGTAGTTAGTATTAAAATATGCTCAATACAGATAGGAACACTTAAATTTTATCAGCTATTCAGATCACTTTACAAATTCTGAAGGTTTAGGTAAGATTCCCAAATTCCTGTAATGTAAATGTTTCCAATGATGTTCTAGAAATAATTAATTATTTTACTGATAGCATTACCTGTTTTTAGCTTCATTAAATGGACTCAATTGTTTACTTGTTTCAAAAATATTTGTACATTTTCTTGTAATTTTATAATTATTTTGTTCAAAGAGATTTCTGAAAACTATTACATTTGATTTCATGGGACAAAATAAGATGAATCCAACAAATATGTGTACTTAAATACAAAGAAATAAAACACATTTTACTAAAAATAACAAAATTTACTGAAAAATTCTGAGTATACATCTTTTGGCCAGAAAAAAATTATTGTAGAGAGAGAAAAAAAGACACATATAACCTAAAGGGTTATCAAGAGCTTTAACCTACATTATGAATTTCAGTAAATATTGCAATACTAAGTTTTTGTGTTTTTTCCTTCAAATTAGCAATGCCTAGGATTTGACTGAATCCATTTTTACTATTGGTGTCATAAGAAAAGACACATTTCCGGCCGGGCACAGTGGCTCACGCCTGTAATCCCAGCACTTTGGGAGGCCGAGGCAGGTGGATCACGAGGTCAGGAGATCAAGACCATCCTGGCTAACACGGTGAAACCCCATCTCTACTAAAAATACAAAAAAAATTAGCCGGGCGTGGTGGCAGGCGCCTGTAGTCCCAGCTACTCTGGAGGCTGAGGCAGGAGAATGGCATGAACCCGGGAGGTGGAGCTTGCAGTGAGCCGAGATTGCACCACTGCACTCCAGCCTGGGTGACAGAGCCAGACTCCATCTCAATAAAAAAATTAAAAAAGAAAGAAAAGACACATTTGCATAGACTTACATTTACTATTGAGTTCTGCCCCATAGGAGGCCGGACACTGAGTACGGATGATAAAATTTGTATTCTTTTTTTTTTGCAGTGAAACAAGATGCATGGGTTGAATGGAGTGCAGAGCAACTGTTTTCCCTGGGTGCCTTCACATTTTTAATACTCTAAATACATTTTTGTCATTATATCAAAGGCCTTAGTAATAAATCTATTGACAGTACCTTACTGGAAAATTGTGCTTTAGAGTAGATATAACTTTAGCAATGACAGATAAGGGGGAGAAATATTTTTTAAGGACAGTAGTGTAGTTTTAGGTCAGAATAATTTAGTCTTTGAGTAGAATTCAAACTGACATGCCCCTCATTCCTTACTGCCAGGAACACAGGGCTTTATCTCTGGCTGTTCAGTTGCCCTAATCTTGTTTGCTTTCCCATTTACTTCTCTAATCTCTGAAAAAAAGTATTATATTTAACAGAATTTGTAGTTTTGGAAGATTCTGATTTACTTTGCAGTTAGGTAGTATACATTTATATAAATACAGCTTGTTTTTTTTTTTTAAGCGAAAAATCTGAAGTCAAAATTTCCAATGTTTTAGCAAAAAGAAAGAAAGATAGGGAAATAAGTAAATACCTAACCGTGACAATGCCAGTCTTGGAACTAGAAATTGAAATGGAATATTATTATTTCATGTCTATTCCCACAAGGGGAACTTGTGCTATAGATTATATACATACATATATACATATGTGTGTGTGTGTGTGTGGTCTGTGTATATAAAGCCTGACAGCACCTGGGCAGCCCAGACTAAAGTATAGATGTTGTTCCCTGTCCATGAATGATAGTGTAATTCTCTTGTATTTATTCATATAGGTTTGAGGGTGGTCGTGCATTCTATTGTGGTCCTGCTAAATTTGATATGCCATTTAAATATCAAAGTAGAGTTATCAAGAAGGCAGTTGGATATAGTAGTCTGGACTTCAGGGGAGAAATCCATGTTGGAGATAATGCTTTGAGTTGTTTGCTTAAAGAAGTATTCAATGCCACGGCATTGGATGAGGTCACTGAATGTGAGTGTTAAGAAAGAAAAGTGAAAGAGGCCCAGGACAGAGCTCTGGGAAACAACAACATTTAGTCACTAGCAGAGGAGCCACAATAGGAGATTAAGGGAGTGTAGCCCTCAAGGGAGGAAGAGCAGAGAATGTGGTCTGTTGCAAGCCACGTAACCTGAGTGTTTTGGAGAGAATAGTCAACTTTGCCAAGTAGTGCTGAACATTCAAGAAAATAGTGTAACATTGAATTTGGCCCCACAGAGTTATTTAATGACCTTGACAAGAGCCACCTCTGTAGAGTGGGGTGAAGGACATATCAAGATGACATACTCATTGATATAAACACAGAGAAGGGCAGATAAACACTGTAACCTTTCCTGTATAATGCACCTCAGTCTAATCATGAGAAAACATCCAAAGAGCCTCAGTTGAAGGGTATTAACCAGGCAGTCCTAGCCAGGAGAGGTGGAGGTGAGAGACAAGGTGAGGAAGGAGAAATAGGGAATATGAACTCCTCTTTTAGGAAGCTCAGCTATGAAGGGATGAGAAATAGGGCAATAGCTGGAAAGGATAGGGGATCAAAGGAGATAATTTTAAAGATGGGAGATACTAGAGCACAGGTTGTATGCTGATGGAAGGAGGAGGTTGATGATACATATGAGAGGGGATCATTATAGCAGTGGATCCTGGAAACAGCAAGTGCACAGCAGAAAAGTTAGCCTTTGCTCAAAGCAGAGACAGTTTCTTTTCCATTAGAACCAGAAAGGAGGCAGAGTGATGCAAAGATGAAATTCTTTCTTTCTTTCTTTCTTTCTTTTTTTTTTTTTTTTTTTTTTTGAGACGGAGTCTTGCTCTGTTACCCAGGCTGGAGTGCAGTGGCGCAATCTCAGCTCACTGCCTTTGCCTTCTGGGTTCAAGCAATTCTCCTGCCTCAGCCTCCCGAGTAGCTGGGACTACAGGCACCCACCACCGCGCTCAGCTAATTTTTATATTTTTAGTAGAAATGGGGTTTCACCATGTTAGCTAGGATGGTCTCGATCTCATGACCTCGTGATCCACCCACCTCAGCCTCCCAAAGTACTGGGATTACAGGCATGAGCCACCGCACGCAGCTGAAATTCTTTCTACTTGTTTATAGTTGCTCAGTGAGGTGTGAGTTATGGTCATCAGTTGAGAGTTCTGGTACAGAGGACTGTAAAAGAAATGTCTTTTTAGTCTTTTTTTTCTAGGTTCTCCATAATGAACATGCATTACTTTTATAATTAGATAAAAGATTACAAAAATTTATATCCTTTGACCCAACAGATTTTGTTCTTTTGCCAAGGAAGAGGAAAAATATTTCTGTACAAATATATTTACGGCCTCCCAAAGTGCTGGGATTACAGGTGTGAGCCACCGCACCCAGCCATTATTTTTATACTTGGAAAAAATCAATGTAATAAAAACAATCATACACTCACCAGTGACCCATCATGCCATTTAATGATTCTTGGAAAAGGTAAACACCATCAACCTTCCTAGCCATTAACCAGATTATTTTCCTGTAATGGTGTTTGTCCCACAGAAACTTGCAGCGGCTCTGGTAATACAGCTCTATATGTTAAAGGGACTGTGCCACTCCATCTTTGCAACAAAATTCTACTTACAGAAACTGTGTTTCTTTGCTGTTTTTTTACTTGTGTCTATGCTTTTACTTGTCTCTAAGCTAAGCGTGGAGTGAAGAAAGATGTCAGGAATTCTGCAGATGGAGAATAACCATCAAATAGTCTTGCCAACACAGATATCAGATTTATTTCAACATCTAAAACTCAGGTCGCTCTATCTAAAATAATACAGAGCAGAGAGAAGTCACATTTACAGCGTAAACACGCAAAATTTCCCAGTATGACATTTTTTTTCTTTAGCCTCCAGACATCTGATTCCTTTTCAAAAGCACACAAATCCTCTCACCCAGCCCAGAGCCACCCAAAAGGGATTTCCATATGGTAGATGTTGCTTAAAATTTGCTAACAGACTTAATGAAGTTACTCCTCTTAACAGGTAGGATTGTGCCTGTTGTCCAACTCATAAATAAAGGATCATACATCACTTCTTTAGGTTGTTCCTTAGTTGTAAATCAAAATTTATACCAGAGTGTAACATATCTTTTCTTCTGTTGTTTGAATATGTAATCCGTGCATATTAAAATAGTGCACAGCTGTAGTCAGTGAAAAAGCCTTCCCACCAATGTCCCTCCACAGAGGCAGCCAGCATACCCAATTTCTTGCATATATTTCTAGAGATATTCTATTTATATATAAGCAAATAAGTGGAGCATTCATGAAAAACTTAATAAGACCCTTAAACATCACGTAATATTCTTTATCACTGTATCAAATACATGAAGGATGGTGGTCAGAAAAGCTTATAATGCCAGAAGCCACTAAAAATTGGAGATTAGAAAGAATTTAATATTTTTCTGAAATAGAAGTCTAAATGATTGGGGAAAAGACAATGCTTTAAAAATTGATTTCTATACACATCAGTTGCATTAAAGGAGACATCTAATTGGGTGAGCATATAGAAAAATACTAATCGTTGCTACTGGCTTGTAAATTTTTAATATACTAGACATTTTATGGTTTAGTTTTTTAAAATAGTTTCACTCTCCCAGTCATAAAGTATGCATTGATCTTTAATACATATATATATTATATACTATCTATAATATTATTTTATATATTAATATATAGTATATATAAAACATTATATATTAAATATAAATATATATTTAAAATTATTTTGTGACCCACAGATGATTGATAGCGGCTTGCCATCCCCCACTTCAGACTCCTCTTTTCTCCAGATTTTTTGCCTATTACAAGGTCAGCAGTTAATGGCTCATAGGTCAAATCAGGCTTGCCACCTATTTTTGTGAATGAAGTTTTATTAGAACACAGCTATGCTTATCCATTTATGTGTTGACTGTAGCTGTTTTCATGCCATAATGACAGGGTTGAGTATTTGTAACACAGGTTGTGTGGGCTGCAAAGCTGAAAATATTTATCTGATCCTTTACATAAAATGTGCCCTGGAGTAAGAAATCTTCATTATGGTAATGAATGAGCAAGAAGCATTAGAGAAAAGAAAACTCAAGAACTGATTTTAAATGTGCAATAACATTATAAGGTATAGAGTATCACATAGGAATATGCAAACTATGTATAAAATCTCTTGGATTTCAGTTATTTCATATGCTTTAGTGTCCACCTAGAAAAAAGTAGGGACACTGCTCTTATAGAGATTTAGAATAAATTAAGGGTGTGGGTACACAAGTACATACATAGCTAAACATGTACGGATTTTCATCTACTTTCATGTATCACTTTTCCAATCCCATCCTTCTTTCCAACATTGCTACAAATTTTATGAATATATATTTATCTGTGCAGCCCAGATTAAAGTACATCTTTAAAGAAGTAAATGTGAAAGAGAAAAGTCTCCAGGAATGAAGAGGGCAATTAAGACTTACTGGGGGCTTGGTCACTATGATATCTGTCACTCCAGGTATTGAGCGTTGATCCAGTGCTATGGCTCACCAGGCTGGTGTGTGCTTCCTTCTCCACCATCATTTCAAAACTACATACCAGGTCAAAGGGGTCAAACTGCAGATAAATAAAATCTAATCTCCTAGGGCACACCAGGGAGAGCCTGTACTCCCGTCGGTACTACCAATGCTGGTAGACAACGTTGGTTGTTCATGTTACTGGAATTTAAAGATGGATAAGGAAATGAATACAAAACCATTGCTTGGATTTATGTTTAACAAAAGATTGCTATTCTACCCCAGTGGCTCCTTAATCACCTTAGGTGATACAGCTTGATATTTACAAGAGTATTTTAAAGCAAAGTAAAAGCAAATAAAGCTGTTTCATTACAACAGTACAACTAAATAGTAAGGATAAAAATTTAACATCAGGCAACAATAGTTGTTTTTTTTTCAATTTTTAGAGCAGAAATACAAATAAAGCTATATTAACCACCCCTAAGGGTATTTGTGACCTTTGACAACACTGAAAGAAAATATTTATAGTCTGAAACTATGTCTCTCCAGTATTACAGAGTAAATGAAAAATATAATATGGTTAACAAGTTGTACTTTTCACAAGAGGACAAAATTCTTATAGAAGGATTCCGACTTTGCTTTTTCCAAGTCTTACAGAAAGAAAACATTGAAAAAAGTAACAAGAATGGAAAGAGTGGGAAAGTAACAAGAATGGAAAGCACTTCTATAAAACGAAGGCAAAAGGCAAATATTAAAAGTATAAAATTATCTTGAAACATATTTAATATATATATGTATGTGTGTATATACACATATACATTGAAAAGTACATATATTCTTTGTCTTAGAATATTTAATTTGTTTATAACCAGAGTGTAAAAATAAAAATACGTTTTCTTTGGTTTCACAGTAGATGAACATTTAGTAAAGGCAAACTATTCACTCAAATATATTTTGAGCATCCATCATTTGTGAGAATCTGATCTAGGAGTACAGGGTATGTCAGTCAGTGATAAAACAAAACAAAACCTGTTTTCATGGAACTTACATACTTATTGGAAGACCCAGACAATACATATAAAAAGTTTATTGAGCAGTGTAGTATATCACATGGTGATGCATGCTAAAGAAAAATAGAGCAGCTGGGCACGGTGGCTCACCCCTGTAATCCCAGCACTTTGGGAGGCCATGGAGGGCGGATCGCGAGGTCAGGAGTTCGAGACCAGTCTGGCCAACATAGTGAAACCCCGTCTCTACTAAAAACACAAAAAATTAGCCAAGTGTGGTGGTGTGTGCCTGTAATTCCAGGTACTCAAGAGGCTGAGGCAGGAGAATCACGTGAACCTGGGAGGTGACGTTTGCAGTGAGCTGAGATCGCGCCATTGCACTCCAGCCAAGGCAACAGTGTGAGACTCCGTTTCAAAAAAAGAAAAAGAAATGAAAGAAAAATAGAACAATATAAGAGGGACTGGAAGTCCTCAGGGTTGGAGGGTGGGATTACGATGTTGAAAATGGTGGTTATCCCAGACCTCGCAATCAAGAGAAGTACTTTAGGCTTGTGGCTCTTTGGGCAGAGAGAAGAGTCAGCCTTTGAGGCAGGAGTGAGCCAGGTGTTAGAGGCTCGGCCAAGAGGGATCGAGAAAGCTAGCGAGGAGTAATTGGGGACACACTGTTAGGAGATACGGTGGGAGAAGCAATGGGGTGGGTGTGGGATCAGATTATAAGAGACCTTACTTTGAGTGAGTGACATGGGAGGGTACTGACCAGATGGGTGACATTTTTGAGTTATGTTTTAAAAAGATCATTCTCACTATATGCAATAACCAAGGTCGGAAACAATGGTGGCTTAAAGATCAGTGTAGTAGCAATGGAAGTTTTGCTTTAGAAATAGACATTTATGATTTTATTAAATACTCTAGGATTTAGATGGAGAGCACAATATTGTTTAATGAAGAAATCCCACCTTTTCACCCATGTATTCAATCAGCAGTTCATGGAAAACTCTCCAAACTGTTTTTACATACGGTCCAGGTTTTCTTAGCTTCCTGCCAATATTTCTGTATTCTGTACATTTTCCATTTGCCTTTCTAGATTTTGGTAGGCTGAGTAACGACCCTCTGAGACACCTAGGTCCAATCCCTGGGATCTGTGAATATTACTTTGCCTGGCAAAAGGAACCATGCAGTTGTGATTAAGTCAAGGATCTGGAGAAGGGGAAATTATCCGGGATTAGTGGCCGGGCCCTAAATATAATCATAAGAGTCCTTATAAGACAGAGGCAAGAAGGTTAGTGAGGGAGAAAACAATATGAGTATGGAAGCAGCTGTTAAATTGATGCAGCCATGACCGAAGAATGCCTACAGCCTCCAGAAACTGGAAAAGGCAAAGCAATGATTCTCCCCTAGAGTCTCCAGAAGGAACCAGCCCTGCTGATGACACGGTGAATTTCCAGATGAAACTGATTTGGGATTTCTGGCCTGCAGAACTGTGAGAGAATAAATACTCATTGTTTTATGCCACAAGATTTGTGATAAACTTGTTATAGCAGCAATGGGAAACTAATACATAGGTCTACTTCCTGCTTCTTCACTCTGCCCTGTGCCCTGGAAAGCTGACCCTGGTGTGCTGCACCAATCAAGCACCTGCAGATTGGAAGTGACAATGGCCAGGATCTACCTAAGGCAGCAGCTTCTATCCAGTGGTGCTAACCCTAGAGCTACAGCTCTCTCTTGGCTTTTGGAAACCACTTCTTCCGCTTGCAGCTTCTGGCCAAGGGTAGTGAAAGTTGCTGTAGAGGGATCTTCACTAGCTCTTGTTTGTTTCCTTTATCAGTGCCCACACCTTCATAAAGACAGGCTCTTTATCCAGTTTCTGCTCCAGCATTTAAGGAGGTTAGAAGTTGTCACTCCATCCTAACAACCAGTGAAAACTGAACAAAATGAAAAATCAACAACTCTTAATTGGATCCATCAGAGAATAAGGTTACAGGGTAAACCACTCCCCACAGGTAGGAAAATACAGAAAATATCAGCTTATTGGAGCAGAAACATGCAAGCAGAGACATCCAAGGGAGCAATTAGTGGGGTGGGAAAATTTGAACTGTAATCGATGAATTGCTGGAGGCTCAGTCTGACAGTTAAAAACTGTAGGAGATTCCAGTCACAGGTGGCCTCCGTACTTTTATGGGTTTTACCTCCAGATTAGTCAGGTTCTCACAGTAAATTTCAGAGAAAAATCCCTTTGTGTTTACATCAGGGAGAGAGGAAAAAGTGCCATTTAAAAATATGGCAGAGCATTCTGTTCCTTTTAACATGGTTTACCCTCCTCTTGTCCTTCCTAAGGAATAGGAGGGGAGTAGAGAAGGAGGAGACTGAGGCACTTGTGAAGATCACAGTTGAAAGTCACTGTCATTAAAAGGTTGAAACCTAATCATATAACTATAGAATGCTTCCACTCCCTTATGCCTGTAGCATGTTACCAACACATGAATTAACACCTATTTATTGGAGTTACTTTTACCCAGTCTTGGCTATCAAAGAAAAATTACAAGGCATACTAACAGGCAAAAATCACAGTTTGAAGAAACAGAGCAAGCATCAGAACCATACTTAGATATGGCAGGTATGTTGAATTACCACACCAGGAATTTTTTGTAAGTCCACAGTTAATATGATAAAGGCTCTAGTGGATGAAGTAGATGACCTGCAAGGACAGATGGGCAATGTAAGTAGAGAGATGGGAATTCTGAGAAGGAATTTGAAATGTTAGAAATCAAAAGCACTGTAACATAAATGAAGAACAACCTTAATGGGCTCATTAGTAGACTGGACTCAGTGGAGAAAACAATCTCTGAGATATATCAATAGAAATGTCTGAAATGGAAAGGCAATGAGAAAAAAGATTGAAAAACTGGAATAGAAGATCTAAGAATTGTGGAATAACTAAAAAAGGTATGATATATACATAATGGGAATACCAAGAGAAGAGAGGAGGAAACAAATATTTTAAGCAACAATGACTGAGAATTTTCCAAAGTTAACGTCAAATACTAAACCACAGAACCAAGATTCTCAGAGAATGCCAGGGAGGATAAATATTTTAAAAAGATACCAAACATATCTATAGCACATGTAAATGGATAATGGCAGGGCATATGTCCCAGAGACAGTGATGATCTGCTATAAACAGAATGTAGAGAGCTTTAGTGTTGGAGGCTGAGGAAACTAGGTCAGGGGATGGCATTATTACTGAGAAATACAGATGTCCTAAATGTGTTCAAGTTCCAAATGCCCAGAAGCAAAGCGCTATCTTCCCTCACAAAATCTGAAACTCCTCTAGTATTTATCTCATTGACAGATACCATCATCTATTTAATTGTACACACCAGAAATCTCCATCTTTTTCAACTCTTATATCCACTACATCACCAAATTATATCATTTTAATCTCTTTAAAATTTCTCAAAACTCCATTTTTTCCATATCCATGAAGGAGATGATGGTGTCATTGACTGAGGTAGAGATAATTGAGGTGAGGCACAGTAAGAAGGACAGGAGGAAAAAAAAAATAGATGCCATGAAAGCTACAGAGGAGAGAATTTCAAGACAGTAGATCAATAAAGTTAAAGGACACAGAGGAACTGAATAGAATGAAATCTAAAGAGGGCAGTTGAATAGGACGATAAGAAGGTCATTTTACTTTCAAGAGGCTGATAGCAGTGCTGATGCCAGAGTTTAGTGAGTTGAGGAGTGAATGTAAATAAGGAAGGGTTCTGTGAATTAAGATTGTCCTTTGAAAAGTTGACAAGGAGATTGTTAAAATTTGAGAAAAATGCAGCAAATTGAGGAAAGGACAACTTAGGATGGTAGACTTGATCAACTGAGAATATGGACCCGGTGGAAAGGAAGCTTCTGATAGGATGATAGAGCAAGTTACACAGATAAAGAATCAATAGACAAATTAGTAGGGTTAACCCTGGAAAAAAAAGGCGATGCTTCCACCCTGGAAGTCACAGAGAAGTTGGGAGGGATGTGAAGAGGAGATACATGAAAATATACTACCATTTTGAGATAGAAGGGAAGGAACCTGAGTGAGTTTGTGTTAGTTTCCATTGAAGAAAAGGGAAAATAGATATTGGAAGCTTGAAATGTAGACATTTTTGGACAACTGCTATGTAAAATGAGCTAGGAAGTCACCCTCTGGATGGGTAAAATAATTAATGAGTAGACTTCAAGGTCCAGTGGAGGGAAAACTAAAATCTTTCAGTCGTGAGTTTTGTGACCACAAATAAGCAACACTGGAGCTGAAGAGAAGTCAATGGCTAATTGGATCTATTAGTCAGTGCCCTGGAAGCAAAAATAGCACAATCCAAAGAAGTGTGATTGAAGAGAGTTTTTGTTTTTACTTTTTATTAAAATCAACTTTATTTTTAAGAGCAGTTTAAAGTTCATAACAAAATTGAGAGGAAGGCGTAGGGACTTCCCATGTGTCCCCTTCCCCCAGGTAGGCACAGCCTTCTCCACTGTCAACATCCCACACCACAGTGGTACTTTTTTACAATTAGTGAACCTACATTGACACATCCCTATCATCCAGAGTCCACAGTTTACATTAAGATTCACTATTGGTGTTGTACATTCAATAGCTTTTGACAAATGTATAATGATAAGTATCTACAATTGTAGCATTGTACAGAATAGTTTCATTGACCTAAAAACGCTCTGTTCTCTGCCTATTCATCTCTCTGTGTCCTCTAATTTGCTGTCAATTAGTGATCTTTTTTACCATCTCCATAGTTTTGCCTTTTCTAGAATGTGATAAAGTTGGACTCATATATGTAGTTTTTTCAGATTAAGTTCTTTCACTTAGCAATATGCATTTGTATTTCTTCCATGTTTTTTTCATGGCTTGATAGCTCATTGCCTTTTAGCACTGAAAATACACTATTGTCTGAATGTACTAGAATGTATTTACCTATTTCTTCCTGAAGGACATCTTTGTTGCTTCCAGTTTTGGCAATTATGAAAAAAGCTGCTATAAATATCGATGTACAGGTTTTTGTGTGGTTTTCTACTCATTTGGGTAGAAAGAAGCACAGTAGCTGAATTGTATGGCAAGAGCATGTTTCATTTTATAAGAAACTGTCAAACTGTCTTCCAAACTGGCTGTACCATTTTTCATTCCCACCAGCAATGAATGATTGCTGTAGCTTTATAGGAAGTCTTGAAATTGCACAGTGTCAGTCCTCCAGCTTTTTCTCCTTCAATATTGGTTGCCTATTCTGGATCTTTTGACTTTCCATATAAACTTTAGAATCAGTTTGCCAATATCCACAAAATAATTTGTTTGGATTTTGCTTGGGATTGCATTGAATCTGTAAAGCAGGTTGAAAAGACCTGACATCTTGATAATATTGAGTCTTCCTATCCATGAACATAGAATATCTTTCCATTTACTTAGTTCTTGTTTTATTTTATCAGAGTTTTGTAATTTTCTTGTATGTATTTTGTTAGATTTATACTTAAGTATTTCATTGGGGGGTGCAAATGTAAGTGGTATTGTGTTTTTAATTTCCATTTTCACTTATTCATTTCTGGTATATAGGAAAGCAGTGACTTTTTTATATTAATCTTGTGTCTGAAAACCTTGCTGTAATTGCTTATTCATTCCAGGAGGTTTTTATGCTGACTCTTTCAGATTTTCAACATAAACAATTATGTCATCTGAGAACAAAGATAGTTTTATTTCTTTCTTCTCTATCAGTATACCTTTTAAGTCATTTTTTGGTCTTATTGCATTAGCTATGACTTCCACTATGATAATGAAAAGGAGTGTAGAGAGAGAACATCCTTGCTTTGTTTCTGATCTTAGCAGGAAAGCTTCTAATTTCTCATCATTATGTATTGTAACTGTAGGCTATTTTACATGTTGTTTATGAAGTTAAGGAAGCTCCCTTCTGTGGCTCATTTACTGGGAGTTTTTATCATGAAAAGAGGTTGAATTTTGTCAGATGCTTTCTCTGCATCTATTGATATGATCATGTCATTTTTACTTTTTAGCCTATTGATGTGATGAAATATATTAATTTATTTCACCCATCAGTCACCACCCCTACATACAAACACTCTTCCTCAGGTTACTGGAATCCTACTTCTACTTAAAGACCAAGATTAAATGCTAAATCTGCTAAGAACTGTATCCACTGTTCCAAAATGGAATTAATTTTCCCTCCTTGCTATTTCCACTTTATATATTACTTTAATTTTGGCATTTGCCGTATACTTTGTGTTTTTTAAAAATATTTGTGTTCACATCTCCCACTAGTTTGAAACTCATTGATTGTACAACCTGGATTTTTTTCCACATTCAGTAACCCCACAACACTTGGGAAAATGCTTGCACGTGGCAGGGTCTCAATAAATATGAGTTGGATTGAACTGCATACTTAGATTTTTATTAAAACAACAATGACACTTTGGGAGGCTGAGGCGGACGGATCACTTGAGGTCAGGAGTTTGAGACCAGCCTGGCCAAAGTGGTGAAACCTCATCTCTACTAAAAATACAAAACTTAGGCTGGGCGTGATGGCTCACGCCCGTAATCCCAGCACTTTGGGAGGCCAAGGCGGGCGGATCACCTGAAGTCAGGAGTTCCAGACCAACCTAACCAACGTAGAGAAACTCCATCTCTACTAAAAATACAAAAAATTAGCCGAGTATGGTGGCGCATGCCTGTAATCCCAGCTACTTGGGAGGCTGAGGCAGGAGAATCACTTGAACCCGGGAGGCAGAGGTTGTGGTGAGCGAAGATCATGCCATTGCACTACAGCCTGGGCAACAGGAGCGAAACTCCATCTCAATAAATAAATAAATAAATACATACATAAATAAATAAATAAATTTAAAAAATACAAAAATTAGCCTGGCATGGTGGCGGGTGCCTGTAATCCCAGTTACTCGGGATGCTGAGGCAGGAGAATCGCTTGAACCTGGAAGGCAGAGGTTGCAGTGAACCGAGATCTCCCCACTGCACTCCAACCTGGGTGACAGAGTGAGACTCCATCTCAAACAAACAAACAAACAAACAAAAGACAGTGATACAAGAATATTCTAAAGCCAATGCCCTTCCAAAATTCACAGCTCTCACTTTCCATAAATTTCCATATCAAAATATGTTTTCCTTACAATTCTAATATATGGCACTTGGCATGTAGCTAAATCTGACAAATCAATGTATGCATATTTTAAAACTTATTTAATACTGGAAACATGAAAATTAACCAGAAAAATAAGCAGTCATGATTGATTAGATATTCACTGATGTATAAAGATGATGGAAACACTTAGATGTTCTTGCGAAAAGGTAGATGGACTTACTCATTTTAAGAAATGCCCAATATTATACAAAGAAAAATGATTTAAAGCTATTTTCTATCCAAACCTCAAACATTCAGTTGGTTTCAGGCAAACATGGGTATTGAATTAAGGTAATGAAGATTCAAGACAACTTTTTATTTTTATTTTTATTTTATTTTATTTTTTTTTGAGACGGAGTCTCACTCTGTCACCCAGGCTGGAGTGCAGGGGTGCAATCTCAGCTCACTGCAAGCTCCGCCTCCTGGGTTCATGCCATTCTCCTGCCTCAGCCTCCTGAGTAGCTGGGACTACAGGCGCCTGCCACCACGCCCAGCTAATTTTTTTGTATTTTTAGTAGAGACGGGGTTTCACCGTGTTAGCCAGGATGGTCTCGATCTCCTGACCTCATGATCTACCCGCCTCAACCTCCCAAAGTGCTGGGATTACAGGTGTGAGCCACCACGCCCGGCCGACACCTTGTTTTTTGCAGCTTTGTATCAAGACATAAAAGGATGAATAACACTTGATTTCTACACACAACTTTCTCAAGGTATAGCAGGAACAATGAACATGTATAGACTTCATTAAATATGAGAACTTCTCCACTAGTGGTGTATTCTCTCTGGAAAGACCTGCAGTGTCTTCACAGAGAGGGTAATTTAAGACTAACTTTGAAGGATACGTAGAATTTTGCTGAGCATGGAAGGAAAATAATTCCAGGTAGAGAAATGGAATGAACAAAGTACAGAGTCTTGAAAATGCTTGGTATATTAAGAGCCCTTCTGTACGGAGCTGATGGAGAATAATGTTGGAAAGGTTGTTTAAGGCAAGATTGTGAAGGCCCATGAAATCCATGCCAAGAAAGTTTTAAGTTGTACCATAGAAGATAGGGAGCCATCTGAGGTTGTTTTAATCATCACAATGACCAAATCTTTTCTAAGTTTTTGACGGCTAATACCAAAAACATCATAGAAGATGAATTCACAAGAGTGGAAGAGTGAGGGCACCAACCAGCCAAGTATTGATCCCTCTGCTCCTCACCATCCACTCCCTATCGTTCTCCAGTAACAGTCTGTAGCAGCCAAATGGGTCCATAAAAACAGAAAATTCAGGGCCCTTCAATTAAATGGATAATTGGATTTCTTCCTCTTTTGTCTTAAAAAGAATATATCAAAAATGGTTATACTTATAAGAATCGCTTTGAAAATAGGGGAGTAAATGAGATGATACTTGTTCAATTCAGCAAATGTGGAGACCAACTATGTGCAAATTCCATGCCAGACGTTGTGGGGGGATATACAGTCACTTAGTCATTCAACTAAAGTTTATCGAGAAACTACACTATTCTAAACAATCTCCTTATTCATGGGATACAACAAGAAGCTAAGGGCATAGTTTTGCAGATCTTGATGCTTACATTCTAGTAAGGACTTCAAATATTAACTAAATTATCTACACAAGTGTATAATTTTTTTAAGTGGCATAAAAAATTATGGAGGAATCTTGTAATCCCAGCATTTTGGGAGGCTGAGGTGGGCAGATCACGAGGTCAGGAGATTGAGACCATCCTGGCTAACATGGTGAAACCCCATCTCTACTAAAAGTACAAAAATTAGCCATGCATGGTAGCGCGCCTGTAGTCTCAGCTACTCGGGAGGCTGAGGCAGGAGAATTGCTTGAACCCAGGAGGCAGAGGTTGCAGTGAGCCGAGATCACACCACTGCACTCTGGCCTGGCGACAGAGTGAGATGCCATCTCAAAAAAAAAAAAAAAAAATTATGGAGGAATCTAATTAAGAGTTGCAAATAGGTATAAGACACTATTTCTGTCATTAGATACTTTTTTTTAATATCAGAAACATGATTTGCAAATAGTTTCTCCCAGTCTGTGGCTTGGTTTTATTTTCTTAACAAGAAAGCAGCAAATTGAGGACTGTACACCTTAGGATGATAGAAGATGTGATCAACTGAGAATATGGATCTGTGGAAAGGAAGCTTCTGATGGCATGATACAGCAAGCTACACAGGAAAGAAAATCGAAAGACAGGTGGGGCGGGTTAACCCTGGAAAAGAAAGGTGGCACTTCCACCCTGGAAAGTGAAAAAGAAGTGTGTATGGGGGTGAGGGAATATGAGGAGAAGATAGATGAAAATATACTAACATTTTGAGATAAAAGGGAAGGAACTTGAGTGAGTTTGTATTAGCTCCCATTGAAGAAGAGGGAAAATAGATATTGGAAGCTTGAAAGGTAGACATTTTTGGACGACTGCTATCTAAAATGAGCTAGGAAGTCTCCTGCGGAGGGGTAAATAATTAATGAGTAACTCCAGGGTCCAGTGGAGGGAAAATTCTAATCTTTCATGTGTGAGTTCTGTGACCAGAAATCTGCAACACTGGAGCTGAAGAGAAGTCAATGGCTGGCTGGATCTAGTAGTCAGTGTCCTGGCAGGAAAATGACACAGTCCAAAGAAGTGTGATTGGAGAGAATTTTTTGTTTTCATATTTTATTAAAATAAACTTGCACAGTGCAGATGTTTATAATTTTAGTGAAGCCCAATTTATCAATTTTTTATTTCATGGATGATATTGTTGGTGTTGCATATAAAAACTTATTTCCAAACCCAAAGGTATCTAGATTTTTTCCTATGTTATCTTCTGGAGTTTTATGGTTTTACATTTTACATTTAGATATGTGATTTATTTTGAGTTAATATTTGTAAAAGCTGAAAGGTCAGTGTCTTGAGTCACTTTTTTTTGCATGTGAATGTCCAATTGTTCCAGCACCATATGTTGAAAAGATATTCCTATCCTAGGAAATTTACAATCTAGTAAAGGGTATAAGGCCAGCACACAAATGAATGACTGAAATGACATTTAACTAAGATATCTATCCTAAAGGATGTGTAGAATTGTGCTGAGGAGTGTAAAAGGTGACATTTAAGGTGGATTGTGAAAAGTGAATAAAGTTTTATCATACAGATTGGGCTGAGGAGGAAACAACAAGAACAAAATGACAGGTGAAGAAAGCACAGGGATGTATAGTTTAAGAAACAGAAACAAGTCCAGTTAAGCTAAAGTGTAAAAGCGTATTTTCTGGCAAATACACTGGAAAGACAGATTGTGTAATGTTATGGAAGGCCTTGAATGAGTTTCCTATAATTAGTCATTGAACAACTATTTATTGAGTGCCTACTGCATGCCAGGCACTGTTAACAGCTGCTGGGGACACAGCAGTGAACAATACAGGTACTCTGTCTTACTAGTACCATAAAATCTAGATTGGCATTATATTAATTACAATCTAATAGGAGAAGACAGAGGACAAGGTAGAATATGAGAGGTGATGAGGAAAATTGGGGGAGAAGGCAATGGCTAAAAATAGAGCAGGAAAAGGGTGATGAGAGATTCTGGAGAGAAGCCACTAATTGACAAGGGCTCACCAGGAAAAGACTCTGATTAATATAATATTGAAAGAAGCCCATGGGAAGCAAGAAAGAGCTTTACAGATACCAAAGAAAATGGCATTCCACTCAGAGGGAACAGCAAATACCAAAGCTGTGAGGTAGAAGCATGCTTAATGTGTTCAAGAAACAGCAAGGAAGCCAATGAGGTTGGAAAGAATTGAGTAGGAGGGATATTAGAAACAGATGATGTTAGAGAAATAATAGGGGTATTGAGGGAGGCACAGATGCACAAATCATATGGGCCTTGTAGGCCATGGTAAGGCATTGGATATTCCTTTGAGTAATAATGGTAAGATCAGGAACTTTGAGCAGAGTAGTGACATGATCTGACATTTTTTTTAAAGATCACTCTGGCTGCAGTGTTGGGAAGAGTGTCAGAAGGTAAAGATGGCAGCAGGCAAACCTCTTGGGAGGCTGTTGCAGCAGTGAGAAGAAATATAGTGGGGGGATGGTGGGGAGAAATGTCTAGCCCTAGATAGAATTTGATGATAGAGCTGATGGAATTTGTATACAGATTGCATGAGGGCTGTGAGAAACAGAAAAGCCAAGGATGTCTCTAACATCCTGAACAATCAGAAGAAAGGAGTCACCGTTGACTGAGATGAAGAATCATAGGAAGGAGTAGGTTTGGAGACAGAGTATTTAGGAGTGTGGTTTGGGATGTGTCTGTCTCTCCAAGTGAAATATCAAATAAGCATTTAGATGCAGAAGTCTGGAGTAGTAGTTATCAGTGAATGAGTGGTGTGTAAGGCTATGATATAAGGAAGTGAATGTAGAGAAGAAGATAACTTCAAGAACTGAAACTTGGGAGACCCCCAAAATGTAACAGAAAGATAAGGAAAAAACCGAAAAAGATACTCAGACAGAGATACCAGTGAGTTAAGGAAGAGAATCAAGAGAGACTTACAGGAAACCAAGGCAAAGGTATTCAAGAACGCCTTTGTTAAATGCGCCTGGTAGATTAGGTAAAATGAGGACTTAAAATTGACCATTGGATTTAGCAATGTAAAGGTCAATAGAGTCCTTAACAAAAGCTGCTTCCACAGAGTGTCAAGATGAAAGCCTGAAGAAACTAAGTATATGCCGAGCATGGTGGCTCACGCCTATAATCCAAGCACACTGGGAGGCCAAAGTGGGCAGATCACTTGAGGTCAGAAGTTCGAGACCAGCCTGGCCCACATGGTGAAACCCTGTCACTATTAAAAATGCAAAAAAATTAGCTGAGCGTGGTGGCCACGCCTGTAATCCCAGCCACTCGGGAAGCTGAGGCAGGAGAATCACATGAACCTGGGAGGCGGAGGTTGCAGTGAGCTGAGATCACGCCACAGCATTCCAGCCTGGGTGACAGAGCGAGACTCCATCTCCAAAAAAAAAAAAAAAAAAAAAAAAAAAAGTATACATAATTCTTTTGAGGATTTTTACTATAAAGCAAAGAAATAGAACAGCAGATGGAGGAAACTGGAAGTCAGGGGAGGCAGTTTGTTGTTGTTTGTGGGGTGGGTGATATAACAGAGAAAATTCAATGATGTAGGAATGAGAGAAAAAGCAGTGGGAGTGATGTCCTTCCCTAAATGAGAGAGGACAGAAGCTATTATAGTATACAAAAAGAGCAGTGGGCCGGGCGCGGTGGCTCACGCCTGTAATCCCAGCACTTTGGGAGGCCGAGACGGGCGGATCACGAGGTCAGGAGATCGAGACCATCCTGGCTAACACGGTGAAACCCCGTCTCTACTAAAAATACAAAAATTAGCCGGGCATGGTGGCGCGTGCCTATAGTCCCAGCTACACGGGAGGCTGAGGCTGAGGCAGGAGAATGGCGTGAACCCGGGAGGCGGAGCTTGCAGTGAGTCGAGATCGCGCCACTGCACTCCAGCCTGGGCGACAGAGCGAAACTCCGTCTCAAAAAAAAAAAAAAAAAAAAAAAGAGCAGTGGGCTTAGATAGGGGAACAGGCAGTTTATTAATAGGCTTAAATTTCTAAGCAATAAGAAACCATTACAGTTTTCTGAGTAAGTGTTAAGATTCTTAATAACCCTCATAATCTATATATTCCTTCCCCTTTTACCAAGGGGCAAATCCAGATACTTAAGAGTATGTCCAAAAATAAATACCAGAAATACAATCATCCCCAAAATAAAATGGATGTCCAGAAAAGTTTAAATAAACCATTGTGTTTATCTCAGCAACTTCTCCTTTGTGTTAAATCAAGATCTTTATGCTGTTTTTGAAAGTTGTTGAAATGTTTTACTTTGAAAATAAACTTTTTGGTACATGAAATCTATTTTTACACACATCTAACCTTTTGAAAATTTATAATGTGATTTATTTTGTATTCCTGTTAAATTTTGCTGAATAGTAATTAAAAATGACCATACCTTGATCACCAATGACCTAACACTATCTCCAACAAAATTAGGAATGTAATGAATTCAAACCCTTCAGCCTCATCACCTTGTAACAGATTCAATCACACAGAAATTTAGAGGAAGCTTTAAAACAAATTATATAAAGATAGTTCTTGAAGGAAATTATGTACTCTTGATCATCCATGAAGTAAATTCTGTAATTTGCATTTTTCCAATGGAAAGGAGTAAACAAACAGTAAAGATCAAATATATTAGGCTATTTTCTGGTATCTTATCATTGAATTTAATAAACAGATTCCTAGAGGATTTTCAGTATCATATGTATCTAAAACTTTTTTCCACTATGAGCAGTAATCAATTCTTAAATCAGAAAGCGTTTTTCTCCACAGACGTGAACGTATTCACACGAAGAAAGGGAACTTCAACCGACCTCTAATATCCAATCTGAAGGATGTAGATGATTTAGCAACCCTAGAAATTTTGGATGAGGTAAGAATTTCAGTTTAATTAAACTTAGACATTCCAGATGTTTTGTTAATTTATAGAAGACACGGGTATTGGTAGAAGGGGAAGGAATATATAGATTATGATGGTTATTAAGAATCTTAACACTCACTCTGCCCATGTCTCCCATCTGTAAGTCTCATGCTTTCTTTGTCTCTTAGCTTCCTATTATTTCACTTATCTTCAGTTTTAATCTATATAACTCAAATTTCCAGATCTTTCCAGCCTAGTGTTCATTTTTGTCTGATGCTCAACTGATAGGGGTGAGGTCCTCGCAGTGTAAGTTGTTAGGCCACAGATCTTCCTTCTTTTTCATTATTTGTGGGAGTCTCAAAGATATGATTTATTGTATTCAAAGAGCAGTCAGCCTATTGTAACCACCATGTGGTGGCCTCCCGCTTTGTCCTCTCCTGTTTCAGCTCTTAGTGGCTGTACCCAGAAACTCTGGGATACCTCAACAGCCTGTCTGTTACCATGGTCAGTGTTCTTCCTCATGGGATCACAAAACCCTTGTTTCACACAGCTTATCTTTCGGGGGTATTGAATTCTGCTTGGAACTCCTTATTCTAATTATCTCAGAAGTATTTCAAACATTTTTGTGAAGGTAGAGATCCAAGCTATTAAATTCTAGTCTCAGCCTACTTTCCCCTCACCCTTCTTTGTTCCACGTAGTCAGATCATTAGAGAAATAAATGCCCTCTTTTTAGCAGAAGGTCAGGACTTCTGTCCTGCCTGATGAACACCTTTTTATTTTTTTTACACTGCTGATACATGCCTGAGCATTTGACTCAGAAATGTACCAATCAAGAGGTAAGTTCTGAATAGAGGTAGTCATTTGGTAAATTTAGGGTTGCATAAACAACTCAAGTACTTCCTCAAAATAATCTCAAGAACATCAAACATCTTGAAATCAAATCATGTTGGCAAGTCAGAGATTGCAGCACCTTTCTGAATTCTTACATATAAAATTTTTTAATAATGTGAATTCCTAGGCTTGTGGATTGCAAAGAAGTTTTCACTAATCATGTTGTTGACCAAGATATTAATATATTAAATGGTGGGTTTGTTTCTGTTGTCTATATTTTATTTTTAGTTTCTTTTTGGACCTAAGATCTTTTGCTCCTCTCTTGTGTCATGTACTGTAAATGGTGGTTTCCGACATTATCAAAATCAATTCATTTACTCAAATGACTTATCAACTATGAAAATTACATTTTAAAATTTTTCATAGTACTTCATAAAGCCAAAAGTCTGAAAAAATAAAAGGACTAGGACATTCCATAAAGCCACTGGATCACCTTGATTTGGAATTAAATCATATTCACTTTATCTTCCCTTCCCTTTTCTCTTTACTTCGTTTTTAATCTTTACATCACTTAGTGCTATTACTTCTTTTCTTGAAAGCATTATATATTTAAAATTCCTGTGACACATAATATGTCCTTTGGAAAATGCAGGTAACAATGACATCCTCTGTGGCTCTCAAAACCAAAGAAAATGGCTGTCAAGTGAATGAGTAGTTGCAGAGCTGATGTTACATGTTTTTTACTATCAGTGTGTCTGTTTTTCTAATCCTTCGTCCAGATTCCAGATGTTCTGTTTATTATTGTTTACTTTTTAAATTGTAGTTGACCACAAATAATTTTTAAGAAGGAGAAATTATTTTATTTTATTGCAGAATACAGTCTCAGAGCAACTTGAGAAGTGTTATTCCAGAGATCAGATCTACGTCTATGTGGGAGACATACTCATTGCTCTTAACCCTTTTCAGAGTCTGGGTCTTTACTCCACAAAGGTATGTCGTATGGGGTGCATTCTGTTACTTCATACACATAATTATACATTCAGATACTTAAATTAATTTAAATGAATGCCAGAAAATTTTATCCAGTATTTTGAATAAACAGTTACATAATTTTTGTTAAAACATAGAACTAGGAAAAATAGAAGATAGAGTCAATCTGGGTGCAGTTTGTGGTCTTGCTTTCTCCAAATGCGTGTGCCAGAGTGTTAATTACATTCAGTTATTGGTAACGGCTCTACATTAAATATTGTATCACTAAACAGATGCCTTTAAAAGCATATACTTAAATCTGCTTAAAAAGGTATGTACTTAATGTATGTCTGCCGCTGAACTGAGTATGGGAGCGTCAAAAGTATAATTACATTGTTTATGTAGATAATACATACTTAATGGCTTTAAAAATTGTCACTGTGAGTTAAAAATTCCTTTTGATGTATTATTGGCTTCATTAATATCACAAACATGTTTTATGAATATGAATATATAATTATCAATTATTTAACCACTGGTGGCTTACATATAGAATACTATTCTGGAATTAAACAAGGTTGTTTTTCATTTTTAATTGGACTCATTCTCTTCTGGCTATTTGTGTACTCCAGAAACTTATTTAATACTGTTCCTAATAGTTGTTTTTGTGTGTGAAAAGTACATATCTCTGTCATCTTTTGCCATCCTAAAATTTACAGAAATAACAGTAAATTTATGAGCCTTGACCTATGTTTCAGGAGATACGGGTTTTGGTGCAATCTTGCTATCAATTCACTGTGTGATCTTGGACAAATCAAATGAGAGAATGTATGTTAAATGACGTGAAAGGAAAAAAGTGGTTATCATGTGTGAGACATTATTATGTCCAAGGAGCAGTTAACAAACTGAAACCCGATCGTCTTATTTTTAATGTATGCTTTCATTTAAATACATAATGGAATTTTGAAACCTTACATTCTGCTTTGGAAGTGGAATGCAGAATCTTTTAAATTACTTTATGTCATATCATATTTCTGGGCTGTTTTGTGTCAGGCTCTTATTTTACATAGTTATACATTTAGATATATGTGCAATATGTGTGTAACATGTATGTAATAATGTTTTGGTGGAATGAAATGGTGTTTTTATTTATACTTTGCTTTAAAAATTGGAGCTATATTTGTAAATAATTCAGGACTTAAATAAAAACAAAAAGCCCTACAAAATGTATTCTTTTTAACCTTTAGCATTCCAAACTATATATTGGATCAAAGAGAACTGCCAGTCCTCCTCACATTTTTGCAATGGCTGACTTAGGATATCAATCTATGATAACATATAATTCAGATCAGGTAAGAAGAGTCTCCCATTCTTAGAAATTTACCTCTTAGTTACTTAAATGTCACTTAATTTTGAGGATAAGGTCTTCTCACAGTTTTCTTTTCTATGTATAGTGCATTGTTATTTCTGGAGAAAGTGGTGCTGGAAAGACTGAAAATGCTCATCTTTTAGTTCAGCAGCTGACAGTGCTTGGAAAGGTATAATTTATTTTTTTCTCTGTCCCATCAGAAATATTTGTTGAATTTCATAACTTAATATAACTGATTAGATTAATATTCTCTAGTATCTCACATTTAATAATGTACAGAAATTTTAAAATACAGTTGTTATCCTTTGAGAGTTTAAAATAATGAGCAATATGAAAAGCATGTACTCTGTTTTGAGGATTTTCTAACTTTTATCACACTTATTAGGCAAGGCTTATAAAGGTGATTTTCATTGTTTTTAGTCCCAGTGCATTTATTGAATGCTTTCTTTACTTTTTCTCCTTTTGTTGCTAGCAGGTTAAAAGAGAGTCAACAAACAAAAATCAATTGTGTTTACATACCATATGTATATACTAGTAATGGTCAATTGCAAATTGAATCTTAAAAGTGCCATTAACAATAAAATCAAAAAAACATGAACTATGTAGATCTAAATATTATATGTGCAAGATTTGTTTGCTGAAAACTGAAAGAGTTAAAAGAAATAAAAGACCTAAATAAACGAAGAGATATAACATGATCATGGATTAAGTGACTCCATATTATTAAGACGTCAGTCTTCTACAAATTGATCTATAGATATAATGCAATTACAATAAAAATCCAAACAGGATTTTTTTTTTGGTGGGAATTGACAAGGTGACTCAAAAATATATATTGAAGGGCAAAGGAGCTAGAATAACCAAACAATCTTGAGAAAGAACAAAGTTGGAGGATTCATGCAACCTTATTTCCAGACTTGCTGTAAAGCTGCAATAGTCAAGACAGTGTGTCATTAAAGAAAGGATGACATACAGATTGACTGAACAAAATAGTGAGGCTACTCATATATGGTTTATTGATTTTTGACAAAGTTGTAAAATTCATTAATTAAGAAAGGTGGTCTTTTCAACAAATAGTGTTGAAATAATTGGATAGGCCCATACAAAAAAAAGAACATTAATCTATACTCACATGTTATACAAATTTTTAACTCAAAGTGGATCATAGATCTAAACATAAAACCAAAAGCCATAAAATTTCTACAAGAAAACGTAGGAAAAGTTCTTTGTGATGTTGAGTTAGGTAAAGAGTTCTTAGATTCAACACAAAATGCATAATTTATACATGGAAAAATTTGATTTTGTCAAAATTAAGAATGTCTGTTCTCTGAGGACACTGTTACAAAAATGAAAACACAACCCACAGACTCAGAGAAAATATTTGCAAGACACACAACTAGTAAAGGACTTGTATATGAAAAAAACTCATACAAATCAATAAGAAATGAAATGACAATTTAAAAACAAACATAATGTTTGAACAGTCACTTCACCAAAGAGGATATGTATGGTACGTAAACAAATGAAAAGTTGCTCAACATCAGTATCATTTGGGAATGCAAGTTAAAACCACAAGAAAACACTATTACAAAACTATTAAAATGGCTAAAATGGCTAGTGTTTTTTAATCTAACAATACCAAGTACTGAAAAAGATATGTGTATTACTCCATTCTCACACTGCTATAAAGAACTTTCCGAGACTGGGTAATTTATAAAGGAAAGAGGTTTAATTGACTCACAGTTTTGCATGACTCGGAGGCCTCAGGAAACTTACAATCATGGCAGAAGGTGAAGGGCAAGCAAGGACCCTCTTCACATGGCAGCAGGAGAGAGAACAGTGAGAGAAGGAGGAACTTGCCCAACACTTATGAAACCATCAGATCTTGTGAGAATTCACTCACTCTCATGAGAACAGCATGGGGGAAACTGCCCCATGATCCAGTCACCTCCTGTCACCTCCTTTGACATGAGGGGATTACAGGTCCTTCCCTAGACACGTGGGGATTACAAATCAAGATGAGATTTTGGTGGGGACACAGAGCCAAACCATATCAATATGTGTTACCAAAACACCAGGGGTTTGGTCTAGGTCCTGCTACTTGCTGCGCAGGAAGCCAATGACTGAGATGATGAGTATTGCCAAAGAACTAGGCTTTAATCGGGTGCTGCACCCAGGAAATGGGAGCTGTCTCAAATTTATCTCTTTGACCAATTAAAACTAGGGGTTTACATAACAGGGAAGACATGTAAGAATGTGTAAGAACACAGAAACTAGGGAGAGACAAGGAAGCAATAATGATGAATGTGGGGTCTGCATCTTATTGTCTGGATGTGGTGATCTAGTGAGTTTCAGTTCTTTGATACTTTTTTTGAGAGGCCTGAAGGTGGTTCATCAGGAGGGAACTCAGATAAAACAAATTGTAAAGTTCAAGCTCCAAGACCAGAAGGGTCAATTTTCTATGTTTATAAAAAAAAAAATCTGTGGGACTATTGGGTTTCATATGGAGCAACTGGAATGCTCATATATTTCTGGTGAGAATGCAAAGTGGTACAGCCACTTTGGAAAACAGTTTGGATGTTTCTTATAAGCTCCACTTACCATACAACCTAGCAGTTTTACTGCTATGTGCTTATTCACACGAAATGAAAACCTATACAGAAACCTATAGACAAAGATTTATAGAGACTTTATTTACAAACTCCAGAAAGTGGAATAAACAAACTATAGTACATTCATACAGTGAAATATTACTCAGCAATAAAAAGGAATAAACATTGAGTCCAGGAGTTCAAGACCAGCCTGGGCAACATAGCAAGACCTCTATGAAAAAATTTAAAAGTTAGCCAGGCATGATGGCACATGCCTATAGTCCCAGCTACTTGGGAAGCTGAAGTGGAAGGATTGCTTGAGCTAAGGAGGTTGAGGTTGCAGTAAGCTATGATGGCACCACCGCACTCCAGCCTGGGTGACAGAACAAGACCCTGTCTCAAAAAAGGAAAAAGAACAAACACTGATACAAGCAATAATGAATTCCATTTAATTATTTTTGGATGAGGCCGGGAGTGGTGGCTCATGCCTGTAATCCCAGCACTTTGGGAGGCCAAGGCGGGTGGATCAAGAGGTCAGGAGTTCAAGACCATCCTGGCTAACACTGAAACTCCGTCAGTACTAAAAATACAAAAAATTAGCCAGGCGTGGTGGCAGGCGCCTGTAGTCCCAGGTGCTTGGGTGGCTGAGGCAGGAGAATGGCATGAACCTGGGAGACGTGAATGGCATGAACCTGGGAGGCAGAGCTTGCAGTGAGCCGAGATTGCGCCACTGCACTCCAGCCTGGGCAACAGTGCAAGATTGCGCCACTGCACTCCAGCCTGGGCAACAGTGCAAGACTCCGTGTCAAATAATAATAATAATAATGATAATAAATAAATAAATAAATAATTATTTTTAGATGAAGCTCAAATGCATTATGCAAGTCAAAGAAGCCAGAATCAAAACACTGCATACTGTGTGATTCAGTTTACATGCCATTCTTGCAAATTTAAAACAATACAGACAGAAGCAGATCAGTGATTATCAGGAAATGGGGGTGGAGAGAGGGGTTCACTGCAAAGAGTCATGAGACAATTTGGGGTGGTGAAGGAATTATCCTATATGTAGACTGCGATGGGGATTACATGATGGCACATGTAAAAACTCTCAGAGCTGTACAGTATAAAGGGTGACTCTTACTGTATGTAAATTATACCTTAATTGTTTTCAAAAAAGGAAGCTGAGGATACACACTTTGATTTTCCAGGTAAAGATCTTAAAGTAAGATAAAATTGTATTTTAATAACATTAATGGCCAAAAAAGAAAAAAAACTGTTTACAATTTATGCCTGTAAAAATTTTTATTATGATCTATATGGTTATAATTAGTCATGTTAAAATTTTTGCCAATTCTGTGATTATAGGAATCTTGTGTTGCAAAACACCAATAGGTTCAAGGTTAAACCTAATCTCTCTATAAAAGAGTGAGGCTGCATAGTTCAAAACAACTACTTAATTGAATTTAATTCACTTTTTTCCTTATGCATTTGGAATTTATTCTGATTTATACTGCCATGAATGGATCAAATTGTATCTTTTTGTCATATAGCTATTCAGTTATCCCAATACCACTTATTAAAAACCCATTCTTTCCATAAATTTGAGATGCCACACTTATACTATACTAAATATCCTCATGCAGTTTGGTCTACTTCTGATTTTCTGTTCTGCTCCTTTGGCCTTAGTGTCTGTTCATGCACCAGTGTCACACTTTTTATTGCTGAAGTTTTATATACTTCATTTTTTTCTTTTATATATATATAAAATATATAATATATATTATATTTAATTATATATACAATAATGTTATATATAATATAACATGTAATATATCGTTTGCAAATACTTTTTCCTAATCCACAGGCTGCCATTTCATTTTGGTGATTGTTTCCTTTGCCATGCAGGAGCTTTTGACTCTGACATAGTCTTATTTTCTTTCTTTGCTTTTTTTGCATGAGCATTTGATGTGATATCCAAAAAATCATTGCCAATGCCAATGTCCAGAAGCTTTTCCTCTATGTTCTCTTCTAGAAATTTTATAGTTTGTAGTCTGATATTTAGATCTTTTATCCATTTTGAGGTGATTTTTTGTGTATGGTATAAGATAAGGATCAAATTTCATTATTTTGTGTGTGTAAATCCAGTTTTCCCAGCACCATTTATTGAAAAACTATCCTTTCTTTATGATGTCCTCTTAGTGCCCCTGTCAAAAATCAGTTGACCGTAAATGTTTGGGTTTATTTGAGGGCTTTCATTTCTATTCCACTAGTTGATGTGTCTGTTTTTATGCCAGTACCATACTGCTTTTATTACTATCAACTTTGTCATGTAGTTTTAAATCAGGAAGTAATGATGGCTCTAAATTTTTCTTCCTCAGAATTATTTTGGTTAGTTGAGGTTTTTTATTATTTCATACAAATTTTTGGATTTTTTCTTTTTTAATTTTTATTTATTTTTTTTAATTTTTCCATAGTTATCGGGATACAGGTGGTATTTGGTTACATAACTAAGCTCTTTAGTAGTGATTTGTGAGATTTTGGTGCACCCATCACCCAAGCAGTATACACTGCACCATATTTGAAGTCTTTTATCCCTTGCCCTGCTCCAGTTCTTCCCCACAAGTACCCAAAGTCCACTGTATCATTCTTATGCCTTTGCATCCTCATAGCTTAGCTCTCATGTATCAGTGAGAACATACGATGTTTGTTTTTCCACTCCTGAGTTACTTCACTTACAGTAATAGTCTCTCATATATATATATATATGATATATATATGTCTCTCTCATATATATATGATATATATGTCTCTCATATATGATATATATGTCTCTCATATATATATGATATATATATGTCTCTCTCATATATATGATATATATATGTCTCTCTCATATATATATGATATATATGTCTCTCATATATATGATATATATATGTCTCTCTCATATATATATGATATATATGTCTCTCTCATATATATGATATATATATGTCTCTCATATATATGATATATATGTGTCTCTCTCATATATATCTATATGTATCTCACAGTTTCTTTATCCACTCATTGATTTATGGGCATTTGGGTTGGTTCCATGATTTTACGATTGTAAATTGTGCTGCTATAAACAGGCGTGTGCAAGTATCTTTTATGAATAATGACTTATTTTCTTCTGGGTGGATACCCAGTAGTGGAATTTCTGGATCAAATGGGAGTTCTACTTTCAGTTCTTTAAGAAATCAGCATACTGTTTTCCATAGTGGCTGTACTAGTTTACATTCCCACCAGCAGTGTAGAAGTGTTCTCTGTTCACCACATCCACACCAACATCTGCTGTTTTTTGATTTTTTGGTTATGGTCATTCTTGCAGGAGTAAGGTGGTATCACATTGTGGTTTTGATTTGCATTTTCCTGATCATTAGTGATGTTGACCATTTTTTCATATGTTTGTTGGCCATTTTTACATCTTCTTTAGAGAATTGTCTATTCATGTCCTTAACCCACTTTTTGATGAGATTGTTTGTTTTTTTCTTACTGATTTGTTTGAGTTCATTGTAGATTTTGGTTATTAGTCCTTTGTCAGATGTATAGATTGTGAAGATTTTTTTTCCCACTCTGTGGGTTTTCTCTTTACTCTGCTGACTTTTCCTTTTGCCATGCAAAAGCTCTTTGGTTTAATTAGGTCCAAGTTATTTATCTTTGCTTTGGTTGCATTTTCTTTTGGGTTCTTGGTCATGAAATCCTTGCCTATGCCAATGTCTAAAAGGGTTTTTCCAATGTTACCTTCTAGAATTTTTATAGTTTCAGGTATTAAGTCCTGAATCCATCTTGAGTTGATTTTTGTGTAAGGTGAGAGATGAGGATCCAGTTTCATTCTCCTACATGTGGCTAGCCAATTATCCCAGCACCATTTGTTGAAAAGGGTGTCTTTTCCAGATTTTATGTTTTTATTTGCTTTGTTGAAGATCAGTTGGCTGTAAGTATTTGGATTTATTTCCAGGTTCTCTATTTTGTTCCATTGGTCTATGTGTCTATTTTTATACGAGTACCATGCTGTTTTGGTGACTATGGCCTTATACTGTAGTTTGAAATCAAGTAGTGTGATGCCTCAAGATTCGTTCCTTTTGCTTAGTCTTGCTTTGGCTATGTGGGCTCTGTTTTGGTTGCATATGAATTTTAGAATTGTTTTTTCCTAATTCTGTGAAGAATGATGGTGGTATTTTAATGGGGATTTCATTGAAGTTGTAGATTGCTTTTGGCAGTATTGTCATTTTCACAATACTGATTCTACCCATCCAGGAGCATGGGATGTGTTTCCATTCATGTCATCTATGATTTATTTCAGCAGTGTTTTGTAGTTTTCCTTGTAGAGGTCTTTTAGCTCCTTGGTTAGGTATATTCCTAAGGTTTTTTTTTTTTTTTTTTTTTTGCAGCTGTTGTAAAAGGGGTTGAGTTTTTTGTTTGATTCTCCACTTGGTTGTTGTTGGTATATAGAAGAATTACTGATTTGTATATATTAATCTCGTATCTGGAAACTTTGCTGAATTCTTTTATCAGTTCTAGTTTTCTGGAGGAGTCCTTAGGGTTTTCAAGGTAAATTATCATATCATCAGCAAATAGTGACAGTTCGACTTCCTCTCTACTGATTTGGATGCCCTATATTTCTTTCTCTTTCTGATTGCTCTGGCTAGGACTTCCAGTGTTATGTTGAAGACGAGTGGTAAGAATGGGGATCCTTGTCTTGTTCCCATTCTCAGAGGGAATGCTTTCAACTTTTCCTCATTCAGTATTACGTTGGCTGTGGGTTTGTCATAGATGGCTTTTATTACATTAAGATATGTCCCTTGTATGCTAATTTTTCTGAGAGTTTTAATCATAAAGTGATGCTGGATTTTGTCAAATGCTTTTCCTGCATCTATTGAGATGATCTTGTGATTTTTGTTTTTAATTCTGATTATGTGGTGTATCACATTTATTGACTTGTGTATGTGAAACCATCCCTGCATCCCTAGTATGAAACCCATTTGATCATGGTGGATTATCTTTTTGATATGTTGTTGGACTCAGTTAGCTAGTATTTTGTTAAGGATTTTAGCATCTTTGTTCATCAAGGATATAGGTCTGTAGTTTTCTTTTTTGGTTATATCCTTTCCTGGTTTTGGTATTAGGGTGATGCTGGTTTTATAGAATGAATTAGGGACAGTTCCTTCTTTCTCTATCTTGTGGAATAGTGTCAAAAAGGTTAGTAACAATTCTTCTTTAATGTCTGGTAGAATTCTGCTGTGAATCCATCTGGTCCTGGACTTTTTTTTTTTTTTTGGTAATTTTAAAATTACAATTTCAATCTTGCTGCTTGTTATTGGTCTGTTCAGAGTATTTGATTCTTCCTGATTTAAGCTACAAGGGTTGTATTTTTCCAGGAATTTATTCATCTCTTCTAGGTTTTCTAGTTTATGTGTGTAAAGGTGTTCATAGTAGCCTTGAGTGATCTTTTGTATTTCAGTGGTGTCAGTTGTAATATCTCCTGTTTCATTTCTTAATGAGGTTATTTGAATTTTTTTCTTTTCTTTTCTTGGTTAATCTTGCTAATGGTCTATCAATTTTATTTATCTTTTCAAAGAACCAGCTTTTTGTTTCATTTATCTTTTGTGGGGTTTTTTGTTTGTTTGTTTCAATTTCATTTAGTTCTGCCCTGATCTTGGTTATTTCCTTTCTTCTCTTTGGTTTGGGTTTGGTTTGTTCTTGTTTCTCTAGTTCCTTGAGGTGTGACTTTAGAATGTCAGTTTGTGTTCTTTCAGTTTTTTTGATGTAAGCATTTAGGGCTATGAACTTTCCTTTTAGCACCGCCTTTGCTGTATACTAGAGGTTTTGATAGGTTGTGTCATTGTTGTTCAGTTCGAAGAATTTTTTAATTTCCCTCTTGATTTTGTTTTTGACTCAATGCTCATTCAGGAGCAGGTTATTTGATTTCCATGTATTTGCATGATTTTGAAGGTTTCTTTTGGAGTTGATTTCCAGTTTTATTCCTTCTGGTCTGAGAGAGTGCTTGGTATAATATAACTTCAATTTTCTTAAATTTATTGAAGCTCGTTTTATAGCCTATCATATGGTCTATCTTGGAGAAAGTTCCATGCACTGTTGAATAGAATGTATATTCTGCGGTTGTTGGATGAAATGTTCTGTATATATCTGTTAAGTCCATTTGTTCCAAGGTATAGTTTAAATCCATTGTTTCTTTGTTGACTTTCTGCCTTGATGACCTG
The DNA here is from genome assembly GCF_000001405.40 of Homo sapiens. Taxonomy (NCBI): domain Eukaryota; kingdom Metazoa; phylum Chordata; class Mammalia; order Primates; family Hominidae; genus Homo; species Homo sapiens. The sequence goes on from NC_000010.11 coordinate 26,079,090, forward strand.
TCTAGTGCTGTCAGTGGAGTATTGAAGTCTCCCACTATAATTGTGTTGCTGTCTATCTCATTTCTTAGGTCTATTAGTAATTGCTTTATAAATCTGGGATCTCCAGTGTTAGGTGCACATATGTTTAGGATTGCGATATTTTCCTCTTGGACAAGGCCTTTTACCATTATATAATGTCCCTCTTTGTCTCTTTTAAAGTTTGTTTTGTCTGATATAATAATAGCTACCCCTGCTTGCTTTTGGTGTCCATTTGCATGAAATGCCTTTTTCCACCCCTTTACTTTAAGTTTATGTGAGTCTTTATGTGTTAGATGAGTCCCCTGAATGCAGCAGATAGTTGATTGTTGAGTTCTTATCCATTCTGCAGTTCCGTATCTTTTAAGTGGAGCCTTTAGGACATTTACATTCAATGTTAGTATTGAGATGTGATATACGGTTGCATTCATCATGCTGTTTGTTGCTCGTGTACTTTTGATTTTGTTTTTTTGTTTCTGCTTTTAATTTATATTTTTGTTTCATAGGTCCTGTGTGATTTATGCTTTAAAGATGTTCTGTTTTGATGTGGTTCCAGGATTCATTTCAAGATTTAGAGCTCCTTTTAGCAGTTCTTATAGTGGTGGCTTGGTAATGGTGAATTCTCTCAGCATTTGTTCATCTGAAAAAGACTGTATCTTTCCTTCATATATGATGCTTAGTTTCGCTGGATACAAAATTCTTGGCTGATAATTGTTTTGTTTGAGGAGGCTGAAGATAGGGTCCCAATTCCTTCTAGCTTGTAAGGTTTCTGCTGAGAAATCTGCTGTTAATCTGTATGCTTTCCCTTTTAGGTTACCTGGTGCTTCTGTCTCACAGCTCTTAAGATTCTTTTCTTCATCTTAATTTTGGATAACCTGATGAGATGAGAGTGTGCCTAGATGAAGACCTTATTGTGATGAATTTCCCGGGTATTCTTTGTGCTTCTTGTATTTGGATGTCTAGGTCTCTAGCAAGGACAGGGAAATTTTCCTTGATTATCCCCACAAATATGTTTTCCAAGCCTTAAGAATTCTCTTCTTCCTCAGGGACAGAGATTATTCTTAGATTTGGTTGTTTAACATAATCCCACATTTCTTGGAGGCTTTGTTCATATTTTCTTATTCTTTTTTCTTTGTCTTTGTTGGATTAGGTTAATTTGAAGACCTTGTCTTCGAGCTCTGAATTTCTTTCTTCTACTTGTTCAATTATTTTGCTGAGACTTTCCACAGCATTTCACATCTCTAAAAGTGTATCCAAAGTTTCCTGAATTTTTTATTGCTTTTTCTTTAAGCTATCTATTTCCTTGAATATTTCTCCCTTCACTTCTTGTATCATTTTTCAGATTTCCTTGTATTGAGCTTCACCTTTCTCTGTTCCCTCCCTGATTAGCTTAATAACTAACCTCTTGAATTCTTTCTCAGGTAAATCTGGGTTTTTTTTTTTTTTCAGTTCAGATCCATTGCTGGTGAACTAGTGTAATTTTTTTGGGGGGAGGCGGGGCGGGGGTGGGTGTTGAAGAGCCTTGTTTTGTCATATTACCAGGGTTGGTTTTCTGGTTCCTTTTTATTTGGGTAGGCTCTATCAGAGGGAAAGTCTAGGGCTGAAGGCTGTTATTCAGATTCTTTTGTCCCACAGGGTGTTCCCTTGATGTAGTACTCTCCCTCTTTTCCTATGGATGTGGCTTCCTGTGAGCTGAACTGCAGTGATTGTTTTCTCTCTTCTGGGTCAAGCCACCCAGCGAGTCTGCCCAGCTCTGGGCTGCTGCTGGGGGTTGTCCACACAGAGTCCTGTGATGTAAACCATCTATGGGTCTCTCAGCCATGGATACCAGCACGTGTTCTGGTGGAGGTAGTAGGGGGAGTGCAGTGGACTCCATGAAGTTTCTTAGCTTTGGTGGTTTAATGCTCTATTTTTGTGCTGGTTGGCCTCCTGCCAGGAGGTGGCACTTTCCAGAAAGTATCAGCTGTGGTAGTATGGGGTGGAACCGGCGGTGGGTGGGGCCCTAGAATTCCCAAGATTATATGCCCTTCCCCCCCCCCCCGCCCCCGCTACCAGGGTGGGTAGGGAAGGACCGTCAGGCGGGGGCAGGGCCAGGTGTGTCTGAGTTCAGACTCTCCTTGGGCGGGTCTTGCTGTGGCTGCTGTGTGGGATGGGGGTGAGATTCCCAGGTCACTGGAGTTGTGTACCTAGGAGGATTATTGCTGCTTCTGCTGAGTCATGCAGGTTGTCAGGGAAATGGGGGAAAGCTGGCAGTCAAAGGCCTCACCCAGCTCCCATGCAAACTGAAGGGCGGGTCTCACTCCCACCATGCCCCCGCAACAACTCCGAGTCCATTTCTAGGTAGAGGGTGAAAATGGGCTTGAAAACCTGCCGCAGGCTATCCTCCTCCCAGCTGCAAAAGAAAAGTGCTTGGCTCTTCCCTGCCTGTGGGGTCTGCACACCAGATTGGCACCCTCCCCCGAGTTGGGGCCAGACTTCTCGCCCCATTCAAATTGTTACAAAGTTCAGCTAAAGATTTCCTTCTTCCTGTGCAGTTTTACCTCCTGCTCCTCTGACCACCCTACCATTGGATCCCTGTGGTGCCAGGCAGGAGTGGCCTGCTAGGGGACCCAGGAAGCTCCCAGGGCTTTTCTGCTGCTTCCTCTACCCCTATATTGTGCTTGGCTCTCCAAATGGATTCAGTTCCGTGTAAAGCCAGAAACTTCTCCCACAAACAGACCTTCACCTTCTCAGCTTCTCCAGTGGGGATGTGTGTTCGGGAGAGGAGGGTCTTCCTTTCCCACTTCTGCAGTTGGGACACTCACAGTATTTGGAGGGTCTCCCGGGTCCTGCAGGAGCAATCCGCTTTCTTTAGAGGATCTATGGGTCCTCTTGAGATTGCTGGTTTGTTCTTGCAGTTGATCTGGAGCTAAAATTCACAATGCAAGCCTCTGCACGCTGCTCTTTCTGGAGCTGCAATCTAGTCCTGTCTCCCATCTGCCATGATGATTGACCCTTCCTGGGATTGTTTTTTTCTGTTTCTGTGAAGAATGCCTTGGGATTTTGATAAGGATTGCATTGATTCTGTATATTTGAGTAGTATGGATATTTTAACAACATTAATTCTTCCGATCCCTGAGATAAATTTTCATTTATTTGTGTCTTCCTCAACTTCTTTCATCACTGTTTTATAGTTTTCAGTGTACAGATCTGTCACCTCCTTGGTTAAATTTATTCCTAATGTTTTGTTTTTATGCTTTTGTTAATGGGATTGCTTTCTTGATTTCTTTTTCAGTTAGGTTGTTATTTATTTATAAAAATGTTATTTACTTTTATATGTTGATTTTGTATCCTAAGATTTTATTGAGTTATTACTTCTAACAGTTATTTTTTTGGGATATTTGGGGCTTTTTACAGGTAGGATCATGTTATCTGCAAATGCAGTAGTCTCCACTTACCCCACAGGGGATATGATCCAAGATACACTTGTGGTTGCCAGAAACTGCAGATAATTTCAAACCCTATATATACTATTTTTTCCTAAACATCCCTATGATAAAGTTTAAATTATAAATTAGGCACAATAAGAGATTAACAATAACTAAAAATAAAGTATAACACTATACTGTAATAAAGGTTATATGAATATGGTCTCTTTCTCTCTCTCTCTTTTTCTCTCTCTCTCTCTCTCTCTCAGAATACCTTAGTTTCACTTGTTTCAGGGGATCCCTTGCTGACTTCTTTGTATAGGCTCAATGCTTTCTGGTGCAACCACTGACACCAATCAGAAAACATTTTCTGTTCATGTCTTCCACCCACAAATTTAATGCCTTTTAATCTTAACTGAGTACTGATCATGCACTGTGACTATGACTTTTGGAATATGATATGTGACAGTAAAACTAGCACAAGTTTCTTTTTCCTTCTTCACAATTTCACAGATAGTAGACCGCAGCATACAATTTTTTTTCTTCCCTTATGAAGTCAAGAACTTTCATCTTTTCACTTCAAGCAGGCAAATATGGTTTCTCTTTGTTGTATTCGAATTGTCAGCATGACTACTCTTGTGCTTTGGGGCCATTAAGTAAAATAAAGATTATTTGACTGCAAGAACTGTGATACTGTGACAAACTGAGAGGGCTACTAAGTTGGGTAACAGGTGGGTAGCATATACAACATGGATACATTGGGCAAAGGAAGGATTCACTTTCCAGGTGGGACAGAGTGGGGTGGCACAGATTTAATCACACTACTCAGAGTGGCATGCAATTTAAAACTTAGAAATTATTTATTTCTGGAATTTTTCATTTAATAGTTTTAGACCATGGTTGACTGTAGGTAACTGGCTCTATGGTAGAGATAATTTTACTTCTTCCTTTCTGATTTGGGTGCCTTTTATTTCTTTATCTTGTCTGGTTGCTCTTATTAGTACTTCCAGTACTATGTTGAATGGAAGTGAAGAGAGTGCGCATTTTTTGCATTGTAACAGATACTATTGGAAAAGCTTTTAGTTTCTCCTCATTGATTATAATGTTAGCTGTGAATTTTTCATAAATTGCCTATATTATGCTGAGGAACTTTCTTTCTATACCTAAACTGTTGAGAGTCCACATCAAGAAAAGATGTTGTGGTATGTTAAATGGTCTTCTATAACTCATATATATGATGTAGATTATTCTGTGGTTGAAAAATATTAAAAAATGTGTCTTCTCAACGTAAAGAAACTTATTACCACTTTGCTTAATATTGCTTTTCTATTGCCTAAGAAAAATTTATATAATTGTAGGTAGCTCCTGTATTCTTTGGGAATGAAAATGGTGATGCCAAAGAATATTTCATTCCTTCCAAAATGTCCTTTTTCTTCCTGCAGAATACTGCTACTTAATGGAAATCACAGCAAGACCAGCAATTTCTAGATAGTTCGTAAGAATCTGGGACATTCTGTCAATAGAAAGATAATAGCTATAGAAAGGCCTCTTATGAGTTATACCTTAGTAAATGCTTTTCTTTTTGTAATCTCATAGGAAAAATTGAATACAGCTTCCACTTTTAAAATTAAAAAAAGAAGAGGTGTTGGACTTTGTCAGATACTTTTTCTGCATCAGTTGAGATGATTATGTGGTTTTAATCTTTGATTCTGTTAATATGTTGAATCATATTGTTTGATTTGCATATGTTAAGCTAGACTTGCATGCCAGGGATAGATTTTGCTTGGACATGATGTATAATCTTTTTAATATGTTATTGGATTTGGTTTGCTAATATTTTATTGAGGATTTTTGCATCAGTGTTCATCAGAGAAATTGGCCTGTGGTTTTCTTTTCTTGTGATGCCTTTATCTGGGTTAGGTAGTAACGTAATGCTGGCTTCATAAATGTAGTTGAAGGTATTCCCTCTAGCTCTATTTTTTTAATTATTTATTTATTTGTTTTTCTTAGAGACAGAGTCTCACTCTGTCACCCAGGCTGGAGTACAGTGGCATAATCACAGCTCACTGCAGTGTCTGAACTCCTGGGCTCAAGCGACCCTTCTGCTTCAGCCTTCCAAGTAGCTGGGACTACAGGCATGTGCCACTGCACCTGGCTAATTTTATAATTCGTTGTACAGATGAGGTCTCACTTTGTTGCCCAGGCTGGTCTCAAACTCCTGGCTTCAAGCTGTCCTCCCATCTTGGCCTCTCAAAATGCTGGAATTATAGACATTAGCCACACTATGCCTGGCCTAGCTCTACTTTTTAGAAGAGTTTAAGAAGTATTGGTATTGATTTTCTTCAAATGTTTGGTGGAATTCAGCTGTGAAGCCACCTTATCCTAGGCTTTTCTTTGTTGGGAGGTTTTGATTACTTCTTCAATTTCTTTATTTGTTTTTGGTCTGTTCAGGCTTTCTAATTCTTTCTGACTCAATTTTGGTAGGTTGTATTTTTCTAAGAATTTATCTACTTCCAGGCTACCCAAATTGCTTGTAGATAATTGTTCATAATAGTCCCTATGATCCTTTTTATTTCTGATACACCTGTTGTAATTTCTCTACTTTCATTTTTTATTTTACTTATCTTAGTCATCTCTCTTATTTTCTTAGACTAGTTAAGGGTTTGTCAATCTTATTTTTTCAAAAATGAAACTCATTTTATTGATTCTTTTTATAGTTTTTCCTTTCTCTATTTGATTTATTTTTGCTCAGATTTTGATTTTTTTTCCTTTCTTCTGCTAATTTTGGCTTTAGCTTTTTCTTTATTTTTTAGTTCCTTGAGGCATTATGTTAGACTATTTATTTTGGAGCTTTCTTCTTTTTTAATGTAGGAATTTATTGCTACAAACTTCTGTCTTAGAATTGCCTTTGCTGCATTCCATAGGCTTGGTATGTTGTGTTTTCCTTGCTGTTTGTCTCAAGGTATTTTTTTACTTTCCCTTTTACTTTCTTCTTTGACCAATTGGTTGTTCAGGAGTACCTTGTTTAATTTCCACATATTTGATCATCTGTGATGCTCCTGCTTAGGTGTGCCAGAGGCTTGGAGGCTCAGGGTGCAAGGTGCCACCTCACCTGAGATGTGTGGTGGCAGCAACTACTTCAGTGTTCAGGAGGCCTGCGGCCCTCTGAGAGCAGAGTGCTGCCTCAGCTCTGGTGGAAGGGAGCTCCCTCAGCCAGGCTCAGAGCCTGTGCAGACTGCAGGGGTCTCCAGTCGCAATGACTGCAAGTGTCCACAGTAGTGAGAGAGGTTGCTGGGGTATCTTGCTTACCTTTTCCTTGCAGGGAGCTGTCCTTCCTTCCTGCTTGTGAGCTGATCCCCACTTGGGGCATGAGGTGGTAAAGGTAAGGTGTTTCTTTTCCTTCTCTATGTGGCCTTTCTGGGTTTCCGTGCTCTACAGGATTTCTTCTGGCTGCTTTTTTGCTGTTCTCCAGTGTGCTCCTTTAGTTATTTTGGTTTAAATGTACTTGTTTACTCATTTGCAGGTAGGGGGAGGCTTGAAGGTGTATTAGCCCATTCTCACACTGCTATAAAGAACTACCTGAGACTGGGTAATTTATAAAGAAAAGAAGTGTAATTGACTCACAGCTCCACATGGCTGGGAAGGCCTCAAAAAAACTTACAATCGTGGGCAGAAGGTGAAGGGCAAGCAAGCACAACAAAGCAGGAGAGAGAGAAAGAGGCAGCAAAGGGGGAAATGCCACTGTTAAACCATCAGGTCTCATGAGAACTCAGTCATTATCACAAGAACAGTGAGGGGGAAATCCGCCCCCATGATTTAATCACCTCTCACCAGGCCCCCTCCCCTGACACGTGGGGATTACAATTTGACATGAGATTTGGGTGGGGACACAGAGCCAAACCATATCAGAGGGAGAGCACTAGGAGCTTCTGGCCAACCATCTTGATGTCACTCCTAATTCAAAATGATGAGTAGGAAGAATTCCATGTTGCTGTTAAAAAATAATTGACTGGTTTTAGTATCTTCTATCAGATGTGTTGACCTAGTGGCTTAATATAACCTCTCCTTACCAGATTTGTGACCCTTTCGGGAGTGGAAGAGCCAGGAGAGACCTAAAAAAAAAAGGTGGTGCTACCCCAGGTGTCTGATCTCAGCCTTTTCTTCCCCCTTGCCCATCAACCACCCTCTCCTTACTTCTAGAAGTATCATTCTAAAAGGTTTTAACAACAGTGAGATAAGATTTAATGTGGGGCACGGGGGCAGTGAGGCACAGCATATTATCCTGGTGTAGAGGAGCTGAACACTTGAATGAATTTTCTCACGGGTCTTTGCTATTCTGTCCTGATCTGCAGGCTGATAGAGTTTCTCATCAATGATAAATTAATTGTGTGTGAATGTGGTTCTGTAGATGTCAGCAAACTTCTTAATCTAATCTCTTTGTCTTGTTTTAGATTAATGTTAATTGGGGATAGGTATATATATATTTTCAGATTCCTACCCTTATCACATCTTATCTTGTTTTTACTTATGTCCTTGATAAGGATTTACCAGATGCAAAAACGAGGTGTTTGGTAGATAGAACTTACCTTTGAAATATGCAGTCTTCCAAATCTTACTTAACAGGTCACTGCTATTCAATATATGCCAATGAAAATGTTATCTCACCTTTTTCATGGGTGCAAGGCCAGCCCAAAGCATTTTAAAGAGCCAAGTTCATCCCCCAAATTACTACACTCTTCTTCCACACCTTATTGCCTCTTTTATAAGATACCCAAAGTTCTTACACAGCCTCAAAACTTCATTGTGAATGCCCCCTCCAACCCACTCAAATTCTAATGTAGTCTATGTTCCAGAAATAGCCACCACTGCTCTCCCTCAACATAGAAACTTTGCAGTAACTCTAACATAGTTGATCTCGGTAAAGTATTAAGGTAGGTATTACACTGAAAATCTACTTAAGCTAACTTCTGCCAAGTTGTGAATAACTAATACCTCCCTAAACCTCTGGGGGCAGAGGTTGGAATGCCTTTGTAAAAGTGATTGGCTATTAACCCAAATAAATTTCTACTCAGTAGAATTTCAACTGAAGTGGTAAAGAAGAAAAATGGAACATACTTCTTTGAGGAGAGGAGCATAAGAGGTGGGGAAGGAATAGAGGTAGAGCCATGTAAGCCTGCTAACCTTGACCTGGTTTCCACTCCTCCCATTCATACTTCTGAGCTGTTCTCAGTTTTCACAATTATTCCCTTCTCTCTGCTTCTGAATTAATGAGTTATCTTTCCTCTCTTAGTTTCAGGGTTAGCAGCTTCTGTGGAAGCCAGTAAAGTGGTTCTGGCTTTGGGGACTATTTGGATGGGGGCCCACGCAGGTGGAGGAGGAATAACAGAATGACAGGTGTACTTCAATGTGCGTAGGCTGCTTATAAATTATGTTTGTAAATCAGGCACTGAACAGAACTGCGCTTGAATAGAAAAGTATAGAATATCTCCTTGTCCCTTTTTAAGAAAACAAGTGAGTGAATCCACATATGGGAGGGGGAAAATAGACCAGGATGTAACATCTGCCAATATATCAGGAACATGCTTTTGTATGTTTATATCTACATAAATTGCTTACCAAAGAAGAGACATTTCATTATATACCAAATTAATTTTTTATGTTTTTAAAAATATCTTAATATTTTCTATTTAGGCTAATAACAGAACCTTGCAAGAGAAGATTTTACAAGTGAACAATTTGGTAGAAGCCTTTGGCAATGCCTGCACTATTATAAATGACAATTCTAGCAGATTTGGAAAATACTTAGAAATGAAATTCACCTCTTCTGGAGCGGTAGTGGGAGCACAGATTTCTGAATATCTCCTGGAAAAATCCCGAGTTATCCACCAAGCTATGTAAGTTTATTTCAAATCTCTCCTATTTTGGAGGAAGCAGAAGCAAACATAATACTTTAATAGTAAAATGTCTTTCTCATTCAATAAAATTTTATTTATCACTTACTATATGCAAAGCACTTACTATTGAGAATGAAGAGATCCATCAGCACTGTCTTATTCTCAAATATATGTTACATCCAATAGAGGAATTAATGTATAACCTAAAATTTATGCTGCCAGATAGAAAACCTAAGCCCATCATAGAGGTACTAACAGCGTAAATTAGAGACCATTCTGACATAGCAGAGAATATATTTATCTATACAAAATTAATGTGAAATTTAATTAGAAGTAACTGAGTCCTTTTCTGTTTTAAATGCTAGCATATATAAATAGATCTTTGTATTCTATTCTTCCTATGTTTATATACAAGGGACCAAATAAAAGATTCAGGAAGGAGCTTTATCATATTGACCTTTTATTGCTGGCTGATTTAAGCCATCAATACTCTTCATAATGCTTTGATATTAAGTTGAATGAATTCCTTTTGCGGGTTTGTAGCTTAATGACAAAGTTTCTCTCCTGTCTCACAAAACATCTTTGTTATTCTAAAGAGGAAACTATCGTTACACATTGGATTTGTACCCTGGTGGTTACATTATTTTGCTTAAAAGCATGGCAAGTTAGAATCTTTCATTTTTCTTATGTTGGTTTTATGCTAAACATACTCTACATTATTGTAGTAGTATGTCATGTTAATTCACAGTAACATAATAAGCTCTTGTTTTATATTAGTACATTATTATTTAATGTAAGTGCCTTCAAGCTTGGTGTCATTCAATTCATGAGTAAGTCATGAATAGAAGTTGCCTGGAGTCCAGCTCCTAATATGGAAAATTACTCTTTGGTCTTCAATTAAAAATATGGAAGGAGGCCGGGCACAGTGGCTCACACCTGTAATCCCAGCACTTTGGGAGGCCAAGGCGGGTGGATCACGCGGTCAGGAGATTGAGACCATCCTGGCTAACATGGTGAAACCCCATCTCTACTAAAAATACAAAAAATTAGCCGGGCGTGGTGGTGGGTGCTTGTAGCCCCAGCTACTCGGGAGGCTGAGGGAGGAGAATGGCGTGAACCCAGGAGGCGGAGCTGGCAGTGAACCGAGATCATGCCACTTCACTCCAGCTGGGGTGACAGAGCGAGACTCCATCTCAAAAAAAAAAAAATGGAAGGAATGATTATTAAACACATATGGCTTTCAACTGTGGTACCACACCGTTTTAATCCACTTTGGGTAAGATATTTAAACCTTAAAGATTCTTACAGGATCTTGGCTCTGTAATTCATTGTATGTATGATTTGAAACAGTTTACTTAACCTCTCTGCACCTCTGTTTTTCATCTTTAAAATGAAATAGCATTAGTACCTACCTATCAATTAAGACAAGGTACCTACAGTATATAGCACAATGAATGGCATATATTAAGAACCCCATAAGTTTAAGCCATTAGTAGTAATAGTAGTGTTAATAGTTGATTAGAAATAACATATAGCACAGTACCTGGGATATTGAAGATGTTCAGTAAATGGCAGATACTATTTATTGATGTCTGTCCAGTGCCCAAAACTCAGTGGACATGTGTGTCAGTGCCGTTGCCACCCATAACTAGAAGGACCGCGGGATCTTAGCAGATGTGGAAACTTAGCTAGTTCTCAAAACCATTTGTTCTGCTTTCATAATTGTGTAAGCTTCTCCTTCAGGCCCTTCAGGAAGAACTACTTAAGAGTAACTAATTGGTAGATGGCACCACCATGTTGCACAATGTCAAGGGATATAATTCACGGTGTATTCTATGGAGTTGAGTGCAGGAACTCAGTTCATATAGAAGAGCACATGAACAGAACACTCTGGAGTTACACAATGAGGCCCTGAGCTTGTAACCATAGAAATAATATCATTAATGCTTACTGAAATATCGTAGGATGCATTCTAAGAAATAGCATAGTCAGGATTATATTTAAGGCATGCTGTGAATTAAGTAGTTTTTTTCCCCCTAAGGAACTATTCTAATTTTACAAGTTTGCTTATTGGGGAAAAGCATTCCAAATTCCAAATTCACAATCAAGTGGAAATATAACTCAGTTATAATTTGAGCACAGCTGTCTTTAATTTATAACACTTTTTCCATTTTTATATCTGTTTTTTCTTTCACCTAATTTAATTGCATTTTTAAGTTCCAGAGGAGCTTTGAGTGACCTATGAATATGAAAATATCAGACATGTGATTGATGGAAGAATTCTTAATAGGTACATTTACAAATTATAAATTTAATTGCACTGTTATCAATCAGGGTACTGAACAGAAAGAACAAGCTCAAGGGTTTTAACTGAGAAAACTGTTTACAGAGATCACATGGGCATTGAAGAGCCAAGAATGAATGGTGAGAAGCCCATGGACTAACAGGGGTGAGGAGCCATGGCTGCCTTCCTGTCTGCAGGTGGAGGGAGGGGCAGCACTAGTGCCTGGTGCCAGCTGCAGCTGTGGATCAGGGGCTGCCTGTCTGGAGCTATGGCCCTAATGGGACACAGCCAGTCAGGGAGAGAGCAAGGGGATAACATCCCAGCCTCTCTCTCCTTCATTCGCCTGTTTCCTGCCTGTGCTTCCTATTGGCTGAACCCATATGGAAGCCAGAGAGCAAGGGAGCCCAAGAATTGCAGGCTGTAGGGATTGGCCCTTGGGGTCCCAGAGCAAGACAAAGAAGAGTGTAGAATGATTTGAGGAGCAGGGAAGAATTAGAGCAGACGAGTATCTTTTTTTAATGAACTCACCCTTTCTTTTAAGACATTTTGTTCTTTTCTTCGGTTTTTGCCTCTGGCGATGTCATCCCAGCTCAATCTCTGACCACATTTATTTTTAGATTACCTTTCTAATGATGATAGTACTATCTTATAACTTGTGACTTAAATCCTTTTCTAAACATAGATAGTTTTCAAGGAGAAAATTTTAAAAGAGGCTACTTAATTTCAAGAATAAGATGAACCTATTGAAGGCAATGCTAGATAATTCTCATAAATACAAATTATAGCTATTTCCATTGCAGTTTCCTCCTGTTACTACAGTTTAGTTCAGCAAGCATTGATTGCATTTCTCTGATGTCCCCAGCACTTAACAGGACTCTATAGGAGACATAAATAAGTGGCTGACATGGTCCTCTCCATTGTGGAGAAAGGGAAATGTATTTATGGAGCAATTACTCTATGTCAGGCACTGCACTAAGCACCTTACAGCCATTATCTCTTTTAATTCTTCCAGTCATGTGACAGGGTGTCATTTTCTCTTTTAAAAGTGAGAAACTAAGAGAATTTTAATAAGTTGCTTAATGTCAAAAAGCTGGCAATGACTGAGTTGGAGTTTGAAGCCTCATCCTTCTGTCTGACTCCCAAGCCCACCATTCATGCATCCATCCAGCCATCCGTCTATTTGACACATATTTATTGAGTGCCTACTGTGTGCTAGGCACAGGAGACATAAAGCCAAGTAAGGCAGGATTCCTGTGGTAACACAGCTCACAGTATGATATAAAACGTGCTGATCACTCATTGGTTTCTAGTCTCTCATGAAAGTAGGAAATGAGTTCATCTGCTAAGATTGAGCAGGTAGGTGGCAAGAGGAGGGGACTGAGGAGACTGCATATCCAGGAGGAGAGAGTTTACAAGGAGGGAGCTGTGATTAAAAAGGAAAAACTGAAAGTGTTGTTTTACGAATACCCTGTAGTGCCTTAAGAATGCAAAGCTTCGGCCGGGTGCGGTGGCTCACGCCTGTAATCCCAGCACTTTGGGAGGCCGAGGCGGGTGGATCATGAGGTCAGGAGATTGAGACCATCCTGGCTACACGGTGAAACCCCATCTCTACTAAAAATACAAAAAATTAGCCAGGTGTGGTGGCAGGCGCCTGTAGTCCCAGCTACTCAGGAGGCTGAGGCAGGAGAATGGCATGAACCTGGGAGGCAGAGCTTGCAGTGAGCCAAGATCGTGCCACTGCACTCCAGCCTGGGCAACACAGCAAGACTCTGTCTCAAAAAAAAAAGAATGCAAACCTTCATTATTAGCTTTCTAAGTCTGATTGTTGGCCACTTCGTTGAAGATTCAAAGGTTTCACAGGTGAGTTAAGCTATACCCTTGTGAGTACTTTGACACCGTTTGAGGCTGTCAGAGGCCTTGGCTGCACAGGTAAGCTTCAGGGTGCAAAGCAGGTGAACACACATATGAGACAGCCCTGAGGGCCTTCCTGCAAGCAGCTGAGTGGAACTCACTCTGAAGAAGTGTTAGAAGATCCACAAGTAGGAATGAGGCCACAATAAGAGAAATTATATTTGGTAACTTGCAAGACCCCATGTCTGTCCCCAGGCGGTCCTGACCTGGGAACCCCTGAAAACATTAGCAAGTGTGGGATACTGTAGTGCTCTGTGTTCTTAAGCACAGCTTGATATGGTTCGTGACCCCGGGTAAGCTTTGGAGGTGTGTTCTTTTCCTGTTTCTTTAACTTTCTGATTGTCCGCTGAAGATCAGTATATTCCCAATAGTATCTCCAGATCTTTTCAAATTATAATTCTCAATAAATGTAAACTGATGAAGAGAAATCCATTAATATTGTTTGTCTAAGTTTTAACACTTAACGGATACAATGTACAATTAATGTACATTGTTAACAATCACAAATGTTAACACTTAACTGATACAAATGTGATCATGATTGTTAACACTTAATTGATACAATGTACAATTAGTGTACATTGTGAACAATGTAGTACAGTGTTAACATTCACAATTGCACTGTATTAGTTAATGTTAACAATCACATTGTTAGCACTTAACTGATACAATGTACATGAGTGAAGTGCACAGTCAGTGTGCTTCATTAGAAGAAAGCAAACTGAATTATATGCTGTGCCAGTCGTAGAGAAGTTTTTATTATTTTGTGGTGAGAAAAGACAAGAACTAAAGGAAACTTTCAGTTTTGTTCTAACTTCACTTGTATGCAATGTTGGTGTTACTTGCATTATCACTGGTGACCACAACAAGTAACAGAATAGGATGGGTTCTGAAGGAAAGGACCCAGCCTCTGGACCACCCCTTTTCTTGAAACCTTCACTTTTCTTTGCCCCATGACTAGATTCTCCTGATTCCTCTCCTACCTCCCTGAATTTTTCTTCTGTTTTAGATTTATCCATCCAGTCTCACATTGTATATTTACCAAAGATTTGTCCCTGCAGCTTTTCTCGTTTTTTCTCTACACTCTCTCACTTCAAAAATTCTTCTGACATTATGGCCTCAACAGAGAGCTCTACGTGATTGACACCCAAAGACATACCTCTCCCCCTCTCTTAAAACTGAAAAACATTTACATTTTTTTTAAAATTGCCAACTACCTACATATCCTGCTACCATCTCAAATTCAAGTGAATACACATCTCAAATCTGTTTCTTTTCCCATAGCCCTTTTCTTTTGGAATGGAACTATCCTTCTCTAGTTATATAAGACCCCCCGACTCTCTCTTCACTCAGGGGAGAGTTTCAGTGCAGAATGCATGCTAACCAATAGCATTGTTACTTTTCTCTTTAGAAATGTCTTCCTTCCTTTTGAAATACTAACAAGGAAGACCAGAGATCTGCATTATTCACCTTATCAAACTCTACCCTTTCATATTAAGTATTTCAATTTGTTAACTTTCAAGAAAGACCAAACAGGGTACCTTCAATAATTATTAGCGTGTCTGTCACAAGTATCAAACCTTTAATGTTATTTTAAACCTACATGACTGATGTGTTGGAGTCCTTATTGAGCTTCTGTAAAAAATTATTCTTGTGATGGCTTTTGGCAGAACCTTGGATCAAAACTAGAGATTATAAAATAAAGCCACAGTTGTTCTAAAACTCCACTGCATTATTGGAAGAGTAAATACATATGGATATATCTGAGTTACTGTTGATTCTGAGGAAAACTTCTACATACTGAAAGAATGAATAATTTCTTTTTTTTTTTTTTTTTTTTTTGAGATGGAGTCTCGCTCTGTTGCCCAGGCTGGAGTGCAGTGGCACGATTTCGGCTCATTGCAAGCTCTGCCTCCCGGGTTCATGCCATTCTCCTGCCTCAGCCTCCCCAGCAGCTGGGACTACAGGTGCCTGCCACCACGCCTGGCTAATTTTTTGTATTTTTAGTAGAGACGGGGTTTCACCGTGTTAGCCAGGATGGTCTCGATCTCCTGACCTTGTGATCCGCCCACCTCGGCCTCCCGAAGTGCTGGGATTCCAGGCGTGAGCCACCGCACGCGGCAAGAATGAATAATTTCTAAAGAGAGCAATAGTAAATTTCCATCTACACTGAGATTATACTGCATAATATACAGGGGGAGAAGACCCTGGAATGTTTTTAAATCCTTTCTTACCTTTTAAGTAAAATAATTTGCGTGTAATTATGCATATCATGAAGTGGGCTTTTTTCCGTTCCATGTACTTCATATGGAAAAGAATTCAAAGGCTCCTCTGTTCTACTAAAAATAAGCTTAATAATAATAATTCCTTTTCTGAAAGTATTTCATTGGCCCCCTAAGTTTGCAGATAAAGGCTGTGGAGGGGGTGAAGGAAAGGAGCAGGGCAAGAGGGGATGCAGGCTGCTCCGGAAGTTTGGGTGTGATGAGTTGAGGACCCAGAGCACAGTTCAGGCCACTGCCAAAAGTGGCAGGAAGGGGAGTATCCACAACAATTTAGTGTCTCCTGCCCCAACCCCTATGGTGGCATCCAAAGCTTTGTGGTGGGATGACAGTTTTATACCAATGGAAAGAGAAGTAACAATAGAAAAAAGTGAAGACAGCAAGTCCTTCTGGTTGAGACATAATTAATTTAACCACTGTAAAAGGAATCCTACTCTGCCCCAACCCCAGCCTGTGAGCCTGGTGATAATGGAGTGAACAGTGAAGTGAAGATTGAGGACCATCCTAAAACAGGAGGAGATCCTAGTGGGAGGACGAGAAGGGGAATGCCACAGAGAGATGCAAACCCCAGGGTGTCCCAGCTGACCACTAGGCTCATCAAGAGTGGAAGTAAAGCAGGGAAGTAGAGATGGGGAAACTATAGAGCAGGAAGTTCATCCTCTGCTGTTTCAGCAGAGAGCCTGAAAGTGTGATTTTTCCCTGGAGCCCACTACAGCAGAAGGAAGACATGAGGGAAGGAGAGGGGACCCCAAGGTCCAAGAAATTATGTTGTGGAACATCCTGAAGTGGAAACTTACCTTGTTGTAATCATATTCCCTTAATGGCATTATTGCAGCATCTGGAAAATGCTAGTTATGCTACTTAGAATCACAGAGTCATGGGATTTGAGACTTATAAGAAAGAGATTCCTCATACAAGTGAGAAAACTGAGTCTCAGAAAGACAATATTAAAAGGTGGTTAAAGGCGTGGGCTTTGGGGTCAAATAGACCTGATTCAAATCCATATTAATCATCAACTCTGTGGCTTTGGGGGAGATTGACAGCTCTAATCCTCGGTTTCCTTCTCCATAAAATAGGAAACACATGACCACCTCAGGGGCTTATGGTGGGTTAATGAGACAATGTAGCACTTGTAACCACTGGCATGGCTGTATACATTATTCTTTTTCTGTCTGCTCCACTGGCATGTAAACTCCAAGAAGTTAGGGATTTTTGACAGTTTTGCTCCTGCTATATCCCCAGCGCCTGGAACAGTGCCTGGAAGTCACTCACGAATGTATACTGAATGATTCCTATGAAGTGATTAAGATAATTTCTGGAATTTAATGACAGTGGTTGTTGAAAATAATGACAACAATAATGACCACAGAAAGCCAAAATGCAGTATTCAGAAAAGCCCATATCAGCACTCACAGTCGTTGTTCAAATAATTATATTGTCAAGTAACTTAAGCAAGAAATGTTCTTACTAACTACCTTACTGTAAATATCTTTTTTTCCAGTGGAGAAAAAAATTTTCATATTTTTTACTACATTTATGCTGGTTTGGCTGAAAAGAAGAAACTAGCCCATTACAAACTGCCTGAAAATAAGCCTCCCAGGTAATCTACCAGGTTGAGCTTTCATCAATAATACTTTCACTTTTCCCTTAATTTTAGACTTTTATCCTTCCTTTTATATTTTTTTTAGGTACCTACAAAATGACCACCTCAGAACAGTACAAGACATCATGAATAATAGTTTCTATAAATCCCAGTATGAATTAATTGAGCAATGTTTCAAAGTCATAGGTTTTACAATGGAGGTAAGTATGAAAGACACTTGAACTTCTTTAGAAAGTATCTTTTTATCATCACTAATGTTAAGAGCATTTATTGAGTGATTAATATATACCAGCATAAGTGCTTTACATAAATTGAAACAGCATTATGAAATAACTGGAAATATAATATTTACTTTATAAGTGAAGAAATAGTGGCCTTGAGATATAATTGAATTTCATTTTGTTCTTAACCTTTTATTTTACTTATACTTACATTTCCCATATACATATATGGGAAATATATATATAAATACATATATAATTTTACATAAATATATAAATTGCATGTTCTTTTTAGTGCAGTCTTTTTAATAACAACTTTATTAAGATATAATTTCCATACAATATAATTCACCTATTTAAGGTGTATATTTCAGTGACCTTTAGTATATTCATAGAGATGTGTATTCATGACCATAATCATTTTTAGAATATTTTCATATTATAAATTTTTCACCCCAAAAAGAAATATGGTAGCAATTAGCATATTTCTGATGCAATTCTGACTTCATCCCTACTTTCTATCACTATAAATCTGCTTTTTCTGGACACTTTACATACAAGGGATCATATAATATGTGATCTGTTGTGACTGGTTTCTCTCACTTAGCATGTTTGCAAGGTTCATCCATTTTTGCAGCATGTATCAGTACTTCATTTTTTTTTAAAGTAAGTTCTTTAACGTTTTATTTTTTTTTAATTATATTTTAACTTCTAGGGTACATGTGCACAATGTGCAGGTTTGTTACATATGTATACATGTGCCATGTTGGTGTGCTGCACACATTAACTCGTCATTTACATTAGGTATATCTCCTAATGCTATCCCTCCCCCCTGCCCCCACCCCATGACAGGCCCCAGTGTGTGATGTTCCCCACCCTGTGTCCAAGTCTTCTCATTGTTCAGTTTCCACATATGAGTGAGAACATGCAGTGTTTCGTTTTCTGTCCTTGTGATAGTTTGCTGAGAATGATGGTTTCCAGCTTCATCCTTGTCCCTACAAAGTACATGAACTCATCCTTTTTTATGGCTGCATAGTATTCCATGCTGTATATGTACCACATTTTCTTAATCCAGTCTATCATTGGTGGACATTTGGGTTGGTTCCAAGTCTTTGCTATTGTGAATAGTGCCACAATAAACATATGTGTGCATGTGTCTTTTTTGCATGTGTGCATGCAAACATATGTGTGCATGTGCATGTGTGATAATCCTTTGGGTATATACCCAGTTAATGGAATGGCTGGGTCAAATGGTATTTCTAGTTCTAGATCCTTGAGGAATCACCACACTGTTTTCCACAATGGTTGAACTAGTTTACAGTCCCACCAACAGTGTAAAAGTGTTCCTATTTCTCCACATCCTCTCCAGCACCTGTTGTTTCCTGACTTTTTAATGATCACCATTCTAACTGGTGTGAGATGGTATCTCATTGTGGTTTTGATTTGCATTTCTCTGATGGCCAGTGATGATGAGCATTTTTTCTTGTGACTGCTGGCTGCATAAATGTCTTGAGAAGTGTCTGTTCATATCCTTCGCCCACTTTTTGATGGGGTTGTTTGATTTTTTCTTGTAAATTTGTTTAAGCTATTTGTAGATTCTGGATATAAGCCCTTTGTCAGATGGGTAGATTGTAAAAATTTTCTCCCATTCTGTAGGTTGCCTATTCACTCTGATGGTGTTTCTTTTGCTGTGCAGAAGCTCTTTAGTTTAATTAGATCCCATTTGTCAATTTTGGCTTTTGTTGCCATTGCTTTTGGTGTTTTAGACATGAAGTCCTTGCCCATGCCTATGTCCTGAATGGTATTGCCTAGGTTTTCTTCAAGAGTTTTTATGGGTTTAGGTCTAATATTTAAGTCTTTAATCCATGTTGAATTAATTTTTGTATAAGGTGTAAGGAAGGGATCCAGTTTCAACTTTCTACATATGGCTAGCCAATTTTCCCAGCACCATTTATTAAACAGAGAATCCTTTCCCAGTTTCTTGTTTTTGTCAGGTTTGTCAAAGATCAGATGGTTGTAGATGTGTGGTATTATTTCTGAGGGTTCTTTTCTGTTCCATTGGTCTACATCTCTGTTTTGGTACCAGTACCATACTGTTTTGGTTACTGTAGCCTTGTAGTATAGTTTGAAGTCAGGTAGCATGATGCCTCCAGCTTTGTTCTTTTGGCTTAGAATTGTCTTGGCAATGTGGGCTCTTTTTTGGTTCCATATGAACTTTAAAGTAGTTTTTTCCAATTCTGTGAAGAAAGTCATTGGTAGCTTGATGGAGATGGCAATGAATCTACAAATTACCTTGAGCAATATGGCCATTTTCATGATATTGATTCTTCCTATCCATGAGTATGGAATATTCTTCCATTTGTTTGTGTCCTCTTATTTCGTTGAGCAGTGGTTTGTAGTTCTCCTTGAAGAGGTCCTTCATGTCCCTTGTAAGTTGGATTCCTAGATATTTTATTCTCTTTGAAGCATTTGTGAATGGGAGTTCACTCATGATTTGGCTCTCTGTTTGTCTGTTATTGGTATATAGGAATGGTTGTGATTTTGGCACATTGATTTTGTATCCTGAGACTTTGCTGAAGTTGCTTATCAGCTTAAGCAGATTTTGGGCTGAGATGATGGGGTTTTCTAAATATACAGTCATGTCATCTGCAAACAGAGACAGTTTGACTTCCTCTTTTCCTAATTGAATACCCTTTATTTCCTTCTCCTGCCTGATTGCCCTGGCCAGAACTTCCAACACTATGTTGAATAGGAGTGGTGAGAGAGGGCATCCCTGTCTTGTGCCAGTTTTCAAAGGGAATGCTTCCAGTTTCTGCCAATTCAGTATGATATTGGCTGTGGGTTTGTCATAAATAACTCTTATTATTTTGAGATATGAACCATCAATACCTAGTTTATTGAGAGTTTTTAGCCTGAAGGACTGTTGAATTTTGTTGAAGGCCTTTTCTGCATCTATTGAGATAATCATGTGGTTTTTGTCTTTAGTTCTGTTTATATGCTGGATTACATATATTGATTTGCATATGTTGAACCAGCCTTGCATCCCAGGGATGAAGCCCACTTGATCATGGTGGATAAGCTTTTTGATGTGCTGCTGGATTCGGTTTGCCAGTATTTTATTGAGGATTTTTGCATCGATGTTTATCAGGGATATTGATCTAAAATTCTCCTTTTTTGTTGTGTCTCTCCCAGGCTTTGGTGTCAGGCTGACGCTGGCCTCATAAAATGACTTAGGGAGGATTCCCTCTTTTTCTATTGATAGGAATAATTTCAGAAGGAATGGTACCAGCTCCTCTTTGTACCTCTGGTAGAATTCGGCTGTGAATCCATCTGGTCCTGGACTTTTTTTGATTCGTAGGCTATTAATTATTGCCTCAATTTCAAAGCCCGTTGGTCTATTGAGGGATTCAACTTCTTCCTGGTTTAGTCTTGGGAGGGTGTATGTGTCCAGGAATTTATCCATTTCTTCTAGATTTTCTAGTTTATTTGCCTAGAGGTGTTTATATTAATCTGATGGTAGTTTGTATTTCTGTGGGATTGATGGTGGTGTCCCCTTTATCATTTTTGTTGCATCTGTTTGATTCTTCTCTCTTTTCTTCTTTATTAGTGTTGCTAGCGGTCTATCAATTTTGTTAATCTTTTCAAAAACCAGCTCCTGGATTCATTGATTTTTTGAAGAGCTTTTTGTGTCTCTATCTACTTCAGTTCTGCTCTTGTCTTAGTTATTTCTTGCCTTCTGCTAGCTTTTGAATGTGTTTGCTCTTGCTTCTCTAGTTCTTTTAATTGTGATGTTAGGGTGTCAATTTTAGATCTTTCCTGCTTTCTTTTGTGGGCATTTAGTGCTATAAATTTCCCTCTACACACTGCTTTAAGTGTGTCCCAGAGATTCTGGTATGTTGTGTCTTCATTCTCATTGCTTTCATTTATTTCTGCCTTCATTTCGTTATGTACCCAGTAGTCATTCAGGAGCAGGTTGTTCAGTTTCCATGTAGTTGAGTGGTTTTGGGTGAGTTTCTTAATCCTGAGTTCTAGTTTGATTGCACTGTGGTCTGAGAGACAGTTTGTTATCATTTCTGTTGTTTTACATTTCCTGAGGAGTGCTTTACTTCCAACTATGTGGTCAATTTTGGAATAAGTGTGATATGGTGCTGAGAAGAATGTATATTCTGTTGATTTGGGGTGGAGAGTTCTGTAGATGTCTGTTAGGTCTGCTTGTTGCAGAGCTGAGTTCAATTCCTGGATATCCTTTTTAACTTTCTGTCTCATTGATCTGTCTAATATTGACAGTGGGGTGTTAAAGTCTCCCATTATTAATGTGTGGGAGTCTACGTCTCTTTGTAGGTCTCTAAAGACTTGCTTTATGAATCTGGGTGCTCCTGTATTGGGTGCATATATATTTAGGATAGTTAGCTCTTCTTATTGAATTGATTCCTTTACCATTATGTAATGGCCTTCTTTGTCTCTTTTGATCTTTGTTAGTTTACAGTCTGTTTTATCAGAGACTAGGATTGCAACCCCTGCATTTTTTTGTTTTCCATTTGCTTGGTGGATCTTCCTCCAAACCTTTATTTTGAACCTGTGTGTGTCTCTGCACATGATATGTGTCTCCTGAATACAGCACACTGATGGGTCTTGACTCTTTATCCAATTTGCCAGTCTGTGTCTTTTAATTGGAGCATTTAGCCCATTTACATTTAAAGTTAATATTGTTATGTGTGAATTTCAGCCTGTCATTATGATGTTACCTGGTTATTTTGCTTGTTCTTTGATGCAGTTTCTTCCTAGCGTCGATGGTCTTTACAATTTGGCATGTTTTTGCAGTGGCTGGTACCAGTTGTTCCTTTCCACGTTTAGTGCTTCCTTCAGGAGCTCTTGTAAGGCAGGCCTGGTGGTGACAAAATCTCTCAGCATTTGCTTGTCTGTAAAGGATTTTCTTTCTCCTTCACTTATGAAGCTTAGTTTGGCTGGATATGAAATTCTGGGTTGAAAATTCTTTTCTTTAAGAATTTTGAATATTGGCCCCCACTCTTTTCTGGCTTGTAGAGTTTCTGCCAGGAGATCCGCTGTTAGTCTGATGGACTTCCCTTTGTGGGTAAGCCGACCTTTCTCTCTGGCTGCCCTTAATATTTTTTCCTTCATTTCAACCTTGGTGAATCTGACAATTATGTGTTTTGGAGTTGCTCTTCTGGAGGAGTATCTTTGTGGCATTTTCTGTATTTCCTGAATTTGAATGTTGTCCTGCCTTGCTTGGTTAGGGAAGTTCTCCTGGATAATATCCTAAAGAGTGTTTTCCAACTTGGTTCCATTGTCCCTGTCACTTTCAGGTACACCAATCAGACGTAGATTTGATCTTTTCACATCATCCCATATTTCTTGGAAGCTTTGTTTGTTTCTTTTTACTCTTTTTTCTCTAAACTTCTCTTCTCGCTTCATTTCATTCATTTGATCTTCAATCACTGATACTCTTTCTTCCACTTGATTGAATCAGCTACTGAAGCTTTTGCATGCGTCACATAGTTCTCGTGCCATGGTTTTCAGCTCCATCAGATCGTTTAAGGTCTTCTCTACACTGTTTATTCTAGTTAGCCATTTGTCTAATCTTTTTTCAAGGTTTTTAGCTTCTTTGCAGTTCAAACATCCTCCTTTAGCTCGGAGAAGTCTGTTATTACCGATCATCTGAAGTCTTCTTCTCTCAACTCATCAAAGTGATTCTCCGTCCAGCTTTGTTCCGTTGCTGGTGAGGAGCTGCATTCCTTTGGAGGAGAAGTGGCCCTCTGATTTTTAGAATTTTCAGCTTTTCTGCTCTAGTTTCTCCCCATCTTTGTGGTTTTATCTACCTTTGGTCTTTAATGATGGTGATGTACAGATGGGCTTTTGGTGTGTATGTCCTTTCTATTTGTTGGCTTTCCTTCTAACAGTCAGGACCCTCAGCTGCAGGTCATTGGAATTTGCTGGAGGTCCCCTCCAGACCCTGTTTGTCTGGGTATCACCAGCGGAGGCTGCAGAACCGCAAATATTGCAGAATGGCAAATATTGCTGCCTGATCCTTCCTCTGGAAGCTTCATCTCAGAGGGGCACCTGGCTATATGAGGTGTCAGTCGGCCCCTACTGGGAGGTGTCTCCTGGTTAGGCTACTCAGGGGTCAGGGACCCACTTGAGGAGGCAGTCTATCCATTCTCAGATCTCAAACTCCGTGCTGGGAGAACCACTACTCTCTTCAAAGCTGTCAGACAGGGACGTTTAAGTCTGTAGAAGTTTCTGCTGTCTTTTGTTCAGCTATGCCCTTCCCCCAGAGGTGGAGTCTACAAAGGCGGGCAGGCCTCCTTGAGCTGTGGTGGACTCCACCCACTTCGAGCTTCCCAGCTGCTTTGTTTACCTACTCAAGCCTCAGCAATGGCTGCAGCCTTGCTGCCACCTTGCAGTTCAATCTCAGACTGCTGTGCTAGCAGTGAGTGAGGCTCTGTGGGCATGGAACCCTCCGGGCCATGTGTGGGATATAATCTCCTGGTGTGCCGTTTGCTAAGACCATTGGAAAAGCACAGTATTAGGGTGGGAGTGTCCCGATTTTCCAGGTACCATCTGTCACGGCTTCCCTTGGCTTGAAAGGGAATTCCCCGACCCCTTGTGCTTCCCAGGTGAGGCGATGCCCTGCTCTGCTTCAGCTCACACTCCGTGGGCTGCACCCACTGTCTGACAAGCCCCAGTGAGATGAACCTGGTACCTCAGTTGGAAATGCAGAAATCACCCATCTTCTTGTTGCTCACGCTGGGAGCTGTAGACTGGAGCTGTTCCTATTCGGCCATCTTGGAGTCAGTAGTTCATTTTTTTATTGTTAAATAATATTTCATTTTATGGGTATACTTCATGTTATTTGCCCATTCATTAGTTGATGGGCAACATTTGGGTTGTTTTTGCTTTTTGTCTATTATGAATAATGCTGCTATGAACATTCATGTACAACATTTTGTGTGGATGTAAGTGTTCATTTATCTTTGATATACACCTAGCATTGCAAATGCTGAATAGGGTAACTCTTTGTTTAACCTTTTCACTAAATTGTTCAACTGTTCTCCAAAATCACTGCACCATTTTACATTCCCACCAGCACTGTCTGAAGGTTCCAATTTCTGCATGTCTTCGTCAACACTTATTGTTATCTGTCATTTTGATTATAGTGATTCTAGTGAATGTGAAGTGGTATCACATGAGGGTTTGGGTGAATTTACCTAATAACTTATGGTGCTGAACTTCTTTTTCATGTACTTATTGGTCATCTGTGGCTCTTTTTTGGATAAATGTCTGTTCAGATCCTTTGCATATTTTCTAATTGGGTTATTGTCTTTTTATTATTGAGTTGTAGAAATTTTTTATAATCTAGGTATACTAGCCCCTTATCAGATGTCTGATTTGCAAAAAAAAAAAAAATTATAGTATTTGTTATATTTTCCCTTTCTTGATGGTGTCCTTTGAAGCACAGAAGTTTTTAAATTGTATGAAGTTCAGTTTATCTGTTTTTTCTTTTATTGTTTGTGATTTTAGTGTTGTATAGAAAACCATTGCCTAATCCAAGGTCACAAAGATTTATGCCTAAGCTTTCTTCTTATAGTTGTATAGTTTTAGCTCTTACATTTAGGTCATTGTTCCATTTTGAGTTAATTTTTGTGCATATTGTGAAGTAGGGATCCAGCTTCATTCCTTTGCTTCTGGACATTCAGTGTACCAGCACCATTGTTGGAAAGATTATCCTTTCCCCATTGTTCTTGGTCAAATATCAATTAACCACAAATATATAGGTTTATTTCTGGACTCTCAATTCTATCTCATTGATTTATATATTTATCCTTATACCAGTATCACACATGAGTATCGCAGCTATGTAATAAGTATTGAGATTGGGAAGCATAAATCCTCCTACAACTTTGTTCTTTTTTTAAAATTTTTTTTGGCTTTTCAGGGTCAGTCCCTTAAACTTTAATATAAATTTGAAGGATCACCTTGTCAATTTCTAGCACCTTTAAAAAAATTTTTTTGTTCAGCTCCCTCTTCCCCATCTTACCTCCTTAAATCTACATCTGCTCTCTTTCTCCTCCCCTAGTTAATGGATGTATACATAGTCCAATATTCCATATTTATTTACCTAGTCCCAGAGTCTTGTTTATAGATACACACACACACACACACACACACACACACCCATGCAGATGTTGACACATGCATATATATGGTGAGATGATCATTGTTTTATTAATATGGGATTATATTACACACACTTTTCTATATCTGATTTTTCTCACTCAGCAATACCTGTGAAAATCCCTTCAAATCACCAAATATATCACTGAATCACCCCTTTTAAAGGTAGTATAATGTTCCACAGTGTGTACTACCATAATTTATTCAGCCGTTCAGCCATGACTGGGCATATAACTATAAATGTTTCCAGATCTTTGCTACCATGAGCAAAACTGAAGTATGTCCTTATTGACTGGTTCATTTCTTTCTGTGGAATAGGTTCCGTTCCTAGTAGTGGAATTTCTGGGTTAAAAGGTGTATATTTTTTAAATTTGAATAGAACTTGCAAGATTGCCTTCCAATAGTTCTGTAGCACTTCACATTTCCACCAACAATACATATTAATACCCTTCCCCCACTCATTCCTGCCAGCAATGTGTTGTGGCTTTTTAAATATTTCCTAGTCTGGTGGGTGAAAGTAACATGTTGTTTTAAATTTGCGTATCCTTGACAAATAATATATTTGAACATCTTTCTATTTGTTTGCCAGCTGCTTAGATTTACTCTTATGAATTGTATATTTATATATGTTGCCCCTTTTATTGAATTATTTATATGCTTTATGTCAATTTGTAAGGGCTCATTGAATATTATAGACATTATATGTTTCTATCATTTGTGTTATAAATGTTTCTTTATACTTGTATAATTTGTCTGTGACTTACTTTTTGTCATATTTGTTTACCATAATGAAGTTCTAAATTTTCGTTTATTCAAACAAATTTACGTTTTTGTTCATAGTATCTAGGTCTCTACTTTCAGTTAAAAAGTTTTCCCCTAACTCTAGGTTGTATGTGTAGTCTCCTAGATTTTCTTGAAAGTTTAAAAAATAAATTTATCTTTAATCATTTGAAATTTATTTTATGGTACCAGATGGAGCACCACTTTTCTTTTATTCCAGATGGAGAGCCAGAATTGACTTATCCTATATTAAGGCCTTATATGACATATAATCTATTTTTGATGCCTCTATTTTAGCCATCAATCTATGTTTTCTACTTCTATACAGTATTCTGTTGTCTTGATTACAGTGGTTTGATTCTGTGTTTTTCTAGTAAGGCTATTCCTGCTCTCGCTTTCTTCTTTTCCATATTTTCCTTAGCTATTGTTTAGCATTGCTTGTCCATACAAACTGTAAGATCAATATATTCAATTCCAACAACCCCACTTGGACTTTTAATTAGAATTATATTGAATTTATATATTAATTTTTGGAGCACTGTGATTTTCATGATATGTATGTCTTCTCATCCCAAATTATGAAGCGACTTATGTACTTTTTGTCTTACAACTTTGTTTAGATGCTGTTTCGAGTTTTTAATAATAATCTATACTTATATTCATCTGGAACTTGCATCTTATTTTTAAATTTATTAATAACTATGTTAAGGTTTTTATTATAAGGGAAATGAATTTTCCAATGGCAGAATTTTTGAGATATATAATCATGTCATTAGCAAAAAGAAGAGTTTTACCCCTTTCATGTCATGTCATCATTTCTTTTTCTTGTTTGTGCTTAGATCATCTAAGACTAGTCTAAGTCAATATTAAGTAATAATGATTATAGTTGGCCTCTGAGTCTAGTTTCTGATTTTAAGTGGTTTTAGTGTTTTGCTATTTTTTTGGAAAAGAATATTTATCATAATTAATTTCCTTTTATTGCTGTTTTATTTAGGGTTGTTATTAGGAATTCTGCTGAATTTTACCAAATTTATTTTTAGCTGCTATTGATATAATCATATTTTTTCCTACAGCAGTTTGTTGATGCCTCCTTATTCTGTTGATAGATTTCTTAATATTTAAATATCCTTACATTTCTGGAATAAACCCAATAGAGTCCATCTTTATCATCTTTTTGATAAATTTCTGTATCTATGAGCTAGTATTTTATTTCGAATTTTTGCATCTATATATTTAGCAATGAAATGTATCTATTTTTTTCTTTTATATCAGATTTGATTACTAAAGTTATGCCAGTGAGCTTTTTTCTTTTTTTCTTTGGCCTATGTGAGTTAAAATCAGTTCCCAATGTTCTCTGAAGACAAGAAGCACCTTGACACACATACATGAGTCTTAACCAGACCTACCGTATAGAAATTTCTGGGAGAGATCTAGTATTTGCTGCCATTACAGCACCCCAAGTAATTCTTATCATTAGAGAAGACTGGGGACAATGTCTTTTAAAACCTTAAATAAAGATTAGAGGCTGGGCGCAGTGGCTCACGCCTGTAATCCCAGCACTTTGGGAGGCCGAGGCGGGTGGATCACGAGGTCAGGAGATCAAGACCATCCTGGCTAACACAGTGAAACCCCGTCTCTACTCAAAATACAAAAAATTAGCCAGGCGTGGTGGCAGGCGCCTGTAATCCTAGCTACTTCGGAGGCTGAGGCAGAAAAATCACTTGAACCCGGGAAGCAGAGGTTGCAACGAGCCAAGATCACACCATTGCACTCCAGCCTGGGCGAAAAGAGTGAAACACCATCTCAAAAAAAAAAAAAAAAAAAGATTAGGGTAAAACTCAACTGTGTCTGACCCTTGGGCCTTTTTGATATTGAGTCTTTAATTACCTTTCTGATTCTTCTATGATAATTATCTTTTTGAATTTGTTTTTCTCTTTCAGGTTATTTGTATTTTGCTAAGAAATTATCATGAAATCTTATGCCATAGATTTTCATGCTGAATTTTCTTATAATACTTTAAATTAATCCCATATCTCTGGCTTTGTTTCCTTTCTCATTCCAAATAGAAATTCTCATTTTTGCCCTTACTCTTTTATCTTTAATTGGGTTTACAAGGGGGTTTCGAATCTTAAAAAAAAGAGAAAGGCAAAACCACAACAGCTATTGGATGCATTTACCCATCCGATAAATGTTTTCATTGTCTGTATTATTGGTTTTAATTTGATTTTTATATTTTTATTAATTTATTCATTTGTTTCTTCTGTTCTTTTTTTTTAAGAGAATACTTGGTTTCTCTATTTCTTTACATTTGTTATTGAATAATGAAAGCATTTAAGGCTAGAAATTTATCCCCAAGTAATAAACACTTCCTTATGTCCCATAGGTTGTATTTTTTAATTTTTGTAACAAAGTATCGTGTTTAATAGGGACGCCTAAGGCTTTTAGAGAAGCTTTCAGACTTTGCTCGTAACAGTTTATTGTTTGCTACATTGATTCAGAGTGTGTGATAAAAGAAGATTTTACTCTAAATGTGAATCAGGCTTTTAGATGAACTCTTTCTGGAATTTTAGATGAACTCTTTCCGCAATTTGTTGAATTTTGATTTCATTTTCATAAATGACACTCCTGCAGCTTTAAACAGTCAATGTGTCTGCTTAAGAAGTTTACCAAGATCCCTTGGGTTATCAGATCTCTAGTAAGAGCTTAAGCTAAAACAAACAAACAAAAAACTAATTCTTCAATTATTCTCAAAAAAATTAGAAAATTTAATCAACAATATATAAAGTGTAGAAATGCTAATAGACGTGAAACTTTATAAAAATTATTCAAATTGTATGCTATGAAATTATTGAATCTAATGATTTTGTAGTCTGTTTTTAAGGCACTGTTGACTCCCTTCTAAAATGGAAGACTATCAGCAATAACTTTAGTTCCATGATCATCTGCTTGCCAAAAGTAATATTTGTAAAGATGTAAGTGCTTTTGGCATATTCTCCAAATAGGGAAATTCTGCTCTTGGCAGCTCTGAAGACAGGAATCTCTCAGTCTTGCCTTCTCTTTGAAAGCTTTTGGCTCCATCTTGAGTATCCTTGCTGCAGGCTTACAGGAGGTGGGGACTGGGGAATGTTTTCAAGACCTTACCCCTAGAAGATGAAGTGTGATCTTTACCAACTGGGTGAGGTTGGAGAAGAAGCAGAGTAAATGGATTTTATTTTGGTTGGAAACTAGGGCCCTGCCTTACAAGGGAGGTTTAGGTAAATCCAGTGCCATCTTTGTCCATCAAGATCTTAGAAATCTTCACTGATCCATCTCCCCAAAGCTAACTTTATAACCCAGAAATTTTCCAGACAGTTATTTGATAGAACAAGAATACATAGATTCAAATGGAATTCCAATTGTTTAGTTCAGCACTATCTTATTTAATAAGGACTTCTTGAGAGATTTTGTTTTGTACAATCCATGTAAGAATGGAAAATGTAGAATAATGATATGACAAGTTGCCCACTCTAACTTAAGAAATGAGAAATAAAAATTACTATGAAAGGAACTTTGTTAGACTTAACTGACAAATCAGACAGTATCTGTAACAATGAATATTTAGAGTACAGTACTACCCTCTTATCTGCAGTTTCACTTTCTGCAATCCCAGTTACCTGTAGTCAACTGCAGTTTGAAAATATTAAACAGAAAATTCTAGAAATAAACAGTTTTAAATAGCATGCTGTGCTGAGTAGCATGATGAAATCCCACTCCTTCCATGCTGGTAAATGAATCTTCTCTTTGTCTGGCATGCCCATGCTGTATAGGCTACCTGCCCCTTAGCCAATTAGTAACCCTGTTGGTTATCAGTTCAAAAATACATAGTACATATATAGAGAGTTCAGTTCTATCTGTGATTTCAGGAATCCACTGGAGGTCTTGGGAGGTATCCACCATGGATTAGAGGGGACTACTATAATCTGGTGTGTTACAGTCAAACAATTGTTGCTGTGAAACATTCCAACTTTTAAAGTAAACTTTTCTAGTATGGGCTTTCTCCTTAACCAAGAGAAATTCAGATTTGATGAAGAGACTCTTTCCTGGCTACTTTTACAGGTCCAGAATTTAGAATCTCTCATTGAATTCTGAATAAACATTGCTACTCTGTTTCTAGAGGAATTAATTGCTTGTAGGGAAACTGGTGAAAGAGTTTGAGGAGCCAGAGGGGAATCTGGAAGGCTATTTCCAGCACCAATCAAGAATTATTAACAATTCCTCTTGGGAC
Organism: Homo sapiens; assembly: GCF_000001405.40. NCBI lineage: Eukaryota > Metazoa > Chordata > Mammalia > Primates > Hominidae > Homo > Homo sapiens. The sequence continues at coordinate 26,109,941 of NC_000010.11, forward strand.
CAGAGCGGGAGTTATTGCAATGAGTTCCCCCAAAGAGTTCTGATTTTACCAGAACATTATGAATTATAAGGACAACAAGAAAGTTGTACTCTAGACTCAATGGCAAGCCAAGATTGAATGCATCCTTAGGAAGACACTTTACTCGCAAAAAGTCGTGAGCTGAAGTTAAATGACTTTTTGGCTTAAAAGTAGAGACTCCAACTTGACCATCTTCATTTCTGAATCATGCTTTCTCTCCATTGATTCATGGACCCTACCTGGAACTTTGGATTGACAAGTCAGGCTGTCCATTCTATATCTACTACACTGCAGCTGTAATTTGGGAACTCAGTGGTTCTGTGGTCTCTAGGTCAGAAAGGAGATGAATGAGCCCCTTCTCTCTCAATGCATTAGATGGTTTTTAGGCTATAAAATGGAACAAAAATCCATTGTTTAATGCATTTTCTCTGAGGGCTTTTGGAGAAGCTTTCACACTTTGCTCTTAGCTGTAATTTGTTACAGTGAGACAGTACCTGGTTCTTAAGTGGCCAGTATGTGAATCTCATTCCCCCATCTCCCTCCCTCCAAAAAAAATTAAGCAGCAAAGGTTGTCAGGATGTCTGGAATGATACATAAGGACAGGAACATTGGCTTCACCATAGCACCTTTTGTCTGAGAGTTGAAAGAAAATGATGAGGAGTGAGTAGGAGTTGAACAATTGAGAGATCACTAAGCATTTAGAACTTATCATGGATACCTCGTGTAAAGGATAGAGTGTGCATACCCTTGTACATGCCATGAGGTCTGCGTGGTAGGCATCCTATCATGCTGAAATTTGTGCCATTGACCTTACCTGATTGTCTTTTGGAAACAAGGTCTGAACTGTAGGACCTGGAGTCAGAGATGACCCTGATATATTTCTGGAAAATCGTTTTTTGGGTTTTCTTTTCTTTTTTTTTTTTTTTTTAAGAGATGGGATCTCTCTCTGTTGCCCAGGCTGGAGTGCAGTAGTACAGCTCACTGTAGTTTCAAACTCCTGAGCTCAATCTGTCCTCCCACTTCAACCTCCTGATCAGCTGGGACTATAGGTGATTACAACCATGCCCAGCTAACTTTTTAAAACATTTTTTGTAGAGATGCATCTCACTATGTTGCCCAGGCTGGTCTGAAACTCCTGGCCTTAAGTGATCCTCCTGCCTCAGCCTCCCAAGTAGCTGGAATTACAGGCATGAGGTGCTGTGCCTGGTGATATTTTTAATGCTAGAGAAATAAGTGTGTTCATAATGGCTTCAACTCTGGAAGAGGAACTCCCTGACTCAGAAAGCATGAGTTTCAGCCATATTCCAGGTGATATGTGGCCCCCACCCAAAGACTACAGATGAGCTAGGGGCACACTCCAAGGAGACTCCACATGCCACCCTGTTCTAAATATAGTCTCATTCTTATGCTCTAATTCTGATGTCCCAGGCATCATAAATGACCACTTGAGTGTTTTGCTCTTGTTAGTCAGCCTAACCCTAATTCTACCCCTACCCCTACCCTTTCCTAGGCATGACCACTTCCAGGTGCATCTTTCCCTGCTGCCAACATTCAGTTTCAAATCTGGCCACTCCCCTTCCACTGCATCATTTCTCCTCCCTCAGTCCTCCCTAATCGGGTCCTCATTCTTCCCACAGTTTGTACCTATGAAGACAAGCTGATTCAAGCAGTCAGTGTCCTGGCTCTTAAAGCAGAGCCAATTTATTTGGGATTCAGTCAATAAAGAAAAAAGCAGCAGTCATTCTTTTCCTCAATCTTTGGTCATAAGATCAATGTTGCTAGTGGTAGATGCTCCTTGTGAACTGTGCCTGGCTCTGTTGGATGCCTGGTTAGGGGAAAACGGGAGCAGCTAATAGAAGCTCAGGGCATCCTTCTAACTGGAAGATGTACAATAAACAAGACAGTGCCTGCTTGTGACCAGGGGCTGGGCCTCTTCATAGCTCTTTTCCCTGCCTTTTGTCTTCAGAGTTGATCTGCTTCTTACACATTCACTTTTTCAGAGTTTGCTATCTTAGAAGCAAGGATCATTTTTAATTGGTTTGTTTACTTCAAAGTCCCACTCATCAGAGGCAGTGTTTCGCTTATATTTGGCTCAACTACTTTCTCTTGCTTGGTTTAGTAACACTAATGTTTACTAACATTAAAATGAAACCAGTTTTGCAGCTAGCATCTATTGACAAATATAATTATTTATTTCAAACTGTATATTCCAAATTTAAACATATTCAATGCTTATTGAACATCTAAACATATAGCTTAGGATAAAGGAAAATATAACATCTGTTTTTGGATCTGAAGCACAACCACTGCTAGATATTTTGGGAAGGCTTTTAGTCCAGTTCAAGGTGATTCTCCGAGGGTGTGGTGGCCTCCCATCTAACAGCAGAAACTGTCCCAGTTTGGATTTGGTAGAAATAAACCGCATGAGCATTTACTTCCTTTTTATCCCCAATATTGATTTTTATGCTATCTTATTGGCTTTCTTGGATATGTTGTTTGACAATAGCTGCTTCTAATCTATTTTGATAGTAAAAGGCAACTTTAATATCAAGATAAGTGGCATGATTCTGACATCCTCTAAGCACAGCATGCGACCTTCACAGTTTACTGCAGCACAATTTGAGTGACTCTCCAATACAGTCTCTTTTTCTCACTGTCTCTCCTGCTCTCTCTCTCTCTCATTGGTGTTGACAGCACCCCAAGTGTATGTGTCCCTTTAAATACTCTCAGAGTTTACAGTTCACGTGTGCATTTGTGATTCAGCACAATCCAAAGGAATGACAGGCAAATCAAATTCAGATATTCTCTAAAAATAACACCAATTAGAAATCTCTGAAACCGTTAAACCATATGATTTCCTAAGCCATTTCCCTGCCATAGTTTTAAAATAAATGATTGGTAGTTTGATGATTCATAGTAGTTTGATGATTCAATGAGTAGTTTGTCTCATTTAGAAACAATTTTTACCATATAATGGGAATTTTCGGGGGGTTTTTTGCACAAATTTATGTCTTATGTCTAAGATGAGAATGCCTTTTTTCTGTTTTAATTGCGCTTTCATTTCTTATGATAGTCTAAAAATCACATGCTAGCATGTTTTCTTTGGATTATTAGTTATGTCTTTAGGGAAGATCAAATAATATTTGTGAAAGAAATTAAATATTTTAAAGCATCACAAAAAGGATTGAATTTCCATGAAATACTCACTTCATTTTTAAAAATTGGTTTTAGGCCAGGCTTGGTGGCTCACGCCTGTAATCCTAGCACTTTGGGAGACTGAGGCGGGCGGATTGCCTGAGCTCAGGAGTTTGAGACCGGCCTGGGCAAACAGTGAAACCCCGTCTCTTTTAAAATACAAAAAATTAGCCAGTTGTGGCAGCGTGCACCTATAATCCCAGCTACTCAGGAGGCTGAGGCAGGAAAATTGCTTGAACGCGGGAGGTGGAGGTTGCAGTGAGCCGAGATTGTGCCACTGCCCTCCAGCCTGGCAATAGAGCAAGACTACGTCTCAAAAAAACAAAAAAAAAAACAAAAAAAAACTGATTTTGACCAGAATGGAAAGGGTGTGTGTATTCCATTTGGTTTGTTGTTTGTAATAACTTAAAAATAACAATTTGATACCAAGTTATTTTTTTCAATCAAAAAACATAAAACAAGTTACAATTCCAGAATGCCATGATTTGGCCAACATTGATGACTTGAACTAAATGACGCAGCCAAGGAGGTAGTTGGTAAAATAAAAATAATTCTGTGCTAGGGAGTCAAGATCCCTAGGCTAAAGTCCTTGACACTGCTTATTTCTGGCTGTGTGTCCAATAACTAAACTTTCTGGTCTAAGCTTATTTACCAGTAAAAGGAGGGGAAAGGGATAATTAATTTCTGAATCACTTCGAACTCTATGATTCCATGACTAAAATTGAGGGGCATTTAATTTCCTTCTAGTTTCTGCAGATTGCTCATGCTGTTTTATTGCTTTAAGTGTCTGCAGAATTGAACCTAAGAATAGAGAACATATTAATATCTCACATACCAACAGCTGCAAATGCTGATTGCAGAGCATCTCCTTCTATCCCATCAGTTCTTATCTGCCTGGTATGTGAGTTGCAGTAACATCCCATCCTGGGTTCCCTCCTCCCCAACCTCCCTCCACCCCAGCCTGCCTCCCTGTCCTTTCTCAACAGGAGCATCAACACTATGGCCTTCCAAGGATTAGACTGGATGGTGCCAGATCTGCCAGGGATGGGCCACTTTGTCCTGGTCCATGATGACCCCCACCTACTTTGAGATCTGGTCATTGTTCTCTCTCCCAGTCCTCTCTCACATGGGCATCAGTTAGGCATCAGGTATAGGTTGAGGCCCTAAGAAAGGACTTAGCACATGTTGCCAAAACAACTCTGTGCACCGAACTCAGTCTACCCTGCATGGACTGTTGCTTCCATTCCCAAAACAAAATCACTGAAAAGGAAATCATATATTTCCCAACCACAGGGCTCTGCCACTGAGAGAAGTTAATTGGCTTTTGGAAAAAAAACAACTTGGCTTAGTGAGATCTTTTTGTTCTCATAAACTCTAACCACTCACTGAGGATGCAAAGTTTGACGTCAAAAGAAGAGGACATTTAGATTTATAAAAAAATTCTGAGAAAGATAAGTAGAAACAATGAGGCACAGATTAAGAGACATAAAACAAATAAGAAAGATTCTGTTTTGAAAGTGAAGGAAATTGTACTGTCACTTGATTGAAACAAAAGAAAACAGTTTGACAAGCATTTATTGAGTACTACCTGTGTACCAGGCCCTGTGCTAAAAGTTAGAGATGTGAATTAGTCACAGTCTTTGTCCTCAGTAAGTTTATAATCTGATAGAAGAAATATACACTAGGCATCATTTCAATAAAATGTAGTAAATTCTATGAGAGCAGAGAATTTCACGGAAACACGAAGTCTGGGGTGGAAAAATGAACACCCCAGAATGGGAAAAAAAGAACAGCATAAGCCAGAACTGAGACATGAAATTAACAAAATAACATGGAATGCTTGGGAACCTACGAGGAGTTTGGCTGGCTGAAATATGTCAAAGAAAACTAGCTGGAAATGACAATGGACAGGCAGTCAAGCACAAGAAGATGTGGCACCTTCCTTCTCATGCCTTGGTAGGAAGCTGGAGGTTTATTGCTAGGGGAATAGGGGCCATTGAAGGATTTTAACTGGAGACATAGGAAGATGTGATTTGCCTGCTAGAAAAGTCACTCTGACAGCCGTGTGGAAGACGGATCGGCGAGTGGCAAGACCAGAGGCAAGGAGACTGGTCAAGAAGAGGATCATGGCAGAGGCAAGCTGTGTGCTAATCATGCTTTTGAGTCTAGGTATGACCCTCACCTTGACAGATAAATATGCAACTAAATGCAGGCAGTTCACCTGTTAGTTGTTTTTAATATCCAAAGAAGGCATGCTTGTGCTCAGAAAGGACAATTTACAGTTGCTTATATTTAATTAATTCAGTGTATGTATTAATGATTTTGAAACCATGTACCTATATCTAGATTTTTTCTTAAGCTTTTAAGTTCTGCTCACTCATCATTTTATTCAATTTATGAATCCAACAGTTTTTTGTATAAGAATAGAAAAAAATCTTAGTCAGTTTTTCTTTATTCATTTAACTCATAAACATAACTTTACATTGCCCTAAACAAACATAACTAAATTCTCTTAAACACTTGAACTTATATAAAAATTTAGTACATCTCAGTCTTTTGAATGCTCCAAATGATGGACAGGGCAGGCTTACAAGGACTGATAAGTGCCTTCTAAACTTTCTAATAATTTACCACATCTTCTTATGCACTTAAACTTACTAGTGCATAAGAAGATCTAATAATTCAAAATTATTAATGTAGTAAATCAAGTTGTTTTACATTTGAATGCAGTTTGCAATCAAAATATGTTCTGCTTTTCAAATTAAAGTCATAAGTGTAATATCAAATAAGTATTTAAATTTAAGTCACAAGACTAATTGTCAGATGCTTTACTATGTCACTAATATGATCTTTACTGTGTCTCACATATTAACAGTTTTAGATATTTAAGAATAAACACACTGATTCTTCCAAGATTACATATCTTATTCATAAATTTAACAAAAAAAAAGCATTAGTTTGCTAGGGCTGCCATAACAAACTACCACATACTTTGTAGCTTAAACCACAGAAGTTTATTGTTGACAGCACAGGAGGCTCAAAGTCTGAGATTAGGATGTGGACAGGGTTTGTTTCTCCTGAGGGTTGTGAGGCAGAATCTGTTCTATGCTCCGCTCCGAGTTTCTAGTGGTTCCCCAGTAATGATTGGTATTCTTGTACGGCAGGTCCATCACCCCATCTCCACCTAAATTTGTCTTCACCTGGTGTTCTCCTTGTGTGTGTCTGTCTTTTCACATGGTGTTCTTTTAAACAGACACCAGTATAGTAGATTAGGAATCCACTGTACTCCAGTATGACCTTATCTTAACTATTTACATTTGCAATGAGCCTATTTCCAAATAAGACCACGTTCTGAGTACTGGGACTTAGGACTTCAACATATGAATCTGAGGGGGACACAATTCAACCCACAACAGATGCTACAGATTTCATTTACTTCAATACCTCTATTCTTATTTTTATATTTTCCTGGGATTATGAGCTGAGACTAAAAGTTCAGGACTATTCTTTGGGGACAAAGCATTTTGAGACTTTCTCCAAAATCTAGATCCTGCATTTTTCTGGGACAAGGTTTCTCAACCTCAGTACTATTTACATTTGGAGTGAGATAATTCTTGTGGGGTTTCTCCTGTGTGATGTAGGATGTTTAGCAGCACCCTTGATCCCTACTCCATAGATGCCAGTAGCACTCCAACCCCATTTGTAACAACCAAAAATGTCTCCAGACATTGCCAAATGTCCTGTGAGGGCAGAGTTGTTACTCCTTTCCCCACAATTGAGAACCACTATTTTAAGGTCATTTAATCCAAGCCATAGATCTGGGTCTGTTCTCATCAGATCCAGTTGGGGAACCCCAAGATGTACCTTTCAGCTGATATTTAGTTGTGATACTTGGTGTATCATACATTCCCCTGGGCATATTTCAGGTGTTACTCCTACTCAATTTTCATTATAACCTCTCTGAAGAATTTTTCTGCAGGTTTGGGTAGGTAGGATTTGGAGATGCAACTCTGTATACAGCCAAGCCTCTTCATTATTTTGCTGGATTCAACCAATCCCTTAAACTTTATGATGGAATTCTGCATCATTTTATATACTTCCAAGTTCATAGACCAGTTTTATACTCATTATATCGGTAACATCCTTATCGAGGGTAAAAAAACACATTTAAAAAAACTGTTATTTAAGTTCAGGGTACATGTGCAGGTTTATTAATATAGGGAAACGTGTGTCACGGGGGTTTGTTGTACAGATTATTTCATCACCCAGGTATTAAGCCTGGTACCCATTAGTTATTTTTCTTGATCCTCTCCCTCCTCCTACCCTGTGCCACACCTCCTACTGTCCAACCTCTAATAGGCCCCAGTGTGTGTTGTTCTCCTCTATGTGTCCCTGTGTTCTCATCATTCAGCTCCCACTTATAAGTGAGAATATGCAGTATTTGGTTTTCTGTTCCTGCGCTATTTTGCTAAGGATAATGGCCTCCAGTCCATCCATGTCCCTGCAAAGGACATGATCTCATTCTTTTCTGTGGCTACATAGTATTCCATGGTGTATATGTCCCACATTTTCTTTACCCAATGTATCATTGATGGGCATTTAGGTTGATTCCATGTCTTTGCTATTGTGAATAGTGCTGCAATGAACATATGCATACATGTATCTTTATAATAGAAAAATTTATATTCTTTTGGGTATATACCCAGTAATGGAATTGCTGGGTCAGATAGTATTTCTGTCTTTAGGTCTTTGAGGAATTGCCGCACTGTCTTCAACAATGGTTGAACTAATTCAGACTCCCACCAACAGTGTAGGAGCGTTCCTTTTTCTCCACAACCTCACCAGCATCTGTTATTTTTTGACTTTTTAATAATAACCATTCTTACTGGTGTGAGATGGTATCTGATTGTGGTTTTGATTTGCATTTCTCTAATGATCAGTGACATTGAGCTTTTTTCATGTGATTGTTGGCTGTATGTATGTCTTCTTTTGAGAAGTGTCTGTTTATATCCTTTGCCCACTTTTTAATAGGGTTTTTTTTTTCCTAAGGCCTATAGTTTCCTCAAGAAAAATACAGCACAATGTCAGATGCTGTATGAATTTTTCCACCTGAAAGCCATGAAAGCCCATGCTGGTTCCTTCATTGCAAGTTATACATATTACAAATGCTAATTCCTTATCAGAGTTTCCTTAGAAAAATGATCTACATCTAATATATCAGCATATGTATTGTTACACTTCTGAAATACACCCTACATCCATTTACTTCTTTCCATCTCTACCATTTACTGTTATATCCAAGCCACTGTTATCTCTCACCTAGACCATTGCAGTAGCTCCTGAGTTTTTCCATCTTGCCCCAGTCCACTCAGTTTCACAGGATAACTAGACTCATCCATTTAAAACACAAAAATAATGTTGCTTCCCACTCTGAAATCTCTGGTAGTTTTCTCTGGCAATTAGCACATAAATCAAAGCTTTTTTTTTTTTTTAATTGTGTCCCAGTCTCACTCTGTCACCCAGGTTGGAGTACAGTGGCACGATCTCGGCTCACTGAAGCCTCCGCCTCCTGGGTTCAAGTGATTCTCCTGCCCCAGCCTCCCGAGTAGCTGGGATTACAGGTGCACACCACCACGCCCCGCTAATTTTTGTATTTTTAGTAGAGATGGAGTTTCACTGTGTTGGCCAGGCTGGTCTCAAGCTCCTGACCTCAAGTGATCTGCCCGCCTCGGCCTCCCAAAGTGCTGGGATTACAGGTGTGAGCCACAGTGCCCAGCTCCAAGCTCTTTCTGTTGGCCCAGGGAGCCTGGGTGGTCTTGCCTAGGCTCACCTCTCTGAGTTCTTACTGCACTGTTCCTCCTCATCCTCACCCTCTTCCAGCCCTCGTATGTCTTCCTTCTTTCCTCTAGGAAGGTTTTTGCCTTTGCTGTCCTCTGCCTAGAATAGTTCATGTCTGGTGCCTTCCTGTCATTCAGGCCTCAACTTCCTGATGGCCTCCTCCAAGGGCAGCCTTCCCTGACCTCCTAACTGAAAAAGCCTGCCCATCCTTTCCCAGGAACTCTCCTCTTTATTAAGTTAGCACTTTTTGGCTCTATTTTCTTCGTAGCCCTTGTAATTTTTTTTCTGAACATATCATGTTATTTATTTGCTTATTTTCCTACTGTCTGCCTCCCCACGGCCTGAACACCCCAAGGAAACCAGGATCTTTAGCCTATCTGCTACTGAATTACCTGTGACTAGAACAGTGCCTGGCATAAAATATGTTTTTATTAGATCAATGAATAGATATCCCACATATATATTCATTCAACAAATATATTTGTTGTTTATGTATTTATTACATATATATGTATATTATGTATGAGTAAATGCATGCCTTGAAGATGTTTTTTCATATCCAGCTTTTATCTGGACTTGGAATATGGGAGTGAATGGAATAATCACCTTTGTTAAGTGTAGGAGCTGGGCTGGAATAGATGCAGCAACTTGTAAAAACAGTAAAGAATGTTGCCTCTTTCCTGTACTTCACTGCACCATGAACATAGTTGAAGAGCTAGAATTACCATAGACTCCTTGATAAATGCCTCCAGTGTCTCCAAAAAGAATCATATATGTGTGTTATGTGTTTCTGAATGTAATTTGATGTACCTTAATTAGGAATGTATGTTAAAGAAGTAATAACTACTATAAACTCTATACTGTCATCTAAAATTCTTATGTGGCCTGGCACAGTGGTTTACACCAATAATCCCAGCACTTTCAGAGGCCAAGGTGGGCAGATCGCTTGAGCCCAGGAGTTCGAGACCAGCCTGGGCAACATGGCGAGATCCTGTCTCTATAAAATACCAAAAAAAAAAAAAAAAAATTAGCTGGGCATGGTGGCATGCAACTGTACATCTACACAGGAGTCGCAGGTGGGTGGATCACTTCAGCCCAGGAGGCAGAGGCGGTAGTGAGCTGAGATAGTGCCACTGCACTCCATCCTGGGCAACAGTGAGTCTTTGTCTCAAAAAAGAAAAAAAAAAATCTTACGCTTACATTTAAACGACACATATCCTTTGATTTTGGTCCTGGGATCTTTTGATTTTTCTTTCTTAGTCCTCCTTTATTCATACATATAGCCTCACTTTTAAGATGGCCTCAAGGAAAATCCATATGGTAACAACCACACTAAGTTCTGAAATTAAATTCTGCATGGATAGATTTATCTATGGCCTAATGAATGAGGCATTTCTACTTCCTCTGAGAACAGCTTCTCATTTTTATTTTTTATTCATATTTGCATTTATAAAATATTTTTAAGCACTTAAAATTTATTTTAAGTAACAGGCACTATGCTAACCTCTGAGGTTAAAATAATGAATGAGGCTGAGCCTACTTGGATCTCAGTGTGGCGTCATCATAGTCTGTGGATAGATATGAAAGGGCCTGAGGGTTCTCTTCCAGTCTGTCCCCAGCCATAGTCACTGGTTGGCTGTACTCAAGGAAAGAATGATGCCAATGTTTCTGTGGTGTGTTTCAGCAACTTGGTAGTATATACAGCATACTCGCTGCAATCTTGAATGTTGGCAACATTGAATTTTCTTCTGTGGCAACTGAACACCAGATTGACAAGAGCCACATTTCTAATCATACAGCCCTGGAGAACTGTAAGTTTTATTACCTTCTATTCAAAACTGAAATCTTTCAAATCTTATGACATACCATAAGTATCACATAAGGACCATTTCAAGCAATTGTGCTAACCTAGAATCCTTAAAAGAATACTCAGATTTAATGTGTGTAAAATTAAAATTTTAAAGTCCACTACTTAAAACATCTTCATGCTTACAAATTAACTGATTACTGTAGAACACATTTCTGAAGACTAGGCTTTTACAACTATTTTGGGAGCTATTTACATTTCGATATAAAAGCACAGATAGTATAGTTAAAATTCAGTAAACTGATCTGAAAAAGAATTATGTTATTGTCTTATAGATTTAGCATCTATACCATTTTACAAGTAATAAAGACCTGTATGTTTCCATACTAGATGGATTCTACAGCCATTCATCCTGGGTTGATTAATTTTGCGATCATTTCTACACAAGAGAAGCATGTCATAGTATTTGCTTCAAATCAAGTTTTTCTTAATAGTAGAGTTTGATAAATTATTTCCAGTAATTTAAGGTTTTCCATTAATATCTTCAACAGCACAGCTTTTTTCTATTTAGTGTTGCCTAGTATGCCCTGTTATTTTATTTTTAATATTGGCACATGCTTTCATAATTGCATATTTGCTGTTTCATTAATAATAACAAATGGAGAATCACTCCTCGTCCAAAAGCTCACACCTCTAATCCCAGTACTTTGGGAGGCCGAAGCTGGTGGATCACCTGAGGTCAGGAGTTTGAGACCAGCTTGGCCAACATGGTGAAACCCTGTCTCTACTAAAAATACAAAACTTAGCCAAGCATGGTGGTACACGCCTGTAGTCTCAGCTACTCGAGGAGGCTGAGGCAGGAGAATCGCTTGAACCCAGGAGGCAGAGGTTGCAGTGAGCCGAGATCGTGCCACTGCACTCCAGCCTGGACGACGGAGCAAGACTCTGTCTCAAAACACACACACACACAAAATGGAGAATCATGATACAAATTTTTATTTATATACTTTTTCCTGATTTATGCTTAGGAACAGAGTGAGATGGTGTAGTTTTAGGGGGCTAAGTGCCAGATTATCCTGGTCTGGACCTGTCCCCAGCATCCCTATAAATGCTATCCCACTGTGTCTCTGGAGCCAATGTGATAATACAGTAGCACAAGTGTATGGAATTGGCATGTAGTGACCGGCATGTGCCTGGAAACCTCAAGGAAACATGTTCTAATTTTCCATATTTAAAAATTTTTAATTGGCATGTATGATATTAACTTATCAGAAGTAGAAAGAATAACCCTACAACTCCATTGATAAGATGTAAATCTCACATCTGATCATATTCAGAAGAGCTAGCAGCAGCCAATGGAATGAGTTGCAATAGAGATAGGTTGTAGATAAGAGTATACCTAGAAACAACCATACTAAAAAATGATTTTGATGATTGAGAACCTATTTCTGCATAACAGAAGACAGTCATATAAGTTACAAAATGTTGATATTAATATGAATATCATTAAAATTAACATACTTTCTGGAATAACCACTCATGGAAAGTAGAAACTTTATTAATTTACATTAAAATGATTTCTAATTGAAAGTTATAAGGAATTATGTCCAAACCAAGGCTGCATTTCCATATGGTTTTACAAGAGCCTTGTTTCAATTAAGCACCAGTTCTGACCATTTTGTCCCATAAATATCTCTCAAATCTGACCACTTCTCTTTATCATCATTGTCACCATTCTCATCAAAAACAACATCACCTCTCACCTGAACTAAGTGACCTCCCAGTTGTTCATTTCACATCAAGAATTGATTTTTTCCAGGTCATTCTCCACAATTCTTTCAGAAACCACATAACCCATCTATCAGTGGGCTCTCTCAGTCTCCCCCTTTCCCTCTCCATCACCTCCCTCTCCCCCTCCTTCTCCTTCTCCTCCTTCTCCTTTTCTCTTCCTGCTTAAATTTCTTACTGGTTTCCCATTCTTGCTGGATAAAGATAATCAAGACTAGTGCTTTGTTTTATAAAGTATTGTGCTTAGCAATTTATCCCCAGGTAAAATGCCTAGCATGTAGTAGACAATAAATGTATGTCAAATAAATAAACAATGTAGGAACAGAAATAGACATACAGATCAGTGGGAGACACTGTTCAGAAACAGATCCAAAGTATATTACCAAAAATGGCATCACAGATCACTAGGGAATCGGTATTGTAGGGAACTAGCTAACCATTTTGGGGAGGAGGAATTTGAATCATTCTTATATACTGTATATCAGAATGAATTCCAAACACACATAAATTTAAATGCAAAAAAATCATAAGAGAGACTGGAATTGATTTATATAATATTGAGGGGAGAAAGGACTTGAAGTTTATGTGTAGAAAATCAAAAGCACAAATTATTTTCTTTAAAAAGTGGATATTTGACTACATAAAAATTAAAACTTTTATACTAAAAAAAGAAAGCATAAATAAAATTGCAGTACAAATGAAACTGAGGGAAAATATTTGCAACATATATATCAAAGCATTTCTTTAAGCTATGAAGAGGCTCATATAAATTGATCAGGAAAAGATGAACATATCAATGAAAATATTGCAATTTTCAAACTAAGCAACAGAAGTTACCAATAAAAATATGGAAGAAAAAAGTATTCAGCTTCACTAGGAATCAATTACAAATAAATAGAAAACATTTTCTCCTATCAAATTGGCTATTTTAGAAAAATGATAGTCCGTGATGTCCATGAAATTGAATTGAAGTTATTGGTGTTTTATTTGGCTGAGAGGAGTGTAATTGGTTCAGAGATTTTGAAGAGCAGTTAAATAGTATATATCAAAAAACTTTCAGCCAGGCCCAGTGGCTCACGCCTGTAATCCCAGCACTTTGGGAGGCCAAGACGGGCAGATCACGAGGTCAGCAGATCGAGACCATCCTGGCTAACACAGTGAAACCCCGTCTCTACTGAAAATACAAAAAAATAGCCAGGCGTGGTGGCGGGCACCTGTAGTCCCACCTACTTGGTAGGCTGAGGCAGGAGAATGGCGTGAACCCAGGAGGCGGAGCTTGCAGTGAGCGGAGATCGTGCCACTATACTCCAGCCTGGGTGACAGAGCAAGACTCCATCTAAAACAAAAAACAAAAAACAAACAAACAAAAAAGACCTTTCTTGATCCCAGGAGTTCGAGGCCAGCCTGGGCAACATGGCGAAACACTATCTCTACCAAATAATAATAATAATAATTAGCCAGGCAGGTTGTCATGCGCCTGTGGTCCCAGCTGCATGGGAGGCTGAAGTAGGAGGATCTCTTGAGCCCAGGAGTTTGAGGCTGCAGTGAGCCATAATTGTGCTGTAGCACACCAGCTTGGATGACAGAGCGAGACTTTGTCTCAAAAAAAAAAAAAAAAAAAAAACTTTTACATATTTACGTATTTTGAAAAATTGCTGAATTTAGGCAACCTATGCTAAGAAAATAGTACAAAATATAAACACAGATTTATGCTTAAAATATTTATCCTGGCATTTTTTAAAATTATTGATATATTATCATATTTGTCAAAATATTATGCAGCAAATTAAAGCATATTTACAGACAATATTGAACAAAATGGGAAATGCATAAGATGTTATATGAGATAAAATGTTTATGCAGACTAATGGTAGTAAATATGCCTAGAAGGAAAGAAATGCAGAATGTTAACTTAGAAGGTAAAATTTCTGCAATGAGCCTATCGTACTTCCACGATATGAAAAAATATAGGGTTTAACAATCTTAGCCATATAACCAAGAAACATCTTGTCACAAGTGCTAAAAGTAAATGTAAAATGTTCAAAATATTTTAAAAGGAGAACAACAGATTTGAAAAATTAGCCAATCTGTCATGTAATAGTTTTGGTTAAAGATGTTTATTATATTCAAAAATGAGTTTTGTTCACGGAATTAAAGTGTTACTAATTTTAAATTCCCCATGAAATGTAATCAACATTAAATGCCAAATAAATGTTTGTTCAAACATCCAGTTTTAACAAAATTTAGTAATTGAAGTATGAAACTAAAAAGTAGGATGATATGTACATGAATGTCAAGTATAAGTACATGAATGTCAAGATAAGTTTGTGCTCTTTCTGTTGTGTATTGCAGAAGGTACTTGAAATACATTTATTGAGGTATACCCCTGAAGTCTAAGTAACCTGTTCCAGTTAATTTCTACATTTTGAAAATATGTATATAATAATGGTATCCAAATTATGCCAAATCTATTCATTATGTTTTAAAATTATTTAGCATAATTTAGTGAAACTATATTTGACATCACATAAACAACCACTCGCTTATGCAGCTGTATTACTCTGCCAGCCAGTGTGATTTGGGTTATGTTATAATATGCAGTAACCTAAGTTTAACCAGCTGAGAAAAGTTGAGAAAAATGATCAAGAAGAGACATAGGACTCATGTTGGATAGTATCATATTTTTACATTACATAATCTCCACACATTTAATTCATGTCATTTGAAGAAGGCAGATTAAGACATTTTCATTTTTGGGGAGTGACCTCATTGCCATAATTTCTTCTAACAATGCATCTGTTTGTTTTTCAGGTGCTTCTTTGCTTTGCATTCGGGCAGATGAGCTACAAGAAGCTCTCACCTCCCACTGTGTGGTCACTAGAGGAGAAACAATTATACGACCCAATACTGTAGAAAAAGCTACCGATGTCAGGGATGCCATGGCTAAAACTTTATATGGACGTCTCTTTAGTTGGATAGTCAATTGCATTAACAGTTTGTTGAAGCATGACTCATCACCAAGGTAAAAATTTTTACAGAAACATTTTTTTCCCAAATGTCAGGTGATGTAAGTCTACTTTCTAATTGATTGTTTTGTATAGATCTCTTTCAAGATGTTTCTATAATTGATGTAATTAAATTATTAAAATGATAATTTAGTAGATAAGCTTCACTTCCTAATAGTTCCACCTCATAATGCCACTTAACTATAAAATTTTTAAGTTGCTGCAACATAAAACCTGTAGCAACATAAATAACACAATAGAAAGTGAATTCTTAAAATGTGATATCTTACTATGAACTAATAGGTTTTTTTAATTAGAAGTTGTACCATGAAGCATATACCATTTTATGCTTGTATAAAATGTCAGCTCAGCAGTCCTTTGTTTTTATTTTGAAGGTTTAAATTAAACTTTGAAGATAAAGGAAAACTTTATTTTCATATTTTAACTCTCACTGTAATGCCATTACAGCCTCACTGTAACTCCAATGAAATTTGGTTCAGAAATGCACTAGATAAATGTAGGTAATAGTAAATGGCAGGGCCATGATGTAAGCATTGTTATCTGACTGTAAGTCTAGATCCTTCCTTCTTAAAGATAATTACAGCCACGACTGACTGAGTGCTCTCTATAGGCAGGGCTTATACATGGACACAAGTCCTTCCATCTAAAGCTTTGTTCTGTGATAAATGGCATAATCTTTAGAATTTTGCATGTGGAAAAGCAAGATGGATGCCTACCATAAGATCACCTCATTCACACTTGCTTACTAAGCATAAAAGACCATTTATACACATTTCAAGTATGCAATTCATTATTATTTTTTTCACTAAAATACATACCACACCATTATACTATGTATAGTCAAACTGTCTAAGACCTTATCCATTATTTCTCCATGTTCTTAACTTTGTGTCTCTCAAAATTGCTTGTGTACCTCCTGGGTACTATCTATACCATTTTCCCATTACAATGTAATGGTCAAAATGGTTGTATGTTCTGGTACGGTCATCTATATTATGTCAAGCATTCATATGAAAATGGAAAATATTCAGGGATTTTTATTATCTGTATATTCCAGAAAATGTAGGCAAGATGGCAAGATATTTAGAGATTTGGCCTCATTTTGTTAATTATCATCTGCATGTTTGGCACTAAATGATACCTACCCAGAAGGGGGATCTACTATATCCACTGTAGCCTATGTACTAAATGTACATATACTAAATATACTAAATGGCAACTTTCCTTTCCATTCACTAATGAAAACCATCCAAATCTTAGATTTTAAAATTTTTTACAGAAAGTCTAAAAGCTAAAGGGAGACCAATTGAAATAATTTAGTTCAACTTTGTTAAGTTGTACACTAAGACTTTAAACGGTATATGTTGTATGCTGGGCTTTGCCACTATCTCGTTATGGGACACTGGGCAACTTACTGCATTTGTCTGGGTCTTTCCCTCCTCAACTGTTAAATAGGGGCATTGAATGACAAGTCAGTGGTCTTAGTTGTTGGGGTGTATCTTGGAGCCTTTTAAGAACGTCTTGAAAACTGCCTATTTCCTTCACTTAAAAATAAAAAATAGATATATTTCTATATGCCCACGAAAATATTGCACGCTTATGATTCCATTCCTCTTGAAAGCCATTAATAGATCTTACTTTAAGAATCTCTGAACTAGATTATTTGTAAGGTCCCTCCTGCTTCTAACACTTTTTTATGCAATGAGTTAAATATTTATCTCTGTGGGATCCTGTGGGGCAAAGAGATTGTAAAAGGATAATAATCTTGACTAAACCAGCATAAGTTTTAACTAGACATCTTGCCTCATACAATAATACAGAATTATTATTCAAAATAAGAACTTTCAGAAATACTCAAATAGCTTTCCTTTTGTCCATCCCAGCACATATTTAAAGTATTCTACAGCCTGGATTTTGAATTCAGTTGCTTCCTCCAAATGTAGAGCGGATCCTTCAGGTCACAGTGTGCAGTTGCTGACTGTCATTTCCAAATCACTTCCTTACATAATACTAAGTGTAACCCTGGAACACCTAAATGATGAACACAAAGAGAAGCTTTTGTACTTTCTTTTTATAATTCACATCAAAATAACTCTACAATGTATATATTTCTTTGGGGAGGAGTAAACCTTTTGACCAATAGTAAAAAAAAAAAAAAGTATTTGAAATACTTAATTGTAAAATAAAATTTAATTATATTTTAAAGTATTTAAATGTAAAAATAAATCCCTATGTATTTGTATTTCTCCAGTTTGCCATTTGTTCTATATTAAAAAATTATAAGCAAATGATCCAAAAACAAATAACAATTCTTTAAAATAATTAAGATCTTTTTAGTAAGATTTTCAAAATTGTTCTCCTAAAATGAAAGACTATACTTTTTAACAGAATTTTTGCTTTCCTGGGAGAGTTTTTATTGAATATGTTTTTGCTGTGTTCTAATTGCTTCCCAAGTTGTTCTTGTAATTCCTGACTCACTCAAGCCTGTGACTTTGTTCTTAGGAGAAGAAAAAGTTTCTTTTGTTTCAGTGTATAAAAGTATCGGAGTGGTTTCTGTAGTTCAAGGAAAATATTGTTTCATTTTCATATAAAAATCAATATCTGCCGTTATCTTTATGTGCTACAGAGAGAAGCTATTTCAGTTAAGAAAGTTTCACTCTAAGTGTATGTTCTTATAGTAGTTTCTTAGCTCAGTCACAAATGGTAACTCTAAGATTCCCTGTTTTACATTACCTCTTCAGGAAATAACTCAAAATAATGCCTCTTCAATTCTTCTAGTGGGAATGGTGATGAGCTGAGCATTGGCATTCTTGATATATTTGGCTTTGAAAATTTCAAAAAAAATTCCTTCGAGCAGCTGTGCATTAACATTGCAAATGAACAAATTCAGTATTATTATAATCAACATGTGTTTGCATGGGAACAGGTAAGTCTAAGTACTTACTATAAATATGCATGCATGCATGTATTATAGGCAGACTTGTACAAATGAAGCAGGACCTTAACCATAGATTTAATGCCTTAAACATTTTAGAAAGACAAAAGATTTTTATTATCTCCACGTCCATAGTAAAAACAAACAAAAACAAAAAAACTGGTGTGAATTTAGTGTGACTGATATGTGATGTTAAATGTCCTCCATTGAAAATCGGTACACTCTTCTCCAAAACTTAGAATTCTGAGCCTTTGTAAACGAAGATATTTCCTTTGAAAATTTAAGTAGACAGATGCGTCCAACAGTTTTTCTTTCTGTAGACTACATAGCTGAAATTCCTTTTGAAATTTCAATATCCAGCTAAAAGCCATTAAACTTCAGAATTCCAGTAGCTAGGCAACAGAATATAAGATAATGGGTTTGATGCAAATGCCATGAAATGATCATTTTGTCAGGGTACAATGTGTAATTTATGAATCAGCTTCAAAAAATATTCCTCCTTAGAGAAAAATCAGACTTAAATCACATTTGATGTACTGTAATACTAAGAATACTTAAATTATTTTATTAAATCTAAAGGAGTCATATTTAATATCATCCAGTATGTCATTTTTCTCCTTCAAGTAATATTATATTGTTTTGCATTTAAATTAGAGGTACATGAACTTCATTTTATTCAAAATATTTAGGCTTCTTAAGAGTTTATTTTGGAATTACATTTTGAAAACAGTGGTCACAAAATAAAACATTTCGATTTTGACATTTCTTAAGCCAAAAGAAGACATAAATTTAAGACCTTATCTAGTTGTTCAGCTCTTTTTCATCTATCCCAGGATGTTCCATCAAATATTCATTCCCTCTCCCTCTCTTCCTCTTCTTGTCTCCTCTGCTCCTCTCTGTCGGTGCCCTCCCATAGCCTAGATATGCGAAGAAATATCTTTAAAATCTTAAAAGCAAACAGAATAAAAAACAAAGCCCTTTTCCACTCTGCTTATCTCTGTAGCATGGTCCTCTCTTTTCCCCTCACAGCCAAGCTCCTTGAAAGCATGTTCAGCACTCACTGCATTGCGTTTCTTCCTTCCCCATCTGGTACTTTGAGGCGTATCTGGCTGTGACCTCCCCAATTCCCCTGGAATGGCCCTTCCTCATCTCATCAGTCATTAGTTCATTTTTGTCTTTCTCACTAGGCATCTCCTTTAGATCATATATTGTGTCTTAATTCTTTTTGTCTTTTTAGAGGCTGACACGTAGCAAGTGTTCAATAAGTAATGTTGCCTTGCTTTAATGCTTCACAATACTCACAGCATCCATTTGAACCAGAGACCAAAACAAGTAAAAAATTTTTGGTTTGAACTTTTTGATATGATCTATCAGAATTGCTAACTTTATGGGACCAGGTGTATCCCCATGCATTGCTCATGTGATGAATTAGTGACTTGCATTGGTAGATCTCTGTTGTTCTTTTGGTGGTTGGGTAGACTCTGGTTTTAGCCTTAACCAAGGTACAGATATTTCAATAATTATTGCTTTTCACTGTTTATAAAATGTTAGTTTACAAATTGCTTTTTTTTTTTTGAAACAGAGTCTCACTCTGTCACCCAGGCTGTAGTGCAGTGGGGTGGTGTTGGCTGACTGCAGCCTGCGCCTCCCAGGCTCAAGCAATCCTTCTGCCTCAGCCTCCCAAGTAGCTGGGACCACAGGCATGCACCACCACACCTGGCTAATTTTTGCATTTTTTCATGGAAACGGGGTTTCACCATTTTGGCCAGGGTGGTCTTGAAATCCTGGGCTCAGGCTCAGCAATCTGCCTGTCTCGGCCTCCCAAAGTTCTGTGATTACAGGCATGAGCCACCAATCCTGGCCTACAAGTTGCTTTGATTGCTGGCCTTGAATTTCATTCATGATCCCAATGCTCTTAATTCTTTTGTCTAAGGGCTTGTTACAAAACTTATTCTATAAAGCCCTTTAAGATACCCTTGAGAGGATTTTGAAATAAAACAACTCAAAATTTCCCCCAACAAAATAAAACATTCAACTAGAATCCAGGATTATACAAAGCATTTTGAGGAATTAAAACAATTTCCAGTCCTTTCAGGTGCCTTCCTAGAATAACTATCTAGGAATTTCTGCTTCATAGTCTTATGAACCAGACATTGGCAGTTGAGTATGATCAGATTGCTGAATGTGTTATCCAGAAGATACAGAATTAGTCAATGACTCTCTTGATTTTAACACGTGAGTGTACTTGTTTTTTCTTTCTAACTCCCAGGTGAATGCTGAAAATGTAACTGAGAAAAGCTAACTAATTGTATGTAGCTATCACAGACAAAGAGCACACTTACACTAATTTCTGTAAATGAGAAACTGCTATTAAATCTTGAATTAAAGTCTTGGTCTACATTTTTTGGTCGAATATAATTACAGATTTGACCTAACTGAGAGCTCCTTAGTTTAATAGAGCCATTATTGCCTATTATTTCAGAAAGAAATAGTGTTCTTACTTTCATGAGACTTACAAATGATCCGGCCAGATCTCGGCACAAGTCTTGGGCAGCACCTTTACAGATGAAACACCTCTGTTCCTGCTTAAACCAATAAACATTATTTTTATTGACAGTTGTACAACACTGGAACATAAATAACAGTCTGCTGAAAGCATTTTCCTATTTAGTCCAATTTCAGTGTATTTGTAATAGACAGTGGGACACTCCAGCAAAGCTGTTTACAATGGTATTTTGAATATCATAATATCATTTTCCCATTGCCTTCCATTAAAAAAAGATCAAGAAACTACAGTAAAACATTTTTTTGTGAAAGAATTTATGATGGTGACCCAATCTATAGCATGCAGAGTAGATAGTTTTATGTTTCTTGGAATTGTTTCCACCTGTTTGCATTACCTTTGAAACATTTTCCTAAATCCAGGAATCTCTATTATCCACTCACTGGCAGCTATACCTCCTTTCTCTTATAGCCTGCTTTCCCATGGACAGTTACTATATGCCTCAGAATCTCTTAGTAACAACCTGGAGCATCCACTTTGTATCCCTTTATTTTCCTTATTATCTAGATATTTAGAATGTTAAGAGAGCTTGTGTATAGAAGCATTATTTTTCTATGTGTAAAATATGTAGCTCCTAAAATTTTCCTGGAGTTTGATATTTTATAGTATTTGAAGCTTTTACAGTTTCCCGGCACTGGGAGAATAATTTTATGTATATTTATTTTAATGAAATCTAAAGATACTATTTGTATCTCAATAGTTTGAAAATTAGATGGTAATCTATGTCCCCACCCTGCAAATAGAAGATGATCAGCCAAGAAGTATAGTTGTAATTATTTTAAAATTTAAGACTCAACCCCTTCTAAATGAGTTGCAGCCAAAAAGTATATAATTTACTCTCAATTGTATCAATTCCACAAATATAGTATTCATATTTCAGCCTTCGCTATTACATTCGTACACCATTATTGTGTCATACACTGTCAACTTCCATTTTCTGAGAGGCTTTTATTTTGCAGCTCAAATGGCAGTATTCCATTGCCAAGAAAGGAAGTGTTTTTTTCACAATAGCCCTCATGCTGAATTTCCACGATAAATATGTAGCCAAGGTTTTGGTTTTGTTTGTTTGTTTTGTGGTTTTCTTCCGTCGGAAAGGGAGCTTAACAGTAATCAAACTGTGATATAACGACTGAAGTTCTCTGGAATCACCTATCTCATATTAGAATCCCACATGAGAAATGTACATACCTTGTCAAAAGTGTTCTCATGCAGCTGCTGTAGTGGTGGTTTTTGTCCTTTGTCTTAATTTTGCACTGTGGTATCATCATTGTGGTATAGAACATACAAAAGAAATGCTCCCTGCTCCCTAGAAGTTTATACTTCAAATCAAGGGGAGTACATACCAAGGACTGGTCAATCCTGGGCATGACTTTGAATTGGAACAAATGCCACTGTTCTTAAGGGCCAGTGAGCACCTAGAACATGTGTATGATGCTACAGCGTATTGATCTAGAATCCTGAAAATTCACTCCACTTATTTATGTGTGCCTATTTGTATTTTGGATAAGCTTTCTTCATCCATTAGAGCAGCACATCTGACTATTAACTGAACTAAAGTTTTTTTTTTTAAATGAGCTATTACTATTTATTTCTGTAGAAGGATGAGCTTTTACAGACATCATTTAGACATGCATCTATGGGTTTGGAACTGAATGTCAGAAGTAGTTTTAGAAGCAGGAAACTATTACTATTTACAGCACATAATGGAAACAATAACTGCAATTATGGCTCTAGCTTCTCTTGCAGAAAGTAATGTGTATGACTCTCATCTCCAGCTGCTCACATTCTAAAGTTTACAGTGTTTGAGATTTTAAATGTGGGCTCCAACACATAATTTGTGGCAATTACAAAGAATAAAAATTCACTTAATATAAAATACCTACATTTTCAAAACTTTTTACATTATAAAGTAAAAACCAGTCATTTGATTTTTAAAAATGTGTGGATGATTAAAAATAACCCCCTTATCAGTGTCTTCACATTGTTTTGCTCAAAAGTGTGAATTATTATTTTAAGTTCAACTTTCTTCCCTATTAAGTCATATGTGTGCAAATGGTAACATTTGTCCCATTTTAGCTCTCCAAGTGATAAGCATTTCCTTTAAGTGTCAAAGCAGCCAAATACATTTGAGAAGCCCTTAATACAACAAATCTTCCTTTTTAAGTGCTTGACCAAGTGTTAGGTTATTAAATATTCCTTAAATGTTTCACACACTGAAGATGGCAGCTGATGTCCACGTGGTTGGTTGGTTGGAGGTGTTTCGGGACCCTTGCAGCAGCTCTGGGCTGTGGACCTGTTGCTCTTCTCTCCCTCTGGCTTCGCAGACGGCCTCTCAGGCTCTGTGTTCCTCATCCCTGCTAGGCAGCTGCGTAGCACACTTAGTCTGTTTCTCTTTCATTGGTGAAGTTTGGTCGACACCCTTAATGTGATGTGGGGATTTGTGGTACTTATTTTGATGATTTAATGATATTCTTAAATTTAAAAGGTTTTTTTTCTTTTCTGAGTTGGGGTCTTGCCCTGCTGCCCAAACTAGAGTGCAGTGGCACAATCAAGACTCACTGTAGCATCGAACTCCTGAGTTCAAGTCATCCTCCTACCTCAGCCTCCTGAGTAGTTGGGGCCACTGGCGTGTACCACCATACCTGGCTAAATTTTCAGAAGTTTTGATAAAAAGTAATTCTCAGTGAAATACATAGTTAGAAGTCTAGATCCATATGATAGTACTGTCGTTTTCTACATGTGAGGTTAGAGCATACTATTGACAAACCAAAATACAATTTTTTGGTAAAGATTTAAACATGGCAGTAATGGAAAAATAGTTTAAGGTGAAAGAGATCCTGATATACAGAACACTGTATTTCTGAATTTCTAATCCAAATGCCTCCTTATTCTAAGCTGATACCTATTAATAGAATATAAATTTGTAAAATCCTTTATGTCTCTTAAATAGTTTTGAGAAACAGGTATCATATCCAAAAAGTGACTAAATTGGAATTTTCATCTTAGCATGCATTAGTATATATATTTTTTTCTGAATAAGGAAGCTGCTGTAGGGAGAAATATTCTAAAACTCATCTCTTCAAATTTTAGTAAAATGGATGTAAAATAAAACATGAATATTTTATTAGGAATTATCCAAAATACTTTCTCATTAGGTTATTTGTCATATTCTGAATTAATGACTTGTGTCATCTCAAGTTAATGATGGCCAGCATTCTCTGTGACTTGCTATTAACATTAACATAAAAACTAACAGGATCATCAATATCAGCTTCAAATAGAAAATACAGGAAGAAATAGATTTCAAATCATAAATCTTATTTCATAACAAGAGTTCACGTTTTTACAGGACAAGTATTATCACTGTTTTTTAGAATTTAAAAAAGTTATTTCATTAAAGTATTATTAAAATATGTGTATATAGAAAGAGAGAATGAAAAATCAAACATGATGAAGCTTAACAATTGTGGAATAAACACCATGTAAAGGGTACACAGGAGTTCTTTGTACTATTCTTGAAATTTTCTGTAAGTTTTAAATTATTTCAAAATGAAAAGTGGCAAAAGTTTTTTTTTCACTGTAATAAACATAAAACATACTCAGTTCATCCTGAGTTATGGTAGCACCCTTAAAGAAATCTTAGATTTTCAACCTTTAAAATCTTTCTGTTTGATAAAGGAGGATTTTTGTCAATGGTTAGAATAAGCAACTTCTTCTCAATGGTTTCTCTCTACCCTGGGCAATGTTTTCATGAATAGGCACACTCATTTGAGCAGGGGTGAGTAAGAGTTCTTTTACTAAAATACAGACTTCAGGGACTATATATGTCTATGTAGCTTCTTTCCTGTTGCAAACGTTCTGTCCACAGTCTTAACCACATTTATTCATTGAGTTTTATAACATATCCAAGCAGTTGTGCATTCTGAAATATTAGAAGAAACCTAAATAGGTTATCTATATTTCATTGATTAAAATGACTCCCTCTCCTCAACTGTGATTTGCCCAAGGTTATAGGACAGTGAAATGAAACCAGGACCAGAGTAAAGGGCTTCTGACAGCTATCCATGGTTTTTCTCATGAACAAACAAGTAAGCAAAGAACAGGGATCTAGTAAAGTAATCTCCTGTGCAGAAGAAAAAGGTGCTCTTTCCTTCTTTCTTTCTAAATAGATAAGAGCACCTTTTTCTTCTTCATAGGATATTACTTTATTAGAATAATCTATTAGATTATTAGGTTATTAATTCATAAATATAAATTATTATTTAATTATTAGATTATTTCTGTTGGATTAGAAAGAAGGAAAGAAAAGAAGCATAAGTCAGTCTTAACATGAAAAGCCAAGGAGAATCAACATAAGGCAGGATAAAAGAAGGCAGGAAATCCCAGGGAGCACTTAGGCTGGCAGCAGAGGCTGGCAAGGGTTGTGACAGCTGGAGACCCCTCACAGGAAGGAACTAGAACTAG
Source organism: Homo sapiens (assembly GCF_000001405.40). Taxonomy (NCBI): domain Eukaryota; kingdom Metazoa; phylum Chordata; class Mammalia; order Primates; family Hominidae; genus Homo; species Homo sapiens. The sequence continues at coordinate 26,135,575 of NC_000010.11, forward strand.
AAGGTGGAACAACTGAAAAGGAGAATACAGCCACAAGCAAAGAAATCTCAGACATGATTTTAGGGTTGGAATGGAAAGGCAGAGAGCATCTTTGCCATGTCCTAAAGAACAGAAACTCGACCGGGCGCAGTGGCTCACGCTTGTAATCCCAGCACTTTGGGAGGCTGAATCACCTGAGGTCAGGAGTTTGAGACCAGCCTGGCCAACATGGCGACACCTCATCTCTACTAAAAATACAAAAATTAGCCGGGCATGGTGGTGGGTGTCTAGAATCCCAGCTACTCGGGAGGCTGAGGCAGAAGAATCGCTTGAACCCAGGGGCCAGAGGTTGCAGTGAGCTGAGACTGGGTCCACTTCACTCCAGCCTGGGTGAAAGAGCAAAACTCCATCTCAAAAAAAAAAAAAAAAAAGAACAGAAACTCTATCTTTCTGATCTTTAAATTCTACCTTCCCCGGCCCCATCTACCCCTAACCACACACAGAGTAGGCACTCCTCGAACATTTCTGGAATTTGAGTATATCACATCCTCTCCAGTGATCTGTACAAAGACAGCATCACAAACCCAGGTGAATTGCCAGTGCCATCTCATGATATAAATCTCATTCTTCCTTCCTTGACCTAAAATGGGTAGGACCATAAAAAAGTGGACTAAACTTATAAAAATAAGAGATACTGATTTATGACTTGAAAACAAACACAGGAGAATATTGAGGGTCATATATACCAGCTATTAACATTTCCCCATTCTGAAATATCTACAACTGTGGAGCAGTGTCAAATGGTGAACTTGCCTATCAGAGAAGGCTATGACATTGTTCCCCAGGTGTAAGTTCTGTGAAAGAACTAAGTGTTCCCTGTCACTGCATATACCAGCCTTTTATAAAAGAAAGATGTCACGAGCCAAAGTCCTCAAATCACTTCAATTGGTGACTTTGGAAGAATCTTTTTAAAACTTTGGGCTTGGATAAAACTGTCAGAAGGTAGTAGAGAGTGTTCTCCTATAGTAAAATGATGAGGTGGTGTGTCAGAGGGAGTGGGGAGAAGACTGTTCTAGAACCTGTCTATTTTTTACTTGAGGATGTAGTCAGCCTACTTAAGCAGTGTTCATCTACTGCTATCTGGATTGGTGCTAAGAAATAAAAACACACTAAGTACAGATTGGCTGGGCATGGCAGCTCACACCTGTAATGCCAGCACTTTGGGAGGCCAAGGTCAGCAGGATCACTTGAGGCCCGGGAGTTTGAGACCAGCCTGGCCAACATGGTGAAACTCCATCTGTAATAAAAATACAAAAATTAGTGGGGCATGGTGGCATGTGCCTGTACCCAGCTACTCAGGAGGCTGAGGCATGAGAATTGCTTGAACCCAGGAGGCAGAGTTTGCAGTGAGCAGAGTTCGTGCCACTGCACTCCAGCCTGGGCCACGGAGCAAGACTCTGTCTCAAAAAACAAAACAAAAAAAAAAGACCCAGTAAGTACAGGTTGATTGGTCTGGTGTGTACTAATGTAGGTGATGAGACTATATAAAAAATAAAATTATTGTTGATTCTTAAAGATTTAGGTACTACATAGAAGGGCAATAAATATTCATTTCTGAGTGCTAAAGTTATTTGTGAACTAGAAATGTAGGTTATTCTATATTTTAAATTATTCCAGACATGGGTAATTTCAGAACTTCAACTAAGGAAACAAAGATTTGAAATAGTTCACTGTTGCGGGAAGTCAGGGACCCTGAATGGAGGGACAAGCTGGAGCTGCGGCAGAGGAACATAAATTGTGAAGATTTCATAGACATTTACTAGTTCCCAAATAACACTTTCATAATTTCTTATGCCTGTCTTACTTTAATCTCTTAATCTTGTTATCTTTGTAAGCTGAGGATGTGTGTCACCTCAGGACCACTGTAATAATTGTGTTGACTGTACAAATTGATTGTAAAACGTGTGTTTGAACAATATGAAATCAGTGCACCTTGAAAAAGAACAGAATAACAGCGATTTTAGGGAACAAGGGAAGACAACCATAAGGTCTGACTGCCTGCAGGGTCGGGCAAAAAGAGCCATATTTTTCTTCTTGCAGAGAGCCTATAAATGGACATGCAAGTAAGGAAGACATCACTAAATTATTTTCCTAGCAAGGATTAATACTCTGGGAAAGGAATTCATTCCTGGGGGAGGTCTATAATCGGCTGCTCTGGGAATGTCTGTCCTATGTGGTTGAGATAAGGACTGAGATATGCCCTGGTCTCCTGCAGTACCCTCAGGCTTACTGGAGTGGGGAAAAACCCCACCCTGGTAAATTTGAGGTCAGACTGGTTCTCTGCTCTCAAACCCTGTTTTCTGTTGTTTAAGATGTTTATCAAGACAATATGTGCACTGCTGAACATAGACCCTTATCAGTAATTCTGCTTTTACCCTTTGCCTTGTGATCTTTGTTGGACCCTTATCAGGAGTTTCTGATTTTGCCCTTGTCCTGTTTCCTCAGAAGCATGTGATCTTCATTCTCCTTTTTGCGCTTTGAAGCATGTGATCTTTGTGACCTACTCCCTGTTCTTGCACTGCCTCCCCTTTTGAAATCCTTAATAAAACTTGCTGGCTTTAAGGCTCAGGTGGGCATCACGGTCCTACTGATATGTGAGGTCACCCCCAGTGGCCCAGCTGTAAAATTCCTCTCCTTGTACTGTTTATCTTTATTTATCAGCCAGCTGACACTTATGGAAAATAGAAAGAACCTACGTTGAAATATTGGGGGCAGGTTCCCCCGATAGTTCACCATTATTCTAGTCCATCTTCCCAACTAATGGTACCTCATTTAGGTCTTCCAACTGTATTTTTTATTATTAGAAATCTGACTTCTAACAATGTTTTAGAATTCTGTTAAAAGTCAAATTCTAAGGAACACTTGAAGACTGTAGCTTGTCATATCTCAAGAACCTTCTGATAAGATTATGTTATGATAATAATATCATCATCATGGTGATAGAAGGAAAAATTTCCAAGCTTGGGGCTTACATTTTTCTTCAAAATGACTCATATTATTGAAAGGCAAGAGAAGTCTTACTTCGTATGCCACAGAGAGGCAATGCAAGAGCAATAGAAGCAGTGTGAGCAAGCTGACAAGGAAGGAGTCTAGACCTGCAGGCGAGGGCTACAGAAACCATAGCTGATGTTGTGACTGCCCTTGTCAAGTCAGTCCACTGAGATCAAACTCAAGAGGATGATTTCCCCAGGAAAGTCACTCAAATGCCAGCTTCATGAATGGATTCCTGTGGAATGTTGTCCCACAACCAAGAGGACACACAGAAGGAAATGGGAAAGAGACCAGGGAGCAAACATCAACCTGACACCAAGGATGTTTTCAAGAAAGTCCTGGAGCCTTTCCCTTCATTTAACTCTGTCTGATTGCTAGCTTCACAAATCGTCAGCAACATCACAACAACTGATGCTGTAAGGAAGCCTCTGAGTCCAAAACACGTCATGTTTCTTATTATGTGGTTTCAAAACAATAATACTCCTAATAATAGCTGACAGGCATTAAGTATGTAGTATGTGCTAAGCATGTATCTACTTTATTTCCCCCAAAATCTATCCTCTTAAGTAAATACATAATCAAAGAAATGCAAATACAATAGGCTACAATTTCCCCCATCAAAAATAGATTAAAAATATATATATTTTTTGAGATGGAGTTTCATTCTTGTTGCCCAGGCTGGAGTGCAATGAATGGCATGATCTCGGCTCACCACAACCTCCACCTCCTGGGTTCAAGTGATTTTCTTTCTCAGCCTCCCAAGTAGCTGGGATTACAGGTATGAGCCACCACACTCAGCTGATTTTGTATTTTTAGTAGAGATGGGGTTTCTCCATGTTGGTCAGGCTGGTCTTGAACTCCTGACCTCAGGTGATCTGCCCGCCTCAGCCTCCCAAAGGATTAAAAATATTTTAATGAAAATATTCATTGCTGGTGAGGATGCAGCAAGTTAGAAGTGTTTATTATTAGAGTGCAGTTTCTTCAAGCTTTCAAAAATCCATCTATGGCCAGGTACGGTGGCTCATGCCTATAATCCCAGCACTTTGGGAGGCCAAGGTTGGGGTGCGGTGGGGGAATCATTTGAGGTCAGGCGTTTGAGACCAGCCTGGCCAACAGGGCAAGACCCAACTCTACTAAAAATACAAAAATTAGCCAGGCACGCCTGTAATCCCAGCTACTCTAGAGGCCAAGGCAGGACAATCACTTGAACCCAGGAGGCAGAGGTTGCAGGGAGCTGAGATCATGCCGCTGCACACCAGCCTGGGCAACAGATTGTCTAAAAAAAAAAAGTCAATCTACAAACACGTTTCAGGTGCCTGTAAAATGTTCATACCATGTGATCATCTAATCAGTTTTAAGATGTAATAGAAAATACAGAAAAGCTTGATGCACAAAGCAGTACCCCAGAGCATGGTAGAGTGCATGGAGAGTGACCAGTTAAGGAAGGGAAATTGCTGAATTAGGAAGATGAAGGAAGGTCTCTCTGAGGAGGTGAGACCTGAATGATGAAAGTGAACCCTCATTGTATTACTCATCTGTGCTGAGAAATCTGTGCTTAAATTTGCACCTGATTTACAAGCCATGTGGACGCTTGCAGCCTGTCTCAGCCCATGGTGACCACCCTTCCATGCTGCTGTGCAAGTCTGAGGGCTCAATGTAATCATCTTGAATCTCTCCTGGAATGGCCGTTTGGCCCTAAATATTTAAGCTGGTTGTTTAGGCCAAGCTTCTGTGGGCTTTCCTGCCACTGTGCTGCTTCATGACTCAGACTCAAAATTCAATGAAAAACAAGGGAGAGGCTGGGCACGGTGGCTCACGCCTGTAATCCCAGCACTTTGGGAGGCTGAGGCAGGTGGATCACCTGAGGTCAGGAGTTCAAGACCAGCCTGGCCAATATGGTGAAACCCCGTCTCTACTAAAAGTACAAAAATTAGCTGGGCATGATGGCAGGTGCCTGTAATCCCAGCTACTCGGGAGGCTGAAGCAGGTAGAATTACTCGAACCCGGGAAGTGGAAGTTGCAGTGAGCCGAGATGACACCACTGTACTCCAGCCTGGGTGACAGAGCGAGACTCTGTCTCAAAAAAAAAAAAAAAGAAGAAGAAAAACAAGGGACAACTTTGTCCAGGTGTGGGATTTCCTAACATCTAAATCTAATGATTTTCCTGAAGAAAATATATATAAAATGATTATTCATCTATTTTCAAAAGGGAACTCAGACAGTCTGAAGAGAGTAGGAATTACATTAGCTAAACACTTCAGCTTTAATACAGTTAGTAACTCTGCTCACCTTATGCTTTAAATGTATATGTGTTTGTTTGTTTGTTTGTTTTTTGTTTTATGAGATGGAGTCTCGCTCTGTCGCCCAGGCTGGAGTGCAGTGGCGCAATCTCGGCTCACTACAACCTCTCCCTCCCAGGTTCACGCCATTCTCCTGCCTCAGTCTCCTGAGTAGCTGGGGCTCCAGGCACCCACCACCACACCCGGCTAATTTTATGTATTTTTAGTAGAGATGGGGTTTCACTGTGACAGCTAGGATGGTCTCGATCTTCTGACCTCGTGATCTGCCTGCCTCAGCCTCTCAAAGTGCTGGGATTACAGGCATGTGCCACTGTGCCGGTACCTAAATATATTTTTAATGTACAGGGCAGAGCAGAGGACTTTCTGAAGAAATAGGAGCTTTCTTTCTCCATATGCTTGAAAACAACTAAGTATTTTGGGATCATAACTGCTATATAATACATAATTATTTTAGGCATTATAATTTTGCTATAAGTATTTTATAAATTCTGAGTAATAGCGTTTTTTTCTTCCTTGGTTTGCCTGAAGTCCCTAATACTAACAAGTGTCTTGAATGGGAGCCCATTGTTTTCCACGCCACTCATCTCTGCTCTGTGTAACCCGCCACAAAAACAGTCAGTGGATTTTGACACAGGCAAATAGAAATGACAAATGCATTAGTTTAGACCTTAACCTCGTGTACTTTCTGTATAAAACAGACAAAAGTTGTTTTCAACTTTGCAGTTGCCATTTAAATTGTAATATGCTGTGAGCATGATGTGTCTAACAGTAAAATAATTCTAGGTCTACTCACTTCTCCCAAGGTTACCTTCAAATACAAAAGCTGTGAAACTTCAAGTCATCGTTTTCATTTTCTTATACTGGATAAGCTAAATGCCTTTCAGGTTCTCCACCTTTTAGACCATCTATTCTTCTCATTTTTATGCATTAGATTTCATTTTATTTAAAAATATGCATTTATTTTTCCTGGTGACACCTTTGAAATGAAATTTCAGCTTCATAAGGCCCCTACCATAGTGACTAAAAGCTCTGGCTTATCAAAATGTCCCACCTGCCACTGGCTACATTGCAGATGTTCCCAGAAATTTTTCTTTCTCTTTACTATTGTAGTACATTATACATCATAACTATCCATCTTATGTTACTCACATTATTTCAAATTATATTTGAACTTTGTGGAGGGCCGGGAGCTTGTTTTAAACTTCTCTGTCATCCACTATAATGCCTTGCCTTCAGTATTCAATTAATTAAAGAATATATTAAAATAACAATGAAAATGGTCTGTAATTTAAACATGGGAATGTCACATAGTGTTCCACTCGAGTCAGTGATTGATTTATACACTTACCCAGGAATGGTTGCTTATCACCTGAGAAGCAGTGACTCCCCCACATGCAAGCATGGCTGCATGTCGTAGTTCAGAGGTCACACATGTACTCTGTCTGACAGACTTCAGCACTGGGCTGGGGACAGTGTAAAGGCAGAGTCATAGAAGCCAACTGGGCACAAGCCTTCATGTCCCTTTTGTAAAGTAGATCATAGGTACCTATGCTGTGCTGGTACCTTAACCCTACAGTAATTATCTGTGGTTCATTGTTTCTATTTTACACATCTTATATTACACTATACTCAACAGCAAATTATTATTAATATGCCATATGTTTTTACTTTGTGAAGTGGGGTTTGTTACCCCCATTTAATAGATTAGAAAATAGATGTTTATAGAGTAAGGAAATTCCAAAGGATTTTGTGGCTAGGCAAGTGGCAGAGCCGAGATGAACCTATGTGTCCTTGGTTCTAAATCCACTGGTTGTTTCTATAACTCTCTGCTGTCTTGTAACTACGTAAATGTCTGGAATTGTGATTGAAAAGTTATATACCTGTGCTTGAGAGATTCAGTGGGGAAAGTATACCTCTAAGATGTATCTAGTTAAATATTCTGTAAAGTCTGGAACATAATTTTGTTACTTCTCATTAACAACATATTTTCCTACATCTTGAAAACTTAGGATGTCCATAATTCTAGTATGGAGACTAGAGCTTCTTTTATTACTACCCTGAGTATAATCAGTTCAGACTTTAAGGAACAAGCAGCAATGTGGAGAGAAAAATAAAATGATACTCTCAGTTTAAGAGCAAGGTCAGGCCGGGCGCGGTGGCTCATGCCTGTAATCCCAGCACTTTGGGAGGTTGAGGCGGGAGGATCACTTGAGGTCAGGAGTTTGAGACCAGCCTGGCCAACATGGTGAAACCCCATCTCTACTAAAAATATAAAAATTAGCCGGGCATGGTGGTGTGTGCCTGTAATCCCAGCTACTCGGGAAGCTGAGGCAGGAGAATTGCTTGAACCTTGGAGGCAGAGGTTGCAGTGAGCCTAGATTGCGCCAATATACTCCAGCCTGGACGACAGAGCGAGTCTCCGTCACAAAAAAAGCAAGGTCAAAGGGAGCAATTTATTTTAATATATGCAAAGTAAAATTTTAGGTAATTACTATGAAGCTATATATTATTCACAGTTTTAAGTGGTTTTGTCTTTATTATAGAATGAATACCTAAATGAAGATGTGGATGCTAGAGTTATTGAATATGAGGATAACTGGCCCCTCTTAGATATGTTTCTGCAAAAGCCAATGGGTTTACTTTCCCTACTTGATGAAGAAAGTAGATTTCCCAAGGCCACTGACCAGACTCTTGTAGGTGAGTTTTCAGTCCAGTGTGTCTGCATGGTTTTATGAATAGAGTCTTGTCATTCTGAATGATTTTTTAAATGGCTTTAAATTATCTGGAAGAAAATAGCTGTCACAAAGCCTGCATATTTGACTTTAAAGAAGAGCCTTTGGATTTAATACCTGGACCAGTGCATGTTTATGATAGGGTAAAATATTTAGTGATAAATTAAGCAAGTTTAAATATTGGACTTCTCCTTATTTTGTGGTGAAGCTCAACCATAGAATCACAGGTTATAAATGACCTTAGAAATTTTCCAGCCCAAAATTAGAAATTGGTGAGCAGTGCAAAAGGACAGCTCTGGAATTGAGAAGAGATAGTTAACAGGTAGGAAATAAATTAATCTGTGATGTTCTGTTCTATTCATTTATTTAATATAGGCAAATCACTTCAAATACCTTAATAACCTCTAAGTTACAGTACATTAATAAATATTCATGATAATAATCCTAAGTCATCAAAGTAAGATTAAATGTATTCATTTTTTGTGTTTGAGAAAGCAAAGAAATGTATAATACATTTTAAAAGATCACCATTCAAGCTGGTTAAAATGAAAATGTCTTACTCCTTAAATTAAAAAAGAAAAAAAAACTAGATTTTTCAGATATCTGAAAAAAAAATGTTTTTAAACGCAGAACATTGTGTTCCCTGATGATAGGAGGTATTTATTCTGTATGAGAAATACTTTCAGAAAATGTGGATTCACATCTTTCTGTCATTTACTTTGGGTGACATGTAGAGCCTCTTTCTTACCATTAGGTCTGTGATGTTCCTTCTTTCTGACTCACTGATTGGCTTAATTTCTCCTCAAATTGGACAATACTAGATGGAAAATAAACTGACCCCAAAGTGGTGGGGAAAATCATTTCATAGCAGTCAGTTGATTTTTAGATCAAATGATCCTTCTAGAATAAGTTCTCCGAAGGTGGCAAAATTGTTATAGAAATTCAGCTGCCTTTAAGATCATGTTTTATTTCTCATGTAATCAATAATAATTTATAGCTCTACAAGTAGAAAAGAGAGCAAAAACGCCAGATTTTTAGGCTCATGGCTTGACATCAAACTGTGTTTTACAAACCTCTTTGGTCAGTCTCAAGTAGTTTACTTCCTCCGTACCAGTGGTTCTCAAAATGTGGTCCCCTGCCCAGGAACATCAGCATCACCTGAGAACTTATTAGAAATGAAAATTCTTGGATCCCACCCCAAACCTACTGAGTCAGAAACTCTGCGATTAGGGCCCACAACCTGTGTTATAAACCCTCAGCCAGGTGCAGTGGCCCACACCTGTAATCCCAGCACTTTGGGAGGCCGACACAGGTGGATCACCTGAGGTCAGGAGTTCGAGACCAGCCTGGCCAACATGGCAAAACCCTGTCTCTACTTTAAAAATATAAAAAATTAGCCAGGCATGGTGTCGGGCTCCTGTAATCCCAGCTACTTGGGAGGCTGAGGCAGGAGAATCACTTGAATCCAGGAGGTGGAGGTTGCAGTGAGCCAAGATCGCACCATTGCACTCCAGCCTGGGCAACAAGAACGAAACTCTGTCTCAAAAAAAAAAAAAAAAAAACCCTCAAGGTGACTCTGATGCATGACATGGCTTGAGGACTGATGCCCTAAATCGTAATGTAATGGTGGAAATTAATGATCTTGAGTTTTACTTTACCATGTATAATTCTATTCCAAATCTGCATATATTAGCTATGTAAAATTTTCTTTGTTCACTGCACATTGTCCTTTTTATGGTAAATAATTTTCGCAGTATTTTTTGAGGATCTCATACATGCTTGATATTTGAGTTCAGTATTTTTCTACAGAAAAATTTGAAGGTAACCTGAAATCACAATACTTCTGGAGACCCAAAAGAATGGAACTTAGTTTTGGAATTCACCATTATGCAGGAAAGGTAAGAACTCTAAAGAATTATGACTGAGTTTCTCCTTAGCCTTTTAATGAATAATAGGATAGACATGAAAATTATGGCCCAAAATGTTTATAGATAATGATAATGTCATAGCTGTCTGTTTCCGCCCCCACTGGCCCTAATTATGCCCTCTGATGTCCTGTAATCCATCCTGTCCTTTGCTAGCCACTCACTATGGAGGCCAGACCCACTCCAGGGCATGCGCTTCTAGCATCTATGCTGAAGAGGTTAAAAGAAAAGTCTTTCTCTTAGTTTAACAATCATAAGTTTATAGTTTTTCTAGAGGAATCATTTTTAAGTAACTAAGAAAAAACAAAAAGAAAAGACACAAAACTGAAAGAATCCTTCGGTGAGATTAGCTGGCAATGGTTACCTATTTGTTTCCTTCTTGTAGCAATGCCTGAGGACCTTTGGTATAGACTGCCTTTTTCAGACTTTAGATGATTCTCTCTCTACTGCACTCTTTGTCCCTCCTCCCTTTCAAGAAGAGAAGGTGCCAGGCTGGAGGTACAGTCAGATAACTGAGCTAAGCCAGATGAATGGATTATGATGCAGTTAGAGGAAGAAATGTCTCTACATTGACAGAAACACATTCCCACAGCAGAGAAAACCTCAGATTTGTTGTCCTAGACCCAGAGGATGCTCTCTTTCCTTCCTTCTGCAGAGAATGACAGGTCATTCTTTCACAATGATGTCATAAATATGGGAGGACAAAGAGGATATTCAGATCAAGAAAGAATGTATCAAATGAAAAATACATAAAAATAAAATTACACAGAACTTAAAGTTATCTAAAGTTATCTAAAGAAACAATCTATTAGTCTGCTCGGGCTGCCATAACAAAAATATCACAGGCTGCATGACTTAAACAACAGAAATTTATTTTTTTGACAGTTTTGGAGGCTTACAGATCAAAGTGCTCTAAGTGGGGTTAGCATCTGGGAGGCCTCTCTTCCTGGCTTGAAGATGGCTACCTTCTCAAGGTGTCCCCACATGGCCTTTGCTATGTGAGCATAGGGAGTGGGGAGAAATATCCCTGGTTCCTCTTCCTGCTCTTATAAGAACACAAGTCTTATTGGTGTAGGGTCTTACTCTTATACCTTATTTAACATTAATTACCTCCATAAAGGCCCTGTCTCCAAATACAGTCACAGTGAAAGTTTACATCTTCAAAATCTGAATTTTAGAAGAACACAATTTGACCCATAACAAATACTATATTGGATCATTTCCACAAAAATCTTTGGATAACATTGATCTTTAAAAAGTCGTAAAATTGGCTAGGCATGGTGGCTCACGCCTGTAATCCTAGCACTTTGGGAGGCCGAGGTAGGAGGATCACTGGAGCTCAGGAGTTCAAGACCACCCTGGGTAACATAGCAAGACCTCATCTCTAAACTTTTTTTTAAGTAATAACATTATTTAGAAGTGCCAGAAACACAAAAAGCCACAGTGTTTTTAAATCACACTACTACTGAGATAAAAATCTATCATGGCCAATTCAACACAGGTGGATCAATTATCATAGAAATAGGAATGCCTTTGTGGCTCAATATGCTTCCTTTATGCTGCTCCATCCCTCCAAACAGAGAAAAGAAACATACCAAATTCCTAATGTAATAAATGAGAGGAATCAAACCTCTTTGGTCATTTCAACCCAAATAAAATCAGTGAGACACAGATGATAAGGAGCTACCTTAAGATGATAAGGAGCTACCTTAAGATGATAAGGGGCTACCTTAGTAAATGCTTGTATCACTGTTGCTGAACATAGAGTAAGCTCATAATGAGTATCTGTTGTTGATGATGATGATGGTGAGGAGGAGGAGGATGACAATGACATTGATTGTGATAATTATAGCATACTGTATCAACAGGTCCTCTATAATGCAAGTGGATTCTTAGCCAAAAACAGAGACACTCTTCCTACTGACATTGTGCTACTTTTGAGGTCATCCGACAACAGTGTAATTAGGCAACTAGTCAACCACCCTCTGACCAAAACAGGTAAGACAATTTTCCTTACCTGGAAGTTTTCTGAAGCCCAATCAAATAGTTTCTATCTCTGCGCTTTTCACTAATTTCATCCTTAATTTTTCATGTGAGTTTGTTTTCGGCTCACTAAATATTCATTTGTTAATATCCTCTGCCCCAGATCATCTGAAGAAAATATAAAAATGAATATAAATAAGCTAGTTTTTCATTAAAGGTAAGTGTTTGCAGCAGTCATGCAGAAAATGTGGTGGTATCCTAGCTACTCACTACAAGAGTATACTGACCTCCAGAGTTCAGAATTACCTGGGCAAATCAGGAGTGGGCAGCTTTTGGATGATTCTTTGAGGTTCCAAAAGTTTGGTGGGCTCTCTTATTGATTAAAAATGGACGTGTCTTTGTTCCACCCAACCATAATACATCCTTGCATTTGCTGTAAGTAGAAAAAATATAGTTTGGGTTGTTTTTCTTTACTGGAGTTTAAAATTGTTCTCTGCATTTCTTTTTTCATAGTTTTATTGAAGTATAACTGAAATACAAGAAACAGCACATATTTAAACAGTAAAATTTGATGAGTTTTTGACATATATAAGCACCTGTAAAACTATCACCATGATTAATAGTGAACATACTCATCACTCACAAATGATGTTTCTCATGACCCTTTATAATCCTTCCCTCCAAACCTCTCTGTTCTATCACCATTTGTTGAAGAGATTGTTCTTTCCCCATTGAATTGCTTTGACACTCCTTGAAAAATCAATTGACTAATAAATAGGTCTATTTCTGGACTCTTTATTGGGTGTCATTGATATTTATCTATCTTTAGGCTAATGCACACTTCTTGACTACTGTAGCTTTCTATAAAGTCCTGAAATCAGGCAGTACAAGTTAACCTGACTTTGTTCTTATTCAGGCTTGTTTAGGTAATTATAATTTGTTTGCTTTTCCATATACGTTTTAGAATGAGCTTGTCAATTTCTACCAAAAATCCTGGTTGGGTTTTGATTGGAATGCACTGAAACTATAGATCAATAATGGGAGAATTGGTATCTTCCCAACATTAAATCTTCCAATCAGCACAGTATAGCTCTCCATTTATTTAAGTCTCCCTTAATTTCTCTCAGCAACATTTTGTAGTTTTCACTGTACAAGTTTTGCACATCCTTTGCCAAATTATCTGCTAGTGTATCACATTTTTATGTGATTATAAATGGTAATTTTTAACTGAAATTCTGGTTTTTGCCAGTATATGAAGTCTAATTGATTTTTGTATATTGATTTTTTGCCCTGCAGCCTTGCTAAGCTCATTTATCAGGGTAGCTTTTTTTTGTTAATTCCAAAGGATTTTCTTCACAGATTGATCATGTTGTCTGTGAAGAAAGAGTTTTGCCTGTTCTTTTCCAATATGTTTCCTTTTGAATTCTTTTTTCTTGGTTGCACTGGCTAGAATCACAATGCAATCACCAGTGTTGAACACAGGACAGGTTGCAAGAGTGAACACTCTTGCCTTTTTCCTGATCTTGGGGAAAGAGTAGTTAGTCTTTTAGTCTTTCACCACTGAGTATAATGTTAACTGTAGATTTTTTCATAGAAGCCCTTTATCAGGGGAGAAGTTACTTTTTTTTTTAATTCCTAATTTCCTGAATGGTTTTTTTTGTTGTTGGTTGTTTTTCGTTTGTTTGTTTTTGTTTTTCATGTTTTTTTTGAGACAGAGTCTCACACTGTTGCCCAGGCTAGAGTGCAGTGGCACAATTTCGGCTCACTGCAACATCTGCCTCCCAAGTTCAAGAGATTCTCCTACTCCAGCCTTCCGAGTAGCTGGGATTACAGGCGTGCACCACCACGCCCAACTAATTTTTGTATTTTTACTAGAGACAGGGTTTCACCATGTTGGCCAAGCTGGTATTGAGCTCCTGACCTCAGGTGATCCACCCGCCTCGGCCTCCCAAGGTGCTGGGATTACAGGTATGAGCCACCACGCCTGGCCAATTTCCTGAGTTTTTATCAGGCATGCATATAGTATTTTGTTAAATGCTTTTTCCACATCTACTGAATAGATTACCCTTTTTTTTTGTTATTTTTTTAAATTGACAGCTAAAATTGTGTTTATTGTATACAAATGACATTTGGAAATATACGTACATTGTAGAATAATGAAATCCAGCTAATTAACATATACATTACTGTATATAATTATTTGTGGTGAGAACACTTAAAAATCTACTCTCTTAGCAATTTTCAAGTATATAATACTATGAACTTACGTATCCTATCTAGCTGACATTTTATCCTTTGACCAGCATCTCCCCAACCTACCTCTTCTCACTGCAACCACCACAACTACTAGTAACCACCATTCCACTCTCTAGCTCTATGAAATCAACTTTTTTAGATTCCACAAATTCCATCCAGTATTTGTCTTTTTTGACTGGCTAATTTCACTTATAGTGTCCTTCAGGTTCAACCATGTTGAATAGTATTCGTGTGTGTGTGTGTGTGTGTGTGTGTGTAGACACCACATTTTCTTTATCCAATCATCCATTGATGGACACCTGGGTTGATCATATCTTGGCTATTATGAACAATGCTGTATCTGTTAAATGGTGAGTGACTGATTTTTTAATCATTCCTGGGAAAAACCTCAAATGGTCATGATGCATTGTACTTTTTATATATTGCTGAATTCAGTTTGCAAACATGTTTTAAGAATGCTTGCATCTTTGTTTATGAGGAATATTGCACTATAGTTTTCTTATGCTTCATTTTGTGACTTTGGAATCACAGTAATGCTGGCCTCATAGAATAAATTGAGTAATATTGCCTTTTCTTCAATTTTCAGGAATAGTAGAATGAGTATTATTTCTTCCTAAGTTGCTTTGTAGAATTCACCAATGAAGCCAACTGGGCCTGAAGGATGTTTTGTGAGGTTTTCAACTACAAATTCAATTTGTTTAGTAAATATAAAGCTATCTGAGTTATCTAATTTTTGAGTGAGCTTTAGTAGATTGTGTTTTTTAAGAAATTTATTTCATCTACATAGTCAAATTTATTGACACCGTTGATTACAACATTTTCTTACTATCCTTTTAGTATCTGTAGATCCTGAAGTTATGTCAGCTGTCTCATAAGTGACGTTGGTAATTTGTGTCTTCTCTCATTTTATTCTTGATAGATTTCCTAGACATGTGTTAATTTTATTGATCTTCTCAAATGGTTTCATTGGTTTTTTTATTGGTTTTGTTTCTATTTCATTCTCTTTTTCTTTCTCGTTTATCTTTGTTGTTTTCTTTCTCTGCTTACTTTGTGTTTTATTTTGTTTCCTTTTTTCATTTCTAAGGTAAAACTTAGATCATTGATTTAAGAAGACATTTTTCTAATATCAGCACTTATATGGGTTATTTATAAGAGTTTATAAGGTTTCCAAATATGGTGAGATTTTTCAAATATTATTTATGGACTTCTAATTTAACTTCATAGTGTTCAGAGAGCGTACTTTGTGTTATTTAATCCATTTAACTTTATTGAGATATGTTTTAAGACCCATAATATTATCTGTCTTATTTTATTTTCATTTGCACTTGAAAATATTGTTTATTCTGCTGGTTGTTGGATGAAATGTTCCATAAATGTCAATTAGGTCCACTTGATTGAGAGTATTGGTCACATCTTCTGTATTCTTACTGTTTTTCTCTCTCCTGGTTCTATCAATTACTGAGAGAGGGATTTTTAAATATTTGGCTATAGCTGTCAATTTGTCTCTCTTTTTTTTTCAGTTTTTGCTCATGTATTCTTAAGCTATATTATTAGGTAAATAAACATTTAAAATTGTTATGTCTTCTTGATGGATAGACTCCTTTGTTATGTGATGACCCTTTTCATCCTTGGCAGTATTGTTTGTTCTGAAATCTACTTTGCCTAATATTAATATAGAGACTCCAGCTTTCTTATGATTAGTGAGTGAATGGCATATCTTTTTCCATACTCTTAATTTCAACTTATTGTTTTTCTTTATATTCAAAGTAGGGTTTTTCTAAACAGCACATAGTTGCGTCTTGGTTTTTTTTAATCCAGTCTGACAATCTCTGCCTTTCAATTGAGATGATTAGATGATTTACATTTAATGTGATTAATGATATGGTTGGATTTGACTCTTATCATCTTGCCACTTGTTTTCTGTTGGTTATATTGGCTTATTTTCCCAGGCTTTACCTGAGTTCCCTCACTCGCTGCATTTCAGGCTGACACTTCTCCAGGCAGAAAGCTGGCACAATCAGAGGGCTCACCTCATTTGTCTTCCCTCTCTTAGGGATCAATGTCCTTACACTGCTTGACGCACAATGTATGAAACCTGTTTTTCATTTTGTATGTCTTTTTAGTTGTTTGAGGTGCGAAGGTTAATCTAGTCGGTGTTACTTTATCTGACCCAGAAGCAAAAGTCATTAATTTTGACTTTAACAATTGCCATCCCTTTTCATATACACCAACAGCATCTATCCATCTAATTCCATGTTTTTTGCCCTTATAAAATATGCAGCCAGGCTCTAAATACTATGTTGTGTTGCTTGGCTATCAGCAGAACAGTGTCTGGTTGGCCAGGGAGAAGAGAAGAACTTAATAGTCAAGTATGTTTCAATAAACTCAGAACCTCAGAGATAGCAAAGACATATGGATTTTATATTCACCCAGATGTGCAAACATGTAATAATAATCATAGACAACTTTGTTATCTATTATGTGCTAGGCACCGTGCTAAGCACCTTCAATTACTCCTAATAACAACACAATAAGGAGGCACTACTTTTTTACAAATAAGACATTAAGGCTTGAAAGTGTTGAGCAGCTTTCCCAAGGTTTCCCAATGGAAAATGTTAGAGTTAGAGTTCTTCAATTCTATATTATGATGTCTTCAAGATTCTAAAATAACCATGGCCCTTTGTATATATGACTTCACATATGACATACAGTTCAGCCATTTTTAGGGGAAAGTGCACCACAGTTACTTGCAGCTCACGTCTTTAGTTGGGTTTATCACAAGTTTGTTCATTAGGTGAGCTATAAAAACCAAAATGGATATATTTTCAGAAATTAAGGTCTATGCTAATTTTAGTTCCCGTTGATCTACATAAATAAATTTAAGCGAAATTCCTGAAACTGCCACTCTAAAGATCATCTGTTACTGTATCTGTCCACTCTGCTGTAGTCAGTAAGTTTCACATTTTGAAAAGTGAACAGGGCAGTGTGCAGGGCAAGCCTAGCATGGAAACTGTGGCACACACCCGTCTCAGCCCCTCCCCTGGAGTTCGGATGGAGGGGAGGAAGCAGAGCAGAGGCCCTGCCAGGCACACTCCCATCATGATTCCTTCCTGCACCATCTTAGGCCAGCCTTTTGCAACCATAAAGAATGGGAAAGGTTTGCCAAAAACATTCAGCCTCTACTTATCACCTAGAAGAAGGAGAGAGACAAGAAATGATCTTTCTGAATTGATACTGCATTTTGAAGATATTTTGCACATTACTATTAGGATAATAAACTCTTCGATTGTGGGTTGGTTGGTTCCTTGTGCTTGGTGGGGTGAGAGCTGTGAAAGTGAACTGCATTTCAGGGGCCTTCCATGTGCCAGACATATTATCGCATTTCATCAAAACTCTGTGAGGAAATCACCATTATTCCCATTTTATGGATTCTGGGTGCAGATCAGAGACTAAGTAAATGACCCAAAGGCAACACAGTTTAAGTACTATACCTGGGATTCAAAGCCAAGTCTTTCTGGCTTCTCAGGCCATAATTTTTTCACTGTTTTGGGTTGTGTGCATTTGTGTAGTCCTTAGAATGAAGCACGTTTCTGAAAGTTAGATTGAAAAAGGCCATTGCCTCCAACCATAGTTGATTTGCTTATAACCACCTCATGCAAATTAATGATTCATATGATTTTTCAGGCCAATTGTAAAGCTTAGCCTGTGTTAAAGAAAATCTCAGATGCCATTTATCACACAAAAAAATAAGAAGCAAACTGCTCCCTCAATCATAATCATCTCAAGTCTTCTAGCAATTCAAAGGAAACCCAACACCTCAGCCTTTTCTGTTTTCCAAGCTCAAGAGTTTTTTTCTGAATTTAAAATTTGTTGTACATTTTTACATAATTTTTTTTATTCCTAAGTTCCTCCATAAATAGTTAACCAAGCATATGATTATGAATATTGCAGGATTAACAATGCTTATTTTAACATTTAAGTAAATGGGAAAAATCATCTAGCCATTAAGGATTCTAAAAGGTATATTACATTTTTCTACATTCTCATAGGTAATCTGCCACATTCTAAAACTAAAAATGTTATAAACTATCAAATGAGGACTTCAGAAAAATTAATCAACCTGGCAAAGGTAAGAAAATGCTTTTTTTCTTGGCAGTGAGTCTAAGAATCTAACCGGTATGATGGCAATATTTGTATGCTTCTCAAAGTCAACAGTTTTTTTCTTAGTTTTTCTCCCTTTGATCTTGCTTTTCTGTTTGAACAGATATTTATGTTATGTTCTTGTTACTGCTAGGGGCTAAAATAATCATGCATTTCTGATATATTAATATTTCCAACTCTTCTTTTTTAGCTAGTTTTTGGGGGGCAGTTTTTGTTTTTGTTTGTTTGTTTGTTTTTGAGACTGGAGTCTCACTCTGTCACCCAGGCTGGAGTGCAGTGGCATGATCTCAGCTCACTGCAACCTCTGCCTCCCAGGCTCAAGTGATTCTCCTGCCTCAGCCTCCTGATTAGCTGGGATTACAGGTACCCACCCACACCCAGCTAATTTTTCTATTTTTAGTAGAGACAGGATTTCACCATGTTGGCCAGGCTGGTCTTGAAGTCCTGACCTCAAATGAGCAGCCTGCCTCGGCCTCCCAAAGTGCTGGCATTACAGGCATGAGCCACCATGCCTAGCCCTTTTTTAGCTAGTTTTAAATGTTACACTAAGACCAACTAAAAATGTACTAGTGAAGATGAGAGATATTCACAGTCTACATAAGACCAATTAAAATTCCAATGAGACTGACAAAACAATTACCTAAAGGAAGAATATCAACATTTTGCTGTTTTACATATTTGAATGCATAAACTAAGATAGCCTGAAGGAAAATGCCACATGCTGTCTGTAGATAATAAAGTACAATAGATACCAAGGCATCACTGTCTTCCTTGGTCTCCTTAGGGCGACACTGGAGAAGCCACACGTCATGCCAGAGAGACAACCAACATGAAAACACAAACGGTTGCATCATATTTTAGAGTAAGATATTAAACTATGATGTATTGTGCTTAGGGGTGCTATTTAGTCTAAATGAGTTACAGATCAAAAGCCAGTAACACTAGCAAAGAGAATGTTTATTGTATTCCATTTACTATTGTTAGATACAGGATATGTTAGCATCTACCTTCAAAATCTGCAGATTGGTTTATTTTTACATTCTACCTGTGAAATTATTGTATCCCAGGTCAATCTTAATGAAAGTCTATACCTTGATTAAAATTTGTCCATAGAACAGAATGCATTTCCACTAGAATAAAACCTAAAAGGATTTTTACTTCAATGCTATGATAACTACCAATTCTCCTTCCCCATCCTGAATGATTTTAGAGTAGACAGATAGGGCAAGGCTGAGCATCCATCTCCATTTCATATCACCCTGCCTGTACAGAGCTAAAAACCTCAAAAGGAAAATAGAGCCCGTGTAGGAATGGTGCGAGGAGAAGAGTCATCAGGAAGATGCGGTAACGTGCTTAAGAGAGTGTGCTTAGCATAGGATCAAGGCGACCTTCCTTCCTTGGGCAATGTAGGATAAAAGAAAAAAACCAAGTACTTTTTTTTCCTCTGTGCTCTAGATAACCCTCCCATTATTGGTTCCAGTTCTTGTTTACCTATTCTGATAAAAACCTATTAACCATCCAATGAAAATGAAGAAAATACCACTAAAACTTGGAGTTATTACTTATGTAATTTAATGTGGAGGAGGTGGAGGAAATTAGATTAAATTTACTCTAAGTGTTCAGTGAATGTATCCAACTCTCTAGCAGAAACATAAAATTCTTTAAAAAATATATGAGTACCTTTACTAAATATTTTTTAAGTCCGAAGCTCATAGAAGACAGTGTGTACTTAATCATCTTTGAGTAGTGCCAGTACATTTATATGCTTAATACCTGACGTTTGTTGCTAATACATTTCACTTTACATCAGAAATGCAGCATAGGTGAATCACTGAACGTATTTACAGCCAAGTTGTTTCCTTTTTTTAAGTGAGTTACCCAACACCATTATCATACCACTGTTGTTGGCATCAAACACTGTATGTATGTTTAAACCAGATTAGTTCATGAAATCTTTTTAATCTTCAGGCTGAAGTGAGAAATGATAGAAGATAATCCCACCTAACATGAAGTGTGTTTTTAAAGCTATTTTCATTCTGCAGAGAAGACTGAACACAGTGTAACACTATGCTTTAGTCCCTCAGAAAAACCAGCGCCTAAATTGCAGGAAGGTCCTGCTTAGAGTATCACCCCTGTACCACCAGTACTTGGCAGATGTTCGCACGAGTAAAGGAATGATGACTTACAGATAAATGTAATGAAAAAGGCTCCAAAGTGACAGGCCCAGCTGTTTGAAAAGATCACATCTGAGCCTCAGTGCCCAAGAGGAAGCCATGCAAATTCAGAGCTTTGTCGGTTGCCAATTTCAGCATTTGTTTTGCACTGGCTTTATGACTGTAGGCTCTTACATTTCCAACACTAAACGGGATCCAGCCGTCAATTGCTATTTGTGTCCATACATTACCTCACCAATAAATGTGATCCTGGTCTTTGAGATACTCGCTTTCTGGGATTCCACTTTTAGTTGATTATCCTAATATGTTATACTTACTTGTCTAGTAATTGGCTACTGTTTTAATAAGGTATTGCTATAGAACACAGTTTCATATCTATGTGAATTTTTTAAATTATCCAAAAATAAATAAGAAAATGATCAAATTAGAACTGATGAAAATATTTAATTGGATTTCACTTTGCTTATATCTACTTCTTACATATTAAACGCTATTGACTTTTCTGTCCTTATTTTAAACTAAGAGATGATCCTAACAGGGATTAAGGTGTTCCCTTTTTTTTAATTGTATTTTAAGTTCAGGGGTAAATGTGCAGTTTGGTTATATAGGTGAAGCTGTGTCATGGAGGTTTGTTGAACAGATTATTTCATCATGCAGGTATTAAGCCCAGTACCCGTTAGTTATGTTTCCTGATCGTCTCCCTCCTCGTACTCTCCACCCTCCAATAAGCTCCAGTGTCTGTTGTAAAGTATTCCCTTTTTTACCATCTATAAAGAGAGAGTTGGACAAGGAAATTAATATATAAGAAGGATTAGTAAGATTGTATAATATTATAATTTGGTAAGTTAGCCTAAGAGTATATAATTGCTTACAAACTACATCAAAAATAATTTTATCTGTTAATTAAAGTTGCCTTAATGGTTTATAAGCAAACTTTTAATAGCTAAATTTCTAGTTACTGCCTCTACATTTTTATAAGTAAATCTGTATTTTTTAGAACTATACTATAAATAAAATGTTCATTAAAACAGATTTTCCTCCATTTACTGTGACTAATGGGAGCATTTATAACATTCATTTTTTGAATGTTATTCTTGTAGTAAAAAGAAAGGCCTACAAGCTCATACGTTTTTGTATGCTACATTGGGAAATTTATTTTTGTTGTGTATTATAGTATTCCCTGATGGATTTGTTGTCTAAAATGGTGGTGGGCCAACCTCATTTTGTCCGTTGCATCAAACCAAATAGTGAGCGTCAGGCAAGAAAATATGACAAAGAGAAAGTTCTGCTACAGCTTCGGTACACAGGAATTCTGGAAACAGCAAGAATTCGAAGACTAGGATTCTCCCATCGGATACTTTTTGCTAACTTTATAAAGCGGTATGTGGATTTCTTTTTCAGTTTCTATTGTGCAGTTTATATAAAAATCATTCAGAAGAATTATAAGAAACATAATATGAAAAAATCTTTAGAGGTCTAGGAGGGAGGCATTTTGTTCATGCAAATGATTATGTGTTGAAAAAAGAAGATAGCTATTAACTGAGGCTGAAAGACTCTGGACAGATGGGTGGTACTATGTGGTATAGGCAGCATGATCCAGAGGCGTGAGCTTCTGTACTGAGGAGTTGGAGAATCTGGGTTCTCGCCCTAGCTCAGCCACTTGCTATGTGACTGTAGGCCTATACCACTGATTCTCAGCTGGGAGAGATTTTGCCCCTCAAAAGACACTTGGCAATGTCTGGAGACATTTCTGGTTGTCACATCCTGTGTGGTGTAGGGGCGTGGGGGGATGCTACTGACCTCTAGTGGGTAGAGGCCTGGGAATGCTGTTAAACAGCCATTCTACAATTTACAGGATGGCCTCCCCACAACAAAGAATTATCCAGCCCCAAATCTCAACAGTGCTGAGGCTGAGAAACCCTGGCCTATAACCCTAACCTCACTTTACTCGCCTACCAAATCTGCTCTAACTACCTGATAGGATCCTTATAATGATCAAATGAGATACTGTCTCTAACGGTGATTTGGAAGATGAAACAATTAGGTTTATGTGTCAATTTAAAAAGCTAACATAAATTTTTTTAAAAGAATCAATTGGTATAAGGAATGTTTTATTTTATTTTTTTTTTTTTTTTGAGACGGAGTCTGGCTCTGTGACCCAGGCTGGAGTGCAGTGGCGCGATCTCAGCTCACTGCAAGCTCTGCTTCCCAGGCTCATGCCATTCTTCTGCCTCAGCCTCCCGACTAGCTGGGAGTACAGGTGCCCACCACCATGCCCAGCTAATTTTTTTTGTATTTTTAGTAGAGATGGGGGTTTCACCGTGTTAGCCAGGATGGTCTCGATCTTCTGACCTTGTGATCCACCCGTCTTGGCCTCCCAAAGTGCTAGGATTACAGGCGTGAGCCACTGCGCCCAGCCAAGGAGTTCCTTTTAATATTTGAGATTAACATAAAATAAATTAAGCTATATACTAAATATATTTTATTGAGTAATACGTTATTAGTAATGTGAAGGTTCAATATCTTATATATTTAATATTTTAAATGCCCATATTTTTTATATTTTTTCAGTTCTATCATTTCTATTGGTCATTAAACATAATGAAATTTCCATTTTTAAAGATGAAGTCTATTAAAATTTTCAGGTGAAACCCAGTATTTGAGGAAGTCCCATTTATAATATTCTTCACCCTTTTTCAAAGTATATAAATTACTATTAAGAACAAAACCGTGTTTTGTGATTGCACATCAAACTTGATTTCTAATTTTCCTCCCCTCCTCCGTAAAACTTTATGCATTTTATTAGCCATTCTTTTACTTGGAGTAACCAAGACTCCTTCTAAATGTGATGAGAATTCTGATTATTTCTGCTAATTTTTTTTTTTTTTTTGAGACGGAGTCTTGCACTGTTGCCCAGGCTGGAGTGCAGTGGCCGGATCTCGGCTCCTGGGTTCACACCATTCTCCTGCCTCAGCCTCCTGAATAGCTAGAACTACAGGCGCCCGCCACCACGCCCGGCTAATTTTTTGTACTTTTAGTAGAGACGGGGTTTCACCGTTTTAGCCAGGATGGTCTCCATCTCCTGACCTCGTGATCCGCCCACCTTGGCCTCCCAAAGTGCTGGAATTCCAGGCATGAGCCACTGTGCCTGGCCTATTTCTGCTAATTTTTATATGTTCAGCAAATTTGTGGTAGTTCTTGATTTAGTTTTTCTTTTTTTTCTTTTTCTTTTTTTTTTTTTTTAGACAGAGTCTCGCTCTGTCACCCAGGCTGGAGTGCAGTGGCGCAATCTTGGCTCACTGCAAGCTCCGCTTCACAGTGAGCTTGCATTCTGTGCAAACTCACGCCATTCTCCTGCCTCAGCCTCCCGAGTAGCTGGGACTACAGGTGCCCACCACCACGCCCGGCTAATTTTTTGTATTTTTATTAGAGAAGGGGTTTCACCATGTTAGCCAGGATGGTCTTGATCTCCTGACCTCGTGATCCGCCAGCCTCGGCCTCCCAAAGTGCTGGGATTACAGGCGTGAGCCACTGCACCCAGCTGATTTTGGTTTTCTTTAGAGACCTGGGATTATTTATTTGGAATGCTTTGAAATCAAGAAAACTCTACTACCTTTTTCATGATGGAGATCAAAATTACATAAACATATGACTTTTGTGTTGGCCAATCCTTATAGTAGTTTAAGACAAACCAAAACCTCAAGTTTAGAGTCCAGAAATCTAGTTAGCAGCTAATCATCAACTTTACTTCCTACAGATCAGACACAATTTTATAACCAAAACTAAGAAATAAAAAAATGGAATTTTTTTATTGGCTAATAGGTAAATTCTCCATCCTGCTCATGAAAGCAGGTAAACCAAAAATACTAGATACAAAGGAGTTTCAAATATCAAATTAAGATTAAAATTTGACCTTATTATCATGCACTTCATGTTTCAGAAAAAAATGAGATCTTTAATTTGCTTAAATAGTAATATAGATATTATGAGTGTAATATTAATATAAGTACTCTTAAATTTCAGTGATTTTTTAATGTATAAGGCACCATGCTAAGCACTGTGGGAGACACTGAATTTTAGAAGTGGCTTGATCTTCAATATTGGACAGTCCAGTTAGAATCACCAGAGGCACAGACATGGAAAGTTAACAAGCAATGTGAAGTAATAAGTGCCAAGGCCAAGAGAATGATATACACAGTGTAAGAGTTCAAGGGAAGGAAGAGCATCTCCAGGAAGGCTGATGAGAGAGGATATCAAGAAGAGGCATTCAGCTAATGCAGAAGGATCATTTGATGCCAGGAGTTTGAGACCAGCCTGGGCAATGTAGCAAGACCCCATCTCTAAAAACAATTTTTTTTAATTAGCTGGGTGTGGTGGCTCATGCCTGTAGTCTTAGCTACTCAGGAGTCTGTGGCAGGAGGATCACTTGAGCCCAGGAGTTCAAGGTTACAGGAGGCTATGTTCATACCACTGCACTCCAGCCTGGGTGACAGAGCAAGACCCTATCTCTAAAAAAAATGAAAAATAAAAAAATAAGAAGAAGGACTCAAACTGGGACTTGAAGGAGGGTACGGCTTATGGAGAAAACAGGAGTTTTCTTGGTGTACAGGTTGGTGTGCCAAAAGCTAGCGGGACTTAGATTGGATTGGGTTGGTAGAGTGGGCATTGCATTGGTGAAGTGACAGAAGATAATATGAAAAAACAATTGTGTTAAAATTATGAAGAGAGCCTTGAATACCAGCCTAATCTTATAGCTTGAAAAATAACCATAGTTTTACAATGTAGAGCATAATGAGAATAAAACCTATTTTCTTAATGATATTGTAGTTCAAATGTCAGAAATGAGAATAAATTCTTAAATATATTTGTAATTATTGTGCTATTACAGAATAGCAAATTACTACACAATAAATAAAGAGAAGGGGATAAAACTAAGTGTATAGAGAACACATGAATAGCTGTTCTGAATACAGGAAGTTCCAGAAATAAAAGGCTAAACCTTTTCTGTGTCACTAATTTGGAAGTTGTCATCCAAATTGGCATAGACTCTTAGGAAGGCAGAACAATTTTCAGAGGTTCTATGGGGGTGTAAATAGAACTGCTAATCCTCTGCATAGGATGCAAAATTCCCCAGACCCTTTGTTCTGTTGTAGATAAATTCTTCTGTTCTATAACAAAGAAACAATCTTAAGGAAAAATATACAACATGAACTTTGCACAAGACACTGGGTTTTTACTGCAGCTATTTCAAAGGAACCCTTACGCTAACAAGCCAGCCACTTAACTTGGCTCCATTTTCCCACTAAGCACCTGTACATAATGGTTTGGCTACCAGAGCTCTAATACAACTAGAACTTACTGAAGGCAGTAGTATGGTGGAGTAGATAAGTACCATGCTTTGAAGTCAGCAAACCCGGGTTTGAATCCCAACTCTGCCACTTACTAAATCTGTGGCCTTATTCAAAGTTACTTGAGTTCTATAAGCTTCAAGCTTCAATGTCCTTGGCTGAAAATAGGGATGATAATAACAATATCTACATTATATATGTGTTTATAAGTATTAGGTGAAATAATATATATGGATTTTATTGATAGAACCAGGTGTCATCAATACATATTAGCTATAATTATTTTTATTATTTTTTTTGCCTCAGTCTCAAGCTCCCAAAATTACCTATGACCTATAGTGGCCTAGGGGATGCCCTCCATAAGCACGTGTGGCTTACCTAAGTATTTATTTCCACAAGTCCCAGCAACAGCACATTATACATTCAGCAAACGTTTAGTTGAGGGACCCACTGTGTTCCAGTCCTTGAACTAAAAATGAGTTCAAATCTTAATTGAAAGATTCAAAGTCCAAAGATTAATGGATGAGCCCCTGACATTAAGAAACTCACAGACCTGTTATGGAAACAGGGCTTTAAAAATCTGCATTATCATGCAATGTAAAGTCAGCTGCAGGCAGCAAGGGTGTGGGTATCCTGTGTTCATTGTTGTGTCTGAGGCACCTAGAAGGGTTCCTGGCAAATAAATAGTAGGTGCTCAAGTATTTTTCAAATTAATGAAAGAAGACCGGGTATTTTTAATGAAAGTATAAAGAAGATACTCTGAGAGCATAAAGGAAGGATGGTTTAGATTGTATGAGAAATTCTGATAAAGCAGAGAATAATAAAAGTAATACATAAAACACAGCAAAAATATTTTTACTTACAACATCAATGTAAGTTTGTTTTTTAACCTTTTGATAAAGGCTTAATTTTTTTCTTTGAGTGTACATCTATTAATTATAGTTTATTGGCTCTTTCTTGCATAAGCTATCTGTAATCTCTCATTTATGATTTCCAGTTAACATTTCTTGGAGTGAAGCAAGATATTAAAAATACTTGTGAAACAGCCACAGGACTGAATATTTCTTGATTCTTATGATTTTCCTCAATGCTTTGTAATTGCTTCATCCACGTTTAATTTCATGGTTTTTTACAAGACTTCTTTATAAAGTCTTACCAAAGCATTTGATGCAGTTTTATAGAAACAATCCTCTGGCTTTCTCACTTAGATTTCAATCTGATATTTATTTGAATAACATCACACCAAATACAACTGGCATAAACAGGTTTGGGGGCAAACACAGCTCATCCAGTGAGAGCAAACACACACACGGGCGCACTAGTGAGAACTGCCAGCCTTGAGCCTTAAGTGTGCAGCGGACCTCAGTTGGTGCGTTTTGCATAAGAAAAGACAATTTCATTACTCCAGTTAATCTGTTAATTGAAGATACATTGAGGAGAGTTTTTAGAATATTGAAAAAGTAGGTCTTCCTTAAGGAAACTAGGAGTGGGATGAAAGGGCGCGCAAGCGTAGTGAGTTACACATACGAAGGCATAGAAGCATGAGCAAACATGGCCCTCTGGCACAATTTTAAGTAACTTTCATGACTGGAGCTCGGAGTGTCATGGAAAATAGCAAAGAGGAGGCTGGAAAGGCAGATAGGGATATAGGAGGGCAGAAGGGAGCTTGCATGGTAGTCATCATGTGTGGCAAACAATTTAAAGCCAATGCTTTTTGGCAGGTGTAACCTTCTCCTCCGACATTCCCACTGCTCCCAGGCTCCCATATTTATGGTATCTGCCTAGACTTTGAAAGCACCTGATTTTGCCATCCCAGCTTAGAACTTGGGACATCCATAGAGACTTTTCGAGTCAGGAAAGGACATGATCAGATTTTCATTTAAAAAAAGATAATTCAGACAGAGCTGTGGACGGTGGCTGGGGCAGGGCAGGGGAGTGACAGTGGAGGTAACTAGTTGGGAGGCAATTGCAAAAGTCTAGGTGAGAAGGGATGAGGTATTCAATTAAGGTAATGGCAGCAGGCATAGCGAGAAACAAATGGATTCCAGAGAGACTTTAAGCTTGTTAGATCCATAGAGTGAAGAATAGGGAAGAGTAGGCTGGCACACAGATTTCTAGCTCACCTTTTAAAAAGTGGTAATATCATTCATAGAGACAGGAAATGGAGGAGGAAGGAAAAAGTGATGAATGTCGCTGAGTTTAAAGTTAACCAGGTGGGCATGTAGAGTAGGAAGTCATAAATAATGTGTTTAGAGTTGATATCAACAGTTAGGGTTGATGGTGTAAATTTAGGAATCACCACATACAGGAATAGTTGGAGCCAAGCATGTAGATGAGATGCCTGTGGACAGAGCTTAGAAAAAAATGGAACACTGTAGAACACTAGCGTTTAAGCAACAAGTCATTAAATCATTAAATATGGGGCATGCAGGGAGACTAAGAGGGAGGAGGAGAGGCAGGGGACATTAGGTGGAAGCCTTGGAGAGAGCAAGACAGAACAGCCAATAACAGCAAGTGCTGCAGAAAAAACGCTTACAATTAGAATGGAAAAGGACCTGTTAGATTTCACCACTCCTGCATCCTTTATGAGTAAATAAGAGGCCTTGTTGCTATGTGATTAAATGAGATTCTTGGAGCTGAAGAAGTGATGGGAAGTGAAGAGTGAAGAGTGATGGGAAGTGAAGACGATTATTTTAAACCGTCTTTCAACTTATCAGCAAAGCTAGTGGAAGAAACAGAATCATTACAGATGAGCGAGGCTTAAGGTGTTTGCTTTGTAACAACACACAAACATCCATTTTGTAAATGGAGGGAGCCAGAAGAGAGAAATGAGATTGAAAATATACAGAAAAGGAGGAGGAGATGGCCTCTAGAACACAGGCGGAGGATGAAAATCTCCTCTGAAGGAGGAGGGAAAATTGATAGTGAACAAATGAATTTTTATTTGGGGAAGAAGCCTATGAATTGTGTGTCTGGTGGCTTCCAGTGATATAGTAGAGAAGCTTGTCTGCTGAGAGAGGTACGGAGGGCAGGGGCTGCTGGGAGACTTGGAGAAAGCAGGACGCAATTAAGTCGCTTTTGTGAGGAAGAAGAGAGGAAAGTGGCCCTGGACACTGGTCAGGATCCAGAGCTTTCTTGGGAGCCTGGCTGAGTCAGGAATCCACACATCCACAGGGAGCCGACTGTGAAGATTTTCTCTGGCTGTGCTCTGAAGCCCGGCACGAGGATAGAGACGCAGATGATTGGCGGGTCCAGGCACGCATGTTTGCAGGGAGTGCACAACAAAGGAATGAGAGTAGGAAAGGTGCGGGGGCTGCCTAAGGGTGGCTCCTGCGATGAACTGTGAGACCCTGGCTGGTTCTGGAAGGAAGGAAAGCCAAGAGTTGATGGACAGGCTGTGAATGCAGAGTCGCCGCTACTGGGTCACCATGTGTACATGAGCGAGTTAGTCCTGAAGTGAGCAGGCCTAGTGGCTAATAGGCACTCCCTGGGGTTATTTGCACTAACAGCAAAAGTTATGGTCACTTCATTCTATACCATTCTAGGCCAGTATTCTTCTCCACGGAGCCTAACAGAAGCTACTTCATTGCAGATTTAATGAGGTGAAACTTAGCAAAGTTGAAATATGTTCATTTTAGAGGTTTTATCTCCGGACTCATTTTTAGATGAGGAAATTGATACTTAATTGTGACATGTCCAAGTATATACAGTTAATGAGTCAAGGGTAAAACTCTGCTCTGCATGTCACCGTGCCACCTCAGCCGTCTACATATCAGGGCCTCTCTTTTGAAATTCAAAACCTACCAAAATTTGCTGCTTTGTTGCACTGGACTTTCAGGCTAATCTTGCACCAATAAATTAAAAATAGTAGAGTATTAAAAATTCTGGAAATCTGTCTTTTTGCACAAGATTATTGACCAGTGTAAAGCAGATTTTCTTTCCTTAATTCATCCCCTTCCCCACTAAGCCTTGTGATTTAACCTGAGGACCTGCTTTCAGTTCTTTCCTGCATTAGCCCTTCCTCTTTCCTTCCCTCGATTATGGATAGATTAACCAATAGAGCAAAACTCTAGCAGGAGACATAGTGTCCCTCAAGGAAAAACAATGATGGAAGGCATGTATACAGTGATGGGAAGTTTCACTGGAATTAAGCTCCATCACCCAATTTGAAGATCAGCTTCCAGAGTTTTGTTAACACTCAATGTGAAAAATAATTCCTTCTGCTTCCTGCCACTGCAGTCCTGCACTTTTTAGTGTCCAGAGAAAGGTAGCGAAAAAACAAAAACAAAACTGCTAATTTTTTTGACTGATGGAGTTCTTGTCAGGGGAGTGCAGTATTAAGTTTTGAAAGGTGATCACAAAGGTGAAAACACAATGCTCAAATTTATACAGACTGGACTGGGTTTCCATCAGTTTGGAATTTGGTCTACTCCGAAGTTGTTCTGAGGATGCCTAAAGGATTTCTCCGCATCAAGTCTGGGCATCTCTTCCTCAGCCCCTGCACTAAGTTGTTGGGGAACCACCAAGCTACAGAGATGTTGGCACTTTATGCAATACTAACCAGCCCTTTTTTCCATTCCAAGGTACTACCTTCTCTGCTACAAGTCGAGCGAGGAGCCCCGCATGAGCCCTGACACCTGTGCCACCATTTTGGAAAAAGCTGGTCTCGATAACTGGGCTCTTGGAAAAACAAAAGTAATGTTTTCATGTAATTTTCAGGAAAATAAATAATTATGCTGGGTTCACTGAGAATTGTAACATTTTACAATGTTTGAAAGTATGGTTTTTTTATGTTATAGAATCTATAACTTACAATAGAGGAAGTAAAGTTATAAACTCATAAAGATTTTCTTTTTCGTCAACATTAAAGGCTTTTGCTCTTCATAAAGATTTCTTTTAAGAAATACAAAAGGCTGGGCAAGGTAGCTGACACCTCTAATCCCAACACTTTGGAAGGCCGAGGTGGGAGAATGGCTTGAGCCCAGGAGTTCAAGGCTGCAATAGCTATGATCACACCACTGCACTCCAGCCTATGCAACTTAAGACCCTGACTCTAAAGAAAAGTTTACATTGAAATTTAAAAAAAGAAATGCAAGAAAAATTTATCTTGAAGATTTATCAAAAAAGGATAAACCATAATGATTGTACTTTACTTCAGATGGTATTGAAAACAGATATATATTCTCTAGTTTATCACTACTAAATATAGTTAAAAAGCTGTAGAGAATCATAATGATCCAAATAAGATTCGTGTTTTCCTTTTTTTCTTAATTCTCAGACCTGCTTCTATCATAAACTTGAAATTTTTCTGGAGTAAAATATTCACCACTATTACTAGACTCGCTATATGTATTGGACATTGATGTGTTTATATATTAGCTTGCAGAACCTGTGAGATCTTAGCTTATTTAATCCCTTAGAGAACAAAGTAAAAAGCATAACCAATCTTGAACATGGAAGAAAGAGAGGTCACTGTTTGGAGAAAGGATGTATTGGTCTTCTCAGGTATTCTCATAGCATTACGAGACAGGGATCAGGAAATAAACAGGGTTCCATTGTGCACTGAATATATCTTAAGGGGATATGAAATGTATCACGGGGAGGATGAGGAAAAGAGCCAAGCTAAAGCCAAGAGATACTCATAGATTGACCACTCAAGAATACCTACTATCAGCCACACCACAGAAGTAAACCAAAACAAACTCCCATATTTGCAAAGAAATTTATAATATTTGTGTCTTGGGTGTAGGAGATGTGGGAGAGAATTTTAATAATGTTTGGATGAGAAACTATCCCTGTAACAATTTAAGAGATTTAAAAAAAAAGCCACCTTAAACTGAGTGTCCTGTGTATTCAGTAATCCATATTTACTTTAGTAAGGGGATATTTTGGGCATTAAAAATGAGTATTTTATTCACACCATTTTCTCTTAGATTATAAATTTCAAAATGATCAATTTTATCAGGCTAAAATCTCATGATTTATGGTCTGAAACACATGCCTAACTTCAAATGGAGTTTTAACTTGTAAAAAGGCCTTTTGCAGTTATAGTTCTGCATGATATTTAAGTAGCATTTTAAAGCTATTTGTATTCTTCCACTTCACCTTTTCCAACTCATTAACATGGATAGAAAGTATTAATATAGGAACATTTCTAATGTCATGCAAAAAGAAATGATGACCTTTTTAAACAGATTGAATTTTAAATGAATTGTCAACAGCAGAATGGACTAAATGTATTAACATCTAGAGTCCTGTAGAAATTAAAACTGAATTAAATCAAACCTGTAACACAAACGTGTTTACCCATGGTGCCAAGCTTTTAAGTAATGGAACACTGAGAGAATTCTACAGTCAGGGTTATCAGGTCTCATGACTCAGCCATAAAATTTGAATGTAAGTGACTTTCTTGAAGGATTCAATAAACTCTTTGAGATGAGTTTTATTAGGAAATTTAGCCATTAAAAGGAAAACAAACAAAAAACAAGCTTTTCATTTCCTTGGAGGAGGGGAGAGAAATGTTAGATGAGAACACGCCAAGCCTTCTGGCTCCTCCCTTGCTCCAATTGATGTTGATTTTAGAATAATCAAAAGTCAGCCCTCCCTTCTCCATGGCAGCCTTTGGGTCCAGTGAGAACCTTGTTAATGAAATCTGCCTGGGGCCTTCTCTTGGCCTTATTCTCTTCACTGACAACAATACCAGCCCCAAAGGACAGTGACCTGCCTTGTTCATCTCTGTATCCCCAGCAGATACGTACCTGTAACAGGTCTCAATAACATTAATAAACATTAGATGAATTAACTAACGGAACTATAATTCTGTCCTCTACTTTATAATAAGATCTATTCAGATTTTTTTAATTTGGGAAATATAGTTGCCTTTAAAAAATAAAAAGCATAAAAATTAGCTTAGCCCAGAATATACGATGCTAGAAACTTTGCTAAAAGAGCTCAACATCCTCCACTCTTATTGTCTCATCCAACAAAACCTAGTTACCTGTTGTAAATAAACAGCATGGTTGTCACCTTCTGCATTTCTTCTCAAAGAAATGTTTTCTTCAAGCATAAAAATCTGTACTGTCATAGTGACATCTAGGGCAAAGAAGCAAAAGACAGTGATTTCCAAAATCTCAAGCAATTTAGAATGTGTTCTGTTCTTCAAAGCACAGCACATAACTGCTTCACATCTGTGTGCCATGGTTCTTTGTATTATATTTTAATTTTTCAGGTGTTCCTTAAGTATTATCACGTGGAGCAGTTAAATCTAATGCGAAAGGAAGCTATTGACAAGCTTATTTTGATTCAAGCTTGTGTCAGAGCATTCTTGTGTTCAAGAAGATACCAAAAAATACAGGAGAAAAGGAAAGAAAGCGCTATAATAATACAGTCAGGTAATCTCTTTGACATATTTAGATATGGTCATAAAATCAAATCTTATAATACTTCTTACAGGCAAACCTCCAATTCTTGTGTAGCTTTTGTGTTTAATTCCAGACTGTGTTGCCTTGATACTTTTGCTATATTAAATCTAAGTCAAATTGTTTTAGTGATTGACACTTTTAATATTTGGATAAACGTTTTGTCTTAAATAATTTAATTTTTAACTTTTCTGTCAAGAATTAATGGAACACAATTGACCTATTGTGGAAGATATAGCAAATAATTAATTATAGATCTCAAGAATCATATTATTATAGCTCATTGGACAATAAGAATTTTTTCTACTTTATTCCAAAGGTTACACTTGCCATAATTTTTGACAACTTAAATCTTATTTTGTTAAAGGGCATCCATTTATTTCTGTTAACTGTAGAGAAATAATATTTATAACCATACTTTACTTCACATACTTTTATTAAGCTGTATTAATAGACTTTGGATTTTGCTTTCTATTTTTCCATAAGAAATGAAATTTAGATAGAGCTTGTCACAGCCTAGTATGCTCTCTTTCAAATTTTTTTGACTGGATACTTAGAGAAAAAAAATGTATTTTGCTTTTTAACCTATACACACACACACTACAAGCACTGTGTTCTGATCTTTTTAATTCTAGTCTATTCCATTTCATTTTTAGATGCTAGATTTGGCCTACTACATCAATTTTATGATCCACTAATGGTTTGCAGCCTGCATTCTGAAGAACACTAATATCGTGGGCAGAGGAGCTGACTGACATTCAAGAGATTAACATTCCAATCCCCGTTCTGTCAATCAGCAATGAGTCATCCTCATCTCTTTTTGTATTTTAAGCCCTTAACTTCTCACTGAGAAATCAAAATGCAAACTCAGTAATTTGGGCTCTAATCCTTTATCCACAATTTCAAAATTTATAAAGCTCTGATAAAAAGGTTCTTCATAGAGCCTTTGGCAGTAAAACATAGCAATGTGATGTGAAGTTATTTACAGTTCTTTACTCCCCCAACTTAGTAAAAATATTCTGTTTTTCTGAAGAAATAGTCATTGATTATTGGGCGCTGCCCTGACACAGGGAATGTTACAGAATATATATTTGCTCTGTATTAACTTTCTAAAACTTAAAAAAAATTAATCTGAATTCTCAAATATACAATCTGATCATCTGAAATGTATCTGGCCAAAATATATGAAACACATAGCAAAAAAATGAAAATGATTATTACTGAATTTTAAGCAAATGAGCACACTTTGTCATCAACTTTGCTCATCTCTATCATTTTGATTTCATTTTAGTATTCTTCTTAGTATGAAAGTTACTTTAGTTATTGTTGCTATAGCTTGCCATGTAGAAGAATCTTGTTAATGAATCACATTTTTAAGTGAACCTGTTCTATTTGGCATTTTAATTTTATTTTCCTCTTTGACATCAATGGTCAAAGCCACCATTTCTACTCTTTAAAGTAAATTTCTTTTATTTGTTTATAATTAACACTACTATGGGCTTTCTGTGTTTCAGCTGCAAGAGGACACCTTGTCAGGAAACAAAGAAAAGAAATTGTTGACATGAAAAACACAGCAGTAACAACCATTCAAACTTCTGATCAGGAATTCGACTACAAGAAAAACTTTGAAAATACAAGGTATAATGATGTTCATTCTTATACCGTTGTAACATATAGATTTTTCAGATCTGTAAGGTCATAGAATAATGTTCACAGCCTTTCTTGTACTAGTCAGGTTCCTGATACTGACACATCAAATGTCAGTGAACACCCAGAGGCTACTTTTGTGTTCTCTATCCTATTTTGGAGTTATTTCTCAAATGTTTTCTTCCTTGGCTTCTACCAGATTGCTTTCTATAATTCTACTTCTAATTCTGAGTGTCCTTTGCTAATATGTCCTCCAATCCCCACATTTAAATCCTCATCCATATCTAAATGTATCCCTGGGCCCTCTCATTCATTCCAGTGGCTTTAATAGCCAATATGCCATTGGCCCCTATGTCATAATCACCAGCTGCTCTTTCTTCTTGTGAGCCCTCATGTCTGTACTTCCAAGTGCATGTTAGCAAACCACTTATTCACTTATTCAGCAGGCTTTATGCTGGGCAGTGGGGACACAGATACGTGAAGCAAAATCCTTATCCTCAAATTTCTCAGAGTATTACAGAAAAAACAGGACAGACAAACACATCCCTCTTGTAAAATGTGTTAACTCTGCTATAAAAATAGGCAAAGGGTACACTGGGGGCAAGGAGGAGGGAACCCTGCCTTGGTTGGTAGTGGTTAGGGAAAGGGAAAAATATCTACATTTTGCCCAAGTGGTGAAACTTGAATTTATCAAACTGAGTACATGGTCATCCAGAGAGATAAAGATCATTCCAGCCCCAACCCTAGTCCCCTTGTTTTTAACATCAAGTCTGGCCATAGAAAGGGTGAAGGAATGAAATAGAAGAAGAGGTGGCTTCCTAGCTTCCTTCTTTCCCCACACACCCACATCTAACGTTCTCTTCACCCACCGCTATTCTCTCCTGCCAATAGTGGTCTCACAGATGATCTCATAGATGACTTCTCTGCCACCTCTTCCCCTCACCTTCACCCACACATTCCCTGAATCCCTCAGGCCAACCTCATTTCCTTATTTGAAAAACAGGAATGTTTATTTGAAGTTTAGATACATTTGGTGTTTTCAGTTTTTGTGTATTCTGAGACCTATATATATGCTCTCTGTCTTTGCTTGTGAGGATCCAAATGATTTGTTTCTCTTTGTTACTGGCGATAAAACAGTCCAGCAAACTTCCAGACATCACAGGCCTGCCTCAGGAGCAGGAGGCTGGATGATACCTGTGACTTCTGTACTTCAGTCTGGAGGCTGAGAGAAATATAAACTGGCTGCAAATCGAAGAAAGATGGACTAATTGTACTACTTCTAGAAATTACTGCTTGTAGATATCACATCTAATAAGGAAGTGTGATGTTCAATTACATACCCATTTGCTACCACCTTTCTTCTGAGGATACCAGGGATTAGCTTTCAATGTAGCAGATACTTATTAAGAATCTACTGCACACAAGATCCACTTCAGGGCACATGAGTGTGAGTAAGAAGCTATCACTGTGGTCTGGGATGGAGAATTTGACATTGATTGGGCTAACTCTCATGGGAGGTGGATGACAAAGTCAGACATGAAAGAAGTAGAGGCAGAAAGTCAAGGGAAGCTTGTAGAGAGGAAAGTTAGGGAAGGGAGAAGCAGGTGGGCCTGACCACTGCCAGAGATCTGCGGGCCAGCACTCCCTCCCTCCTCCACTTCTGACTTTCCTTTTCCCTCAGCTACCTGAAGCGCTTGTTTTCACTTAACCATTCCCTGTCAGAGCCCCTGAACTGTGACCTAGAATACCACAGCGGGGAGCTGGAGAAAGGCCCAGGCCGGCAGGGCTCTCCAGCAGATGTCAGAAGAGATCGCCAGTCCTCCCCACGCTGGAGCTCTGAAGGGTTGATCCTCAGAAGCACCCATCATTGCACATGTTCCCCAGCCAGCCGCAACACAGAGTAGAGTTGCCTGAGCCCAGACATGTAACTGATGTGGGAATTTCAGCAGTGTGTACAAGTCTTCACCAGTGAAATGCATTTAAAGGATCAAAACTAACTTATAAATGGATTTTTCGGAACGTAATCAGTTAGGGACTGCACGCTTATCTTCTTAGTTGTATTTTGAATAAATGTAAGCATTCTTAGAGAGGTCAGTACTATGGAGGAATTCAAAATACTAGTGTAGCGATTCATCAAAATCATGGGCATCTGATGCCCTACCTAGTTTTTTGACTGATCCTAGCAGGATTCTGCTATGCCTCCTGTACTAGCCTGGGGATACCACAGTAATTCTAGTCCTAGGAAGTGGCCAGTAGAATTAGAAAAATGGAATCCCGGTAGCTTTTTCCAGATTTGACTCAAAGAAGAGTCCGACTTCACAAACAGATCACAGAAGACCTAAACTCTCACATGGGTTTCTGGGCTAAGATGAAAAGTTTGGTGCAAAAGCCCTCCAAGTAGCAACGAGAGGTGTTAGCATATCAAGGTGTCATGGTATGACATTTTCATTCCATCTTAACTTTTTTCTTGGCTGTATTGCTCTTGTAAGGGTTTTGCCTTTGGCTAGAAAAAAAAAAAAAGATGCAGAGAAAACCTTATCTTCAAGTGAAGGGGAAATCATTTTGGAAGGATATTAGCAAAGTAGCAACTGTGAAATTTTGGCCACCGTATTACATGATCATGAACTGTAGCGAGGACATTGCTTTTCCTTTAATTTTATAAGATACTTCCTCTGATCAGTAAACTTAGTGCTTATTAAAGTACAGTATGTCAGCCAAGTGAACATACCCTGCTTACTGGTATCAAACTTAGGTATATTTTTCACAGCATCTCACTACTAAAGGTACTTTGTTTTGAAAAGGATATATTTTGAAAGGATTAAGTTCCTAGAATTTTGATATCTCATTAAATGAAAAGATGGTTCTTCATATGCTAGGATATTTCTCACTCCGAGTTGAATCTGGTTTTCTCATTATTTGAGTAGTTATCACAGTTGTCACCAGAGAGAACATTCTGGAAAGCACTTGATTAATGTGACTTGATACTTTTTAATTTTGAGCTTTCTTTGTTCCTTTTGCCTTTCTCCCACCGGTATCTAGCATATAACTATTGCCAATAGAAGTAATAAGCTCCAGTTTAGTACTGTATATTCAAAGATAATATATTTTACACAGGGAATCTTTCGTGAAGAAACAAGCAGAAAATGCAATCTCTGCTAATGAAAGATTCATTTCAGCTCCAAATAATAAAGGAAGTGTATCTGTAGTGAAGACTTCCACTTTCAAACCTGAAGAGGAAACCACCAATGCTGTGGAGAGTAACAACAGAGTGTATCAGACTCCAAAAAAAATGAATAATGTGTATGAGGAAGAGGTTAAGCAAGAATTCTACCTTGTAGGGCCAGAAGTAAGCCCCAAACAGAAGTCTGTCAAAGACCTGGAAGAGAACAGCAATCTAAGGAAAGTGGAGAAAGAGGAAGCTATGATCCAGAGTTACTATCAGAGGTACACAGAGGAGAGGAATTGTGAAGAGTCAAAAGCAGCATATCTAGAAAGGAAGGCCATATCAGAAAGGCCAAGCTACCCAGTGCCTTGGTTAGCTGAAAATGAGACTTCCTTTAAAAAAACTTTGGAACCTACACTTAGCCAAAGGTCAATTTATCAAAATGCAAACAGCATGGAAAAAGAAAAGAAGACATCTGTAGTTACCCAGCGTGCACCGATATGCAGCCAGGAGGAAGGCAGAGGCCGTCTGAGGCATGAGACAGTCAAAGAGAGGCAAGTTGAACCAGTGACACAGGCCCAGGAGGAAGAAGATAAAGCAGCGGTATTCATTCAGAGCAAATACCGGGGTTACAAGAGAAGGCAGCAGTTGAGGAAGGACAAGATGTCTTCTTTTAAGCATCAGAGGATTGTCACAACACCAACAGAAGTAGCAAGAAACACTCATAATTTGTATTCCTATCCCACAAAACATGAGGAAATCAATAACATCAAGAAGAAGGATAACAAAGACTCGAAAGCAACTTCAGAAAGAGAAGCATGTGGTTTGGCAATTTTTTCAAAACAGGTATGTGAATAAATAAATTTATTTACTAATAAAAGTCCCTGGGAACTATACAATAACTGAATTAAACACATAATTAATAACTGGTAGATTGTTTTATCTGCGTTGATGGGCCCGCAAACATTTTTAATAAAATGTCTCAGGGATTGTGCTATTCAAATAGCCAGGAACTTTTAACCCAATTTACCGTGGTAACAATAGTATAAAATATGATAGAAACCTCATGTAGTCGTGATACTAGAGATTGGTTTATACAGCTTACTAAAATGCTGAGGCTCGACAGTGAAAAGTTTGATGTATCTTTAATTAGATCTTTAATTAGAGCTAAAAAAAAAAGTCGTTTTAAGTTTTCTAAATCCTCCAAAGTTTATGCTTTCTCCCTTTCACAAATTTGAGAAGACATAATTAGGTATCAGATTTTGATAGGTAGCCACACCGAAGCATATACAGTGAAGATGAAAGTCTGCATGTCACATCATGACAGTGAATGAACAGTCATGGAAAATAAGGAATCACAAAGAAAAAACGCAGAGAAAAGTTCCCTCCTGGAGAATATCTCATGCCAATCATAGGTGTGTTTCAGCTGTTTCTAGAGAGGAGCATAGGAAGCAACAGGTTTTAGGGCTTCTCATGGGTATACATGCAATTTGTCTCTGATACATACAATTTATCTCTGATACATACAATTTATCTCCTATAAATTGGTGCTATGGAAAGATCGCAAGAACCGGCTTCTGTAAATACCAATTCCACTTCCTCCTTTCTCTTTCTAGGCATTTAACCTTCATAAAATCACTTTATGTGTTAGCACTGTTATTTTCTCCAGTGTGAAATGAAGAGTTTTAACTGGATGATCTCTAAAATACATGAATTTCCAGGGTAATCAATGGTGTATGAAGTAATAAAAGAAATATCATAATGGGTTAGTTCCAAGAAAGACTATCTAATATTCCTGAGTCCCTAAACTCCCCTTTTTGTATTTGACAGTGGCTGAGCCTATGAGAAACACGATAACTGCACTTGGACCCTTCCTTAGTGCGAGAGGTGTGGCCCAGACATCTCCAACTTCTAGCTGTCAGTAGAGATCTGCCATTTTTAATTTACCCATCCCCTTCCTACTCTTCTTAAGCATGTGGAAATAGTGAGCTTAACGAACATACAGTTCTTCTCACTCCAAAGACCAAATCAGGGATTAGAACTCAGACCTGCTATGCCGTGGAGACATGAGATGTAGAATTACCAAGGCATCCACTAGGAGCTGGCCAGTAATGCCATGGAGTAAATTCACTGCTCCATGGAACAAAGCTAGAGGCTGTCCCAGCAGGAGCCTCACACTCAACCCAGCAGGACAGCCGTGTTCTCAGAGCCAGGATGCGGACACGATAGAGGCGGGGGGCAGAATGGAAAGAGAAACCAGAATAGAGCAGCCCTGAAATCAGGGTAAAAGACTGGAAAGAAGGCCGGGCGCGGTGGCTCAAGCCTGTAATCCCAGAACTTTGGTAGGCTGAGGCGGGCGGATCACGAGGTCAGGAGATCGAGACCATCCTGGCTAACGTGGTGAAACCCTGTCTCTACTAAAAATACAAAAAATCAGCCGGGCGTGGTGGCAGGCACCTGTAGTCCCAGCTACTCTGGAGGCTGAGGCAGGAGAATGGCGTGAACCCGGGAGGCGGAGCTTGCAGTGAGCGGAGATCGCACCACTGCACTCCAGCCTGGGCGACAGAGCGAGACTCCGTCTCAAAAAAAAAAAAAAAGACTGGAAAGAAAAGGAAGGAGGTTTACACAATCAAAGGCAGCAGAGGGGTCCTCAGGACAGAAGCAGAAAGGCAAACACAGCAGAGTGGCGAGGCTGGAAGCCGGATCTCAGAAACCTGGGAAGGAGTCGATCAGAACAGAATTCTGCATGTAGCATGACGTGCTTGGCAGTTTTAAAGAAAAATGTGAGATGGCAAGTATTCAGAGCACAAGGGGGGAAGGTTGTCAGGTGAGAACTTTATCAGACCTTGGTGCAAGGGACAGGGTGGGCCCTGGAGAGGAACATGAGAGTCCCCAAGAGTGCTGGTAAGGCGTTTCCCAGCCCCCGGTGCCTGCAGAACTCTCTGTATTCTTTTCCTTGATTTAACCTGACACATGACCTTCTTTTTAGATATCAAAGTTATCTGAAGAATATTTCATTCTGCAGAAAAAATTGAATGAAATGATTTTGTCACAGCAACTGAAGTCACTTTATCTGGGTGTCTCGCACCATAAGCCAATTAATAGACGAGTTTCTTCTCAGCAGTGCCTCTCAGGTAAAAATCAGTAGAGTTAGAACTTCCTGAATGGGAAGGAAATGCCAGATACTTTGTTTATTAGTTTCCCACCATTATTCTATGGCAGATTTGAGGAGCCTGTGTCCTGTCTTAGGAGAACCTTTATTTCATTTCTTATATGGAGATACAGTTTTTTTAGGATGTTCTACCCACTTTCTACCTTCTCTGACTTAATTCCCCTCCATTTAGTATGTTTTCCTTTTTTCATTTTAACTAGAACTTGGCATATGACGCCACAAGGGAATAAAAGGGGTTGGTATAGAGAGGGGGGCTGGCAGGAGGCAGATTTGATAAGAGAGCGCAAAAATAGAAATAGAAATATTTCTATTTCCTTTGTCAACATCTGCAACCTTGAGTATAGAGTGTGGAAGGTGCAAAACCCCATTATACAAGAAGTATTGTTATTGAACTTTTTTCTAGTCAACCTATTATACTAAACTGGTG
The DNA here is from genome assembly GCF_000001405.40 of Homo sapiens. NCBI lineage: Eukaryota > Metazoa > Chordata > Mammalia > Primates > Hominidae > Homo > Homo sapiens. The sequence goes on from NC_000010.11 coordinate 26,177,311, forward strand.
AGGAATTCAATCTCAATAATTTTCAGACCTCCCTCTCCCCAGAGCTGTGCAAAGGTTATATGGCCTTGCACACCACCAAAAGATCAGGTACACCCTGTAGTCTCTGGTCATTTGCCCATGAAGTTACTGTTGGGACACTCATGGCTCCAGCTGGCCTCCATGAGCCCTTCAGGTTGGGAGGTCTGGCTGCTCCCACACCCTGCAGGTGGCACCTAGACTGTGGAGGTCTGGAGCCTCATATTATCCATGCCCACTCCAGGTAGCCATTCTCTCTGCAGTCTTATGACCTCCCCCAGGAGCTGTCACGGTAAAGTTCAGGAGTCCCACGACTTTGAACCCTGCTGACCTCTGCCCAGAAGAATCTGCATTTATTTTCCCTTGCTTTCTTGGAGGCCCTCCGCAATCTCACTGCCCCGTTCAGGGATCCCTGACATCATCTCTGCAATGAGTTTGGCTGTTACCAAAGACAGGAGGAGCCACTGACCTCATGCAACTTCTAATTTCTTCCCTGAAAAAATCTCTGAGGCAGAAATATACTAAGATGCACTTGGCTATTTGCCTGATATGAGAGGAAGGGGAAATACCTTAATGTTTTCATCAATTATTCTGCCACATCGTTTTCAAGTCAAGAATTGCAGTGAAGCTGACCACAAATGGCTCTTTGGTGCCCTTCATTCCTGCTGCTCTCCTGCTCTCTGGCCCTGGCTGAGAGCCTCCTGCTGTGAAGAAGAGAGACTAGCAAGTCAGAGCCCAGAGGCCCATTCATTTGGCTGCTGCAATGGCCTGTGCCCAGGAGGCATGCTGGCAGGGTAGGAGCTGAGGGAAGGCCAGGGCTTCAGGTTCCCTCATGGTCACAGAAGTGGCAGCACTGGTGAGTGTGGGGCAGAGAGGAGCAGGTGGTGTGGGGAAGCAAGGAAGCCAGGCAGCTCACCCCAGGCCGCTGCTGGAAAGGAGAGGTACAAATGGGAGGCAGCGTCCTGGGAGGAAGTAGAGGTCGCCACCAAGATTTTCACTTTTGAACATCTCAGGTCAGGAGTTCAAGACCAGCCTGACCAATATGGTGAAACCCCTTCTCTACTAAAAATACAAAAATTAGCTGGGCCTGGTGGCAGGTGCCCATAATACCAGCTACTCTGGAGGCTGAGGCAAGTAGAATTACTTGAACCTGGGAGGTGGAAGTTGCAGTGAGCCGAAATCGTGCCACTGCACTCCAGCCTGGGTGACAGAGCGAGACTCTGTCTCAAAAAAAAAAAAAGCAAAAAGAAGAAAAAGAACAACAACAACAAGGGACAACTTTACCCAGGTGTGGGATTTCATAACATCTAAATCTTCTGATTTTCCTGAAGAAAATATACATAAAATGATTATTCATCTGTTTTCAAAAGGGAACTCAGACAGTCTGAAGACAGTAGGAATTATATTAACTGAACACTTCAGCTTTAATACAGCTAATAACTCTGCTTGCCTTCTGCTTTAAATGTTTATTTATTTATTTATTTATTTATTTTTGAGACAGAGTCTTGCTCTGTCACCCAGGCTGTAGTGCAGTGGCGCGATCTCGACTCACTGCAAGCTCCGCCTCCCAGGTTCTCACCATTCTCCTGCCTCAGCCTCCCTAGTAGCTGGGGCTCCAGGCGCCAGCCACCACGCCGGGCTAATTTTTTATATTTTTAGTAGAGATGGGGTTTCACCATGTTAGCCAGGGTGGTCTCGATCCGACCCTGTGATCCGCCCGCCTTGGCCTCCCAAAGTGCTGGGATTACACCGTGCCCAGCCTAATTTTTTTTTTTTTTTTTTTTTTTTTTGAGACGGAGTTTCACTCTTGTTGTCCAGGCTGGAGTGCAATGGCGCGATCTCAGCTTGCTGGAACCTCTGCCTCCTGGGTTCAAGTGATTCTCCTGCCTCAGCCTCCCCAGTAGCTGGGATTACAGGCGACCACCACCATGCCCAGCTAATTTTTGTATTTTTTTTTATTAGAGACTGGGTTTTACCATGTTGGCCAGGCTGACCTCAAACTCCTGACGTTAAGTGATCTGCCCACCTTTACCTCCCAAAGTGCTGGGATTACAGGCTTGAGCCACTGCACCTGACCTAATTTTTCTTAAATGTATGCATAGTTCACATATATTTCAGTGTTGGTCTCTGTTGAGAAGTTTGGTAATGTTTTTGTGACCAAAAATATACCATAAGAAGTTAACTCTTGTTTATATCAGTCTATTGTAAAATTGGTCATTTCGCTTAAAGTTGCAGTTTCTAAGAACCCATTGACATTGTCAAGTGAGAACTTACTGTATGATGATGTGGCTGTTCAAAGAATTACCTCCAACAAAGGTTCCAAGAACTCCTAGTGTTTTATGCAAACACATTCAAACATTCATGGAACAGATAAATCTCATTGTATGTGATTTGTTTGAGAAAAAAAGAAAGAAAAATATACGAAGTTACCTATTTTATGATGTTCATCTGTCCTAGAACAAAAGTCTAACAATAACATTTTTTAAAAACTATTGTTCAATCTCAATTATTAATTAATTAATTTTTGAGACAGAGTCTCACTCTTTCACCCAGGCTGGAGTGCAGTGGCACGACCTCGGCTCACTGCCACCTCTGCCTGCTGGGTTCAAGTGATTCTCATGCCTCAGCCTCCCGAGTAGCTGGGACTACAAACGTGCGGCACCACGCCTGGCTACTTTTTTGTATTTTTAGTAGAGATGGGGTTTCACCATGTTGGCCAGGCTGGTCTTGAACTCCTGACCTCAGGTGATCCACCTGCCTCAGCCTCCCAAAGTGCTGGGATTACAAGTGTGAGCCACCGCGCCTGGCCTCAATTATTAATTTAGAGATAAAATTCCTGAGTATAGTATTTAATACTAGCCAATGGAATGCAATAGTACATTAAAAGACTGTCCACATAATACATATTAATATAACATATCAAAAGATCAAAAAAACTATCTTGATAAATGCTGAAACAGTTTTCAGTAAAATCCAACACTCTGTACTGATGAAATGTAAAACTCTTACTAAACCAAAAGCAGAAGGATATTCTTTAACAATATGAAGAATACGTTTCTTAATTCAATCATCTACCTCATAATTAACTATAAAACACTGGAAGCAGTTGCATTAAAAAGGAGGATGAAGATAAAGATACTAGTAACACCACATTTTTATGTTATTGGGAAATTTCCAGTTAATGCAATAAGACAGCAAAGAGAAGCTTTTTCAAAAAGCATAACTATCAAAAGGGAACAGATGGGATTGTAGGACTATTAGCAGACAACATTAAAAATGCAATGATTGATGCTAGGAATAGAATTCAGTAAGGATGTATAGTTATATAGATAGATATTCTTTCCTATAAAAATTTCTAATAGAAAAAGAGCCCATTGGAAATAATAGCAAAAAAAAAAAATCAATACCTTGAAATAAAGCTAGCAACCAAACCTGAAAGAGACAAAAAAGAAGAGATGCATAATGGAATGATACATTGTGTTTCTGAATTGAAAGATAAAATACGGTAAACATGACCATTCTAAAATTACTTTCTAGGTTTAAAAAAATTGCATTCAAAATCTCTATGAGATTTTCTTTGGAATTTAAGAAAATATCCCTAAGGATCATTTGTAAATTTCAGAGAAAAAAAGAATAACTATAAATGAGGACTTATTCATTAGATAGTAAAATGAATAATGCTATAATAATTAAAATCATATGTCCCCTTTACAAAAATCAATCACAGATTAATGAAACAGAATAGCCCTAAAATTGACCTGAGTATTTATAAAAACCTGTCATTTACAAAAAGATACATACGAACAGAAAAGAAATGGATGGATAATGCTTAAAATGTCTCTGATTTGGGATGAGGAAATAAAATATTCTTATCTTCTGCTGAATGCCCAGTTATTTTCCAGATGCACTGATCATTTAAATGTAAGAAATAAACAAACCAAATGAAGCCAGATGCTATGAACTGAGCATTTCACAATCTCTGCTTAGAAAGGACAAACTATAAGAAGTAATAAAAGGAATTACAAAGAAAAACTGTGATAGATTTGGATTACATGAATGTTAAAACCTTCTAGAGATTCCAAAGCATGATTAAAAGTTAAAGAGCTGAAGACAAAATATTTGGAACAAATGTAAAAAGAGTTAAACTGTTTAGCGTAGAAAGAGCTCTTTATAAATCATTCGGAAAAATAGCACTCTCAATGGAAAAATGGCACAAGCCATTAATTTATTTACAAAAGAAGAAATACAGATGGAAAATAAGCATATATATGACCACTCTAGGAGTAAAAAAAATAAAAAGTCAAACCCACTACTATTCTTTACTCATCAAAATTGCAAGTATGAAAAAATATTTTAACAGTAATAACAAAGTGCTAATGTAATTATTCCCAAACATATGGTAAGATGGCAGTGTCAACATTTTGAAAAGTGACTTGGCAATATGTCCAAAAAAAAAAAAAAACCCCACTGAATTAGTTTATATCATTGACCCAGTAAACTCACTTATGAGAGCATAGCCTAAGGAAACAATCAGAGCTGAAAAAAAAATTGTGTATATGGTAAGAAAAAAAATTGAACAATAGGAGAATGATTAATAAGTAATGACACATTCACATATGGAATATTAACAGCCCTTTAAATTCATTTTTCAAAGAATAGCCTTAGCAAACTGCTAGCTAATCTAACCACTGAATAAAATATTGCAGAATTGGAATTGTAATACTGTAAGTAATTCAGCTTAATCTTCACATACGCGAGGTGGTTCATTAACAACAAGAGCCCCTAAGTCTAGGGTTCTAGAAGAGTTGAGTGACTAGTTAGTGAGAACAAGATGGTCATCTCCAGTATAGCGGATACTCTCCATCCCTCGCTAACTTCACTTCTATATAAAATTAAGAATCTGAATAATATTATTGCAACCTGGTAGAGGACTTCCACAGCCACATGTGGTAAGACTAGAGTGTCATCTCCAGATCTGTCACCTTTGCTGCCATGCTGTCTCAAGCCACTAAAAGTTTCTTTGATACTCCTCCAGCCAGCTTGTGATCAGATGTGCTCTAATAAAGAATAATCACTTTTTAAAAATACTGGTATATTTCAGCTCATCTTGATAGGAACCAAAAACCCTTTTATCTATGTGTTATGAAGTATGAGCGGAGGGAAAGAAAAAAACAAATGTTGTGTGTTTAAAGTCAGAGAATGTTCTTCAATTCTGTATTTTTAACAGGCCAATCTAAGAAAATGACTATGAACAGTCAATAAATAATTTTTTTAAGTTTGGCTCTCTGGGAAAAATTATTCCAAGTTTTCACCTCAGGCTATGTATATAAATTTTTTAAATAAATGAATACCCACTTCATTTTGAAAAATAGCCAAGATGTAATTAGATGCCACCTCTGAGTTTTCCTTATTCTCCAAGCAAATAAACATGTATTTTGGTTGTTTGGCTGTATCCATAGTTGGTGGGCAGTCATACACAGAAGACGTGCTCACAGTGTTCCGCATAACAGCTCATTCTCCCCAACAAAGACCTCACTCTCAGGGCACCCTTGGTATCACCATGTGCATTCGCATGTGCTTCTGTTGTGGCGCCCTGTTTTGATGACTGCTCACATATAAGCGAGATGACCAGGCAGGTGTGTGTGTAATCTAACTCCTTGGACTAGAACAAAACGAACTGGCTTTTGAGGACTGTAATCCATGCGAGATGACAGCCCAAGGAAAATGACAGAAGTGGAGTGCCAAGATGTAGCGATAATGTGCAAGAGACAAGCGACAGTCCAGAGGGTGTATCTGTGGGTCTCACCCCCCACACAGGCTGCTTTATCCTCCTGCTTCTCCTGCCACAACTAGGAGAGACATGTGGGGCAGGAACCTTACCTGAACCTACCAGTATTGTTAAAAAACTAAATGTTTCGGCTGGGCGTGGTGGCTCACGCCTGTAATCCCAGCACTTTGGGAGGCCGAGGCCGGCGGATCACGAGGTCAGGAGATCGAGACCATCCTGGCTAACAAGGTGAAACCCGTCTCTACTAAAAATACAAAAAATTAGCCGGGCTTGGTGGCGGGCGCCTATAGTCCCAGCTACTCAGGAGGCTGAGGCAGGAGAATGGTGTGAACCCGGGAGGCGGAGCTTGCAGTGAGCCAAGATTGCGCCACTGCACTCCAGCCTGGGCAACAGAGTGAGACTTCGTCTCAAAAAAAATAATAATAAAAAATAAAAAATAAATAAAACTAAAAGTCGTTTTCAAGGATCTGGGTATTAATTCAAAGTACCCAAATCAGAGAGCGGCCAAAAGCTACAAGCCCATGACCTATAGGATGGGTAGAGGTGGAAGCTATCCCTGGGGCATCGGCATTCAGTTGGCAGGAAGAGAAAGGCCACGGGAGTGGTTGTGCAGTTCAGAATGGGGCTGGGGGTGGCAGTTGCCTCTTGAGAAGGTCAGAGAAGACTGCGAGTCAGATCCCCTAAATAGTAACACATCCCCTAAGTTCTAGGGACACTCAGAGCAGGACAAGCACGTACCCTTAGCTTTTCACCTCAAATAAACTCAAGAGAACAGAGATATCCCAGAGTAGACGCAAGAGGTCAAATCCAGGGCAAGCATGAGAATTAAGGGTACGAAGGCTCAGGCCTGTAATCCCAGCTACTCGGAAGGCTGAGGTGAGAGGGTTAGAGCCCCGGAATTCGAGACCAGCCTGGGCAACATAACAAGACCCCATCTCTTAATAAAAAGAGAGAGAGAATTGAACATGTCCGTCGGTGCTAAAGGAAGGAGGCCATGCAAGGCAGAGAGGACTCCTTTGGAACTGTCCTGTCCATAAGCTCAGAACTGTGTGCAGCTCTCTTTAAGTCTAGAACCAGTGCCAAAACAGCCAGCCTGGCCAAGGGCAGATGAGGTGACTGGTGGAAATGGCAGCTTCCAGAAGGCAGGTTGCAACCATGACTAGAGTGAGTCTGCCTTTAACATGCAGCAATGAAAATTCCTCTCCTAAGATTTCCCATAGATCACTCTATTGCTTGAAGGTCATAGACTCTTAGGAGGAAATGGAAATTTACAAAAACTGAAAAGTTGATTTATTAAGGAAAAAATTACAGTAACAAGTGCATTTCTGTTCTGCTAATATTTGATTTAGACATGTGATATTTCTGCAAATTATACTCTGCATGTATACTTAAGTAAAACAGTGTAATTATCATTAAAATGAGACTAATACTGAAATTTAATTTTCTAAATCAATTTTCCCTGGCAATGAGTTTTAAATCTATCTTCTTTCTTCTGAATGCAAAAAAGCGGGGATGTTAGGTGATTCATTATCCAAAAAAAGTGCATTTCTGACAAACCAAAACACTTAATGACATTATTACCACAACTGCAACGTAAATAAATATCTTACCTTCTGGCTACTGAATACAGCAATAACCTTTACAAGCTAATATTTACCACGCACAACCCACAAAATAGCCACAAACCTTATTATGCTAGTACCCACATTGATATGCTGCTGATAATTTGTGATTATAAATGTTTATGTCACTTTTGTAATTAAGGGGTTAGGATGAGGTTAGTAGAGAGTGTTTATATTTTTCCAAAGGAGCAAAAATTCACAGATCCATTAGAGGCCAAATAAATGTATGCCTCTCTGAAATATTTGTATGCTGATAAGCTCATGGGAAGTTTGCTCTTTAAAAAAATATTCTGAAGGAATTTAAGCAGAGCAATCATAGTCTGTTGAATGCAATACATTCATCATAATTTTCATTCACTGGCTGGCCACCTTGCATTGCAATATCTTAAGTGAGACACCCCTTAAGACTAGTCAGCCCTCTGGCTTTAGATTATCCTGGTGAAGAAACAATGTCAAGAAGCTAACACTAAAGCAGATTAGATTTTCAGAAATTCTGAAAATTCAATGCATTTTGATTTTTAGATCTCCATGATACACTAACATGCATATTTATGATTTTACATCAATGCTACCATACCATACATTCCAGGATTCTTTTTTTTTTTTTTTTTTTTTTTTTTTTGAGATGGAGTCTTGCTCTGGTACCCAGATGGGAGTGCAGTGGCACAATCTCAGGTCACTGCAACCTCTGCCCCCCAGGTTCAAGTGATCCTTCTGCCTCAGCCTCCCTAGTAGCTGGGATTACAGGCGTGTGCCACCATGCCCGGCTAAATTTTGTATTTTTAGTAGAGATGGAGTTTCACCATGTTGGCCAGACTGGTCTCGAACTCCTGGCCTCAAGTAATACACCCGCCTCGGCCTCCCAAAGTGCTGGAATTACAGGTGTGAGCCACCGCACACAGCCCATTCCAGGATTATTATTTAATGTAGTGTTTTGTTTTCTTTTTCTCTTTTTTTTCTGTTTGCTCCCCTCTGTTCCTTTTCTCAACCCACATTACTCACCCCCAACCAAGGGAACTAGTATTATAGAAAATGTAATTTTTCATATTTTTTGCAGATGTGCATACATGTAGGTGTATATATATAACAGAGATTTTCATCATTGTTTTATATAAATAGGATCATAATATGATCATAATATAAACACTTAAGCAACTTGCTTTTCTCAATACCTTTGCAGGAATCCCTGCATATCAACTAGTATAGCTGTAATTTATTCTTTTCAATGGCTGCATAATCCTCTATTTGTGAATCACAATAATTACATAACCTTTTCCCTATTGTTAGATATTCTCTTTGTTTCCATTTTTTGCTACCATGAAAAATGTTGCAGTAAATATCATTGAAAATGTACTTGTGTACTGGAATTTTAATATTATGGGACAAATCCCCAGTGATGAAGTTACTGAGTTACAAGATGTTTTTGGTTTTAATAGATTGGTTTCCTAAAAGGCTCTAGAAATTAACATTTCCTTCAACAATTTGGGAGCATACACTTGTCCTGACATCCTGTCCATCAGTGATATCCTTCTTTTTTTTTTTTTTTTTTTAGATGGAGTCTTGCTGTGTCACCCAGGCTGGAGTGCATTGACGTGATCTCAGCTCACTGCAAGCTCTTCCTCCCGGGTTCACACCATTCTCCTGCCTCAGCCTCCTGAGTAGCTGAGACTACAGGCGCCTGCCACCACACCCGGCTAATTTTTTGTATTTTTAGTAGAGATGGTGTTTCACCGTGTTAGCCAGGATGGTCTCGATCTCCTGACCTCGTGATCTGCCCACCTCGGCCTCCCAAAGTGCTGGGATTACAGGTGTGAGCCACTGCGCCCAGCCAATATTCTTCTTTTTAATCTTTGCTAATGTGTAGCAAAGTAAATGGCATCTTGTTTTAATTTATATTCCCTTATCTGCTAGTAAATTCAGGTGCCTTCCCATGCTTATTTGCTTTTTGGATTTGTGCATCTTGAATTTTCTACTGGAATCTTGCTCACTTTTCATTGGTCTATATTTTTGGTAGTCATTTGTTAGCACTCTTTGCATATTAAAAATATGAACCCTTTATTTATATCTGTGTTGTAAATATAGCCTTCCAAGTCTATCATGTGTCTTTTGACTTTGTTGCCAAATAAAGGTTTTTGCCTATATTTAATAGGCAAATATGTCTTATCTTTTTTATGACTTCTGAATCTTGATAAAAATATTCACACCCCTAGATTGTTCATGAATTATCCCAGATTTTCTTCCAAGAGCTTTATTACTTATTTTATTTACATTTATCTTTAAAGCATGAGAAATTTATTTTTATATGTGATGACAATAGTGATCCAGTTCACAGAAGTATATGAATATCTACTATTCACTTAGCACTACATCTCTAAGCTGAAATGAAATCACAGTCTTTGCATCTCCAAACACTACCACATGTAGATCACCAATGAAATGACACAAAGACATCAAAACCTAAGTCATGATCCCCACCATCTAGAGACTTCGAGTTCCACTATTTAAAAAAAAAAATTCACAGTGAAAAATAGTAAGCGGCAAGAATATGGGATTAGGTTCTATGTTAGTTTTCCAGGGCTGCCATAACAAAGTACCATAGACTGAGTGATTTAAACAGCAGAAACTTACTTTCTCACAGTTCTGGAGGCTAGAAGTTCAAGATCAAGGTGTCAGCAAGGTTGTTTTCCTCTGAGGCCTTTTTCCTTGCCTTTAGATGGTCATCTTCTCATGGTCTTCTATTTGTGTGTGTCTGTCTTTTTTTTATTATTATTATACTCTAAATTTTAGGGTACATGTGCACAACGTGCAGGTTTGTTACATATATATACATGTGCCATGTTGGTGTGCTGCACCCATTAACTTGTCATTTAACATTAGGTATATCTCCTAATGCTATCCCTCCCCCCTCCCCCCACCCCACAACAGGCACCGATGTGTGATGTTCCCCTTCCTGTGTCCATGTGTTCTCATTGTTCAATTCCCACCTGTGAGTGAGAACATGCAGTGTTTGGTTTTTTGTCCTTGCAATAGTTCACTGAGAATGATGGTTTCCACCTTCATCCATGTCCCTACAAAGGATATGAACTCATCATTTTTTGTGGCTGCATAGTATTCCATGGTGTATATGTGCCACATTTTCTTAGTCCAGTCTATCATTGTTGGACATTTGGGTTGGTTCCAAGTCTTTGCTATTGTGAATAGTGCCACAATAAACATATGTGTGCATGTGTCTTTATAGCAGCATGATTTATAATCCTTTGAGTATATACCCAGTAATGGGATGGCTGGGTCAAATGGTATTTCTAGTTCTAGATCCCTGAGGATTCGCCACACTGACTTCCACAATGGTTGAACTAGTTTACAGTCCCACCAACAGTGTAAAAGTGTTCCTATTTCTCCACATCCTCTCCAGCACCTGTTGTTTCCTGACTTTTTAATGATCGCCATTCTAACTGGCGTGAGGTGGTATCTCATTGTGGTTTTGATTTGCATTTCTCTGATGGCCAGTGATGATGAGCATTTTTTCATGTGTTTTTTGGCTGCATAAATGTCTTCTTTTGAGAAGTGTCTGTTCATATCCTTCGCCCACTTTTTGATGGGGTTGTTTGTTTTTTTCTTGTAAATTTGTTTGAGTTCACTGTAGATTCTAGATATTAGCCCTTTGTCAGATGAGTAGATTGCAAAAATTTTCTCCCATTCTGTAGGTTGCCTATTCACTCTGATGGTAGTTTCTTTGGCTGTGCAGAAGCTCTTTAGTTTAATTAGATCCCATTTGTCAATTTTGGCTTTTGTTGCCATTGCTTTTGGTGTTTTAGTCATGAATTCCTTGCCCATGTAAGGAATGGTATTGCCTAGGTTTTCTTCTAGGGTTTTTATGGTTTTAGGTCTAACATTTAAATCTCTAATCCATCTTGAATTAATTTTAGTATAAGGTGTAATGAAGGGATCCAGTTTCAGCTTTCTACATATGGCTAGCCAGTTTTCCCAGCACCATTTATTAAATAGGGAATCATTTCCCCCATTTCTTGTTTTTGTCAGGTTTGTCAAAGATCAGATAGTTGTAGATAAGTGGCATTATTTCTGAGGGCTCTGTTCTGTTCCATTGGTCTATATCTCTGTTTTGGTATCAGTACCATGCTGTTTTGGTTACTGCAGCCTTGTAGTATAGTTTGAAGCCAGGTAGCATGATGCCTCCAGCTTTGTTCTTTTGGCTTAGGATTGACTTGGCAATGTGGGCTCTTTTTTGGTTCCATATGAACTTTAAAGTTGTTTTTTCCAATTCTGTGAAGAAAGTCATTGGTAGCTTGATGGGGATGGCATTGAATCTATAAACAAACCACTGCTCAATGAAATAAAAGAGGATACAAACAAATGGAAGAACATTTCATGCTCATGGGTAGGAAGAATCAATATTGTGAAAATGGCCATACTGCCCAAGGTAATTTATGGATTCAATGTGTGTGTCTGTCTTAATCTGCTCTTTTAAGGACAGCAGTCACATTAGATTAGGACCCACTTTAATGACATCATTTTAGCTTAATTACCTCGCTAAAGACCCTATCTCCAAATACAGTCACATTCTGAGCTACTGGAGGTTAAGATTTCAACATGTGAATTTTGAGGTGACACAATTCAGCCTGTAACAGGTTTAAAATGGCTTGTGCAACTAGCAAGTACCATTTATGCTCAATGAAAGAGAGATCACTGGGGAGTCAGTGAAAGCTTCATGAAAGAGATAGGATTGAAGGTGGACATTGAACAAGCTTAAGATTTCAGTGAGGCTATGAAAAGCTTTTCTATGAGAAGGTGAGAAAAAGCAAAGTTACACCTATAAACATCGTCTCTCAGGGCTTCAGTGAGATAACTGGACTGACAAGAGGAGAAAGTCCATTTGGGGGGAAATGGGAGATAAAACTGAAATTGCTAAGATTGTAAATAACCTGGAGTCAGAAGTTTAACTTGATGAAGAAAGAAAAAAGAGGCATCATCATAAATTTTTGAAACTTGAAATTTCACAATTAAAGTGGTATTTAAGAAAGGAAAATCTGGGCCAGGTGTGGTGGCTCACGCCTGTAATCCCAGCACTTTGGGAGGCTGAGGCGAGATCACCTGAGGTCAAGAGTTCGAGACCAGGCTGGCTAACATGCTGAAACCCCATCTCTACTAAAAATATAAAAATTATCTGGGCGCAGTGGCAAGCACCTGTAATCCCAGCTCCTTGGGAGAATGAGGCAGGAGAATAGCTTGAACCAGGGAGGCAGAGGTTGCAGTGAGCCAAAATTGCACCATTGCACTCCAGCCTGGGAGACAGAGCAAGACTCCATCTCAAAAAATAAAAATAAAAATAAAAGGAAAAAGAAAGGAAAATCTGGTTTTCATTTGTGAGATAAAGCATAGAAACCATATTAAGACTCTACCACAGTTATTAAATGAGTCGTTTCATCCAGAGTGATTGCAATGGCAAATGAGACTAGGTGGTGGATGAATATTAGATATTTCAAAGGATGTGTCAAAACAATGGACAGAAGTTAATGATTGCTTGTCTGTAGGAAATGAAGAAGAGGCACACGGCAAAGGTGTTATCATTGTTTTCAACCTGGGAAGCAGAAATAATGCTGCCATTGAGGTTGTAGTGTACAGAATGTTAGATGGAGAAGAATGATGACTGCGGGTTCATTTGAGTCTGAGAGAGAAGTATTCAGTAAGGAGTAAGAAATTAGGGCAGGAGCTCCTATGGGATGGGAGGGTCAAACCTGAGGTGTGCATTAGGAACACCAGAAATTGCCAGGACCTGAGGAGAGGATGATTCAATCCAGGAGGCAAGGGGAAGATCACTTAGTCATCTTAAGCACTTACTATGTGTCAAGTATTTCTATAAGTACTGGGAATACAAAGAAAAATAAGATAAGTCATCTACCTTCAGAAACTTTATCCTGAGTCATGAAGACAAGGGGTGTTTAATAATGCTTAATGATGAAGGGTCAGAGACAACAGGGACAGATAAAGGACCTTTGGATTTGTTGGTGAAATGCACCCTTCACCTTCTATTTGACATTAATTTTAATGTCAAAAACTGCAATTCCCTTTGCACCAACCTAATAGAAAGCATTTTCAATAGACAAATCAGATTGAATGGGGGAATATTTGATGAAAAAATGAACACAAGATCAATAATGCCTTTATTCCCAGAACCTTTTTTTGTTTTTCACTCTCTTGGCAATTATTCAGCTTCTTGGCCATCTTCATTTTAATTAATTTGTATTATGATAGTAATGTTCTGATATTTTAATTCAGATTTTAAATAATATTGAAGCCAAGTTAAAATTTAGTCACATACCACATTCATGTTTCTAAAAATATTAAGAATATCTAATAACTTATACCATATTTTTATGTTTCTTGCCATTCAGATTCAAATGAGTAATATAAATGGATATGACAAATGCATTTTGAAATGATAAAAGTTTGCAAGAGCCAATAGAAGCTATTTAATAATCAGCACTGGGAGAGAGGATAATGAGAAGGAAAAAAATAAAAGAACACTATTTATGATGGTGGCAAGAATTCAGGCCTTACCATCTTTCCTCGTGCCTGTGACAGTCTAAGATGGATCCAGAAATGGCTCAGATATTTGGACTCCCTCCACCTCCTCCATCTATTCCTTGAAAAAGGGAGAGAGGGAATGGGAGATGAACCTCCAGGGATGGGTTGGACAGTGCTTTCACTTTTGTTTATTACTAATCTGTACTAACATGGTCTCATTGACAAAGATCTCTTTTTGTTTTATTCAAAAAAGACAGTAATGTATGATAGTTGAGGTTTCTCTGAGGAGCATTGTTCCATGCACTACACCTCTGTGAAGTACTCCCAATTAGCTGATCTCCTTTGTCACCCAGACATTTCCCATACCTTTTGGAATGAATGAGCTGGATAATGTCAGAATATGAATACTTCTGTGATCAGTGTCTTTACTTAGTGGGCTGGTCAGGGAACTAGAAGGTTAGACGTCTATGAGTCTTTCACCCTCGGTTGAAGCTGATTTACACTTGCCAGTCACAGTTGTTTACATATAATAAATATAAATATTCATTTATTTGATTAGTCTAGTTTGGGACAGCTCTGTTTCTCTGTGTATTTCAACATCTGGGGATTAGGAATCATCACTCCCCCTTTACTGTATGCAAGAATGAGCTATTACTGCTTTTAAAGTCCTACCTAGAAATATGTGCTCAGGTGTATTGAATGAAGCTTTCCAATAAGTACCATACCCAACTCACACTTGTATCCTGATCTATCTGTCGAGCAGACATTCTTGCGCAAACAGAGTCGGTGGATGGGGTGGTCAAGAATCATGAAAAAAGTAGAAATATGTAATGAGGTCTATTAGCTCTGTAAATACAAAGCCACTTGTAATGAACATGAACATCCAAGTGTACAGATCACCAGAGGCTCTGACGGTGTTGCTCCCGGTTTGAGATCTTGGCTATATTAACAGAAAGAGTAGGAAAAGACAAAAAAATTTATTCTCTCTTGGTCACTCTTTTAATGTCATATCTAAAACAGCTGTTGGTTTGAGGTTCTAAATTTTGGAGAAAGAATAGATTAGGCTTTTGAGAAAGAGTCAACTCTGCAAATGAGCTGTCTCTTCATTTGGGGCCATAACATATGAGGCAGTACTTAAAAATGAAGATCGTGCAGTGCTTGGATAGACGGGTCACTGCGTGAGGCTGGTACAAGGGGGAGGGAAGGGACAGAAGAGGTTCTGTGAGCATAACATTCCTTTTTAAGTTTTTTTTCTGGCAGCTTTGACCCCTGACCTTATCCATCCTCTGAACTGCTCTATTCAATTCCACGTGACCAAACTATGCATTCTTTCTCGTTCTTTCCTTCCTCCCTCCCTCCCTCCCTTCCTTTCTTTCCTTTTTTTTTTTTCTTGAGACAGAGTTTTGTTCTTGTCACCCAGGCTGGAATGCAATGGCACGGTCTTTACTCATTGCAACCTCTGCCTCCCAGGTTCAAGCAATTCTCCTGCCTCAGCCTCCCAAGTAGCTGGGATTACGGGTGCCCACCACCACGCCTGACTAATTTTTTTGTATTTTTAGTAGAGACAGGGTTTCATCAGTTGGCCAGGCTGGTCTCGAACTCCTGACCTCAAGTGATCTGCCTGCCTCAGCCTCCCAAAGTGCTGGGATAACAGGCGTGAACCACTGCACCCGGCTGCATTGGTTTTCTTTTTCTTCCTCTTGTTTTCTTCCCCTTAGCTCTCAAAGTCCTAGACCACCAGACAACTAGAGGAAAGCACATGGTGAGGAGTAGGATAAGGGTTGGTTATGCAGCAAACGTATTTCCTTTTTCTCCAGCCTTAGCCTCAGTCATATGTGTATAATTTCTTATTTATCCCAAAAGGAAAACATCACTTGATAATAGTATTTGTAATTAAATACTTGTTTATGATCACCTTTCTTATAGGTGTCTGTAAAGGAGAGGAGCCAAAAATATTGAGACCCCCAAGACGACCCCGGAAACCCAAAACATTAAATAACCCTGAAGACTCCACATACTATTATCTACTTCATGTAAGTGGCTCACTCTTACTATCAGATGGGAGCCATCACATCTACTAATGGCCAGTGTGAAAACTGTGGCTAGATTAGTTCAGGCACAAAGGAAGGCCTGGCAGGACAGAGATGCGCTTGGTCTCCTCTTCACTGCCCTCCCCTGGCTGGGGATCTGGGCACTTTGATCTCCTCCAGCCCTTCTTCCTCACATTCAAGCCTCTCCCATGGTAGTACCTACCATGTCCTCCTTGCAGCTTTCTCTGCTGGTCCATTAATATGAGCTGATATGAAAATATCAACTCAGAAAGAGAAACCCATCATAGCAGGAGCTCTCCAGAGAGGGGCCCTGGTGTAAATGGGTGGGTTATGGTGAAACTAGAAGAAAAGGAAAGAAGAGGGGAAACAGACGTTTATTAAGCATCTTTTAAATTCCAGGCCTAGAATAAGGCTTGTTCACATCCACTGTGATAGCTAATCCTGGAAATATCCCTGAATGTATTATCCATATCTCTCAGATCAGGATTCTGAGACACAGATAAGCATGCCTTAGCTGCCAGGCCATTCATTTTATTGAGGTCTTCTGACCCCTCAGCTCCTGCTCACTAACAGCATGAGGACTCATTGGCGTTGCCCCTGATCGCCTGGCCTTCTTCTCATGTTCCTGTTCTCTATAAATGCCACTGTCATCCACATGGTCTCATAAACCAAGAACCTGGGAGTCATTCTGGTTTTTGTCCTCTCTCTCATACCTGTGATCCATCAGTGGCTCTAACTGTGGCTTCTACCTGCAAAAGCTCACTCCAACTCATTTCCCCCCTCTAATCTCACAGCAATTACCATATTTCAGACTATTAATCATTTCCCACTGTGGAATATTTCAGGTCCCACGTAACTGCCTAATCGCATCCTCTCCAGCCTGCACCTGAAAATGTCTCTAAACCATACCTTTGAGCATGCTCCTCCCTTAATTGTTCTTTTAATGGCTCAGCAACTCCTTCAGGATGAAGTCCTGATTCCTTCCAAGGCCTTCTTCGTGGGACCCGTGACTGCTTTTCAGCCTCTTTTCTTGCCCTCTTCTTGTCCTCGAGCCATAGTGAACTGCTTGAAACTCTGCTGGTGAGCTGCATTCCCTCATGCTCCCGAGGCCTTTGCACCCTCTGGCTGGTCCCTCCATTTGCAATATTTATTCAGTCTTCCACTCCCCACTGCCACAGTGACACAGCAGCACTCCCCTATGCCCTGGAGAACCCAGAGGATGTGTTGAAACCCAGAGAATCAGTTAGAAATAAGTTTCCCACCTCGCAGGCAGAAAATGAAGCTCACACTTGACCTCCAAGTTAGCCAGTCTTCTCTAGTTCATTCCCTTCTGTCTAGTGATTTCTTTTCAGTTTCCAAAGAGGGTTGTCTGTGGAAACCCATTCTCCTCCCCTCTCATTTCCTTTAGACAATCCCATTAGCTACTACAACCTCAGTGACTGCTGATTTCTGAATCTTGATCGCTGGCTTAGATCTCTCTGTAGCTCCAGACTCAAATATCAAACTACCTCATGTTTGTTTTACATATTCTACATAGATACACATGGGCATCCATGTATACATGTATAGAGATATATACACACACATACACATCCATACATGGGCGCACACACTCACAGCTTTGTTGAGATATAAATCGCATGCCATACAATTAACCCACCTTAATATACGTTAAATGGTTTTTAGTACAATAATCACAATCAATTTTACAACATTTTCATCACCTTAAAAAGAAACTCATTAGAAGTCATTACCCACTCCCCACCCCCTGCCCCAAGCTCTAGGCGATCACCAATCTAGTTTTCTGTTTCTGTAGATTTGCCTATTCTGGACATTTCCTATAAATAGAATCACACAATATATGGTCTTTTGTGAATAGTCAACTAATTTTACAAACCAGTAATCTGACTATTACCTTGACTTCTCCCTCGTTCTCATCTTCCATATTCAAAAATCTAAATCCAAATATCTCTTGAGTTTCTGTTTCTCTCCATGCTCTGTGCTAATACCCTCTTCCAGGCCAGCATGTCTTGTCAGTAGTTCTGAGTCACTCCTCTTACTGGTCCCTTGGTCTTGTTTTTCCCCTTCCAATTAACGTATTTTCCACACTGTAGCCTGAGTTGTATTTCTAAAATTAATATCCAATTATACTATCCTCCCATTGATGGAACTTTTCTGTTACGTCTCACTGTCCTAAGATATGAAGGCCTGTCAAAATCTGGGCCTGCTCACCTTTCCAGCCTCTGTGCTTGATATTCATTCATTCACCCCTCCAAACTCTCCACTCCAGCCCTTCCTTCCCAGTAACCTGCATTCTCCTCTTCAAATTGTCCACGAACATTTGTCCTTGGACATGCCCTTTTCTCAGCCTAAAACACACATCCTCTTCCCCTTCTTGTCTTTCATGATCAAAACACCCTCAGCCTAGATGTCTTTTTCTTCAGGAAACCTTCTTGTCACTCCCAAATCCCAAGAGAGCTCTTCCTATATCCTCCCGAAGAAGCCCATACTTCCCTTTTATGACACTTTATCATGCTAAAGAGGGATTGGTGTGGCTTCCACGAGGTCAAGGAGTTTGCCTATTGCATTCAACCTGACACATAGCAGGCATGCAATAAATATGTGTTGTACAAATGAGAGCAATGAAATAAAAGAATGAAAAACAAATAGGAGTAAATTGAGAAAAATCTAAAATTCCAGATACCTGCGTTTGACAGTCACTTTATATAGGAAGCTGAATAAGAAATGAAATTGATTTTTTTCTATGCTCTCAAATAATTTAAAAAGCAGCAAATACTCTGACATTTGTTTATGCAATTAAATAGAACAGCAGAAACAAGATTAGAAATTACCAAACATTCCCTATTAACCCTGAGTTTAAGTAGTCAATGATACTCAATGCTCTTTATTAAGTGCAACTGAAATGACAAGTGATTGTGATGGCTTCAACAGCAGATACTATTCCCAGTATGAGAAATTGTAAAAGACCTGAACTGAAGTGAAATGTTATTACTAACAACCAGTGAGAAGTGTGGAGCAAATTCTGAGCCTCATAAATGAGTTCCATCCCCAAGAAGCTTACTTTGTCATTGCACTATTATTTTTAAGTGACTATATTTCCATACATCCTAAGTCATTAGGGAATAGGATCCTTTTTAATAACTCTGAGTTTGAAATCTATGACTTCAATGAAAAATAACACAGAAAAGGAGTATATTATTACAAGTGAAGATATACCACGTGTTCATATTTATCTGGCCCTTCCCAGGATTTGAGGCATTACACATAGTGAAAAGTGTGGCTGTAATGAGGCCCCAGTCCCTTTAACCACCAAACACTTTCTGTAATTTTAAATGGTTTTCATGAAAGTCTTTCTAAAATATATTATACTGCATATTTTAAACCCTTTCTTGATGACCCAGGGTCACTTAAGTGAATGAATTTTTTTTAACTTTTTTTAATGTTTTATTTTTCATTTTTATGGATACATACTAGTTGTACATGTTTATGGAATACATGTGATATTTCGATACAAGCATACAATGTGTAATGATCAAATCAGGATAACTGGAGCATCCATCGTCTCAAGCATTTATTTCTTTGTTAGGAACATCTCAATTCCACTGTTTTAGTTATTTTGAAATATACAATAGAGTACTGTGAACTTTTATTGTAGCACTATTCAAAATGTTTGTTCTTGATTCTTGTTACTGAAACACCAGGGGTTTGGTTGAGGTCCCGCTGCGCACCACACAGAAAGCCAATCACTGAACCGAGTATTACCAAGGAAGAAGGCCTTAATCAGGTGCCGTAGCCCAGGAGACACGAGCTCAGTCTCAAATCCATCTCCCTTACAGATTCAGGCCAGGGATTTATATAGCAGGGAGGAAATGTAACAATGTTTAAGAAAACAAGAACTAGGGAGGGGCAAGGAAGTAGTCATGGTGAATGAGTGCAGTGTTGTGGTGAGTTTCAGTCCTTTTTTTGAGGGGCCTGAAGGTTATTTCCTGAGGAAGGAACTCAGATAAAACAAAAGTTTCAAACTTTAAGACCAGAAGGGTTAGTTTCTATGTTTATCAAAAAGAACAGTCTATGGGACTATTGGGTTGGTTTCATTTGTATCTATACTTACCAGAAGATCCCTGACTGCCATGGCTAAGGCAGCACCCAATCTCTCTTGTATGTCCCTGGCCTGCTTCATTTTTCTCCGCTGCATTTTGCGTTTTTTGTTGTTGTTGGTGGTGGTGGTTTTGAGACAGAGTCTCACTTTGTTGCCCAGGCTGGAATGCAGTGGCCCAATCTCAGCTCACTGCAACCTCCGCCTCCCGGGTTCAACCGATTCTCCTGCCTTAGCCTCCCAAGTAGCTAGGATTACAGGCACCTGCTGCCATGCCCAGATAAATTTTTTGTATTTTTAGTAAAGCCGGGATTTCACCATGTTGGCTAGGCTGGTCTCAAACTCCTGACCTCAGGTGATCTGCCCGTCTTGGCCTCCCAAAGTGCTGGAATTACAGGCGTGAGCCACCACACCCAGCCTTCTTCAGTGCATTTATAAATATTTATTTGTCTACTTGTCTCCTGTGTGACTTCCCCCTCTAAACTAGAAGCTCTATGGAGGCGAGGCCTATGCTCGCTGTTACAGCCATACTCCTCAGAACACTGTGCTGCTTACATCGTAACTAGAAGACTGTTAAATAATAGACCACTGTAGTACAGTACTCTCAGGGGCTGTTGAGTTGTAGAAAATTATTTCCTTTACATTTGCCCAACACAAACATCTCTGCTTTCAGTTGTTTTGCTATTTTTATAGTTTTTGTTTTGTTTTTTTTTCTCCTTGGATGTCACTTCTTACAATGGCGATTCTAGCGGCCTTAAAATCAGTATTGCCTCTTTCCTATGACTTGATGCTCTTTATCTCTTACGTCCAGGAAATGCTGCTGCTGTGTCCAAAATAAGAGTGAGCCAAGCCGCAGAAGCGTGCCTGTGGAGGAGAGCATTAGCGGAGTGCGCATGGCCTGTTGTACTGCCTGGGCTAATGCTCAAAGCTGTGCAGCATCAGCAAAAATGACTCAGGGCCAAGTTTCCTCAAAAAAACGAGTAATCGAACACAATCTTATCAGAGATCCCTTCCAATTTTATTATTCTTTCCAGTACTTTCCCTGAACTACAGCAGTAGCTAGTTTGGCCACTCCAAAGTCTTTTTCTTCCTAACTTCAACGTTTAGCTCCTTCATCCGTCTAAATAAAGAAATTGGTAGTGTATTACCAAAAGGAAAGTAAGATTGTGCTCACCATGATGTAATGGATATGAATTTTAACGTTTTGTCATAAAACATATTTCTTTATGTCGGGTGGGGCTGGAGGGGGAGTGCAATGTGCCTGATTAAGGAACAGGTTCTTCAAAGTCTTCAGAGCTAAGACACTATTCTTTAAAGGCCTCCTCAAGAAACACCCAAGCCAGAAAATCTACGTGAGTCATGTTTGTCTCCTCTTTCTTTCTTTTCTCTACTCTGGTTCTACAGGAAATTGCCATGGGACATTTGCTTCTTTATTTGCATTTCAAATTTCAAGTTTTTAATTTGTAATTTCAAAACTATAATTGAAAACATTGTACATCTTCGCAAAAAAGTCCCCACTATAAAGTCCGTGTAATAAATTTCTTATAAAATCCTCACCTTTGAGGAGTGATATGCTTCCCTTTTCATGACAAAGGGTAGAGGTTAATGCATCGTGCTCCCCTTTTAGCCCCAGCTGTTAGGAAACTAAGAGACAAATGTAAGCCTCCATCTTAATGCACCTACTTCCTTTGCCTCCTTTGTTTCTCATTTACAATTTTTACTTTATTATTTTGATTGTATAACGACTTATATTATGAGCCATCTTAAATAATTTTTGGAAAAATATATTACTGAATTACATTTCATGAGAATATTCTAACACAAGGCCACGCGCAGCGGCTCACACCTGTAATCCCAGCACTTGGAGAGGCCGAGGTGGGTGGATTGCTTGAGCTTAAGAGTTCGAGACCAGCCTGGGGAACATAGCGAAACCTTGTCTCCACAAAAACTACAAAAATTACCTGGGCACGATGGGTCATGACTATAGTCCCAGCTACAAGGATGGCTAAGGTGGGAGGATCACTAAGGTGGGAGGATCACTTGAGCTCAGGAGGCAGAAGTTGCAGTGAGCCGAGATTGCACTGCTGCACTCCAGCCTGAGTCACAGAGCGAGACACTGTCTCAAAAAAAAAGAAAAGAAAAAAGAATATTCTAACACAGGCAAGAGTGAAAGATGTCTGGACAATACATCCTCTTCTAGGAATTCGTGTAACTGAGAACCAACTTATATACACCATGTCCCAGAAGGAAGTGCTGATCTAGTATAAATAGGATCTTCACCAGCCTGAGAATTCAAGGGCAGAACATTATTTGATTCTTGGTTATATAAAGGGCATCTCTGTCACTCAACATAGTGCCATCACTTAAGCCTAACTTTGAACTATAGGCAATTGTTACCCAGAACAAAAGGGACTTTTTTTCAGGTAATGGATGAGGGAGGCAGGACCTCTGTAGGAAACTACTACTGAAGTCATGTTAAAACAGAAACAACCACCACAACAAACAGCACCCCAGTCCCGGAGATCATTAACTGAACTGCTAGTGGCCACTGTTCCTATGCAGGCAATGTAATTATTTGTAAGCGCCTCTTAGCCTAGGGCATTGGATCAAGAATGTGAAGTGACAGGAAACGGGAGAACAGGAATGTAATTGATATCCTGCCCTTACATTATTTCCTGAATGGTCTCCTCCCAGACTTGATGCAAGGAAGCACTCACTTCCACCTCATCCACCCGTTAAAATGCCAACCAATAAGAATAAAAGAAACCATGAACTGTTTCACTCATCTACTATTTTAGAGCACAACAAATGATAAATCCTGAAAAAAACGTGACTTACTGTGTCTCTAAGAATACTGGGGAAAACCCTCAGTATTTATAAACCATTATTAACTGCCATTTTTGTTATACAACACTTTTATGGTACCAGCCAACTTGATACCTGCTATAGGGTTTCCACAGTTATAATATCTTCAGTTTGTTCAAGGTGAGTATGGTGTCTGTTTTCTCAGCCTAAAAGACAAATACGCTGTGGCAACATGTAAATAGATGAGCTCAAATGTATTGAAGTAGCACACACACAAAAACACATTACTAATGCTACAGTGCAAAAGATAATACTGGTTTGTATATAAGGTGAAACTTACATACAAAGGACCATTTTGTTAGTGTTCGAATTGAAGTATCAGTTAAAATATATCTAATGATTTCCATATTTGCGTATCTTAATTTGTTCTGACCTTGATACATAAAGTTCTCAACTATGAAAACATTGTGCAAATGAAAACATATATCATCTGTGCTGCTACATTTATGTCATAAATGGGCTCCTATAGGTTTATGAAGTCACAATTCCATTCTTTTTGCGGACTGTTTCACCTGCCGTCCATATTCACCCATCTGTTTTACCTGCAGACAAAGAAGCAAGACATTCAAAGCAGCTTAATTAACCTGCTTCCATCACAACTGCATTTGTATAGAGAAATGGGCTTCCCAGAAATTTTAGTTTGCTCCCGTTTGTAGTAAATAGATCTTATGTATAGCCTTGTTTATATTGGTCACTGTGTGGGAAATACATTTTTCATGTGGAATGCAAAGATTCGTTTCAGTTTAGGTGTGGCAAAAATAACCAGAAATTTATAATTAATAAAACTTGAGTAAATTATATTTCTTTAAATTTTTAAAATATTGTATCCACTTGCTTATTTCTAACTTAGTCTTTTAAGAGTAAATGTATTTACATATTAAGATTATAGTTATATATCCATTATATTAAGATCATAATATTATATAGATCTTTTGAATTCTTCTTTCCTTTAGAAGTCAATCCAAGAAGAAAAACGAAGACCAAGGAAAGACAGGTAATTATTACTTCTGGATTTCAATCAGTCATCTTATTCAAACAAAAATAAAAATCCATGTGTTCAAATTATGATTTAAAATCACCTATTTTAGGCCAGGCGCGGTGGCTCACGCCTGTAATCCCAGAACTTTGGGAGGCCGAGGCGGGTGGATCACGAGGTCAGGAGATCGAGACCATCCTGGCTAACACGGTGAAACCCCGTCTCTACTAAAAATACAAAAAAAAAAAATTAGCCGGGCGTAGTGGCAGGCGCCTGTAGTCCCAGCTACTCAGGAGGCTGAGGCAGGAGAATGGCGTGAACCCGGGAGACGGAGCTTGCCGTGAGCCGAGATTGCGCCACTGCACTCCAGCCTGAGCAGTCGACTGGGCGAGACTCCGTCTCAAAAAAAAAAAAAAAAATCACCTATTTTATATGCATAGATTTGGAAAGTAATGTGCACCCAATACATTTACGTTACGAATATGTGATTTATATATAATTTATAAGATCCTGCCTACTGGAAATCTATTGAGCCAGCATAGCACTAAGAACTTAAATATGTTTTAAATGAATCGTACCCTCCCAGTAGGTAATTTGCTTTTCTTGTTCCATGGAATGGTTTTGCTTGGGCAATTTGAACATACCTGTATTCATGAATTTCCTTTCCCCAAACTCCTTTTTGCTTTTTCTCCTTCTACACATGCTAAATCTTGCTGCTTGTAATTTTTATAGATTTGTTAAGAAGATAAGGTTTATGTTACTTGCAAGTATAGCACACTTAAATTCACATTATTCTCCTTTTCTTATATTTCCCACTGATATTTTACTCTTTTAATATTATATCACTGTTTTAATCAATGTTCATGTCAACCAATTTCCAGACAGTGAGTGCTAAGAACAAACAAGAGCGTTTCTATTAAGCATGAGTGAACACAGTTCTTTATTTCTGAATCAGTGACATCCTGAAAGTCCTTTTTAGATTAGTATCTGTAATTTGAAAAGTGTGTTTTCCTGGAAGCATTGTAACACCTGGAGATTTCCCAGACCTACCTGTTTATCTCTTAGGAAGTCCCAGAGCACCATAGGAACCAGACTGTGCCCTGAGTAGAACCAAGAATTAACATGGGCAAGGATGCACCCTTATGTGTATGTCATGTGTGGGTGTTAAAATCTAGCACAGAAATTAATCCGCTAAAGAACAGAGTAGAGGGAGGACAGAATGTTATTCATGAAGGAGGTAAGTTAAGATCATATGTGTATCAATGTACTGAGGGCTGATAAAATTTGAAAATGCTGAGTATTAGTACACAAAGGTGAGCTTTTCTGATAATGGCCTAAAGGTCAGTAGTGACTGCTGATCTGGACTGGCCAAACTGAAACACTGCAATCACTGGCTATTCTAGTAACCACTAGTTTGGTGCCAAGTTCAGTGCAATAGAACCAGGAAAATGTGTTCCCACAGCTAATGTTCTGTTCAAGGTAAGATATGAAGGTTTTTCTTTTTTACTTATGGGATACACTGTTTTTCCCACATTTCAAGACCTTCCATTTCTATTGACATGTGTATGTTACTCTAAATTATAGTAAATACTTTTAAAGAAAAAAAAGTATCCTGTAAGTTTAAGTGAGTAGAAAATTAGATTGATGCAATGGTGTGTTTATGTGTTCATTTACAGTCAGGGAAAATTATTAGATTTGGAAGATTTCTATTATAAGGAATTTTTGCCCAGTCGTTCTGGACCAAAGGAACATAGCCCTAGTTTAAGAGAACGAAGACCACAGCAAGAACTCCAGAATCAATGTATTAAGGCTAATGAAAGGTAAAAAGCTAAACTTTAAAGTACATCATTTGCAGTTTTATACTCACAATTTCATTTCTTAAGATATTTCACTTTATATATAGATGAATGACAAAGCACTCTTACTGAATATTGCATCTTTGGAGTGATATGGTGTTTAAAAGTAATGTCATGTACAGTGTTATGGTAAAGTAATCAGATACCTCAGTTTTCCTAGCAAAAACTGAGTTTTTATCTGTTTTCTTGGAGTAATTATTAACAAAAACTCCTGTTATTTAATAAAAGTACTTCAGTTTGGATGATAAATTATTATATGGTCATCTGATTGTAAGCAATATATCATATCCAAAATCTATATTCAAGCTCAATCAAAGTAATTTTAATTACTCATTGGTTTCTTAATTATGCTTGTTAATTTCTCAGAATCAATGATGTCAGACCCAAAAACATTTGAGAGAAAGATTCATAGAAAAATGCATATTTTGGACTTGAATTCTCACCTTGCCACCAACTTTCTGACATTAAGTAAATTATTTTGTAGCTTATTTCATACTTTAGGAATTTTTTCTCTTTTCTCCCAAAATATCTGTGGCATTTTGAGATCTGGGTACATAATAAAACAAACATGACATATGAAAAATGGGAGTAATGATGGAAAACAAAAAGCTGTTCATCCAAAATTCTAAACGAATATCCTGTGAATCTAGGGTCCTCAGAACCCTCACCCATTTTACAGAGTGACATGGTGGTTAAGAAAAGAAGTTTTAGAGTCACATGGTCTTAGGTTTGGATCCTGATCCTGCTGCTTAGTTGTTGAGTGACCTTGCTCATGATAGTTGACCTCTTTAAGCTTCATTTCCATATCTGCAAAAGAATTTACTAATAACTGCCTCACCATGTTGTTGTAGAGACTAAATGTAGCAATAGGGTACTTAGGAGAGGCATAGGAAAGGTGTTCTATCAGTGGTGGCTATTATCATCTTTATTTGCTTTTTCAGAATCCATCTAAACTATGATATTTGCCCTTTGCCTCCAAAAGAAGATGTGCTCTTCCATCTTGGGATCCAGCACTGTAACATGTTGGAGCTTAGAGATGTTCTAGTCTAATCTCAGAGCTCTGTACAGAAGAACACCAAATGCCAGAAAGATTAAGTGATTTGCCCAAGATCACACACTGAGTTAGTGAACTAAAATCCCAGATGTTCACTCCCTGCCCATTTGCTTTTCACTGACTTACCTGCTTCCCATTTTAAAAGCTCACCCTGCCCCTTCTCCAATGTATCCTTCCCCTTCCCCCCACTGGCAGATACACATCTGCTATGAAAGCGTTCTATTCCTGAAATACTCCTGATGTAGATTAAGTGATGTCTATGGGTGTTATTTAGTATCCACTGCAATAAATGCTAGCAGCTAGTATTGTTGACTGCCTACATTGTGCTAGGCACTATGCCATTGTCTCATTTAATCCTCACAGCAACCGCACGAGGCAGTTACTATTATTGCCCCATTTTATAGATGAGGAGGCTAAATCTACAAAGTTTAGTGACTGCAAAGAGTCACCTAGATGATAAGTTCATGGAGCCAGAATTTCTAAGTTTAGAGTTGATGGCCTTAACCATTACTCAGTATTTCCATCCTATGCAAAAGATCATGCTGGGCATTTGAAGAAGGGGTGGATAGAATAGTGCATAAGATGTGATCCTTACCTCCAAGAGCTTGATGCTGAAGGAAAAGTATACCCATATAACAAAGCTGAACAAGGTAACTCAGATAAGGTTTTTTTTTCTAAACTAAGGAAGGTTACAGAGACAAAACAGCCTTGACAGTATCCTGAATTTAAAATAGAAAACAAAAACCAAACAGCGAAATAGTGCTATTGAAACAATTGGAGAAATTTGAGACTAAGCTACAT
Source organism: Homo sapiens (assembly GCF_000001405.40). NCBI lineage: Eukaryota > Metazoa > Chordata > Mammalia > Primates > Hominidae > Homo > Homo sapiens. Next base: position 26,204,999 of record NC_000010.11, read on the forward strand.
GTCAGAAGATGTTAGTGCACAAAGAATATCTTTTTGTGTATATACACACACCAAGTATTGGCATTGCGCGAGAGGGTGTAAGTCTGGGAGTAAGAGACAACAGCGATGGTGAACTGAGTGCCTTGTGATTTTTTTAATTGACAAAACGTGTATAAACTTGTGGTATAGAACATGATGTTTTAAGATACATGTACATTGTGGAATGGCTTGATCATGCTAATTAACATATGAATTACCTCACTTAGCTATCTTTTTTATGGTGAAAGCACTTAAAATCTACCCTCAGCAGTTTTCAAGTACACAATACATTTCTATTAACTATAGTCACCATGTTGTACAATAAATCTCTTGAATTTATTCCTCCTGCCTAACTGACATTTTGTATCCTTTGACTGATCTCTCTCCCCAGTCCCGTGACCAGTGCCCTGGTAACTACTATTCTACTCACTGCTCTGTGTGCTTGTCTTTTTTTTTTTTTTTTGGGGGGGGGCTTCCATGTATAAGTGAGATCATGCTATATTTGTCTTTCTGCACCTGACTTCTTTCACTTAGCATTCTGTCCTCCAGGTTCACTCGTGTTGTTAAAAATGGCAGGATTTCTTTTCTTTTCTTTTTTTTTTTTTTTTTTTTTTTTTTGAGACAGAGTCTGGCTCTGTCGCCCAGGCTGGAATGCAGTGGCACGATCTCGGCTCACTGCAAGCTCCGCCTCCTGGGTTCATGCCATTCTCCTGCCTCAGCCTCCCAAGTAGCTGGGACTACAGGCACCCGCCATCACTCCCGGCTAATATTTTTTTGTATTTTTAGTAGAGACAGGGTTTCACTGTGTTAGCCAGGATGGTCTCGATCTTCTGACCTTGTGATTTGCCCTCCTCGGCCTCCCAAAATGCTGGGATTACAGGCGTGAGCCACCGTGCCCAGCCGGATTTCTTTCTTTTTTAAGGCAGAAGGGTATTCCATTGTGTACATATACCACATGTTCATTATCCATTCATCCATTGATGGACTCTTAAGTTGATTCCATATATTGGCTCTTGTGAATAATGCTGCAATGAACATCTGAGTGCAGATTTTTTTTTTTTTTTGAGTGAGTCTCGCTCTGTCATCTAAGCTGGAGTTCAGTGGCATGATCTCAGCTCACTGCAACCTCTGCCTCCCAGGTTCAAGCGAGTCTCCTGCCTCAGCCTCCAGAGTAACTGGGATTACAGGTGCATGCCACTCTGCCCGGCTAATTTTTATATTTTTGGTAGAGACGGGGTTTCACCATGTTGGCCAGGCTGGTCTTGAACTTCTGGCCTCAAGTGATCCATCCGCCTCGGCCTCCCACAGTGCTAAGATTACAGGCGTGAGCCACAGCGCCCAGCCCAGGTATCTTTTTTACATACTGATTTCATTACCTTTGGATATATGCCCAGAAGTAGGATCATATTTATTTTATTTTATTATATTATTTATTTGTTTATTTATTTTTGAGACATAGTCTCACTCTGTCACCCAGGCTGGAGTTCAATGGCACGATCTTAGCTCACTGCAACCTCCACCTCCCAGGTTCAAGTGATTCTCCTGCCTCAGCCTCCCAAATACCTGGGATTACAGGTGCCTGCCACCATACCCATCTAATTTTTGTAATTTTAGTAGAGATGGGGTTTCACCATGTTGGCCAGGCTGGTCTCAAACTCCTGACCTCAGGTGATCTGCCCACCTCGGCCTCCCAAAGTGCTGGGATTACAGGCGTGAGCCACCGCGCCCAGCCTGATTTTAATTTTTTAAGGAACTGCCATACTGTTTTCTGTAATGGTTGTACTAATTCACATTCCCACCAATGATGTGCAAGAGTTTCCCTTTTCTCCCCACCTTTGCGAACATTTGTAACCTTTCATGTTTTTTATAGTAGCCATCCTAACAGGTGTGAGATCTCATTGTGTTTGTAATTTGCATTTCCCCAATGATTAGTGATATTGAACATTTTTTCATATACGTGTTGACCATTTCTCAGTCTTCTTTTGAGAAATGTTTATTTGGGTCTTTTGCCCATTGTTTAATTGGGTTATTGGAGGGTTGTTTTCTGTTTGGGTTTTTTTTTTCTAAGTTGTATCAGTTTCCTTATATATTTTGGATATTAACCACTTACTAGATGCATAGTTTGCAAATATTTTCTCCCATTTAAATGATTGTTTCTTCATTCTGTTGAATGCTTCCTCTGCTGTGCAGAAGCTTTTTAGTTTGATGTAATCCCATTTGTCTATTTTTTTGCTTTTGTTGCCAGTGCTTTTGAGATCACAATCATTGCCCAGACCAATGTCATGGAGGTTTTCCCTTATAATTTCTTTCTTTTCTTTTCTCTTTTTAGGCAGCATCACATGAGCTAGCCCCTGTATTTTCTTCTAGTTTTGCAGTTTCATGTCTAATGTTTAAGTCTCTAATCCATTTGGAATTGATTTTTGTATGTGAGATTGCTATTTGTAAGTGAGATAACAATCTAATTTCATTCTTCTGCATGTGGACATGTGGTTTTTGCAGCACCACTTATTGAAGAGACTGTCCTTTCCCCATTGTGTGTTTTTGGCATCTTTGTTGAAAATCAAATGACTGTAAATGTTGGATTTATTTCTGGGCTCTCTATTCTGTTGGTCTATGCATCTGTTCTTATGCCAGTACCATGCTGTTTTACTTACAATAGCTTTTTAATATAGTTTGAAATCAGATAGTGTGATGTCTCCCTGCTTTCTTCTTTTTGCTCAAGATAGCTTTGACTACCAAAGGGTCTTCTGTGGTTCTATACAAATTTTAGGATTTTTTTCCTATATTTGTGAAGATGTCATTGGAATTTTGATAGAGATTCCATTGAATCTGTAGATTGCTGTGGGTAGTATGAGCATTTTACCAATATTAATTATTCTGATCCATGAACACGGAATATCTTTCCATTTATTTGTGTCATCTGCAATTTTGTTCATCAATGCTTTATACTTTTCAATGTATAGATCTTTTACCTCCTTGATTAAATTTATTCCTAAGTATTTTTTGTAGCTACTGTAAGTGAGATTGTTTTCTTGATTTTTTTTTTGATAGTTCATTGTTCTCATGGACTTTAAATGAATGAAAGCTGGTGACAGGCAATCAGTGATTAGAGAATGGCACTAGAGGAAAAGAGGACAACAAGAGGCTGACATCTGCTTGTCTCCTCTGAAGATGGGACCTAGTGGGGTCTCTGTTGGGCGGTGGTGAGAGATGTGGGGTGTTTAGGGCATAAGCAGGTTTTAATTATGGCAAGATGATCAATGGAGGATAAAAAGGGGAAAATAAGATGGAACACAAGTGCCTCAGTTAAGAGACAGGAGAATTGTGAAAGAAGCATCAACAAAAAAAGAGGCAAAAGGATACAAGGAGGAAAGCCTAAGATTTGAGCCCTATAGACCTGGGTTTGAATCTGCACTCCACTTCTTACTAGCCATGGCAACTAGGATCAGTCTGTTTTCTCATCTGCAAATTGAAAATAACAAGAATCTAAGGCTTTGCAGTGTTGTCCTTAGAATTAGAAATAATGTTTGTGATATACCTGGCAGATAGTTGATATTTAATATTCTTAAAACAGAAATAAGCTGAATAGGTATGAAAATTCAAGTCAGTAACTCAGAAGAGGATGATCTGCTCCTTCAATACCCATCATGATGCTACTTGACCTTCCCCGTCAAGTATCCACTGAGCTCAGGATGCCCTGAAAGACCTTGCCAAAGGTTTTTTTCTTTTTCTTTTCCTTTTAATTCCCTATTCAGAACAGACCAGAATAGAGGCATATTCCATCTGCAGGCTACGTTCTAGACCTCTCCTTTCACCATTATTTTCATTCATTTGCATATATGTCCAATGGCCTTGCCCTCTCTCCTTCAATTATATTCAACTGGCAAACTCCAATGCTGAGTAAAATCAAAACAATTTAATCCCACTTAAAATTATGGCCACTCCTTAGGCAGCCCCTTAGTTACTTTGCAATATTACATTTCCCTAAAAATTCCTTATGCCACTTTCCCTGTCCACTCTTTCAAACTTCCTCCTCTCTCCTCAAACCCTCCAAACTTCCTGGCTCTCAGCTGACAACCTTCTTTTATAACAGTAGCAGATAACAGACACATGCTGAATATATCAGTCGTCCTACCACTTACCTATCTACTTCCCTCAGGATTCTATGGATGACCTTTCCACCCTCCTAGCTAAAGTGAAACCTTCCCTTTGTGCACTAAATCCAAGTGCTATCATTGACTCAAGGACATTGTCCTGCAATTGTCCCCTCACTCTTCTGCACCTTGAATGTTTGTTCTCTTTACGAAATCATTTCTGGCAATTAGTGAACATGATGCATTCAGATCCATCTTAAAAAACATCCTTGACCCAATCCCCCCCTACAACCACCCATTTTTTCTGCTCTTCAGTATAGTAAATGAATAATACATGAAAGAGTAATGATACTACCTCCTGCACATTCTTTCTTCCTATTCTCTTGAGCCGCTTCAAGGTCAGGTTTCCTCTCCCAGCACGACACTGAAATTGCCTCTGCCAAGGTTAACAGTGACCTCCGTTTTGCCATGCTCTGTGATTTAACACCTATGTTACTCATTTTTTCTTTAAGTACTTCATTCACTGGCCTTCAGGACAGCACTTCTCTTGGTTTGCCTCTTACTTTACTGGCTGCTCTTTCTCATTCTCCCTGCTGACTTTTCTCATTTCACTGATCTCTCAGTAATGGAGTGTCCCAGACCTTTGCTTTATCAACATGCACTCTCATGACCTTAAATATTGTCTGAGTACTTAAAATTCCTGGCCTGGCACTGTGGGTCATGCCTGTAATCCCAGCACTTTGGAAGGCTAAGGCAGGAGGATCACTTGAGCTCAGGAGTTCAAGACCAGCCGGGGTAACATTAGTGGGATCCTGTCTTTACAAAAACATAAAAATAAAAAAAGGAGCCAGGCGTAGTGGCTCATGCCTGTAGTCCCAGCTACTCAGGAAGCTGAGGCTGGAGGATCAGTTGAGCTTTGGAGGTTGAGGCTGCAGTGAGGCTGTTATTGTACCACTGCACTTTAGCCTGGGTGACAGAGTGAGAAAGAGCGAAAAGAGAGAGAGAAGGGAGGGAGGGAGGGAGGGAAGGAAGGAAGGAAGAAAGGAAGGAAGGAAGGGAGGGAGGGAAGGAATTGTCTTTGTACTTAAAATTTGTGAACTGAAATATCTAGCCTTGCCATGACTTATATATTTGATATCTTCTTGAATATCTAATAAATATCTCAAACTTAGCATAACCAAAACTAAAATGTTTATCCCACTGCAAAAATTATGCTTCTCTGCAGCCTTCCCCATCTCATTAAATGACAGTTCCATCCTTCCAGTTTTTAAGCCAAAAGCCTTGGCGACATTCTTGGTTCTTCTCTTTCACACCCCACGTTTAATCCATCAGTGAGCCAACCCTTTCAGTTCTACTTCCAAGTATGACCATAATCTGGCCAGTTCTCACCTCCTCCTCCACAGGCCTAGTGTAAGCCACTATCGGTCTTGCTTGGATTACTACAGAATCTCTTAACAGGCCTTCCTACTTTCATCCTGGCAGACAGATCCTGTTATGAGTGATTCCTCTGCACAGAACCCTTCAATGTTTCTCTCACTGTGAGGAGAAGTCAAGTCCTTGACATGGTCTCAAATTATCTGAACACTAAATTATCCGAACACTCTATCCTCATTCCTCCTTCTCTCATCTCTTGCTATTTCCCCCTCTCGCTTACTCTTTTCAAGCCACAGTGGTCTCCTTGCTGTTCCTTGAACACGATGTGTACACTCTAGTCTTGCAGCCTTTACATTGCTTGATCTATCATCCTGGAATTACTGCCCTTCCCCACGAGATCTGCATGGCTCACTGTCTTCCTTCAGGTCTCTCCTTATATATCACCTTGTCAGAGAGGCCTTTCCAACCACCCTGTATCAAATTGCCTGTACACACATGCACACACACACACACACACCACTCTTTCCCCATTACCCAGCTTTACTTTTCTGTGTAGCCTCTCACCCCCTGGTGTTTTCAAGTTGTCTGTGGGTCTCCTGCACTAGACTATAAACTCCATGACAGCAAGGACTTCTGCTCACCTGTCACCTACACTGGTGGCTGGTACTTAGCAGGTGCTCAGTGAATGAATGAATGAATCAATGGGGAGTGAATGAATCTATGTAGCTGCATTTTTAGGGAATACCCCACTTTCCAGACAAGCTGCAGAATCTGAAGGTAAACATTGGCAGGGGTTCTCAGCAATGGATTCAGAAACTTAGCCCAGCAGCCTCATTGAAAACATTGAAACACTGAAAAAGCCAACAAGGCCCATAGCTCTTGGTGTCACTAACAGAGCAGTTGGTCAGATTTTGAGTGAGCATTTTTTAAAGAAACATCTGAGCAGTTTTAAAATGCAAAATATTGAGTGTCTATTTGGGCACTTTGAGTTTTTTGTTTGACCAAAGTGTGTTAAAATTAAGGTATTAAAATAAATATTTGTTTATTGGTTGTGAATTATTGCAATCCAAACTCACCTTTCCAAACTGCACCTTCTGAAGCTTTAGTTAGCACGTATCTAAACACCATTACCAGGCTCCACCAGCCCCTCTGCTCCTCAGCTTAGAGGAGTTTTTAAAACCTGTTGAGAATTATCGCAGATACGTTTGGCCATTATCCAGTCGTTTCGATTGTGCCTTTCCTAAATGTCCGCGGTTGGCAGAACGTGGGAGGAAGAGGACCCGCCTAACTCGGGGTAGGTGGGGACGCGCTGCTCACTGTGGTGAGGTTGACACTTGGGCCCTGGGTTTCACTTGCAGGTGCTGGGCGGCGGAGAGCCCCGAGAAGGAGGAGGAGAGAGAGCCAGCAGCCAACCCCTACGACTTCAGGAGGCTCCTGCGCAAAACCTCCCAGCGCCGGCGCCTCGTCCAGCAGTCCTAACCGTTCAACGAGGCAGTCACCGCCGTCGGAAGGCGCTGGAGCCTGCGGGGCAGCAGGGGCCAAGCAGGCACTCTGGGGCTGGCACCAGCAGGCACTGAAGCTGCGGCCCTGATCTCCGCAGAGGCTGCCTGCTGCGCTCGGCCCTCAAGTGCCCGGGCCGGCCTTCGTGCTCCGAAACAAGAGACCTGGGAGCCCTCGGGAAACCTCCCCCGACGCTCTCTCTCGGAACTCCCGCACCCTCCTTTCTCACCAGCCCGCCAGTTGTGGCAACCCTGTCCTTGTTCCCCTAATCTATCACTTTGTTCTTTTTTTTTGTGACTCCTGTGGACTCCACTGCGCCTGGGATCTCGCCAACCCCTCTCTCATTTGGGGTGACTGAATTCACAGATTTTTTTTTTTATTGGAAACGGCTTTTCTTGGCCAACAGAACACTTGCTAGCGGTTGAATCTTAGAGAAAAAAGCCCGGGAGGGGTGGGGAGAATTTCGAAGATGTATTTCATCTCAAGCTTGCTCTTTCTCTTCCTTTGGTTATTAAGGTCACTAAATAAAGGAAGTGCCTTGGAAAACCCGTGGTTTGCGTGACTGATCCCTCATTTTCCCCTCTAGGGCTTCTGAGGGGCTTCTGCTATAAGGCTGTGCTGGTGACGGGCCCAAGGAGGGGCGTTGAGGTGCCTTCATCAGCGAACTCCCAGCACCACCCAGCCACTTCAGACAAACACAATCTAAGCTAAAACCCCTTGCCACACAAACGCAGAGGCCTCCAATGTCTAAATCCCCAACACACCACACGTGCTCGCCTGCACGATGCCTTCCCAATCTGCGTGACTGTCTTTGGCCCCATCTATAAAGATGCTAGTGCCCCCACTGGGTGGAACTGTCAGATTTCAGGTTCTCCCGGTCTGCAGATTTGGGGCCATCTTTGCTACTCCGACTTTGTGTGTATTTAAAATGGGGGAGGCTAGTGGGTGGACAGAAGTTTGCATTCCTGGGTTGACTGCACCTTATTCTAAAACCCGGTTTAAGCTGTTTTATGAAACTGACATTCCCATCTAAGCAACCTGGAGAGGGTGAGGACAGGTGATGAGGTCGTTGCATGGAATTGGAAGAAGGGTTCTGATCACGATGGGGCTCACCCCTTGTGTGGGTGCCCTTGGCTCCTGCACCCACAAGCCGGAGTCAAAAGACTCTGGGGAAATATTCGAGGAGTGAGTGAGGGCATGTGCAGAGGGCTCAGAGCGTTTGTTGCGCCGCTGGTCCACAGGGCATAGTAATCTCGCCAACTCAAAGAGTTGGCACCAAAAGGTCCCCAGAGCCAACTCGTGTAATCTCTTCATTTTACAGATGCAATGTGGCCAAGGGAAAACCTGCAGCTATGGCATGGCAGAGTCCAAGTGCCCTCCAGGCCTTCTTTTTCCCTGGGTTAGCGGCACAGTCTTGCTGGGGTTGCGACTGAAAGTAAGGAGTAACCCTCAGCTGTGCGAATGCACTGAGGAGCTGAGTATGGCCCAGTACCCAGGAAACCAGCACAGCAGGTCACCAGAGAGAGGGGCTTGGGAGGGGCAGGGGTGTCTAAAGCCCAAAGTGGCCTGGCCCCCTTCCACCTCTAGCTGCCTGTCCACTTGCCTCCAGAAGGCCTGGGTTTGTGGGGAGGGCGGAGCAGGGGCCAGGGGTAAGGAGCAGTAAGCTAAGCTCAGCTTTTCTGCCTGGCCACCCTTCAATCTAGGCGTCCTTCTTGGGTGGCCCCTGAAGACAAGAGCCCTGGCACTCAGCCCCTTCTGTTATTTCTGTTGGTGTAGGGAGAATTTATGGAGGGAGGCAACAGACTCCCTCCCTAAATTTTTCCTGCACCAATGTTTTAAGTGAGAATAGAAAAGAGAATGGCAAAGGCTTGGTGAATGCTTGGTTGCAATATTTTTGTGTTCTTCCGTGGTTGTTTCCTCTTTTTCTTTCCATCTTCCCTTCTTTCTCTGTCCTTTGACATTTAAGCACGGGAAGGACACAGGAAAATGTGTGCCAGACACTCTTCTTTGGGTCAGCCTGAGACCCATATGTTGGTAAACCAGACACCTAAGGAAACTGTCCCTACAAGTCGGAGGATTGGGTCTCTCGCCCCTCATCTGAGGAAGGGCCTTCCAAAGCGGCCGCCTTCCCTTCCCATTCACTGGCTGCCTCCTTTGTGAACTAATGACTGTAATTATTACCTCCCAGAGCTCTTTTGTTATCTCCAACCCCAAGCCCCGGAGAGGGGGAATGGGCTCTTTAGTGAAATGAAAGTCATTACAAAGCAAATTACCGTCTAGGGAGGGACAGCCTTCAGGAAAGACAAATCAGATCTCCATCTGCATCTGAAGTAGGGTGTGTTTAAATAAAAAATGTAAATATCACCATTAGATCCAAAGTACTCCAGAGCTGTGGGATTTAATGGAGTTTAAACGGTAGCACTTGAAGCCATTGCTTTACCAAAAAGAAAAAAAAATCAGTTAAATTCAGGTGTTTTAATCCGTTTCTTCTTTGGGGGTTTTGTGTGATTTAAACGCTTGCTTTTAAGAACCTTTATGTTTTCAACCACTCATCCATAGTAGAAAAGTTCTGCAACCCTAGACTGCTGGCTTGAAGGAAAACCTTTGCAGGATTTGATATGGATTTCAACAAAGAACCAGCCTCTGCGAGGCTGGAGAGAGCTGCGGAGCTGCCATGCCTGAAGTGCAGATGGCTGAACCACAAGTCTTTAGGTTTCCGGAGTTGTTATTGTGGTGACCTAGAGTGTCAGAGCCAGGAGAGCAAGAAAGAGGAGCCAAACTGAGCCCTGAGTTTTCGACCACCCGGGCTCCCACAGCCTGGAACAGACTTCACCTAGCACGCTCAGTGCCAGCCTTCGGCAGGACGCTATCAACGCCCGACTGGTTTCCTGCTCTCATCCTGGCGCCTGGGCCCAGTTGCCATAGTGTGGATCCCATGACTCCTCAGGGAACCCCTGGACTCAGGCACGCGAGAAGAAGACAGCGCTTTGTGGAGAGAATTGACCAGGGACAGTTATGCTCGAGCACACAGGACTTGGGCCTGTATGCGTCCAGCATGGGCCCCAGGATGTCCCTTCTAAGCGAGGGTCGAGGGGTGCTCGCCCAGACGGGATCCCCGGGTCTCTGCTTTGTTAGCAGCTTTGGTGGCTGGTTCAGGAGGTCAGAGAAATAAAACGACTTGTGAACACAATGGAAATGACAGGCGCTCTGGCCAGGCGCGGGGAAGGCAGCCGCCTCGGGAAGCCGACCTCAGCCCTTTCCTCTCTCTCCCTCCCTCCGTCTCCCCCAGAGCCCCGGAGCTCCGAGGTGCACTTGAAGTTCATCTCCACTGCCAGGAGAACGCAGCGCAAACTGTCAAAGGGCTCCCAATCCTTAGGGCGTCCTCCCTGTCTGCAATAGCTTTTTGTAGAAAGGAAATCATCAGAACGATTCTGACTTTCTCCTCCTTTCTTTATTAGAAAAAGAGAAACCGCCTCCTAATACGCCTCAGAGAGAACCAATCTCGCGCTTCCGGGTCACCCGCTACCGCGAAGATTCTCTGGGGGCGAGGGGGGGCATTGGTTTGAAGCCCCTTAAAACGAGGGCCCTGCAGGCGATGCCTTCTTTCCTACTCGGATTTGTAAAGCCGAGATTGCTTAGTTGGAAACCCTGTTCTCCCCTCCCAGGCGCACACAGATCCCCCTTACACGCAAGCAGCGGGCGCTTCCACGCCTCCGCGGGCCAAGGTCACCAAATGCCCTGATTCCATCCCCCACCCGCCATCAATCCTGCCGACTCTGGCCGCTCTGCCTCATTCTCTTCCAAGAAGTTTCCATTCGTTTTATTTTTTTTTCCCCAGCCCGAGGTCCTCAGTAGACTCCAGCGTGGATTTTAATTGCCTCAATCAGCAGTCATTCTCCCCAGCCGTCACTCAGAGCCTGGACGGTGGGTCCCGCGATCTAGCCCTTGGCTACGCAGGAACGGTGCGCCCCCGGGTACGGCGCGGTTCAGCAGGCAGGCGTCAGGTTCTACCAAGGCGCTGAAATGAGCCCATCAGCGGGTAGGAGCCCTTCCCCCGCCGTCCCCTCCCCAGGCTCGTGAACGGCGCCTGATGCCCGCCCGGGGCGCGAGCTCTCGAGGTCGCAGTGACCTCAGCACCTGCTTGGAGGAAAACGGCGCGGGAACCCCGCTTCCTTCCCCTCAGCTGGAGCCAGACCTCAAACAAAACCCCAATCGATGCACACAGAAAACTCCTCTGGGCCACGCTTCCCGCCTCGCCGAGGTCTCCCCAGTCTGCCCCTCGCTGACGCTGGCGCGCAGCGGCTGTGGCAGCACCCGGGACAGCGGCCGCCCGCACTTCCCGCCTCTGGCTCGCCCGAGGACGCGCTGGCACGCCTCCCACCCCCTCACTCTGACTCCAGCTGGCGTGCATGGTCTGCCTCGCATCCTCACGACTCAGCTCCCTCCCTCTCTCGTGTTTTTTTCCTCCGCCGCCCCCTCATTCATCCCCACTGGGCTCCCTTTCCCTCAAATGCTCTGGGGCTCTCCGCGCTTTCCTGAGTCCGGGCTCCGAGGACCCTTAGGTAGTCCCGGTCTCTTTTAAAGCTCCCCGGCTTCCAAAGGGTTGCCACGTCCCTAAACCCTGTCTCCAGCTCGCATACACACACGCACAGACACGCACGTTTTCTGTTCCTGCGTGACACCCGCCCTCGCCGCTCGGCCCCGCCGGTCCCCGCGCGGTGCCCTCCTCCCGCCACACGGGCACGCACGCGCGCGCAGGGCCAAGCCCGAGGCAGCTCGCCCGCAGCTCGCACTCGCAGGCGACCTGCTCCAGTCTCCAAAGCCGATGGCATCTCCGGGCTCTGGCTTTTGGTCTTTCGGGTCGGAAGATGGCTCTGGGGATTCCGAGAATCCCGGCACAGGTAGGAAGGAGAACGGGGGCCTGCGGCGGGCGAGTTTTGCGGTGGTCTGGGGTTTGCGGAACTACGGAGAAGACGAAGGAGGTTTTTCCACCTGCAACAGGAAACTTCTTCGGGCGCTTCTCCCTGCTTTTGGGCTAAGTCCTTGACGGCCCAAGAGCTCAAGACCTCTACAGCCTCTTGTACCCTGGGAAGACGCCCAAATAGTCTCAGGCCCGTTCCACAGAAGGTTGGAAGAGCCCCCCAAAGACCGCGGTGTCTCGGGGACATGGAATTCCGTGGTCCTGGGGCGCTGCTAAGATCCGGGTGTCTGGACCCTGGGGTGGGACGGAGTGACCGTGAAGATAGAAAAAAAAAATGGGAAAGGTGAGAGATTTCTTTATCTAGAAAGACAGTCTGCGAAAAAATGGATAGCTTCAGTGTTTAGGAAAACTCGTCCAAGGTAGGCAGGGAGAGGAATTTGCCTGAGCCGATTGGCACCTGGAAGGGCAGCGGTGTGGGCTTCTCCTCGGGAAACAGATAAAGGAAATGAGGGCTGGCCCGGGCCGCCAGCCTCCCGCTTGCCTTCTGCACCTGCCGGCCTCACCGAGTCCTGAGCGGCCCCCAGGAGGAAGGCGGCCCCTCCTAGGACCCCGGACTGATTGATTTTCACATAGAACGAAATTTCACACGTCCGTCTGTTGTTCTCTTTCTGCCTCGCTGTCTGCCTGCCTATTCTTCCTTGCAGCGCGAGCCTGGTGCCAAGTGGCTCAGAAGTTCACGGGCGGCATCGGAAACAAACTGTGCGGTGAGTGCCCAGGGACCGGGGCGGCCAAGGTCGGCCCGCGGGGTCCAAGCAGTCTTCTCACCTCCGCATCCCAGTCAGCGGAGTCGGGGTTTCCTGGCTGCGGGTAGGCGGGAGCGAGGGAGCCGGGCCCGGCGGAGGATTGACGAGGCCCGCGTTCGGTGTCCTTACCCAGCCCTGCTCTACGGAGACGCCGAGAAGCCGGCGGAGAGCGGCGGGAGCCAACCCCCGCGGGCCGCCGCCCGGAAGGCCGCCTGCGCCTGCGACCAGAAGCCCTGCAGCTGCTCCAAAGTGGATGTCAACTACGCGTTTCTCCATGCAACAGGTAAAGACTCAGCGGGGAGCCCCGGGGCGCCCCTGCCCCTCTCTCTGCCCCGCCCACCGCGGCCGGTGCGGGTCCGGCGCTGAGAGCCGGACAGGGGCGTCGAGGTGGCAGCGGAGGCGGGACCTGCCAGAATCTTCAGATAAAAGCGAGAAATGCGGGACCTGCCCGCTGGGTCCAAGCCCCCGAACCTGGCCTCGGAGCTCCAAGAGGGCTCTGAGGCCGTGGCGCTCTTCCCCCAGCGCGGCCCTTGGGATGGCGGGTGGCCGACGATCCAGGCGCTCGTGCGCTCACTGAATCGATGACGGCTGGCTTCCCTAGGCCGCTGGGGCCTCGGGTGGGACTCAGTTTCCAAATACCGTGCCCGAGAATTCAGAATTGCATTTTTTTTAGGTCTTTAGATCACGAGAGTGATTTGTAGCTGCAATTGCACAAGAGAACGATTCCATTCACATGAAACCCGCGCGCCGAGTTTTACCCCCGTGCACTTACACACCGTCTCCCAAATGTACGCGCGCACACACACATGCAGACACACATGCATACGCTCTCTCTCTCTCTCTCACACACACACACACACACACACACACACACACACACTGACTTTAGAAACAGCGGGCCTTCCTATCAGACCAGAGATCCTAATGCACCTGTTCCACTTTGGTTTGCCCGAAGGCATTCGAGACAAACACTTCTGACGTGAAATATTTATGTAAACATGTAAGATGGTTTACTGAGAAACACGTTTAAGACGAACTCCTGTGAACTAGATAAACGGAGGTACACGCTCTTCAAAAAAAGAAGGCAAACAATATAAGTTATGAATTGAAATGCAGTAATTAATTTGGGGAAGAGAAGAAATCATAATTTATCTCATTCATTCCCTTCACCTTTGAAAAATGTCTCCCTTTTAAAGAAAAATGTTCTGCCTTTCCAAAAGCTTTATCTAACATGAAATCTCTCAATTCAAAGAAATGTTATTGCCTCATCAAGATCTTGCCTTGAATATTTTCAAAGTAAAATTAAAATGTGGCATTTTAATTTCATTCTTTAGACCTGCTGCCGGCGTGTGATGGAGAAAGGCCCACTTTGGCGTTTCTGCAAGATGTTATGAACATTTTACTTCAGTATGTGGTGAAAAGTTTCGATAGATCAACCAAAGTGATTGATTTCCATTATCCTAATGAGCTTCTCCAAGAATATAATTGGGAATTGGCAGACCAACCACAAAATTTGGAGGAAATTTTGATGCATTGCCAAACAACTCTAAAATATGCAATTAAAACAGGTATTGTCTCATCGAAAATAATAAAGCTCTTTTTTCGTTTACAATTTTTATTTTATTTTTTTCTATAAAATGTTTTGTTTGATGGAGTTACTGATATTTTCAAAATTGCAAAGTTATTTTCATCATGTAAAAAATAGTCATTATTAGAATGATTCTAATCCAAAGCACCTTCCACTGCTATTGTTCATGCTTCTGAAGTTGATAATGTCAGAAACATGATTTAAGTGTAAATCATCAGATTTTACGTTGCATGTATTTGGACACGGAGGTTATACCACTGGTATAGAAGCAAATATTCATCAGCAGAGACCAGCAGAAAGAACTCAAAGTGGAGAAAGAGAATATGGAAATAAAAGCTCGAAAAATGCGTGATCCAAACAAAAGCCCGAATACCAGTGCTGTGCTGGTATTTTCTTTGGCATAAAACTGATCAGAAACAGGACTCACCACCCTATTAATCATTGAGTGGGAGGGATGTTTTCACATTGTGTCAAATGGCCAACCTTTCAGATTTGAATTCAGATTTTCACTTATTTTTAAGGAAATGTGCACAACACACAAGCAGGCATGATACAGACTAGCTTAGCAATTCAGCCATGTTATATAAGGATGTGTGTTCCTCCCAGCCACTGTATATGTGAGATAAAGAAAAAGGGGGGGAGGGGCAAATCAGATATCCTTAGGGGGAAATTTTTTTAAATGTACTTTTGTGGTCTCTTGGCTTTTCACAGGAGTCTTTATATTCCATCCATATTACAGCTTCATTTATAACATTTATTTGGGTGCATTCCGAGCTTTCATGTTATCTACACAAAGTCAGCCATTCATCTGCCCAGGTCTTGATTACCCTCGCTTTTTACGTTGTCTCTAATCATCCTGATACACGATGGCTGACACTTCATTACGGCAATAAAAATAAGTATGAATGAATTTCCAGGGGTGGGGAGGACTTTGTGGATCGAAGTTGATGTGTAGCCTTTAAAAGATTTGCTAGCAAATAAAAAATGTGAAATATGACATGAACATTCATCACCATAGAAACGTCATCTTTTTAGATTGCAAACATTTTGCTGATGAATTAGCAGTATTACGCTAATCAATAACAAACATTCTTAAAATGTTTGCTGTGAGAAGTTTAGTTCTTTTTTTCTTTTTGTTCACATTATTTGTACCAACAGAGAAGAAAGGTAGGCATACAAAAAGCCTTGGGACATAGATTTCTATCAAAGTCAGGCTATGGAATAGGAGTTTTGAAGGTGTATTAGACATCATCCTCAATTAACGTTCATGAAGAACCCACGTGATGTTTATACCAGGCATTAAAAATTTTCCTACCCCTCCTCAGCTTTTCCTGCATTCATAGTGCAATCCTGGGTGATGCTTTTAATTCATTTTTTGACCCATTCCCCATACCTTATATTTAGATACGTTAATAGTAAATTGCCACCTATTGTTTGTATTGCTACCAAACCAAAAAGAACCTATGGAAATGTTTTGTGTCTTCATCCTTGAAAGCTAGTGGTGCCTGAAATGCAGTCTACAGAGTTAAGATAATGGGAACTGCAAGTCAATGAAAGTAATAGTTCTGTCTATCAACGTTGCATTTAGTGCCAGGAAAAGATGGGCTAATTCAATACTTACATTTTGCCATAATGCTTATGAAACTGTTAGGTGTCACTGTAATGCATTTTATTTAAAGTTCAGATAAAAATGTGATGGATTAAGTTGGATTTCTAAGCAAGGCATATCAATTCAATCTCTCAATAGTTTTCATAACATATTTAGTCTGCTGGCCTTTTCCTTCAAATAGCATTTCAAAAAATTAACAGCAGTCATTTTCTCTATTCAGCTGGCAACTTTATAGATTTCTGTGCTATAACTGTCATACTTGTCATCTAATGCTATTTAGGGTATGTCAAATTAGTTACCATCCTTGCTACTACCAGACATTTTAATACTCCTCAAGAGATTATTTTATAAAATGCATATTATCATCTTGTTTCTACTGAGAGACCTTAACCTGATTTCCACTTGGGCTCCAAGCTTAGAGAGGAGTGAAGGGCAGTGGGAAAATGAAGTCTTCATGGATTGTTAAAATTACCTCTGTAAAAAGAAATGTTGGAACACGGAAAACTGAGCAGAGAATGATAGAATTCCAGAATAATTTGCATTTGCAGAGATCATTAGATTTGGTGCTAGTGGTGGTGGTGCTGGCTGGGGAAGAGTAGGACTTAAATGTGGTCCTGAATCTTTTACCAAACCATCAGACAAAGGGAATTAAGCGTCAGTAGATGAGGCAGCCCTAGTGTGAGTGTTGCCAGGACATAAAGAGCAGTTTGGACCGACTTTTGGCCTCTTCCCAACTGATCATGAGCACAGGGTCAGAGTTGCCTGAGGCTGGTTGTTCGCAGAGTCTGCGCATCCTTCCGGGCTCATTTGCTAGTCTGCAGGGAGCATCCCTGAGTCTGAGCAGCCAGTTCTCACATCTCAAGCTCGCCACCTTCCTGGCTGCATAGGCTGTGTGGCCACCCAATGGCTGACGCAGTGCGCTCTGCTCCCATCACAGGGCCTGGCAGGGTGGCGACAGCAGCAGGAGGCCAAGGGCTGCAGGGACACCTGACCTATGGGGGCAGGTCTCACAATTCCTTGGAGAGAGCCCTGCCTTGATTTGCTGGGCAGCCCTAGGAAGCAGCCTGTAGGGGCCACAGGATGGGAGCAAATGTCACTAGGGGAATATTTCTGCCAGAAATCGAGAGAGCCTGTTGATCTGACCTGTCAAACTATCTCCCTCCCTATTTTCACATCATCATCAGGGAATGAAATTTTTGAGGCAGGAGAGATTCAGGTGAAATGGCAGAGCAAGGTCAAAATATATATAGGGAGGAAGGGAAACCTAGCAATGAAAGCGTCAAACCTGTTTTCACTGTTTACGGAAAGTTATCATCAGGGTGAATTGGCCTTCTGATATCCAGAGGCACAACACACCCCTCACAATCTCTCTCCATCTTATGCACAGGTTTTCATTCCCAAGTTTCCCTAGAGTTAAATACTGTCTAATCATAGACACCACATTCATCCAGAAAATGAATATGAATTATAATCCTTATTAATTTCCTCACTTGAAAAAAAAAGGGTTAGGGAAAGAGAAATGAAGGAGCATCGGGAGGGAGGAAATGGCTGTGATTTCAGCTGCGAGCATAATGAAATGGGGAGTCAATGAGGCAGAGAGGAGTGAAGGGTTGCTCCAGACCTCAGTGGCCACAGCAGCAAAAAAGCCTTCTCACCCTTCGTGGATGGGTAAACTGAGGGGGTCAGCATCAGAGATAGAGGGGTACCACACGAGGCCACAAGGACATAAAACAATGCTGGAGAATGTACAATAGATACACAAGTCCTGATCCCGCTAAAATGGGCTCCCTCCCAGCTTATATCTTTACCCAGTGTCTGTCTGGCCACATGCCTGAGGCTGATAAGAGAGCACTCCAGTGCAGGAGATAAGCTAGCCATTGACTTTTGTCCCTGCTCTTCCCCATTGCCTTCCTTTATCTTGTTTTGCCTGTGCTGGAGATGAGAGACAATCACATCCCAGGCTTCAGACAGATGTCCAGGATGTGGAAGATACCTTTTTATCAGATGCTATTTCCACAATGGCCCATCTTCTAAAATTTTTGCTGCTGTGCAAATCACGGACCTATCGATGACAGGCTTTTGTGGAGCAAGAGGAGAAAACTGAATGCTAATGACATATTTATAATCACATTTTAAATAATAGCCTCAGGAGAGTGTGGATGTCAATCCATTTAGAGAGTTTTAGAGGAATCTAGAAGTTAATTAGATAAGCCTTGCGATGGACTAATCAGTCGATTGAGTATATCTTTCTGTATCTTGTTGATAAAACAGTGATGTTGACTGTATGTGGCCTTATTTTAAATCACAACTATGGAGGAGCGCTGTTGTTTATAATTAACAAAGAAGAATTGACAAGAATTAGCTTTGTCCATGCCATCTTTAGACAATCATCACCTTTTGAATCCAGGGCAAATCATTCAGCAGAGTGTCCTATTTTCTCATTTTTGCCCTGTCTTTTGTAATCATCAGCCATTTGTCACTGATATTATTATGAATGTTGGCATGCCTGGCGGATGTCATGGTATGACCGATTCTCAGAACGACTACAAAAAAGGACTTCTAGCAGCATGAGTATAAAGGAGAAGTTACCTGTCTGAATGGCTGTGGGTTGCAGTAGCATTTTAGCTTGCGAAAATATTGAAAATAGAAAAGAGACTCATGCAGATTGCAAACCATATTTGTTATATTTATAGGGTCCGATTAAAGGAAGATTTGTAGGGTATGTTTTAAGAAATATCAAAACCTAAAGTAGTCTTCGTGGTTAGAGGAAACGCTTTTATGGTGTGTGTGTGTGTGTATGTGCATGTGTGTGTGTGTGTGTGTTCTTGTGCATACACACGTGTGTACATGTTGGATTTCTACTTATGGATTTCCTGTTACTGACAGATCTTTCAAGGTCCTTTAGCTAGAGAAATCATGTGTTTGAGAGGCATTTATTTTCACTGGAGGCAATCCTGATTCTGGTATTCCATTTTATTCAGGGCATCCTAGATACTTCAATCAACTTTCTACTGGTTTGGATATGGTTGGATTAGCAGCAGACTGGCTGACATCAACAGCAAATACTAACATGTAAGTAGCCAAATGTGTTTTTATGTAATTTAGGATAATTATTAGTGACATTCCATAGTCTTTACATCTTATGTGAAAATCTGTTTTTTATTAAGTAGCCACTAAAATAGTGATACAAACTTCTGAAGTGTGAGTGTTCACTTTAATGTAACAGAAAGTAGTCCTGATACATCTTCCATGTAATCAAACTCTACAAAATTTTTAAAATACAAAAGAGACTTTTTTCTCACGTTTGATTTATTATTGTGCATAATGTCAAAGACAAATGGGACCAGATATTATATTTTAAATCATGTTACTCTGCAATATTTTTTATTTATTCAATACAATAAATTCCCCTCGTGCATTATGTCAGTAGTTGGAGCTCTTGACTGTAGGGATATAGAAAAAATAAACATTTTGGAAGGCCTTTTTGAAATAATTTTCTCTCTGCTTAATGTTATAATCATAACACTTGTAAATGTATGTTTTGAAAAAGGAAATAGTTCTGTAGCTATTGTAATGATTGTAAATTATTTATCTGAGTTACAGAGGTAAAATGTGGCCATTACTACATTTCAGGTTCACCTATGAAATTGCTCCAGTATTTGTGCTTTTGGAATATGTCACACTAAAGAAAATGAGAGAAATCATTGGCTGGCCAGGGGGCTCTGGCGATGGGATATTTTCTCCCGGTACATGATATTTCAACTTTCTTTGTGTTTTTTCTTCTAATATGCAATGCCTTGTTGTAAACCTAGGGAAGATTAAAAATCTAGCCTATGCCTCTGCTTAGGTTAAATAGACTGTGTGTTGATCAAAAGAATGACTGTGATTAAGTGCACATGACCATTGAACATGCCTCCAAGCTAAGTAACCCATGCTTGAACATCAGTTATTTGTGTGCAAAGTGAGCATAATCAGAGATGGTACTTACCCAGTGCTTCTACTGTGACCCTACAAACAGGATGTACGGATAATGTGGAACAAAGGAATCAAGATTCCTAATCAGGAAATTCACTCTCTGATGCTCTTCCTAGAATTAGTGAAAGGAAATGGGTAGCCTCATTTAATAAAGCATTTGCTGTTCAAGGGTGCATAGCAAGGTATATCTACTCAGTAGAGCATATGGACCACTCTGTCTTTGAAATAACAAGCACCAAAGTGGATTTACACTAATTTCAAGGAGGACAGAGAACGCTTTGGGAGAGAATTTCTTAGAGCAAAAATAGAGGGTGACGATTTCTTCAAGAGATTTCTCATCCCTTCTCTTCTTTATCATGCCATTCAGTCTTTTCCATCCTGCCTTTTTATCACCAGCCATTGAATTCTAAGCTCCATTACTTAGACCTCTTCCAGCCAAGAGAATCAACCTGAAACAAAAAGCTGTGCCCTTGGTTTACAGTTCTGTGTGTGACCTTGGTTTGATGCAGAAAAGAAATAGAAGTTAGGAAGGCAATGCAAAGAGAGTCACTGACCCATGGAAAAGAAACCCGATGTGCAGACCATCAGCTAATCAGTGGCAGGAGCGGATGTCATTAGTCCACTGAGACAGGACCCACCTGAGAGAGAGGCCAGAGCAACACCTGTCGTTGTGTCAGACAGAGCAAAGGCCAAGTGGTTGTGCTCTCTCTTCAGCAAATCTACAAAGACAAGCAAATGATGAGGCGGGGATAGGGGAGAAAAGAAAAAGTGAAAAGAAGAAATGATAAGCAAGAGTGACCCCAAGGCCAGGGCTTAAGTTAAGCATGTTTGCCTGCAAGCTCTGGTCAGCTATTTTATGTGTTTAAATATATAGCACAATTTTTCAGGTGCTGAAGGAAAAGGTGTTAGTTAAATGGAAGGGAAAATTAGCCTTTTAAAAAGTCATTGAACACCAGCTGTGATGAATTTTAAGCTAGCCTTTATTTTTTATGGCACTTAGTACTTAGTTTTCCTTTGGAAAGCCATCCCTGTTGAGGGAGCTTGGTCATCATTGCCTGATGCTTTGAAAACATTGTTCATGAGGAATGAGGTGGGGTACAGAGATCCACATCATTTCTACCTTTCTTCTTCCCACCCTTGTGTGGTTGGTTATAGGATTGATCTGTCCCTGAGATGAATCAAGAACATGCTGGGCTCTATTTTTTTTTCTTTTATTTGCATTTATTTTATGCTGAATTTATTCCCGTGCATAAGTTTTAATGGTCCCCGGGAGTAGGGAGAGGACAGATGTACCTGTTGACCCTGAAAATTTGACTAATTTGACTAACAGCTAGGCCTAATTTACCTGGCTGGTCTGAAAAACCTACATGCCCCAGAAAACATACACCCAGAGAAATAATTCTCTTAGGCAGTTCTGCTAGGCTTAGAGCTTACCCTCCACCCTCACTGATAATGGGGGATTTTCACATGGAGAAGACTTCAGCTTGAGCATGGGAATTATAGGCTTCCTTGGAGCCTAAAGACCCATTTGCTCTTACGCCAAGATGCAAGCCATAGATGTCACACTACAGTGCAGTGCAGACATTGCAAAGTTGGGAGGAGACAGCAGAAAAGGTCATTGCAACCTGTTTCTGCTCTACTTTCTACAAGACATCACAGACGAGAAGTGGCTCATCACATCCTTACTGGCTATGGATGCTATTCCCGGGAGCAACCAGCCTTGCTCCTGCAGTAAAGGGTCTTACAATTTAAGGGGTGGGGATAGAGAAAGCCACACATCTTATGCATCTGGGATCTAAAAGTCTCATTCCCTGGGACTCAATGTGAAGAGTTAGGTCTGTGACTTAAAACATACTGTGTCATAGCTCCATCAATAATATCCAAAGCCTTCATGCTTCATGGAAAGTCCTTTAGGACTCCTAGAAGAAATCTGCTTTTGTGATGTCACCTACACTGGGAACCAGAGAAATACAGAGCATTCCTTACTGCTCAGCAGGTCACAAAGCACAAAGACTAAAGAGGGGCTAGGAAAGAAAGCTTGGCTTAGTCACCGACCTTTTCCTAGCTAACAGGGTTTTCATAATGTTTCAGCACTTGCTTTTATTCATGTATTTTATTTTTTATTTTTTTGAGACAGAGTCTCACTCTGTCGCCAAGGCTGGAGTGCAGTGGCACGATCTCAGCTCACTGCAACCTCCATCTCCTGGGTTCAGGCAATTCTTATGCCTTAGCCTCTAGAGTAGCTGGGATTACAGGCATGCACCACCATGCCCAGCCAATTTTTGTATGTTTAGTAGAGATGGGGTTTCACCATGTTGGCCAGGCTGGTCTTGAATTCCTGACCTCAGGTGATCTGCCCACCTCAGTCTCCCAAAGTAGCACTTGCTTTTACATCCTTTCTTAGAGGATTCGTAGGAAATAAGAGCAGGTAGGGCTCACGCATTTGTCCTCATGCCTCTGTTACACAAAACAGTCTTCTCTGCCTGGAGGCCCAGAAGCCTCTTTCTCTCACTCAGAGCTGCTGAGCCTTTAGCCAGAGGACAGCTGAGTTGCAGAGTGAGGTGTGGGAGGGCAGGGCTGGAAGCTTCAGAAGAAATGCACATGAAGAGCACTTTCTTAGGATACGTCTTCCCCTTTCTCTTCTTCCCTCCTTCCTTCTCCAGCCTCTTTAAGAACAACTAAATTCTCAAACAAGATCATTTTGCTCCCCACAAGGGACATTTGGCAATATCTATAGATGCTTTTGATTGTCTGGGGGAGAGGGTGCTATGGGCATCTGGTGGGTAGAAACCAGGGATGCTGCTCAACACTTTACAATGCCCAGGTCAGCCCTCACCAGTTATGTTGCCCAAAATGTCAGGAAGTGCCAAAACCATGAGCTAGGATGGAATTTCCTTCTGAAGCAGACCCTGCTTCCAGCATCCTACAGCCAGCCTTTCACACCGGGTGTCTGCTCAGAGCAGGCGTGACCTGGATTCTACCTGATTCTACCTGTCCTGTATCTCTAGAGTCCAGAAAGGAAGGAATCGCCCTGATTTTGATTGAGGACAGAGGCATGTGTCTGGGTGATGAGTGCTCTGTGCTGGGCAGCCTGCTTGAATCAGAGCCCAGGGCTCAAGAGACAAAGGTCATACCCCTGCCTGGGCCATTCAGCTTGACATGGAGCCCTCCTGCTCCTCAGCCACCAGGAAGGAGAGTAACTCACAACACTCACGTGACGGCAGGACTTGGGGTGTTCCCCTTGGTCAGGAGGTAGAGGCAGTACCTTCACTCTGCCCCATGGCCTCATGTCTTCCATCCCAGCATATTAATTTGCATTCATAACAATCTGTCTTTCCTGAATTGCAAACATCCTAAACTTCCCAACAGCCCTGCATTTTCTTTGCTTGTCAAGTGAGACTCTACTTACAAGACACAAATCTTATGGCGTGGAATCCCTGACAACTTTTGGATGACACAGAAAACGTAACACAATATGGACTGAAAATTCTCTTAGTTGTATGTTTGTCTATACTTATGAAATAAGTTTTGTTAGCTAATACAATTCTATTATTTCAATGATGTCTTTGAGAGGGAAGAACTAGTTTAGAGGGAATGAATAGATGAGTATGATGAGATGGACGTGGAGGTTTATCCTTTATAACAGGGGTCCCCAACCCCCTGGTGGTGGATCGGTACAGGTCTGCGGTCTATTAGGAACGGGGCCACAGAGCAGTAGGTGAGCAAGGGGCAAGCGAGCATTACCGCCTTAGCTCTGCCTTCTGTCACATCAGCAGCCACATGAGATTCTCATAGGAGCGTGAACCCTATTGTGAACTGCGCATGCGAGGGATCTAGGTTGCATGCTCCTTACGAGAATCCAATTAATGCCTAATGATGTGAGGTGGAACAGTTTCATCCCAAAAGCATTCTCCACCCCACCCCCACCAGCCCCCGACCTTCCATATGTGGAAAAATTGTCTTCCACGAAACGCATCACTGCTGCCAAAAAGGTTGGAGACTGCTGCTCAGTAAAAATTGTTGATTAGGCCAGGCGTGGTGGCTCACACCTGTAATCCTAGCACTTTGGGAGGCCGAGGCGGGTGGATCATTTGAGGTCAGGAGTTTGAGACCAGCCTGGCCAATGTGGTGAAACCCCGTCTCTACTAAAAATACACAAAAAAATTAGCCGGGTGTGGTGGTGCATGCCTGTGGTCCCAGCTTCTTGGGAGGCTGAGGCAGGAGAATTGCTTGAACCCAGGAGATAGAGGTGGCAGTGAGCGGAGATCGTGCCACTGCACTCCAGCCTGGGCGACAGAGTGAGACCCTGTCTCAAGAAAAAAAAAAAAAAGTTGATTAGCAGCTTACACCAGTAACAGCTGATTTATGTTAATCCAAATGCAAGGCACTGAATGAGTTGAAATGAAAAAAAAAAAGCTTTCTCCATCCAGATATAACCAGAATTTTACACACCTAGTGCAGAATGACCATGCTCACAAGCTGGGATGGAGGCAAACCTTTTGCTTTTGAATTAAAAACCTCTTCAAAGGGCTTCCAGCAAGAGTAGAATCCACTGCAGTTCCCCTTAGTGACTGAGATGGGGTGTGACAGTGGCACCTGTCCTGTCCCCATGTGCCCTCTGGGGTAGCGCCTTTGAGTCTGAGGATTCAGTTTAAAGATAGTCAATAGGTTTTTCTTCTGAGTCCAAGGAGGACTCAGGTCAGTGGAAATAAGGAATGTTGCTTGCATGTGAAATGAGGTTGATAATAAATAAAGTAACTGCGTGTTGCTGTGCACTTTAGGTGGCGCCATATCTAACATGTATGCCATGATGATCGCACGCTTTAAGATGTTCCCAGAAGTCAAGGAGAAAGGAATGGCTGCTCTTCCCAGGCTCATTGCCTTCACGTCTGAACATGTATGTGTTTCTTTTCCTTGCAAGTTTAAGGTTATGTTCCATAAAGCCCGAGTTTAAGGAGTGATGGCTGGAAATGCATTATCCCCAGAGGCCCTCTTTCTGGAAGACACCTTGGGAGGGAATGGGGGAGAAAGCTGAGTGGTACTATGGGGTGTCCTCCTTGACTCTTTGAAATTCAGGAAAACCCTCAAAGATAAAGGAGCAGCCTGGGCAATATAGTGAAACCCCATCTTCACAGAAAATTTAAAAAAAATTAGCCAGATGTGGTAGCACCTATGATCCTAGGACGCTGAGGTAGCAGAATTACTTGAGTTCAGGAGGTTGAGACTGCAGTGAGCCGTGATTGCACCACCACACTCCAGCCTGGATGAAAGAGCAAGACCCTGTCTAAAAGAAAAAAAAAAGGAAAATATTTTTAGCTCTAGTTCCTACCCTTCGCTTCTGCGCAATCAAGTTGCATATTAAGGGAAGGGGAAGAGGAGGGAAGGGGAAGAGGAGGGAAGGCAGAGGGACTGTGAGCTCATTTGGACCATTGATGCTACGCCCATGTAAGCAAAACTCCAGAGGAGCCTTTGATACAGTTTTTCTGTTTGAAAACTCAGCCCACTGATCTGATAGATATTCTGCCCTCATGGTGCCTTGAGCCTTTTTGTTTGTTTGTTTGTTTGTTTGAGACAATCTCGCTATGTCACCCAGACTGTAGTGCAGTGGTGCAATCACAGCTCACTGCAGCCTGAGCCTCAACTTCCTAGGTTCAAGCAGTCCTCCCACATCAGCCTCCTGGATAGCAGGGACTCCAGATATGTATCACCATGGCTGACTAATTTTTCTATTTTTTATAGAGACAGGGTCTTGCAGTGTTGGCTAGGCTGGTCTCAAACTCCTGGCCTCAGGTGATCCTTCCACCTCGGCCTCCCAAAGTGCTGAGATTACAGGCGTGAGCCACCATCATACCCAGCCTGAACCATTTAACATTCATCTTTGGCTGACTTGACCAGAGGTTTTGTTACCATAAAGAAATAGCACCGTACCAGGCACGGTGGCTCATGCCTGTAATCCCAGCACTTTGGGAGGCTGAGGCAGGTAGATCATTTGAGGTCAGGAGTTCAAGACCAGCCTGACCAACATGGTGAAACCTCATCTCTACTAAAAATACAAAAAAATTAGCCAGACAAGGTGGTAGGCAACTGTAATCCCAGCTACTCAGGAGGCTGAGGCAGGAGAATCACTTGAACCGAGGAGGCAAAGGTTGCAGTGAGAAGAGATCGCATCACTGCACTCCAGCCTGGGCAACAGAGCCACACTCCATTCTCAAAAAAAACAAAAACATAAGACTGTTCCTTCATGATCTCTGCCTCACAGTAGCCTGGGCTTTGGAATACAGCTGCCTCAGAGACAATCAGGAAGCCCTCTGATAGCCAGGGAACTAGGAGACAGGGAGGGAGGAAGGGCCTAGAGGGAGACTCAGGGCTCCTGTAAGGAAATGTCACTCAGGAGACGCAGGGAACCGTGGTGGGTCTCAGATCCAGATCCACCATGAACTTTTTCTATTTCCTATTTTAAGTGAGGTATGTGTATCTATGTGTGTGTGTCTGTCTCTGTGTGTGTCTGTAGGTGTCCATGACAAGGAAATAGATTGGAAATCAGTGGATACAGTTCATTACCACAGCAGTAGCTGTGGAATTAAAGGAAACTAGCAATTCCATGTTAACAAATTATCAAAGCATCTTGTTTTCAGTCATCTTTTGGGGTTTTATTTTGTGAAATGTCCTTCTTCAACGTATAGGGGTCACATTGGGCAAAAACCACACAGCCTAAAATTACTTAGTATTTTACCTTTCTGTTGCTGCTGGAACAAATGATCACAAACTTTGTGGCTTACAACAATATGAATGTATTACCTTATAGTTCTGGGGGTCAAAAATCTAAAATGGGAAAAGCAGGGCTGCATTCTTCCTCGAGGCTCTCTGGAAGATTCCGTTTCCTTGATGTTTCCAGTTTCTAGAGGCCACCTACATTTTTTGGTTCATCTTCAGAACCAGCAGCATAGCATCTTTGGATCTCTCTCTTTCTCTCTCTCTCACCTCTACTTCTACCACCACATCTCTTTCCACCTGTGGCTCTCCTGCCTCTCTCTTTTGGATCTACTCAGATAATCCAGGGCAATCCCCCGTCTCAACCTTAACCTAATCACATCTGCAAAGTCCCTTTTACCAAGTAAAGTAACATATTCACGGTGTTGAAGATGAGGATGTGATTTTTGTGGCAGGGAGTATCTGTTATTCAGCCCACTCTACCTAGTACCCCACCAGGAGATAACTTTCTTTTCTCAGCTTCTCCAAGGATAGAAAAACGTGATCTATTTTTCTCCTCAATTACTATTTTCCTGAAATGGGTTTGGACCCCTAAATAGTTACATGTTATTACATTCTCAGCCTCAAAAAGTCCAGATGATCTTTTATTGGGCGTCTTTTTCTTTTGGCTTCCAAGCTGCGTCCACAAGTTAAAATGAGTTTGGTCCAGCAGCAAGCCACTCTGTGCTCTCTGCCAGGCATCTCTGGTTTGGGCATGAGCTTCTCAGCCTCATGCTTTATGTAAATTGACTGAGACTTGATCAGGCCATGTGGTCTGAGGATCTAAAAATAACAATTTTGCTCTACCTTCTTTTCCTGATACTGTAAACTCAGTCTACTTTTTTTTTTTTTTTTTTTTTTTGAGTCAGAGTCTAGCCCTGTCGCCCAGGCTGGAGTGCTGTGGCGTGATCTCTGGAGTGCAGTGGTGCAGTCTCGGCTCACTGCAACCTCCATCTCTGGGGTTCAAGAGATTCCTCCTGCCTCAGCCTCTGGAGTAGAGTAGCTGGGACTACAGGCACGTGCCGCCACACCTGGCTAATTTTTGTATTTTTAGTAGAGACAGGGTTTCACCATGTTGGCCACGCTGGTCTTAAACTTCTGACCTCAGGTGATCCATCCGCCTTCACCTCCCAAAGTGCTGGGATTACAGGAGTGAGCCGCCACGCCCAGACTACTTCTTCATTTCTGAGAAAGAAACACAATTCGGCCGTATAACAACCATTTGACTCTCCCTTCTCCTTCTTGTGTCTCTATCTATGCATACAGTAGTGAAGGATCATTTGAATTACGAAGCTCTCCTAAAATACCAATAGGCTCTAACTTTGGCCTATCATTTGGGTTATCATTGCCTTATCATTTTTGACAAATAGTTTTTTTAATATATAACACCTTATATCTGACTACTATTTGACAGTTTCCAAAACACTTTGAAGATATGGAACTTTGATTCTCACAGCAACCTTATGGGACAAGTAGAACAGAGATTGTTATCTGCATTTTACAAATGAGGAGGCTGAAATTAGCTAGGTAGGTAGAGCCAAGATCAGACTGGGTTTACTGGGTCCAAGACCAGTGAGCTCCATGCACCGACTACCACTGTAGAAACCAGATTAAAAGATTCAGCAACAGAGCTTTGTATACAGCAGCTTATCAATTGACTTAACATCTTATACCTTCCCTGATCAAGTTTCCACCAGGAGCTGTTTTCTTAATGTGAAACCGATGCTAATTTGTGACTCTCTCTTTCTACCAAAAAACATTCTCATCATCTCGTAGGGTTGGGCTGGAGGGGGTTTTCGGAGCTCATTTAAAGCCGTCCTGCATCTTCTTGAACCCTTGACCCTAACCATCCTGGACAGGTGAGCTCTTAAAAGTGAGTCCTGCCTTTGAAGCTGCAGGTTAAGAGGTAATACGATCCCCATCGCTAGTTCCTTCTGGGCTCTAGACCTCAGACATTATTTTCAATTCATCATTTAGTGTAGCTTCCTTCTGGCTTCAGGCCAGGCCACATATTTTCTTGGTCTTTTCAGATTTTACAATCACACTGTCTCCACCAGCTCCAGAAATAGATCTCCAGAGGCAGAAAAAAGAAAATTACCAAGTCATTTCTCAAATGCCTTTTCTCCGGCTAGACAACATCAATCTTGGCATGGAGGCTTCTTTCCTCAATTGCTTGGCTGGCAGGGAGAAAGGATAATGGAGGGGCTGCTGTGTTGACTCAGTGAGGAGAGGGAGGCCATGGGTCAAGACAGACGCTGCTTCGGGTGTTCTCTCTTCACACATTTTGAGAGGTTTCCAAGGCCCAAGACTCCTAGAAAATCAAATGAGAGCCTTATAGAACTTGTGCCTCAGTGCCTGGGACACAGAGAGCTCTGCATAAATATCAACCAACTTTAAAAAACAACAACCTCAGCCGGGTGCGGTGGCTCACGCCTGTAATCCCAGCACTTTGGGAGGCTGAGGCAGGAGGATTACTTGAGGTCAGGAGTTTGAGACCAGCCTGGCCAACATGGTGAAACCCCGTCTCTACTGAAAATACAAAAATTAGCCAGGTATGTTGGTTGGCGCCTGTAATCCCAGCTACTCGGGAGGCTGAGGCAGGAGAATCACTGGAACCCGGGAGGCAGAGGTTGCAGTAAGCCAAGATCGCACCACTGCACTCCAGCCTGGGCAACAGAGTGAGTGAGACTCCGTCAAAAAAAAAAGACAAAAAAAAAAAAAAAATCCCACCTTGTTTTACAGATGAAGACACCAAGCCCCAGAGGTGGGGGATACTTTGCCCATGGTGTCACAGCCAGTCAATGGCAGAGCAAGATTCGAAGCCTCAGTAATTTCTCAATAATACCAACACTGCTCTTTATAAACTTTTTTTGCATTCAGTGTATTTTATTGAATTGAAAAATCATTCCTTTGATGTGTCATCTAAGGATAGGCTCTGGAATCAGACAAACACAGGTTGAAATGTTTGGTTTTATCATGTACTAGTTGTGTGACACTGGACAAGTTACTTAATCTCGCTATGCCTCAGTTTTCTGATCTGGGAAAGGAAAGTCATATTAATGCTCCTCTCATAAGACTGTTGGGAGGGTTCAATTAGACACCATCACTGAAGAGATTAGCATAGTGGCCAGCCCAAGACTGCTCTTTCAACTACTGGGTTGGATGTCCTAAACGCTTCTCTCTGGCTAGCTGCTCTAAATTCACTTGTAGCATCCTTTCTTAAATCCCATTTTCCCCATGTTGATTATTCTTTTTTTTTTGAGATGGAATCTCTCTCTGTTACCCAGGCTAGAGTGCAGTGGCGCCATCTCAGCTCACTGCAATCTCTGCCTCCCTGGTTCAAGCGATTCTTCTGCCTCAGCCTCCTGAGTAGCTGGGACTACAGGTGCATGCCACCACACCTGGCTAATTTTTTGTATTTTTAGTAGAGACAAGGTTTCACTATGTTGGCCAGGCTGGTCTCGAACTCCTGACCTCAGGTGATCCACCTGCCTTGGCCTTCCAAAGTTCTGGGATTACAGGCGTGAGCCACTGTGCCCGGCCCCGTTAGTTATTCTTGTGCTAATTTCCTGATCTACTGAACCAGGTCACATTACTATCCCTTCTTCCAATCTGAGCACTGAGTTTGTAACTTGGCATGTTTAGAGCCATAGGGATGGGAACAACATTGCGAGACTCTGTGGCCTTCTGCATCCAACCAGAAATGTTCACATATTCATGAAGGGAAGAGCCATTTTGTTTTCTAAATGACCCTTCACTCTGTCTCTGTTGCACCCCACCAAAGCTACCCACTTCTTTTCTGGCCACCAACACCGACTAGAGCTTTGCTTATCTGATGAGGAGGGCAACCTATTAAATTTTTCTGGTTGTTTGAATCAACTGTTTTCTTGTAAAACTTGAATAAGACTAAATTAAACAACTAGTCTTTCTGTGGCAAGCGTTTAAGAGTTCCAAGATTACTTTTCTCTAAAATAGAGAATCACAAAATCTCAGAATTGAAAGTGATCTTAAAGATCCTTTGGTTCAACACATCCTTTGCTGGAATCTCATCCCGTTCCCCAAATCTTCAGTCATACAAAGGCTTGGCAAAAATTAACTTGATGAGTTTTAGGTTCTCTCTTTAAAGTAGGTTTAGAGGGAAGCTAAGATCCCAGCTCAATAATTCACATCTCAAGCTCTGAATCCTTTGAAAGCCTAAACCATGAGCTCAATTCCAAATTCCTCTTATTTCTTTGTGGCACAAGCTCTTCCAGAAATATCTTCCGCGAAACAGCATAACCTCATCTAGGAAACATATTCTTCCTAATCATAACAAACAGTGGCTCTTTAGGCAAATCACCGTAACTAATTCGCTCCGCTCTTCACATGCCAAGCCTGGCCCACACCCACATCCCCCAGAACCAGTTGCCAATGTTCTGCTGAGGCCCCTTGTGGCTTCGACCCACTTCTGTGGGGAGGTAATTCTCAAAATTGCTCTATTTTAGTTTATTATTTTATTTTGGAGACAGGATTTCACCCTGTTACCCAGGCTGGAGTACAGTGGCACGATCATGGCTCGCTGAAGCTTCAAACTCCTGGGCTCAAACACTCCTCCTGCCTCGCCTCCTAAGTAGCTGGGCCTACAGGCTTGAGCCACCACATCTTCAGAAAGATGACTTTCTTTTCTTTTTTCTTTTTTTTTTTTTTTGAGATGGAGTCTCACTCTTGTCGTCCAGGCTGGAGTGCAATGACGCAATCTCAGCTCACTGCAACCTCCGCCTCCCGGGATCAAGCAATGGTCCTGCCTCAGCCTCCCAAGTAGCTGGAATTACAGGCGCCCACCACCACACCCGGCTAAGTTCTGTATTTTTAGTAGAGACGGGGTTTCACCATGTTGGCCAGGCTGGGCTGGAACTTCTGACCTCAGGTGACCTGCCTGCCTTGGCCTCTCAAAGTGCTGGAATTACAGGCGTGAGCCACCGCACCTGGCCATAAAGATGACTTTCACGTATCATTATTGGAGAGGTTTTTAGTTTCAAAAATAGATCTCCTTTAAAAAATTCTTTTAAACAGTGACCTGTTTGGAAACAGGGCTGTTTGGGCAATTTGGAAACAGATGACTTCCACAAAATGTATTGCTCCCCCCTTAGTCGGAACTGACAGTGAGTGAAATTGTGGGCTAAATCTATTTACCTTCAGCACCCCTGCTCCTGTGCTGCATTCCTACCTCCTTCTCACCTCAGGGCCCTCATCGCTCCCATGTTATTTTCTCCTCTACCCAGTCCATCCAAACCTCCTCTCAGGAAAGAACCTGAAAGCCTTGCTGAGATGTAAGCAATAGGTAAGACCTCCCCATTGCCTCTCCTGGGGATATTCCCATCGCACTCAGAGAGGCAAAGCTGTGAGGTGCTGAGACACAACTCAGCCACTGTGCAGAGAGATGCTTCCTTTATTCCTCCCTTCCTTTAGTGCTGCAGGCGCCAGGCGTTGCTTCTGGCACGGGGGAGAGAGCAGTGGGCAGAACACACCCAGTGCCCGCTCTCAGCAAGTGTCCCTTGTTCTGGGGAAGAAAGGGATGGGAAGGGGCTCCTGAGATCCCATCCACGCCAGGTGACGGATGCTCCCTTGTTCCCAGTGCCAGGTCAAAAGTGGCTGAACAGACTTATTGTTCTCCAGGTTAGTGATATATCCTGTGAGCTTTGGAATTGATGAAATGGTGACAGGCCCTGCTCTGCCACCTCCCAAGGCATGACCCTTCGTCTCCTCCTCATCTGTAAAATGGGGATGATGATACCCAGCTCCCGTAGCTGTGGGGAGGATGAAGCAAGATGATACATGGGAAGGGTAGTGCACTGCGCATGGCTCTCGGTGAGCCCCTCACAGATGACACTGTCGTTAGAAGGAGCTGAGCCCAACCAGGAGACGAGACAGAGGGAGCAGGGAGAGCAGAGTCGGGGCCAGTGATTTCCTTAAGAGGGATGTGCCCTTCCTCCCAAAGTGCCAAAGCAACACTCAAGGATCCACAGCCTTGGGAGAGTCTAGATCCTAGATTGCTACTTGTATAATTTTGAGATTTCCCTACATACATATATTTATTTTAAGAAGTAAAGTGAATTAGCCGGGTGCAGTGGTTCATGCCTGTAATCCCAGCACTTTGGGATGCTGAAGCAGGTGGATCACCTGAGGTCAGGAGTTTGGGACCAGCCTGGCCAACATGGTGAGACCCCACCTCTACAAAAAATACAAAAATTAGCAGGGTGTAATGGCGGCACCTGTAATCCCAGCTACTTGGGAGGCTGAGGCAGGAGAATCACTTGAACCCGGGAAGCAAAGGTTGCAGTGAGCTGAGATCGCACCACTGCACTTCAGGTGACAGGGCGAGACTCCATCACACAGACACACACACACACACACACACACACACACACACACACACACAAGAAAAGAAAGGGATTGACATGAATTTTGTTCGAAGATTTCACAATGCCACTTGAGGTAAGGAGGGAGACCTGAGGACAGTATCACATTAGGTAGAAGGATGGGAGGATAGGAAAGGCTACCCTTTTTGGGGATAGCCCAAAAAATGATATGTAAGGCACCTCACATGCCACAGCTACACTTCTCACATCAATTCTGCCAAGAGAGGACTTCATCATTGCACCTGAGCAAATCATGGCTCAGCATGAGAAAGTAATTTGCCTAAATAGAAGCAGGTGTCAAACCCTCATCATTGTGCCTCACATCACCTCTTTCCATTACACACTTTCATTCACTCTTCATGATCCACAATCATAGAAATAATTGTTGTCCACAGAGTGCTCAAAATGACTGAAGACATACTCACTACTGATGTTCACATTTGTCACTGAAGATCATTCTTGGATCTCTTTTCATGTTAAACTTAACCTGGTACACATCATTCCTTTCATTTGACACTTATTTAGGGTATAAGCTCACAATGGGGCCACCTTGATCTACTAGTCAGAACTGAGTGTGACTAATAAGATAGCAGCTTCACAGACGTGCCTGTGTACAGATCCACATCACCTGCGAATCACACAGTCTCTAAAAATGTGTCTGGGAGGTCCCCTCCCCTCCAGATCATTATAATTAGAAACCAATGAGGTGGTCTCCCAGAGCACAAGCTTGTTTGTAAATCCAATGCTTTAGCAAGAGAATGTTCTTTCGGGCCAGCTGGCGAGCAGAAGTAAGGACAGAGGCGACCAGTATTTCTAAGGAAGCTGTAGCTATCATTTCCCTCAAATCTTAGGGTGTACTGTATAGGAGCAAGCGAATGGAGGTGTCAGAAGGATGTGAAGGAGGAGGATACGGTGAGAACTGCAACTGCTGAGGGATTGGCCCCGGGGGATGGTGGGGTGGGGGGTGGTCAGGAAGCATGAGGAAGGGTCAAATGGGCAGATTCCAGCTCATTGATAGGCTGGGCTTCAAGATCTACTTGTTGAGGACAATATATAATGATCCCCATTCCCCACACACCCACTAATTCCACCCACAAAGGGTGTTGGAACAAAAGAATCAAGCCTGAGGACAATTGGTCAATTGATGGATCTCAGAGCTGGAAGGTAGAATGCTTGATAGGATGTCAGAAGAGTTAAGAGCTAAGATTTCCCAGCCAGTGTGTCCTTTCTCTTTATTTGAGGTCTCTGTGTTGCTTCTTTCTTCCCTCTAGCAGCTGGCTTGGTTAGGAGAACACACAGCTGCCTCCAGCTTGGGCAGGACCCCACCTTAGGCCTTCTGGAGCAGGTGCCAAGAAGACCCCTGGTCTTGCTTTTAGAATAGGCTTTAGATTTGAGGCATTGGGGTCCACGGAGTCCACCAGAGCCACACCAACATTGGGATTTGTGGCCAGATAGTTAAGGCAATAAATAGTGACATTTCCCCGGACTTGTTATCTGAATATGTGGTCAACAAATTCAACAAATATTTTGTCAATTATACGCTATGACAAAGTCTTCGCCCTCATGCAGCCTGCTGTGTTCTCGTAGTGGACACACAGTGAACTAATATTAGAAATAGTGTCTTGTGGTGATGAGATTAGGGTGGTAGTCAGCTACTTTACAGGATGGTCATAAAAATATCTCTGTGTGGAGGTGATATGTGAGCAGAGACCTACATTGAATGAGGGAGGGAACCATGTAAGTATTTGAAGGAAGGTTTTCCAGGAAAATGAACGGCAAGTGCAAAGACTCAGAAGGGAGAACAAGTTTAGCAAGCTCACAGAAGACCAGGAAAGCCAACGCACCAGGTAGACAGAGTGAGGGGAACAAAGACAGAAAATGAGGTAGGGGAGGTTGCCAGCCACTGAGGACTGTCTTAATAATCTGTGTCCTCCAAGCCCAGCAGAGGCTTGTCCCTGAAACCCTGTGATCTGTTAGGCAGTCAAATCTCAGTCTCAGTTAAATATTTGGATGAAATCAGCAATGGCTTGAAATAATTGATATGGCTTTCCAGATGTCTTGTCCCAATTCTAATAGAGGAGGAGAAACCGGCATGCCAAGATTCTAAACTAGTTTGTCTCAGAGCTTTCTACCACTCACCTTACTCTCCCACCATCTCTAAAGGGATTAGATTTACTGTCCCCATTAAAGAGTGAAGGAGCTCATGCTGCACCCTCCAGTCTAGGGCTAGGAGGGATGGGCGCTGCCCTCTCCAGCCTGATACGCTCCTTCTCACTCACTCTTAGCTGAATATTCTCATCCCACTCAAACCTAGAAAGCCTGCTTATTTTTTTAATTACAAATATTTTATAATTATAAAATCCCTTATTTATTTGTGCATGTTTTAAGGATAAGCTGAATCATGTAACCTGTGTCTGGTTTACCTACATATATTTTTTTAATAGAGAAATTACTCTTCCTTGGGAGGCTGAGGTGGGCAAATCACTTGAGATCAGGAGTTCGAGACCAGCCTGGCCAACACAGCAAAAACCCATCTGTATTAAAAATATGAAAATTAGCCAGGCATGGTGGCAGGTACCTGTAATCCCAGCTACTCAGGACGCTGAGCCAGGGGACTCACTTAAACCCAGGAGGCGGAGGTTGCAGTGAGCTAAGATCAAGCCACTGCACTCCAGCCTGGGCAACAGAGTGAGACTCCATCACAAAAAAAAAAAAAAATGTGGATGGGTGCAGTGGCTCACACCTGTAATCCCAGCACTTTGGGAGGCCGAGGCGGGGTGGGCGGATCACGAGGTCAGGAGATCGAGACCATCCTGGCTAACGCGGTGAAACCCCATCTCTACTAAAAATACAAAAACAAAAAATTAGTCAGTCATGGTGGCAGGCGCCTCTAGTCCCAGCTACTCCGGAGGCTGAGGCAGAAGAATGGCGTGAATCCGGGAAGCGGAGCTTGCAGTGAGCTGAGATCGTGCCACTGCACTCCAGCCTGGGCGACAGAGTGAGACTCCGTCTCAAAAAAGAAAAAAAAAAGAGAGAGTGAGAGAAATTATTCTTCCATCAATCTTTACTTTTTCATTTAGTAGAAAATAAAATTATTTGGGCTTTAATATCTATTGTCCTTAAATAGAAATATGATTTAATCCTAAATAAGCACTAGATTCTATTATCAAGGCTCTACTGTAATTTTTCGCAAATCCAGGGAGGGGACGAGGGTATTCTCATTAGCTCATTCCCAAGCCATTTTATTAATGAACAACTGATCATTACAAGAGTCTTGATTATTTTGGGACAAATTTGAATTCTTGTAGCTTCCAATTTTTGTTCAGAATTTTGTCTTCTGAAGCCATTGAAGAGTGAAGGAACTCATGCCACACCCTCCTGTCTAGGGCCAGGTGGAGTAGGATGCTGTCCTCTCCAGCATGATGTGCTCCAGAGCAGCCTATCCCCTGATCCCAGGCTTGGCACAGCCCTTCACCTGAAGGCCACCCATGTCACATATCCTTAATGCCCTCTGCTCATTTCTTTTTTTTTTTTTTAGAACTGAGGTGTCTTTTATTTCAAAAACGGATCTGATTTTCCTAACAAAACTTTCCCCAACACGTTACCTTTTTCTCCAAGTTTCCTCTGTCTG
Source organism: Homo sapiens (assembly GCF_000001405.40). Taxonomy (NCBI): domain Eukaryota; kingdom Metazoa; phylum Chordata; class Mammalia; order Primates; family Hominidae; genus Homo; species Homo sapiens. The sequence goes on from NC_000010.11 coordinate 26,241,660, forward strand.
TACGTGTATGCACATGCATGAGTGTGCACACACATGTATTTTTAGGTGGAAGTACAAAAAATTGAAGTGTATTGAGGTATTTTGGAAAACTCTATAAATAGCTTCCTTGCATTGAGGGGAAGAGGGCCTTTTGGCCCTTTGATGATAATAGGTTGTTATCTTCTGAGGTGTAGTTTGCGTCCTCACTCCTCTGGGTGGTCTGCTAGTATGTGCTGCTGACAGATGTAGTTGCCCAACTCAGCATTCTTTGCTAAAACATCTCCCCTCAATTCTTGTTGGCCTTGCAGATACTGTTGAATCACTGGTTCCATTTGTTTGTTTGTTTGTTTGTTTGTTTTTGAGACAGAGTCTCACTCTGTTGCCCAGGCTGGAGTGCAGTGGCGTGATCTTGGCTCACTGCAAGCCAAGCTCCGCCTCCCTGGTTCATGCCATTCTCCTGCCTCAGCCTCCGGAGTAGCTGGGACTACAGGCACCCGCCACCATGCCTGGCTAATTTTTTTGTATTTTTAGTAGAGACAGAGTTTCACCGTGTTAGCCAGGATGGTCTCGATCTCCTGACCTCGTGATCCGCCTGCCTCAGCCTCCCAAAGTGCTGGGATTACAGGCGTGAGCCACCGCGCCCGGCCACTGGTTCAATTTTTATATTTGTTTCCAGAGAACCCTCTAGGTTCTCTCTAAACACCTGCTTTCCAGCCTTCTCAGCATCCAGGTGGTTGTTCTTCAGACACTCTTTTCCTCTGGTTCATCAACAAGTACTTCCATTCAAAGTGGTGCTAAGGAATAAAAACGACTGTCCACATGTGGTCTCGCCGGCCCAGAGAGACATGCCATTTAAGCTATCTTCACTGTTTCTCCCTCATTAGGTAGATGCTTTTTCCTCTCAAGTTTTCTTCCTCTCCATGGATTCCTTTCTATTTGTGAATAACGTTAAGCTATTTCTCTGCTCCCTTTCCTCAAAATATAAACAGACTCGATGTTTGCTACCTAATTTTCTTTTTCATGCTTCATCTCACCTTTGTTCCCTGTCTTTAAGCTTTCTATCTGGGCATGTGTTTTTCTTTAAATCTGCAGCATTTGGTACCGTGATCAATTATCCTGGGTAATTGCTCCTCATTTAAGAACCCCTATTCTTTCTCATTAAAGACTAGACAAGAATACGTCCTCCCATTGACCAGGTGCACCAGATCTCTTACTTATCCCCAGTTCGCCTTTTTGCAGTTTAGTGCTTAAGAGCTCATTCACAGAGGGGTGTAATTTGAGTGGCTTGCATGTACTTAGTTGGGGCAGCTGGCTGTCTCTTCCCTTCTGGCTGTAAGAGACTTAGCTTGCCTCTGAGCTCCTTCTCTTTGGGGTCGCCCAGGGCTCTGCCAAATGCACAAAAAACCCCCCCCCTTTTTTTGGTGGGGGAGGTCATGCATCTTTACAAACCTTGATCTAATTAAGCTTTCTCCTCTAGTTCCTAGGTATCACGGTAATGACTGTCCACTTTGTCATTCTTAGGTTGTAAAATGAAGCTAATGGCCCTTTCTCATTGCTTCTAGCTGCACTGAGCTTGTCAAACTCCACAGCTCCAGGTCTCCTTGATTGGTCATCATTATTTGCTGCTGTTATAAATGTGATTTCTTCTTGGTGATTAGACATACCCCCTAAAAATACATGTGTTAAGAGTTCCTGTGCTGTGTGTTTGAGAATTCAGAAGAGTACAAAAGTGGGCATTCGAAGAGAGAGGACCCTCTTAGGATCCCTAACTTAAAATTCCAGTCAGCAGCCCTTTGGAGATGTAAATTGAGGAAGCAGCTCTTCTTTTGGACAGCTTAATGATGTGTAGTTAATAGTAAGAGGCTGATGGGCAGATGCAGTACAGCTGGGCTTAGGTTAGCCTTTCTCAGCTCTCCAAATGGCACGGTGATTACAACCATTGAGACACACAGTCCTACCCGGAATCAATAACCAAAGGCACAAAGACTTTGGCGGTGGCTTGGCAGTGTGGCCTGTTCTGTACACGCAGACAAGTCATTCTGCCCCAGCCAGTAATTGATACCTCTTTTTTAAAGCCTGACTCAGGCTTGGCAGTTGCCTGTGCAACAAATAGCCCCTCCAGCAACTGGAATAAAGAGTGCTAGATTTAGGGTCACTTGTCCTCTTACCTGAGTTTACTGAGTTTCACTGAACCTGGGAGAAACTGAGTGTAACTTCTTGGTAACATATAAGCCTGGGAGCCATACAATACATAGCTGCTGGAGCTGGTTGATGTATTGTTAAGCCTTGTATGTAAAATTGGCTTTGAGTTCCTGTGTGTCAGGTTATTGGATCCATTTACAATTTCCAGCATCTTTCCAGTTTCCCTCAAAAATCTCAACAAGAACAAAAACTAAATAAACGACTGTATTCAAAATGGGCAAAGAACTTGAATAGACATTTCTCCAGAGAAGATGCACAAATGGCCACTAAGCACATGATGCTAAGCACAAGATGTTCAACCTCACGGATCGTTAGGGAAATGCAAATCCGAAGCATAATGAGTTGCCATCTCTCATTCATTAGGATGACTGTTATCGAAAACAGAAAATTATGATTGTTGGTGAGGATGTGGAGAAATTGGAAACCTCGTCCACTGAGAGTGGGAATGTAAAATGGTACCGCCATGATGGAGCACTGTATGGATGTTCTTCCAAAAGTTAAAAATAGAAGTGCTGTATGATCTAGTAATTCCACTTCTAAGTATCTACTCAAAGCAATTGAAAGCAGAGTCTTGAAGAGGCAGTTGTACCCCCATATGTCACAGTAGCATTATTCGCAATAGCCAAAAGGTAGAAGCAACCTGTTTGTATAAATGGATGAATAGCTAAACAAAATGTGGTATGTACATGTAATAGAATGTCATTCAGCCTTAAAAAGGAAGGAAATTCTCACACATGCTACAACATGGATGAACCTTGAGGACATTATACTAAGTTAAACCAGTCACAAAAAGTCAAATACTGTATGTTCCACTTATGTGAGGTACTTAGAGTAGTTAAATTCAAAGACAGAAAATGGAATGGTGGTATTCAGGGGTTGGGGGTGGGGAGAATGAGGAGTTGTTTAATGGGCACGGAATTTTAGTTTTCAAGATGCAAAGAGTTCTGAAGATGGATGGAGGTGATGGATTGCACAACACTGTGAATATATTTGAAACCACTGAAATGTACACTTAAAAATGGTTAATAAGGCTGGGCACAGTGGCTCATGCCTGTAATCCCAGCACTTTGGGAGGTTGAGGCAGGTGGATCACCTGAGGTCAGGAGTTTGAGACCAGCCTGGCCAACATGGTGAAACCCTGTCTCTACTAAAAATACCAAAAACTAGCTAGGCATGGTGGTGGGCACCTGTAATCCCAGCTACTTGGGAGGCTGAGGCAGGAGAATCACTGGAACCCGGGAGGCAGGGGTTGCAGTGAGCTGAGATTGCACCATTGCATGCCAGCCTGGGCGACAAGAGCAAAACTCTGTCTCAAAAAAAAAAAAAAAAGAAAAAAGAAAAAAGTTAATAATGCACAGTGGTGCCTGTCGGGGCTGGGGTTGGGGGTGTGGGGGGAGGGAGAGCATTAGGAAAAATAGCTAATGCATGCTGGGCTTAATACCTAGGTGATGGGTTGATAGGTGCAGCAAACCACCATGGCACACGTTTACCTATGTAACAAACCTGCACATCCCGCATGTACCCTGGAACTTAAAATAAAAATAAAAAAAAAATAAATAAAAACGGTTAAGATGGCATTTAAGTTATGTTGTTTTACCACAATTTTTTTTTTTTGAGACGGAGTTTCACTCTTGTCTCCCAAGTTGGAGTGCAATGGCGCAATCTTGGCTCACTGCAACCTCCGCCTCCCGAATTCAAGCGATTCTCCTGCCTCAGCCTCCTGAGTAGCTGGAATTATAGGCGCCCGCCACCACACCCGGCTAATTTTTTTTTTTGTATTTTCAATAGAGACTGGGTTTGACTATGTTGGCCAGGCTGGTCTCAAACTCCTGACCTTGTGATCTGCCTGCCTCGGCCTCCCAAAGTGCTGGGATTACAGGCATGAGCCACCACGCCCAGCTGTTTCACCACAGTTTTTAAAAAAGCACAAGTGAAGGATGCCATCTTCTCTCAGCAGCCCAGGCTTTGGAGGAACAGACTAGAAATGAAAGGAAAAAAGGAAAACAGAAAACAAACAGCCAGTGGAATGGATCTTGTCTGTATATGGAACTAATTGCAAATATATATATTTTTTTTACAGAGTCATTTTTCTCTCAAGAAGGGAGCTGCAGCCTTAGGGATTGGAACAGACAGCGTGATTCTGATTAAATGTGATGAGAGGTGAGCACGCATCGGCAACTCTTGTTGGTTAGCAATTTGCAAATTCCACACAAGTAGTGCCTTTTGGTCTGAAAATAGGAGAGGACCACGGGGCAGCAAGTCCACCTCCCTCCCAGCCTCTGCAGCCTTCGTTTCTTTTTAACATGGGCTCCTGCTTCTGTTGCTCAGATGTGGTTCCTTGATGCCATGGAGCCTTCCACAGCCCTTGCCTGAATCAAAACCTTTGTTAAATCCATCAAAATATTCTACACCAAGAAAGTGCAGAAAGACTTTCATCACCTGGGCACGTTAGCAACAGCAGGCACTTTGAGCACTGATTTATGGAGGTGTCATCACTTTGGGCACCATAGATAGTGTAAGCTTGATGGGGTGATTACAGGAGGGGACGTAGTATAGGGAGCAGGAAGTAAATAAAGCACCAGCAACTCAACAACTGGAACCAGAGGACTCAGGGGAAATCCCTGTCTTAATTGACACCTGAACTTCACAGGGACTCTGGGATTCAGTGCGGTGCTTTGTGGGAGAGATTTTAGAATGTCCACGTAAAGTATCACTGGCCTGTAGGCCTGAAGCCTACTAAAAATTAGATTCAGTCTCTAAAGTTTCATTAAGAATTTTCATTAAATTTAAAGGAAGCCACTCAATTGGCCATTTATTTATTTATTTGTATTTATTAGTCAGATGTGTACTGATTGCCCACCATGTCACTAGGCTCTAGAAAAGCACCATACGTTGATCCCGGTTCCCTGCCAGGATGTGAGCTAGGTGGGAAGAGGCAGTGTCGTCAGAAGGAGATAGTTACAGGGTGGAACTGCATGGCATGAAGTACACATTTGAACTTTGAGAAGACCTAGAAAGCTTCATGCAACAGGCAGGAATTGAGCTGGATTTTTAAAATTAGGAGTGAGCTGGACAAGTGGAGGGAAAGGCAAGGGCAGTTACAGAAGATTGAATACCAGCAGCAAAGCTGTTACAGGAAAGGGGTCCTGATCCACATCCCAAGAGAGGATTCTTGGATCTCGCGCAAGAAGGAATTCAGGGTGAGTCCATAGAGTGAAATGAAAGCAAGTTTATTAGGAAACTAAAGGAATAAAAGAATGGCTACTTCATAGACAGAGCAGCCTGGAGGCTGCTGGTTGCCCATTTTTATAGTTATTTCTTGATTATATGCTTAACAAGGGGTGGATTATTCATGCCTCCCCTTTTTAGACCATATAGAGTAACTTCCTGACATTACCATGGCATTTGTAAACTGTCATAGTGCTGGTGAGAGTGTAGCAGTGAGGAGGATGACCAGAAGTCACTCTCGTGGCCATCTTGGTTTTGGTGGGTTTTGGCAAGGTCTTTATGACCTGTATCTTGTGCTGACCTCCTATCTCGTGACTTAGAATGCCTTAACCGTCTGGGAATGCAGTCCAATAGGTCTCAGCCTCATTTTCCCCAGCTCCTATTCAAGATGGAGTTACTCATATTCACATGCCTCTGACAAAGCCACAGGAGGAGGAATGAGCACCTCACGGGGTCCAGAAGCCAAGCCTTAGCAGAGGCATGGGGGAGGGGCAGCCACAGCAAATACGGTGGCTCACGTGGAATTCAGAAAGCTCTAAAAATCCGGCTGGGGGCAGTGGCTCACGTCTGTAATCCCAGCATTTTGGGAGGCCGAGGCGGGTGGATAACCTGAGGTCAGGAGTTCAAGACCAGCCTGGCCAACATGGTGAAACCCTGTCTCTACTAAAAATACAAAAATTAGCCGGGGGTGGTGATGTGCGCCTGTGGTCCCAGCTACTCAGGAGGCTGACACAGGAGAATCGCTTGAACCCAGTAGGCAGAGGTTGCAGTGAGCCGAGATCATGCCATTGCACTCCAGCCTGGGCAACAAAGCAAGACTCCATCTCAAAAAAAAAAAAAAAAAGGAAAAGAAAAAAAAAAAAGAAAGCTCTAAAAATAAGCCATGTTTACCTCTGTTAGCGAACCAAACTGAGGTTCACTCGCCAGCAGCAGTGAGGCCAAACATCCACACACAGGTTTGCAGCAGGAGAAAGGAGGACATTTATTTGCAGGGCACCAACCAAGGTGAATTGAGCAGCTCATGCTTAAGACTCAGCCTCCCCGATGGCTTGCAGGTAGGGGTTTTTAAAGGCAGGGATAATTTCAGGAAAGCAGAAGTTACAGGCAAATTGCAAATCAATACATGGTGGTTACACATCAGTTTGGCCCGAAAGGGTGGGATATCTTGAAGCAGGACTTATAGGACATAGGCGAATTCAAAGGTTTTCTGATTTGCAGTGGGTTAAGGAAGAGCAGCTTTGCTTAAAATTTTGAGGTCAGCAGAAAAGAATGCTAGCTCTGGCCCAGGGGTGTGCCTCCCTCCAGGCCCTTCAGGAAGAAATTTAGAGCAAAGAAAGGTGGTCAGAGTTCAGACCTCAGTTTCCCCTCATCTGAGGTTTACGTACCAGCCAATCCATTTGGTGGGAGTCCTGGAGTCCTGGTTTGTGAAAAACAGCCCAAGGATGTATGTTAAGATGTTACCTTTAGTTTCTACAGGGAATCAAATATCCTGTGGTTCTAACTTCCTCAGAAGCTGATCGTTTACTTCTCAGGTCTTGCTAGTGCCTGGAATTTCCCTTGAAGGAACTCGTTTCCCTTTATTTTCACACTTAGAAGTATTGCCTGAAGACCACTAAAAGGGCTCCCTGCCCCACTCAGCTCTGGGTGATGAGGTTAAAGAAGCTTACCACTTTCTTGTTTACACCTTTTTATATTGCCTGATTTTGTTTGATTGCTGGCAGAGAACATAGCTTTGCAATCAGAAAAAAAAATGGTGTTATTTTTTCTTTTGGGGCAAGGAGAGCTAAAGTTAGAATTTAAGCTGGATAGGTCTGGAAACAAGGTAACTGGAAATAATTTTCATTAAAGAACATGAGTGAAGCCACCCTTCAGGAGGCAAGATAGGCGAGAGGATCTCCAGTCAGGAAGGCCAGTAGGAGGCCCTAGCAATTAGACAGGCATTAAGGATAAAAGGATGGGAGTGAGGCAAACACATTTTGGAAAAGAAATTGCCTCTTTTTTTGGCGGGGGAGGGGATGGAGTCTCGCTCTGTTGCCCAGGCTGGAGTGCAGTGGTGCTGTCTCGGCTCACTGCAACCTCTGCCTCCCGGGTTCAAGCGATTCTTGCGCCTCAGCCTCCCTAGTAGCTGGGACTACAGGCACTCGCAACACGCCTGGCTAGTTTTTGTATTTTTAGTAGAGACGGGGTTTCATCATATTGGTCAGGCTGGTCTTGAACTCCTGACCTGAGATGATCCGTCCGCCTCGGCCTCTCAAAGTGCTGGGAGCTGCCTCATATTTTTAAGGCTACCAGTGTTCCTCAGTAGCCGGTACTTAAGAACTGAGATTTGAAGAGAAAACTGGAGTTTAAAAATGTGAAGAATAAATGTTTAGATGACTTTAAAACTTTCTTAATCTGTAGTTGATCTGTTATGGGTGAGGAGCCTGGAGTTGAGGGAAGAATCACCTAGAGGGCCGTGGCCCGCTGGCCTAGGCAGTCTTCCTTGCTAGCCTTGGTAGCTGGCGTTCTCCAGTGAACCCCAGGGGGCTGAGAGGTGACTGGCAGAGCAGTAGGGGCTCTTGACTCTACTCTTCAAAGCATCGGCATCACTGCTCCTACTCCTGTGAAAATCAGGTGTGACCGCAGAAGTGGTCTTGGATGAGTCCACCAGGCCAGCTAGGCGGCTCATCATGGGAACAAGGGGCCTGCCTGAGGACATCTGCCCATCTAAAGGCAACACTCTGCTCACAAGAGAAGTTCAGGCCTAGAAGAAGGAAGACCAAGAAGGGAAAACAGAGGAGTGGTGGGGGAAAGGGACCATGGACAGGGCTGCCAGGACAGAGGCAGGAGGGGTTTGCCATGCACCACCAGGAGGGCGGAGAAGGAGGCAGGAGGGGGATGCTGGAGAGCCGGCGGGACCTACGATCAGTGACTGGCCAGGGGGCCTCAAATGTGAAAGTCAAAGATATTTATTTCAACAATTTTTTTTTTTTTAAGACATGAGGTCTTGCTCTTTACCCAGGCTGGAGTGCAGTAGCCCATTCCAGCCTGGAATTCCTAGGCTCAAGCAATTCTCCCCTCTCAGCCTCCTTAGTAGATGGGACTACAGGCCCACACTACGACACCCAGCTCATTTTTGTTTGTTCGTTATAGAGATGGAGTCTCACTATGTTGACCAAGATGGTCTTGAACTCCTAGCCTCAAACAATCCTCTCATCTCACTCTCCCAAGTAGCTGGGATGAGTCATCACACCCAGCTTATTTCAACAATTTTAGAAGTCATTAGAACAACTGAAATACAATACTAAAAAGTATGCTTTTTTCAGAAAATGGCTCACTCTCTAGTACCCCTGTCTACTCACATACACCCCTTGGGAGAGACAGAGGGAAATGGGCCACTGGGCAGCTAGGGCTCGGGGCTTTCTCCCTTTGTGCTCATAAGCTTTGTGGGATGAGGGAAGAAGGAGGGGTCGGGAGAGGCAGGAGTAAGAAAGAAGGAAGTGGGAAAGAGCAAACAGAGTAAGAAATAAAAGGTGGGAAAAAATAAGGCCTACGAGAAAAAAGTTTGTGACGGAAAATACAAAGTAAAGCAAGGAGGAGAGATGGTGAGGGCAATGTGAGTGGAAGCCAGAAACACAGTGAGAGCTTTAGAAGGAATAAATGACCATATTTACCATTTAAAAAGCAATATATGCTCACTTTTTTTAAAAAAAAGAAAATAACAGAAAAATCATAGTTCCACTGTACAAAGATCATCGCTAATACCACATTGGTGTCTAAACCTTTGAAACTCTTTTTCTAAGCACAGAAATTTGTTGGGTTTTTTTTCCTTTTTTTTTTTTTTTTTTTTGAGACAGAGTCTTGCTCTGTCGCCCAGGCTGGAGTGCAGTGGTGTGATCTCAGCTCACTGCAAGCTCCGCTTCCTGGATTCACGCCATTCTCCCGCCTCAGCCTCCCAAGTAGCTGGGACTACAGGCGTCCACCACCATGCCCGGCATTTTTTTTTTGCTTTTTTTTTTTTTTTTGTATTTTTTAGTAGAGATGGGGTTTCACTGTTAGCCAGGATGGTCTTGATCTCCTGATCTCGTGATCCACCCACCTCGGCCTCCCAAAGTGCTAGGATTATAGGCGTGCACCACCATGCCCAGCCTCATCTTTCTTTTTCTAATTAGACATGATAACATGAGTATTTTTCCACATGATTACAAACACAAACACACTTAACTGTATAACATTTTACATATGAATATGTCAGAAAGCATTACAGTACATTTAGAGAGCTGGCTTTGGAGCTGGCTTTGGAGCTGGATTATTTAAATTCCAATCTCAGCTCCAGCACTAGCCTGGGCAAATGCCTCTCTGTGCCTCAGTTTCTTTATCTGAAAAAACAAAAAAGTAATGGCGCCTGCTTCATAGGATTGTTATGAAGATTCAATGTGTTGACAAATGTAAAATGCTGAAAACAATCCGACAATGGGATAAGTCCAAAATATCAGTCCCCTGCTATACATTTTTCTATTTCTTGTGTTACTGTTACGAATAACCTTTGTATCCTTCAGTGAACGTCCTTATGCATCCATAGCTTCTCCATTTAGGACAATTTCTTTCTATTCTTACTAATTGAAATGATATGAATGTTTTTAAGGAAATGGATGCATCAGATTAACCTTGCAAAAGATTTCATCAATTTGTTCTCCTAGCAGCATTGTATGAGAGTATGTTGGAAAAAAATTTTAACTGTGCTATTAGCTATATGGCATCTTTGACTCTATATTGATAATTCACATCATCTGTGTGACATGAGTTTAAGACTGAGAGCCTGGCCCTAATGGTTTAAGTGACATTGAAGTGTTTGGGTTCAGAAGCCAAGGAGAAAGGTGTGGACAATCATTTGTAGCCACCATTGGGGTCAGAATCAATTAAAACACTCTCGGCAGCCATTTTATTTTTATTAGCACGTCCTTGTAAAAGTCAGATGTACAGTTCAGAACACCACGTAAGGCTGACAAGGTGAGAGTCTTCATGCTTGTTTCCCGTAATGCGCTTTGTAAAGTTCATTCAGCCTTCCCAAAACACAAGCCTGGACCTGCCCTCTGTGGCTTTCAATTCTTGTAGTTACCCGTTCCTACCACACATTAGTCTATCAGTGGCTGGGTGATAGGTTTTATTATGTTCTGCAGACAGTTGAAGGTTCACAACTGAGAAGAAATGTCCCAGTGAAAGAGAATAGTCTGTGTCTTTCTAGCAATAAGCCCAATGCTGCATGTGGAGGAAGATCCTGCGAGGTACATTTTTTTTTCTTTTTTTCTTTTTGAGACAAGGTCTCACTCTGTCACCCAGGCTGGAATGCAGTGGCACAATCTCAGCTCACTGCAGCCTCTGCCTCCCAGGTTCAAGAGAGTCTCCTGCCTCAGCCTCCCAAGTAGCTGGAATTACAGGTGTGTGCCACCACGCCCAGCTAATTTTTGTATTTTTAGTAGAGACAGGATCTTATCATGTCACCATGTTGGCCAGGCTGGTCTTGAACTCCTGACCTCAGGTGATCCACCCGCCTTGGCCTCCCAAAGTTCTGGGATTACAGGCATGAGCCACCATGCCCGACCCGGTACCCCTTCTTTTTTTTTTGAGACGGAATCTTGCTCTTGTTGCCCAGGCTGCTGGAGTGCAATGGCGCAACCTTGGCTCACTACAACCTCTGCCTCCAGGGTTCAAGCGATTCACCTGTCTCAGCCTCCCAAGTAGCTGGGATTACAGGCATGTGCAACCACACCCAGCTAATTTTGTATTTTTAGTAGATATGGGGTTTCTCCATGCTGGTCAGGCTGCTCTCGGACTCCTGACCTCAGGTGATCCACCCGCCTCGACCTCCCAAAGTGCTGGGGTTACAGGTGTGAGCCACCATGCCTGGCCAACCCCTTCTTAATTAGCAGTCACAGGGGCTAACTTTGGGTGACAGTTCAAAGTGAAACACGGTTCTCAGTTAAAACAAAAAAAAAAGTTATAATAAATCTTTGTTTGTTTGGACTAGGTTCTTTTAGAGTTGAAAATTAAAAAGCATTTTAATTTTATTAAATATACTTAAAAAATGGAATAAGATAAGGTAATGTAAAACTTCAGTTCTCGTGGCTTTCATTTTGATGTGAAGCATTATAACTAAACAGGAATATTCTATTTTGTAAAAATTACTTATTAAATTCGAAAGAAGAAAATGTGTTAGGTGAATACAAGATTTCATAAGTTACAGCTTGAGGTTTCCTTTCCTTGTTAACAAAAAGTTGAATATTCAGTGATGAGGTTGATGAATTTTTATTCATGTCATTCATATTTGCAAAATTTGAATTAGTGGAATCTAGATTCATGATGTGTAGCTGTAGCTAAGAATAGAAAAGAAAAGTGCATTAATATAGAGAGGAAAATAAACATTTGTGAAAGAAAACAGAGCAATATTTCAGAATTTGCTTGGGCCACTGAGCAAAAAGATGTTTCCCAAATATCCAGTCAAGGGAAGAGGAGAGAAAATTTCTATTGTATGGATGATAATTTGGAAGGATGGGGAGTTCCTATATGATGGAAGTGAGCTCCTGTGAGCTCCATCTTTTGGCTGCAGGCAGTGGTCTTGATTGGAACACAATGGCAGACATGGTGGATGTAGTCCAGTCTAGCGTGAGATGAGCACAGGAAGGGAAGCACCATGATAGAGAAAGTACTGGCTGTTATTGATTCACATCCAGTTCTGCAACTAGGGGAAGGATTATGGGAGTCATCCAGATAAAGAGAAGAGGCAAAAATGTCCCAGGCAGACGCCACAGCACATTCTAAACCAGGTCCCCAACCTTTTTGGCACCAGGGACTGGTCTCATGGAAGACAGTTTTTCCACGGACAGGGCTGTGAGGGGCGGGGGTGGCAGATGGTTTCAGGATGAAACTGTTCCACCTCAGATCATCATCAGGCATTAGTTAGATTCTTTTTCTTTTCTTTTAATTGAATTAATTAATTTATTTATTTTTGAGACGGAGTCTCACTCTGTCGCCAGGCTGGAGTGTCCTGGCACGATCTCAGCTCACTGCAGCCTCTGCCTCCCAGGTTCCAGTGATTCTTCTGCCTCAGCCTCCTGGGTAGCTGGGTTTACAGGCTCACGCCAGCACGCCTGGCTAATTTTTTTATTTTTAGTGGAGATGGGGTTTCACCATGTTGGCTAGGCTGGTCTTGAACTCCTGACCTCAGGTGATCTGCCCGCCTCGACCTCCCAAAACATTAGTTAGATTATCACAAGAAGCACACAACCTAGATCCCTCACATCCGCAGTTCACAGCAGGGTTCCTGCTCCTATGAGAATCTAATGCCACTGCTGATCTGACAGGAGGCGGGGCTCAGGCGGGAATGCTGGCTCAGGGCTCACCTCCTGCTGTGTGACCGGTTCCTAACAGGTCACCATTAGTACTGGTCCGTGGCCCGGGTAATGGGGACCCCTGTTGTAAACCATGGATGTGAGAGAGAACCTGGCTTGTTCAAGGAACTGAAAAGAAGAGAGGACTTGGTCAGAATGTCCTTGTCATGTGGGCCTTATGAGCCATGTTAAGCCGTTTGGACTTCTGACTAAAAGACATGGGACATCACTGAAGGGTTTTGAGCAGGGGAACAACAGCATATTTTTGTGTTAGAAAGATTATTTTAAATGCAGAGTGGGCGGGATGAGAGACTGGAAGTTGGTGGATGTTGTAGTCATATGAATGGGAGATGATGAATAGCGGGCCGACCAGATGCAGAGCAAGGGACAGGGAGTGCTGGAATGAACAGGAAGTGTTGGCTGATTGGTGTGCAGGTTGAGACAGGAGGCAAGGATGAATGCCAGGCTTCTGGCTTGCCAGCTAAGTCCAGGCGTTGCTATTCTCTGAGATAAGGGACCCTGTCTGAGGTGAACCATTCAGATTTGGAGATACTGAGTTTGACGAGGTTATGAGACACCGAAGTGAGAGTGTCTGGTAGGCAGGTGGAAGTATGGGCCTGGAGCTCAGGAGGTACACTAGGGAGGCCGTGCAGAAGGTGGCCTGGGAAGGAACTCTCAGGAGCATCCACACTTCAGGGACAGGCAGAGTAAGAGCAGCCTACAAAGGAGATTGAGGAGGAGCAGCCAGAGTTGTCAGAGAATCAGAAACCGGGGCCACGAGGGCCATGAGAGTGTTTCCAGAGAAAGGAGTGGTCAGCTGAATCAAATGCTACAACAGGTGAAATGAGGGCCAACAACTGCCCATCAGCATGACTTCTAAGGAGGCGGCTGATGAGTTTGGCAAGGGCAGTTTCAGTGGAGGGGTGAGGGCAGAAGGCAATTTGCAGTGGGTTGGGGTGAGGTGAGTGGTAGATGAGAAAAGGGAGAACTAATACAGGCAAGGTCCAGGAGGTGGAGCCGTGAAGGGGAGGAGGCAGGGCTGAAGCTGGAGGGGAGCTTTGAATCCAGGGTGGCTTTTGGCTTTGTTGTTTAAAGGAGAGGGGCTTACTGCCCATTTCGCTATGAGGTGGAGGACCCACTAGAGAGGAAATGTGAATTATGGAAGGAAAGAAGGAAGGAAGGAAGGGAGGGAGGAAGGAAGGAAAAGGGGAGGGGAGGGGGAAGGGGAAGGAAAGAAGGAAGGAAGCAAGGAAAGAAGGAATGAAGAAAGGAAGGAAGGAAGGAAATAAAAAATCGCAAAGGTTTAATTTTCGTTATTGAGTTTCCTAGTCTTTTGACTAAAATTGTGTAGGATCTTTCCCTGAGAAGCTCACACAAACTCTGAAATTATTTCAAATCCTAAAATTGGAAGGAAACAGAGAGGAGAAAGCAACGGGAGAGTGATGTGTGATGGCAGGTGCAAGGAGGACTGGGGAGGGATGGGGAGGAAGGAGGGGAGGGGCCAGCCTGGGCTTAGCCTATGTTGACAAGCTGCTAATGACTTTCAAATCAGACACCCTTAGAGTTGGAAAGGTGCTCAGACCTTAGCTCATCCAACTTTTTTTTACATTGTATTATTAAAATAATTTCAAATTTAAAGGAAAATTGCAGGAATAGTAAAAAGAATGCTCATATACCTTACACTCAGATTCACCAGTTATAAACAGTCTGACACATTTGCTTTCTCTCAATATATGCTGTATATAAAATCCAATATTACATATTGAGTGTAATATTGTATGTATTAATTATATATGTATGTATATATGCATATTATATATATATATAGAGAGAGAACCATTTGCAAGCTCCTTGCAGACATCACGCTGTTTTACCCCTTAATATCTCAATGTATGTTTCCTAAAAACAAGGATATTCACTTACACAATCACAGGCCAATTATGAAAATCAGGAAATGTGACATAGATAGAATACTATTATTAAATGTACATACCTTATTCGTTTCTTCAGTTGTCCCAATAGTATCCATTATAGCTATCTTTCCCAGTCCGGGATCACACGTGGCATTTAGTTGTCATGTCTCTTTGGTCCCCTTTAATCTGCAATGTTTCCTCTGCCTGCCTTTGTCTCTCATGACATTGATGTTTTTTATGAGTAGAGACCATTTAGTTTGCAGGTGATTTGGATTCATCTGGTGTTTTCCCATGATTAGATTCAAGTGATGCATTTGGCTTAGGACTTTCAGGAGGTGAAGTTTGGCTTTCTTGAGTGCATCTCATCTGGAGGTTGGTCTCATTATCAGTAATATCAACTTTGATTTTTTGGTGAAGGCAGTGTCTGCCAGGTCACTCCGCTATGAAATGACTATTTTCTCCTTTGCAGTTAATAAGTATCTTGCAGGGGATGCTTTGTGTCAGCATAAATACCCCGTTGCTTCTGAAATGTTCACCCACTAGTTTAGCATCTACTGATGATTTTTCCCTGAATTATTGTTGTGATGGTTGCAGAACAGTAATTTTCTAACTCCGTCATTCCTTCTGTATTTATTAGTCCTTTCATTCCACTGTAGGGAAGAGATTTTGTCTTTTTGTTCTCTCTCTTGCTGTCTCTCATTTATTATCAGTATGGACTCAAAACTATTTTTAGAAATTAATATGCTCGGCTGGGTGCGGTGGCTCATGTCTGTAATGCAGCAGTTTAGGAGGCTGAGGCAGGCATATCACCTGAGGTCAGGAGTTCAAGACCAGCCTAACCAACGTGGTGAAACCCCATCTCTACCAAAAATACAAAAATTAGCCAGGCATGGTGGTGGGCACCTGTAATCCCAGCTACTTGGGAGGCTGAGGCAGGAAAATCACTTGAACCCGGGAGGCAGAGGTTGCAGTGAGCCAAGATTGCACCACTGCCCTCCAGCCTGGGAGACAGAGCGAGATTCCGTCTCAAGAAAAGAACAAATTAATATGCTCTAGCACCTTCTTCCACTCATTCTCCCTGCTCTCTTCCATTCACCTCTTTCTCCTCCCCTCAGGGTACCCCTGCCATTATCTGAATTACTCATAATTTGTTGTAAAACCTTACAGAAAATAAATCTGACCAAGACGCATGATACCTAGTGGCATAGGACTACAAGAGTCATTGGCTTTCCTAGCTCCCATGTAACACAAGAAATCTGTTAGCCATTTTGATTAATACTTTTATACCTACTACTAGTAGGTATTAGCTACTAGTACATTTATATACATTTTAGCCTTTCTTTTAAACGTATCACTCCAGCTTTATAAATTACAGTTAGACTACACTTCCCTGTGCTTTTTAGTACCACACTTTATCATACAATTGATTTAAACAATTGAAAGTATAAATAACCTGGGGTCATTATATTCTTTTGTTAAATTAGCTGAATTGTAACCAGTGCCTGAGGGGTCGTTAGGGATGCTAATTAACTCTTTCGGGTCCTTGGGAAGCTGTTCAGCGCATTGTAGTGGGATAGACTTCACAGAGACACCGAATCGATTATTCCTGAGCAGGGCTGTGGGAAGCCCTCTGAGTGGCATATTTCCTGTGGGTGTAGATGCAGAGAACTCAGGGATGCTAGTCCTGTGTGTACTTCATTCTGCCCTATCTCAGGAAGGACTATAATAACAGCTGACACTGATTGAGAGTTTATGCCGTGCCAGGCACAGCTCTAGCCACTTTACAAAATTGACCTAATTAATTCATTTAATTAGAGACACAAAATAGTATATTCTTTCACATTTATCTGGTGCTAACATAGTTTACAAACAACAGTTTTAAACAGTATGACAAGTTTTCTATCATAGCCCCTCACAGGGGATATGTCTAACATCACATGGCTTGTAAGTGAAGAGTCAGGGTGTGGACTCAGAAGAGAACCCTTAGTGTTCATTAGTTTAAACAGAGCTCCTTTTTTATTGTGATAAAATACACATAACATAAAATTTCCGATCTGAGCCATTTTTAATTGTGCATTTCAGTGGTGTGAAATACACATATTGTCGTGCAACCATCATCAATATTCATCTCCAGAACTCTTCTCACATTGCAAAATTGAAATTCCGTGCTCATTTAACACTAACTCCCTACCACCCCCTCCCCACTATCCCCAGGAAACGTCCACTCCACTGTCTCTACGAATTTTACTACTATGGGTACCTCACTCACATGAATGGAATCATACAGGATTCGACTTTTTGTAACTTGTCTATTTCACAATGTCCTCAAGGTTCATCCATGTTGTAGCATGTGTTAGAATTTCCTTCCTTTTTAAGGCTGAATAATATTCCATCGTATGTGTAGATCACATTTTGTTTATCCGTTCATCCATTTATGCGTACTTACTTGGGTTGCTTCCACCAATTTTTTTTTTTTTTTCTTTGAGACAGAGTCTCACTCTGTCACCGAGGCTGGAGTGCAATGGCACAATCTTGGCTTACTGCAACTTTTGCCTTCCAGGTTCAAGCGAATTTCCTGCCTCAGCCTCCCAAGTACTTAGCTGGGACTACAGGTGCACGCCACCATGCCTAGCTAATTTTTGTATTTTTAGTAGAGACAGGGTTTCACCATATTGGTCAGGCTGGTCTCAAACCCCTGACCTCAGGTGATCCACCCACCTCAGCCTCCCAAAGTGCTGGGATTACAGGCGTGAGCCACTGTGCCCAGCCTTACTTCCACCATTGACTAATAGGAATAACGCTGCAATGAATATGGGCTGAAAAATTACATCTTCAAGACTCTGCTTTCAATTATTTTGGAGTAGATACCTAACAGTTGAATTGCTGGATCACATGGTAATTCTATCTTTAATTTTTTGAGGAACCATCATACTTTTTCCTCAACTGTTTATCATTTTACATTCCTGCCAGCAGTACACAGGGTTCCAATTTCTTCACATCCTCACCACCACTTGTTATTTTTTGGGTTTTTGGTTCGTTTGCTTGTTTTTCATAGCAGCCTCTTTATGGGTATGCAGTGGTATTTCATTGTGGTTTTCATTTGCATTTCCCTGATGATTAGTGGTGTTGAGGATTTTTTTTTCATGTGCTTAGTGGACATTTGTATACTGTTTTTGGAGAAATGCTTACTCAGGTCTTTTGGATTGGTTTTGTTATTGTTGTTGTTGAGTTTTAGGACTTCTTTATTCTAGATATTAATCCTTTATCAGATATATAATTTGCAAATATATTCTCCCATTCTGTGAGTTTCCTTCTTACTCTGTTGATAGTATCTTTTGTTGTACAAGTTTTTAATGCTCATGAAGTCAAATTTTTCTATTTTTTTCTTTTGTTGCCTGAACCTTTGGTATGATGTCCAAGAAATCATTGCCAAATCCAATGTTATGAATGTTTTGTCCTATGTTTTCTTCTAAGAGTTTTATAGTTTTGGTTCTTACATTTAGATCTCTGATGTATTTTGAGTTAATTTGTATTTTGTTGTATAAGAGATGGCTGCTTTTTAAAAATAAGAATGACAACATAATTCTCCTATTCCGGAAGCCACACATATTCATTGTAGAAAAATAAGCAAATAAAAGAACCTAGATATAAT